>NC_000012.12:25209650-25834650 GCF_000001405.40 Homo sapiens | reverse complement strand
CTTGTCTACAGATTCATAATCTACATATTCTTCATGTGTAGTCTCCACTAGTTCAGAATCAAATATGTCAATTCTATTGTACTATTTAGAGCATTACATGGCAGTGACATCAAATTAGCATATATATTATTGTCTTCACTTTAAATAATTTTGTTTAAAGTGTCGCTAAAATTTTCTTTGTCTTAGCTATATTAAGTAAAAATATAGCCAAAGAAAGTTAGTTACCAAATCCTTAATGCCTGTTGCTTGTTTTTCATTTTTTAACAGAAATATTGACAATACACTCTGAGTCAGAACATAAAGATGTTATCCAAAATTCTTAGTAGAATATACAGCTTTCCAGACTGCCTATCTCCAAGAAAAATCTTGGATTACTTTAAACATATAATTCAAGAATCTGAAAAATGTTCTTACCTTAAACAATTTAAATAAATGTGATTTTGTGAGTTGTTTGGTTGATATCTTCTCAGTGGACTCAAGGACAATCTCACTTTCACATCCATCTCTTTGTGATAAAATGACAGGCATTTCAAGAGACAAGAGGCAGGCTGCTGCCCACTCAAAAGTACAATTCCACCCATCAGGCAGAGCTCCCAAATTAAGGATCATAGCAATTACACACAACAACAGCATGGAAAAGAAGCCAGTGCTGCAGAGGTGATCTGGATCCAGGAAGAAAGGGAAGATGCCTTCAATCAAAAAGTAAGTCTGTCATTTCTAACATGTGGTCTTGCCCATCTTCTTTGCAGAATTTTAAACGCTACTACAGTTTCTTCAACTTCTTTCCTCCTCCAACGCTGAATCATCACTAATGTTTACTAAAGAAAGTGTGTTCTATTCCTTGGTCTTAAGAAAGATGGCTAAGTTTTTTCTCAGTCTCAAAGAAAAGATAATTATCATAGTGGAGAGACTGCATGGCTTAAATTATTTTTTGGAAATTAAGTTTTATCTTGGGGTCTTGCTCTTCTATTTCTGGCTAATTAATCTTGGTCAATTTTTTAATCTCTGTCTATTACAGTTTCCTAATCTGTAAAACAGAAATAATAATAAAACCTCTAAATCCTTGATAATTGTTAGAGATTAATATAATTATTGTTTTACATGAATTTATGTTGAAGTAGTCTTTCTACCTTTACACCCAGTGACTTTCTGGTACACAATACCTGTCTGGTAAGTAAAAGACAGCAACATCAATATTGGGCAGCATTATTGCTGGACCTAGGACTGAGCTAGGTGTTTTGGAAAGTGAAAACATAGTCCTGACCTTAGCTATCTTAAAATTTAGTTATGTACATGAAAAAGATACAGTAGCAAAGTTGCATTCAGTTGTGAAAATGCATTGAATTGTATACTTCAGCTATGTGTAATTTTATGCCTATTATTAATCAACAAAAAGAACAGAAAAGTAGATAATTTTATGGCAGTTGTATAATATACGTTGTAAAAACCTAAAGACATTTATATCCTAGTTGAAAATATAGTTGGAATTAATAGCTTCCCTTTTTTGGAGCCACCACATTTATAATAATGTAGAAATCACCATAAAGCACCACATAACATGGCTACCTTTCTAGAATTGAGATTGGTTCCTAAACTGGATGAAAATCCATGTCCTATTTATAGGGCGACTAAAATAATTCTCTTGCTCTGTGTTTCCACACTAGAGCTTTCCCAGAAAGTTCAAGGAAATAAGTCTTACAAAGGAGTTTGCTAAATTAATCAGTAACCCACCAAAAACAAGAGAGGGTTGTCCCTCTAACTCTAGCAGAAAAGATTTGGGGCAGAATGCTTGATGCTTCTTTTACATATGCCCATCTCTGAACTCTGAAGCAATCACTGAGCCTATGGGGAGAGAGCACTCTCATTGTCTGGCTTATAATATGATGGGGAGTGAGGGTACCGTGACTGACAGCCCCCAGGATGACAGATTTTGGAGAAGGTTGGTTCTTTGAAGGATGTGAATCTAGGCAGACAACTCATAACTGTTTGCATAGTAAGTGAAGAAGTTTGAATATTCTTCTGTGGTGTTACTTGATCAAAATTTCAAAGTGGAGACGGGGGGCTGATTTAAAGATAATTGCTACAATTTAGGTAGGACCAATGAGGACAATAGCTATGGAGAAGAAGTGGTGTGATAAGGAGAGACCTCATATTAGGATGTAGCATCTACAGAAATGATTGACTCATTGCCTGCAGAGGGCCTAGAACTAGAGCAAGATATCCATGGTGGCTCCCAGATATCCAGTTTGGGTGACTGGAGGATGGTGGTGACATTCCTCTTGAAAGGGAGATGGGAAGAGAAGTAGGTTAAGGTGGAAGAGAAGCTAATGAGCTCTGTTTGGGACATGTGGAGTTGTAGAAAATAATAATGAGTTGGAAAAACAGAAGTCAAATCATATTGTAAAGTTGTCTTAAAAATGAAATTATTTCAACAAATCTAGGAATTACATAATTGAAACGTCTACAGAAGGAAAAAAAGGAAGGAAAAAAAGAGTTCAGTAACAATTTTTTTTCTTGCAGAGCAAATTCATTGTGCACTTTACTTTATTTGGGTAACTGAAGGAGATTTGACCTTCCATTTAGAATAACTCTGTTCCACTGCATTTTATGATTACTGAGAATATTTGTTTAAAGAATAACATATTTTCCCATTCAAAAGTAATTCATACCTGTTAGAGACAATTTTAAAAAGATAAAACAATGTATTATGTACAATAATAAATATATTTGGCACAGTCTGTCTTCCCTAAAAGGTTTTTAGTTATTACAAATCACATTTGTTGTTATAGAGTCTAACAATACAGAAAAAGAGTTGATATCACTTAAATCTCACTACCTTGATTTAGACACTGTTAGCATTTGGCTATGTTTTTGTGCTTTGCTTTATGTACACACACACAGACAGATACTAATTTATTTGAATGTAATCATGTCATATATGTTCTTTTTTTTTTACCATGAACAGTCCTGTAATTTTTTAACTGTTGTTTACTTGTGATTTTTCCTTGTGTCTCTCCTTTTCTTTATTCCTTTATTCTCTGTCCTAAACAACATATATTAATGATACATATGTATAATATATCCACATATATTTAGTACATTATATATAATATAAATTATACATATTTTATATCTGTATATATTATATATACATATAAAAATATGGGGACTGGGCACAGTGGCTCATGTCTATAATCCCAGCACCTTGGGAGGCTGGGGCAGGAGGATCACTTGAGCTTAGGAGTTTAAGACCAGCCTGGGCAACATAGTGAGACGCTGTTTCTACAAAAATAAAAAATTATCCAGGTATGGTGGCATGCACCTGTACTTCCAGCCACTCAGGAGACTACAGCAGGAGGACCACCTAAGCCCAAGGAGTTCAAAGCTGGAGTGAGCTATGATTGTACCGCTGCACTCCACAGCCTGAGTAACAGAGAGACTCCTTGTCTCTAAAAGAAAAAAAAAGGGAGACTTGGTCATGATTTTAAAAACTAACATTATATTATATATATTTTTCTGCATCTGGCTTTTCATCCTTAACTACACATGGCAAAAATCCCCCCCAAGTCAGTTGCTTTAGGTATCAGGTAAGAGCATCCATCTACTTCAATGTAACTCTCCTAAGAGCAAGGACAATGGCATATTTGTTTTCTGTAGCACCTAATATTGCAGCAAGTATAGCACGTACTTAAGAATGAATATGCTGATATTGTCAATAATTTGAAGCCAGGCTATTGAGAATGAAAATATTTGGACTAAGCAATTTGTTATAGTTCAGTTATGCAAAGCACTAAGTGACACAACCCCATGAAGTTGATAATAGTATTACTATTTTCATTTCACACACTAAGACGATGAGGTACATAGACAATAAATAACTCTCCCAAGAGTACAAAACCCGTGCATTGCAAGATAGTGCGTTCAAGTCTCACAAATTCCAACCAAATGTGTTATCCCTTGTATTTTGTGAAGTAAATAGCAACCATGATTAAATCAACATGTCCAACACGTATAAGAGAGTAATTTGATCCTGAGGACTCACACCATGATCTCTGCATGGAGATTTGCGTGCAACTCTCACGGATACGTTTTTCCTCCTTAGAGTCTTTTATGGTGTGTAGTAGACATGGATTTTCACATTCCATTTACAGAGGAGAAGAATAAAAACACAATGAGGTTATTTTATCAAATGACATACAAAAAGTCAGTAAGGGGAAGAGACAAAGAAACCAGTTCTATTAATCCCCAGGCTAGATGTCTGCCTCCAACAAAACCTGAATTCCGGAAAACCTCATTGAGCTTACGTTTTATTATAAAAGCGAATCTCAGCACTTGGTTAATTTATGGCTTTAAGCAGAAGGAAGGGAGGAAATGTGGTGCTTCAGTTGGAGCTGGTGCATAGCTGGGGATGCAGAGCCAAGCTGTGGCTCACCTGAGCTGATGTGCTGCACAGATGGTCTGCATCAGAATCTCCAGGAAAGTGTGCAGAAAAAACAGAGCCTGGGTCCACCCATGGAATCAGAATTGGGGAAAAGAGCCTGGAATTTAAGCGATAGACTCTATGAGCTACACTTTTTAAAGAAAGGGGCTCTCCTTATGTTGCCCAGGTTGGACTTGAACTCCTGGGCTCAAGTGATTCTTCTGCTTCAGTCCTCTGAGTAGTGGGGGTTACAGGTGTGAGCCCCTGCACCCAGCTTCTATGGGGTGTACTTTTAATAATGCCAGGCAACTTTATGCATGCCAACATTTGAGAACAACTGTTGTGCCCTTCAAAGGCACCTCCTGGGCATCTTGGCTTAGTGGGAAAGGCAGCCACTTACTGTGGGTTCTTGGGGAAGTCAGTTAAATCCCCCGATTCTCAGTTTCTATATCCATAAAACAGGGATAATAGCACTTCGGAACACATAGGGCTATTATAAGAATTAAAAGTCATGTATGTAAAGATTCTGGCACCCAGTAATTAACTATAATTGGTATTACACTCAAATTAATCATAGGTGAGGAGGCTTATGAGGATATTTCAGAAAATATGAATCTGATGAACTTTGCGTGGCTCTCAGTGTGGAAAGAATCTTGAAGAAAAAAAGTTAGGAATCCAGTGATGCACAGTGACTAAACCCAAGTAAAGGTCAAGATTTTAACACACTGCACAAAGCAGCATCACTTCCTCCTGACATTCTTTTGGAGCAGATGGTTGGGTAACGTAATGGAAAGCAGACCCAGGCAGAGGCATGGCACGGAGACGACCAGTTGTGAAATACATTCAGATGGGGTGGTACTGTTTAGATAATGGTGGTAAAACTATGTTGAGTCAGGTGCCAAATGGTGAGGCACTGATGCCAAGACAAACTGACAAACTGGAAAACAGCAGCACCAACACAGACCTCTAGGGAAAAGATCAGGATATACCAAATTAGAGAAAAACAGGATCCTTCATAACTTATAGCTTTGTAAATGCATGTGATAGAAAACTTTACATGTTTTCTCAAAAAAGGAAGCAAACAAAAATGGAAAATTAGAGCCAATTCCAATGGTCAACATGGGAAATTTTATCAGGGAAGCTTCTTAGATCTAACTATGGGCAGACCACAATCTCTCTTAGCTTTAGAGACCTCAACTGTGAAATGAAAAACTAATTGTCTCTCCAGGCCTGTTTCAGTGGGAAAACCCTCTGGTTCTATAATAACACAATGAAATGCTGGCTTTAGTCTAATTTAGTCTAAGTCCCATCTGAATTGGGAATTTTAACAAAACAACATTTCAATTAGTAGGGTTTCTATGTTTTGCCTCTTGTTTTATGTTAAATTATGCATTGTTTTTTCATATAAAACCAAGTTAATAGTGGGAGGAAAGTAGCATTACCATTTATTGAGTGCTTAGCTAGGGCAGAGCACTTAGCTAAATTCATTTCAGATGTTATTTAGACCCCACAAGAATCTCAGAAGATAAGTACAATGATGATGCCCATTTTACTTATGAGAAAATTGAGGAGCAGGTTCAAAATCAAGCTGCTAAGGCTCAGAGGAGGTACCGAACCCAAGTCTCAGTCTATGCACAAGTCTATGCACAAGTCTCAGTCTATGCACATTGAGAGAGAGAAGGGGCTGCTCCCTGTTGTTAGATGAGTTTAGAAGGGAAGTTCCTGATTCCTCTGAGAACTGGAGGACCCTGCTTGTCTTAGATTCTGTTTTACATCCACTCCTGTATGTGCTCCACTTTCTATTCCTGGAGTCATCCCCTCGGAGACCCAAAGGCTGACATTACAGCAATGACATGAGCCATCTGTCACTGCATATTTTGGCCACAAACTTTAACTGGAATCCAGAAGGAGGGAAAAAGACCTGACAGGGATTTTGCCGGTGAAGTCCGGGGCAAAGGTCTGAATGACACCACTGATGAGTGACAGCCCCTTCCCTCCTGCAGGGCTTCTGCACACTGAGTTCCCCGAGTTGATTGTGATGATCCTGGAAATATCAGAAAATGATTCCCTCACTGTCGTACTGCTTCACTTTTGTTATCTGGAATCAAAGATAATGTACCTAATGACATAGAGTAAAAAAGAAACAAAACATTTTAAAAGATGTTAGAGACTATTTTCAGTCTGTAGCCAAGACTACAGTACTTAGAAATGTTTTTTATTAACAAAAAGGATAAAATATGCTTATGTTTACATTCCCAAGATTTATTTCTGAAGCAAAGTTTTCTGCTTTGATTAAAGTCCCCCCGTTTTAAAAACAGTATGGAAATTCACAAGGTTTGTATTTAAATTTAGAGAGCCAAGAGAGGTCAACATTTTTTGTTTTTTGGACAAGGTCTCGGTCTGTTACTTATGATGGAGTGCAATGGTGCCATCATAGCTCACTGCAACCTCGACCTCCCAGGCTCAAGTGATCCTCCCACCTCAGTCTCTCAAGTAGCTGTGACTATAGGCACGTACAACCACACCTGGCAACATTACAAAAACAATTGAATGCAATGAATGAGGAAGAAGACTTTCTTTTACTTGAACAAATATATCGATTATTAATCAAAATTAAAAATTCATATTCAACAGCAAGAAAAAAATAATTTTTTTGACATTGGCCTCTGAGATGGGCTTGAGTCTATGGGACTCAAGGGCTGTACACTCCAGGAAATTAGATGGGAACAACTTTTGTTCCAGTCATACAGGAAAAGGCACCTGAAAATTCTTATTTCCAACTTCTCAACTTTCAACAATATGGCCCATGTATAAACCTGGGCTTATCTTAACCTTGAAAGTTTTGGCATGTGGTGTGATACATGGTATTGAATTGGGACTATCTACCCAGAACATCTCAACACCATGATCATCCACATTCCTGGGCAAATACTTCACAAAGCACTGTAACACTTGCTGGTACCTTGTTACCCACCCGTGAAGGTGCATAATCTAAGAGAGATAATATTGACCCAAACATAAGGGATATATACAAGTGATTTTAAATAAGCCATTAGTAAAATAAATAATAAATTGAATATCTTTAATATCATGGTTAAATGGAAGAACAAAATTCACTAAAATGGGAGGGCAAACAAGGGGAATTCATGAGTTACAAGTTTACCAGGGAAGAAGCAGTTATCTCTGGGGCATAGGGAAGGTTTCCTTGACAGTCAGTGTGATGCTGAGAGGGGGAAACTCTGGTGACTGGACCTCCTCACAGGTTGCTTATGGAGTGGCCAGAAGCAGTCCAGACCTGGTTGGGGAAGAACCACTGCAGTTAATCCTGGAAAAGCCTGTCGGGGATAGAAGGTGGAGCTGTGCTAAAGGCTCACTAACTGGGGAACAGGTCAGGAGAGTGAGAGCAAGATGGGTTAAGGCTAATTGCAAGACATTGGCTGTGAATGAAGGGGTAGATATCCAGGGGCTGTCAAATTAAAGGTGTGGGGTCAGCAGGACAATTATGGCCTCACATTTTTTGTAGAACAAGGTGGGATATTTTAGAATATTTTATAAAATTGTGTATTAAGAAAAATCGGTTACTAAAGTATTATTGGTACCTTCTTTGGAGGATGCCAATTTGTTTCTTTAATATACATCTTTGAGAAAGAATGAATAAGATTAACTATTTGATAACACAACAGGGTCACTATAGTCAATAATAACTTAATTGTATATTTTAAAATAACTTAGGGTGTAACTGGATTGTTTGTTACTCAAAGGATAAATGCTTGAGGGGATGGACACCCCGTTCTCCATGATGTATTTATTTCACATCAAATATCAAAACATCTCATGTACTCCATAAATATATACACTTACTAGGTACCCACAAAATTAAAAATAAATAAATAAATAAAAATCGGGGGGACAAACACAAAATAAAATAAAATACACTTCTTTGGTGTGCATATGGTAGACCAATTCAGTCTAACTTTTAAACTTTCACGTGCAGAGATTTAAACATCATTCTCAGTATTATTTCTAACTGCTTCTGCCTGTTAAAACTTACAGATAAAGGTACTTACTACACCTTTATCTTTTGAGGATACAGCAAAAGGATTTTTTATTTTTGTTTTTTTTTTTTTTTTTTGAGACTGAGTTTTTCTCTGTCGCCCAGGCTGAAGTGCAGTGGCGCGATCTTGGCTCACTGCAACCTCCGCCTCCTGGGTTCAAGCGATTCTCCTGCCTCAGCCTCCGGAGTAGCCTCCCCAGTAGCTGAGATGATAGGCGCCCGCCACCACACCCAGCTAATTTTTGTATTAATTCTACTTGCTAGGTGTGTAGGCAGAATTCTAAATGGTCCTCCAGGATTCCATGTCCTCCACGATTCCATGTCCTCTAATTCCCATAACCTGTGTTCTATGGCACAGTTAACTTTCTAAGAGGGAGATTATCCAGGTAGGCCTAATCTAAACACATCAGCCCTTAAAAGCATAGAGCTTTCTCCTGTTGGTGGCAGAAGAGGGAGGCAGAGAGACATGAAACAAAAGAAGGGTTTCACAGGATGTTGCTGGCGTGAAGATGGAGGAGGCGCCATGATGAGGAACGCCGGTGGTCTCTAGAAGCTGAGAATGGCCTTTGGCTGACAGCCTGCAAGGGAATGGAAACCTCAGTTCTACTGTAACAAGGACCTGGATTCTGCCAATAACCTGAATGCACTTGGGAGCGGATTGTTTCCTAGATCCTCCAGATAGAGCTCAGCCAGCTGACACTTGGACTTCAGCGTTATAAGACTCTAAGCAGAGAACCCAGCCAAGACCACCCGACTCTGACCTACAGAAATGTGAGATAATTAATCCACGTTGCCATAAGCTGCTAAGTTTGTGAAAATTTGTCACACAACAATAGATAAAGATGTTATCTCTTATGTCTAGGCAAATGGAACTCCTGGCTGAGTTATGAAATAAATAAACCCCATCTAAATTTTCATTCTAAATTTTCATGATCTTGTGGCTTATATTTTATTCTACTTGTTTATTTACATATATTCTAGTTTGTTGGGCACAGGAATATAATGTGGCCTTGGTGTGATACTTAGACAAAAATGCATGGTGGGCTGTTAAGATTGGGGTGTTGCAGATGGGGGAAAAAAGGCCCTTCACTCTAACATCAGGGAAATTTTCAAAATATTACTGGGAATGAAGCATTAGTTGCTAACGCACTTTGACAAATGTTAGGGAGAGTGTGTGCTGCTCACATATTCCTGAGGGAGCTGCCATTTGGAAGAGTCTCAGTGTTAAGCAGAGACAAAGCAGACTAAATCTGGAAGGTATCCCAGCCTCCTTTCAGAACTGGGACTATGAAGTACCTCTTGAGCAAACCTTTTAAAAACTTGATCTACAACAGAAAAGTCACCTGCTTTATGTTTTCTCTTCTTTCTCTCCTAGTTGTAGGTGTGAAAAGAGGCAAAAGCCTGATAAACGAATAGGTTAATGTCACCCTTAAATTTGCCTGGAAGGGCATAGCCTCCATCTACTGCGTCTAACAGAGTGGCCAGAAGCAGTGCAGACCCGGCTGGGAAAGAACCACTGCATTTAGTCAGGAGAAGCCTGTGGGTGATAGAAGGTGGAGCTATACTAAGGGCTTAGTACTGGGGAACAGGTCAGGAGAGGGAGTACAAGATGGGTCAAGGCTAATATCAAGGCTAATTTCAAGACATTGGCTGTGAATGAAGGAGAGGATATCCAGGGGCTGTCATGAGTGCCAGTCTCTGCTCCTTTCTCATTAAAAAAATAATTTTCTGCCAGGCATGGTGGCTCACACCTGTAATCCTTGCACTTTGGGAGTCTAAGGCTGGAGGATTGCTTGAACCCAGGAGTTTGAGACCAGCCTGGGCAACATAGAGAGACCCTATCTCTACAAAAAAGAAAAACTTAGCCAGGCATGGTGGCTCATGCCTGTAGTCCCGGCTGCTAGGGAGGCTGAGGTGGGAGGATAGCTTGAGCCCAGGAGTTCGAGGTTGCAGTGAGCTATGATTGTGCCACTGTACTCCAGCCTAGGTGACAGGGCAAGATTCTGTCTCAAAAAAAATAAAAGATTGTCTCATCTCTAAAATGAGGAAAATCGTTATAAAAGTTAAGTGCAAATTCATTGAATTCTTTAGCACGGTGCCTTGGGGAACAGGTCAGTAGTACGAGTGCAGGATGGGTCAAGGTTAATTTCAAGACACTGGTTATGAATGAAGGAGGGGTTATCCAGCGGCTGTTGTAAATTGAAAGGGCTCCATGGAGCCGCTTCTTGATATTATTTTTACTTCTGCTTCTCTGGAAAAGTCAGACTTGTGTGTCTGTTAATTCCTGATATGACTTTTGCATCATAAAATCCAATTCTTTTTGCTTCCAGTTAGCAATGGCTGAGCTCTATACCAGGAGTTACAGGAAGCTCTGAAGCTGGAGGGCTTAACATAGTTAAAATGTATCAGGTGCTTTCAGATACAGCTCCACTTTAAGTGCAATGTTAAGAAATGATCCAAATAAATTTGTAACAATCCATGTGTATAATCACATATTTGGAAATGCTTATCTAGTTGATAGTCATTCTCGAGTTCATTTTACCTCTTCAGTCTCCTTCCGTAACCAGAATATTAAATAAATAATAATACAGGGTGAAGTGCAGTAGTATGGAGCCCTAGAGCAGGATTTTGTAGATGATTAATATTTATATCAGATTTTATAGTTTATAAATTATTGGGGCCGGGTGCGGTGGCTCACACCTGTAATCCTAGCACTTTGGGAGGCCAAGGCAGGCAGATTATCTGAGGTCGAGAGTTCGAGACCAGCCTGGCCAATATGGTGAAACCTCGTCTCTACTAAAAATTAGCTGGGCATGGTGATGGGTGCCTGTAGTTCCAAGTACTTGGGAGGCTGAGGCAGGAGAATCGCTTGAACCTGGGAGGCGGAGGTCACAGTGAGCCACTGTACTCCAGCCTGGATGTGACAGGGTGAGACTCAGTCTCAAAAATAAATATATAAAATAAAAAAATAAAAAAATTGTTAGAACAGTCATTCTAGGTTATAATATAGCATCATTATTACTATCATATGTAAGATGACATTAAGATTTAGAAAGGCAGAGTGACTTGCCCAAAGTTGTTCTTTAAGTTCCTAGGGAACATTTTCTCTGTAAATAATCTTATGAAGGACAACTTACTTCCAGGGAATCATTGGTACACTTCAATCAGGAAAAAGTGGATTAGTTCTTTTATGCCACCAAGAGACCGAGTTAGAGATTAATACTATGTAATACAATGATTTATAACAATAGAAATTTGTTATCAAGACAGGCAAATTAAGAAATCAAAGCCATAAACAAACCTTCAGTGTGTTTCGTAGGCAAGAATATAATTGAGAAATGGGGTGACATTGTATTCGCACTATTTAGGAAGGAGATCAGATCAGGTCACAGTTTTCTTAGGCAGCTCTATTTCTCCCTTATTCATTCATAACATGAATCTTTAGAGAAAAGAGAGACACATTTTGAAGTTTACTTTTATTTCCAATTGTATGTCTGTGGCCATGGACAAGCTTCTTGCCTATAGAATGAAGGAATTGAAAAAGTTCTGGAGTCATATTCGCTGAGATGCTCATCTGTAACGTTTCTATAATTTGGGAGTTTTGAAGTTACTTCCAGGCAAACGTATCTCTTCATTCATTTTCCTTTCCCTGTTCACACTTAAGCCAGATGGAATCTTGGTGGTAAAACCACTAAGGACAAGGCTATAATCACTGCAGGGGGTGGGAGAAGGCTGAAAGAAGTCATAAACTGACTCCCTAGAGAGTGTGTCTAAGAGGAGATAGTCTTATCCCTTTTCCTTGGTGATACTTTTAGCAATTACAGATTGGTTGTGTGTTGAAGATTTTTATGTTGGAAATTACAGATTGGTTATGTGTTCAAGACTTTTATGTCATCCCTCCCCCACCAATTACTGAACTGTCACTTTTCCGCCAATAGATATCTTCTAAGCCGCTACACAGACACCAGTGTTTTTTTGTGGTTCCCAAGCACAGGGTCTTGAGTAGTTGCCTGAGATTTGCCACTGGTTCGCCTTACATCAACATACACATTTTGGGCCCAGTGCGGTGGCTCACTCCTGTAATCCTAGCACTTTGGGAGGCCAAGGCAGGTGGATCGCTTGATTGTAGGAGCTACAAATCAGCCTGGGCAACATAGTGAAACCCTGTCTCTAGAAAAAATACAAAAATTAGCCATGTGTGGAGGTGCACACCTGTAGTCTCAGCTACTTGGGAGGCTGAGGCAGGAGGATTGCTTGAGCCCAGGAGGTCGAGGCTGCAGTGAGCTGTGATCACACCACTGTGCTCCAGACTGGGTGACAAAGTGAGACTCTGTCTCAAACAAACAAAGAAGTGCACATTTTGATTTCTGTGATAATGACAGTTCTACACATTTAACTGTGGCACAATTTAGAATCATGTGGCTATGTTGTCAATAGGCTTTCTGCCTTGAGACATTGAGAATTGGATAATCTGACACAGTCAATGAAATTGAAAGGAAGCTGTTACTTTTGAATACTTACGAAAAGCATAAATATTCAAGGTAAGTGTGGAAGGTACCATGAACCAGAGAAATCCAAATGCTTCCTTTTGTCAGAGTTGGGAGGGGTAGGAAATAATCCCAGAATATTCTGACGAATATAATAAATGATCTACAGAGACAGCTGTGGGTTGCGGGGGGGAGGAGATGAGCTGGGATACATGCAGCTCATGCCTTGAGAAAATGGCAAGAGGAGCTGCACTGTCAGTGGACATTCTGTCCCTGGGTCTCTCCTCCTCAGTCTCTTGTATATTCATTACTAGAGCACCTGAGTTAGTATGAGATTTTGGTTCTTATCTTGTGACTACAAGAAGAAATGTACCATGTACCAGGTACTGTTCCGGGACTGACAAGGACCAATAAGCTGCTTGACGAGTTCCAAATATCTGTCAGGAGGACTGAATGAGGCAAGGACCAGAGGCCAGGACTCTTTCTTAAGTGGCCAAAGGCCAGGGAGCTGCCTCAGCCACCTACCCAGATCAGTCTGTGTGTAACAGAATGTCAAATGGGATTTTCCCTGCTGTCCTAATGGGGAATTAAAGGCACCATGCACCTCACATTCTACATTTGGAGTGACACCAGCTGGTGAGCCAGCCACCTTTCCCCACGGTGTAGTGAGAGCTACCAGTGCTGAGAATACTTTCACCTTCCAAGACAAGGAAGGGAGATCCTAAGATAATTGCCAAGGTAGTCTGCAGAGGGGGTGGGTGACTCTTTCACACAGAGTCAGAAACAAAGGATCTCTTCCTCTTTGAAAGTCATGACCCATGGACCTGCTGAGTGCTCATTGCTGCTGGGACATGGAGATATAAATGAAGAAGGTCAGCAAAGAGGCAGGTTGAGGGAGCAGGTGGCCCAGACGCAGCCAGGCTCCCACCCTGAGGAGTGGCAAGGATGTGAGAGTTGGGTGGACACCCTAGGATGGGGCGAGGCTACTTTCCAGAAGAGTTCCCTGCACAAAAAGGCTGCAGGGCTGGTGCCTGGTGGCAGGGCCTAAGAGCGGGTGAGTGGTCTGGCCAAAGCCCACCACCCAAGTCCAGAAGCCTTGCACGGGGAAGGTTGACCCTACAAATAACCCCATGTGTTCTCCTGGAGACCTGTGCATGAGCCCCTGACACAAAAACAGCAACAAAGCCATGTCTCTAGGTCACAGTAACAGAGCAACAGTAACGACAACAGAGGGAACCACATCTTGCCAGCCAAGTAAGGAGGCATTGGCCTGTGTCTTCTTTCTCCTCACTGCCCTAACACTGGAGGAGCCAACACCTGGGGGAGGAAAGAGAGGAGCCTTGTGAGGGCAGATCAATACCTACCTCCTCCCTAGGACCCTCCCTCTGTGTCCACCACACACATGCACTTACGGTGAGTTTGCCTGAGCCAAGGACAGAAAAGGAATAAATGCTTGAATCCAGCGGCACTGAAATTTTTAAAACAAATATTACCATGTCTTAAACACTCATTAGACTGTTTTAATAACAAAAAAACAGCTGAAAACGTTCTTAAGAAGTTGATCAGCAAGGAGGAAAGGAGAAGATCCACAGAAATATTTGGAGGCAGTTATTTATTGGACAAAATCGGATGTATTCTGTTTACACCCACAATGAATGGAGGCTCCTCAGTAAATAGAACCGAGCGGGCTCAGGAGTATAATGAATACTGTGCAACGGGCAATGTGAATGCAACCAATAAGGGAGGGAGAGAAGGAAAACAAAGAGAGGAAATAGTCGAGGGAGGAGCAAGCACAGCCCTTCATCTGCTTCTGCCGAGTGGAGGGCTTGTGGAAGCTGCGGTAATGGGAACTGCCCTCCACCGTGCCCATGTCGCGGGGGCATTCTTTAGTCTACTGCACTGTGTCTAATCATTGAATAACAAGAAAACCGATGGCTGTCCCCCTTCATAATTGTCATTTAAGTGTCTTCCTCTGGATCAAACATGCATAGCTCCTTTCATCACCAAAATCTTTAATCATTTTTATTCCCCTTTCTTTGTTCTCTAAAATGTGGTCCCTTTGGCTTTTTTCAAGTAATTTAGCAGGAATCATTTTCTAAGTCTTTTGTTACTCTTCATGCATATAGGCAATCATTTGATTTTATGCCTCAAATGTAAGAAATGGTGGTTAAATCAATACTACCTCACACATTTGCAAGAGAAAAGAATTTTTTTGAATAAATTTCCCCAGGCACACAAATAGATGAACTGTTGGATAGATTATTCCTCAGGTTTCTAGAAAACATAATAGGAATAGATTCTTTCCACCAAAACAGAGTTTATTTCTTGCCATTCTTTACATGCCAAAAAAGTCAGGCAATGTCTGCAGTTATTTGGATAAAATGCTGCCCCTGAGATTGTCTGCTTTTTGATGAAAAAAAAAAAAGACACATATTTTCTCTTTCCTTGAACAAGGATATTTCATCTGCCTTCACCATTTCCAATCTGGCTGAATGTAGTCATCAAGTTGCCAAAACAAGATACCTTGAAATTGAGAATTCTATTGGAATCCAGCATAGATGGTTGCTGCCACCACAGTTTGAAGTTCTACAAATACAACATCTTTAATGCTGGGAGGAACTTTCTGGAAGAAGATAAATTTTACTCCCACATGATTTTGATTTTATAGGAGACTATAACTTCTGGAATTCCTAATAAAGAATAAAAAGAGGACTGTTTTTAGTAGATGCTTTTAGAAGAAACAATTCAACATATTCTGCCAACATGAACTCTTAAAAGATTGTGCAGGTGCCTCATAAATATCCAGGGTTAGCCTATGTCAGGAACACATTTATTGCTTTGATACTATTAATAATATAGATATTTACTACCTGGTATGACTCCATAGTACAGCTTACATCAGGCACATTTAGATCATAGAATCTAAGAAAAGCTCACTTTTGGATACTCATGGGGAAACAAAGCAATGAGATACATTCTTGGCTGAGGATTAGTGACTATAGAACTCAGAGGTTTTTCTTTTTTCCCCTGGTTTATGGTTTTCTTAAATGAAATGACAAAGGTCAATATTCAGATATATATATTTGAATATCACAATGCATTAAGACTATTGTCTTCTAGGTTTTTTTCCACAAACTTTTTTTTATCCATTACTTAGGGTTGCTAAATAACAACTTAATTATTCAAAGTGATAAAGTGATTTTTTTTCTCTCCTGTGCTTTTGGGTATTCTAAAAGAGTGTTTATATGCCCTGCGAATGGGCAGACTCTGCAGATGAGGGCTATGAGAGCAGCCCCACCTCAGTGCCAAACTTCTTTGCTCATGTGCCCACTAAGGAAACTTAAACAAACTGTGCAGCTTTTCAGTCATTTTTAAGTTGACTTCTAGAAGTGTTTTAATCATAAGTTTAAATAAATTGATTTATTTTTGTTACTAGGATGCAGAAAATATTGAACTTCTTATAAAATGAAATAAGATGAAGACTGTCATTGGATAAATATTTTACAATATGGTTTAAGTACATTTTAACTACCTTATGAAATACAGCACACTGAGGTGTTATAGCAAAGAAGGCATGCAAGATTTGTAGCCTGGGGGTTTTCTAAAGTATCTAAAAATTTTGGGTAGTGTAAAGCACTCCAGTTAGAATTAAAAGAATGATTGTCATGAATCTATATTTTCCAGTTGTTTTGAATATAGAAAAATTACAAAATAAGCTCAAATACCTTCCTTTTTAATGCCAAGCTCCACCTTAATGGATGCAGGTGTCAAACAGGGGAAGGTAGGAGCCCTGCGTGTTCATGAAAGGAATCTTTTCCCAAACCCATCTTTCCCTTGTATGCCTTCATTTGGGGTCTTGGAGCCTTTTACACCACAGAAAAATGCCCAGTAGTAAGAATTGACTTATGTGAGAAGACGTGCCTTACTTCTGTAAAGTGGGAGAGGGACTGGGGAGAGGTGGTCTCATTCTCAGGCAACTCAGTTTTTAGAAAGCATATTTTGAAGTTGAAGATCTGGAAACTGAATCCCTTAAAACTGTTTGTGTGTGCAAACCTGTGTGCATCTGTAAAGCCCAATGAAGGACCACCTTTCTAGGCAATACTTTTCCTGATCTCTTACATATGAGTACAATTTTACAAGGCATCGGGAGAATGAGTCTTGATCTATGCCTAGTCCTTGGTCTCCTTGTTGCAGCCAGGTTGACTATTAATAGAACAGGTGGATCATGACAACTTCATGATTCAATGCTATGCTGGAAAATGCTTCACAACTGGCTCTTGGGGGAGGAGGAGGAAGAAGCTCAGCTGTATAGTGTTTGCCCATTTCTGTGGTGTAAATACTCCTGCTATGGCCTATTTTAAGCCATGAAGTGAAGTAATCTGGCTTGCAAAATTCCTGAAATTCACAAGTGGCTTTCAGGCTCTCACAGATTGGTATGAGCCAGCTCTAGCACATCACTGAACCTTCATTCATTTACAGTCAGATCAGGGTCCGTTGGAGATGGAACATTTTGCAGGACCCCAGGATTTTTCAGTATGTATATTTACACACTTTTTTTTTCTTTTTTTTGAGACAGAGTCTCGCTCTGTCACCCAGACTGGAGTGCAGTGGTGCGATCTCGGCTCACTGCAAGCTCCATCTCCCGGGTTCACGCCATTCTCCTGCCTCAGCCTCCTAAGTAGCTGGGACTACAGGCACCCACCACTACGTCCGGCTAACCTAGCACCGCCTTTCAGGTTTCCACCTGACCCACTGACCATAGGTTTAAATAAATTTATTTATTTTTGTTACTAGGAAGTAGAAACCTCAGTCCATCTGTCCCACTATCTGGCCTTATACCTAGAATGATGACTAACTTGTCCTTCCTTCCTGACAGTCCTAATTGTGGTTTTCCTCCAAGTGTGTGCAAATCAGCTACTGCTTCTGGAATAAAAATCATGCAATTGAACAAATGTCTATTTTCAACATATCTTATAAAACATAGGTGTCAAATTGGCTTATCTGTTTTATTTATTATGTCTGCATTGTAGTTTTATTTTTGAGGGGAAGTACTTATAAAATGCTATTTGAACTTAATGATACTATTATATCTAATGGGCCATATCCTCTGGATTTGGGCCCCTTCAGAAGTAGACCCTGAGATAAGGATTTGAGTACAAGAACATTAGCGGGAGTTGAACAATGAGAACACATGGACACGGGAGGGGAACATCGCACACTGGGGCCTATCGGTGGGGGGCTAGGGAAGGGATAGCATTAGGAGAAATGCCTAATGTAGATGACAGTTTGATGGCTGCAGCAAGCCACCATGGCATGTGTATACCTATGTAACAAACCTGCATGTTCTGCACGTGTATCCCAGAACTTAAAGTATAATAATAATTTAAAAAAAAATTAAGTTAAAATAATATATAAAAAAAGGAATTTGAGGCCAGGCATGGTAGCTCACGCCTGTAATCCCGCACTTTGGGAGGCCAAGGCAGGCAGATCATGAGGTCAAGAGATAGAGACCATCCTGGCCAACATGGTGAAACTTTGTCTCTACTGAAAATACAAAAATTAGCTGGGCATGGTGGCGCACACCTGTAGTCCCAGCTACTTGGGAGGCTGAGGCAGGAGAATCTCTTGGACCTGGGAGACAGAGGTTGCAGTGAGCTGAGATTGTGCCACTGTACTCCAGCCTGGCAACAGAGCAAGACTCTGTCTCAAAAGAAAAAAAAAAAAAAGAATTTGAGTACAAGAAATTTATCTGGGAGGTGTAGCAAGCACCAACAGGGGAGAAGGAAAATTACAGAGGCAAGGGAAGGCAGCCAACAAAAGGTGCATTAAGAAGCCAGCTGCCATAGTAAGTGACTGGGGCTTACTCCCATGAGGAAGCTCTAGGAAAGAGTGCAAACACATTTCTCAGAATTACCCTGCCAGGAGGCAAGGGAGCTGGGACATTTATACATGAACCCCTGAGAAGCATTGGTTGGGGGCTGCTTTTGAAGGTTGCTCATTCCCTGCCACTTGCATTTCTTTTTTTTTTTTTTCTTTTTTTTTTGAGATGGCATCTTGCTCTGTCACCTAGGCTGCAGCACAGTGGCATGATCATAGCTCACTGCAGCCTCAAACTCCTGGGTGATCAAGCAACCCTCAGTCACCCAAGTAGCTGGAACCCCAAGTGCGTGCAACCAAGCCTGGATGGTTTTTTATGTTTTGTAGAGATTATGTCTCACTATATTGCCCAGGCTGGTGTCCAACTCCTACGCTCAAGCGACTCTCCCACCTCGGCCTCCCAAAGTGCTGGGATTGCAGGTGTGAGCCACTACACTCAGCTCCATTTCCATTTTCTTAGGTACATGGTGAGATTGGTCCTCAGTTCTGGGAAAAGTCCTCAGGCTGGAGATGCAAATACTGGCAGTTGGAAGAGGCTCAAGCACATTGAAAGCCAGAAAGTAAAGGTGGGGGACTGACAATGTCTGCTGTGTTTCAAAACTTGCAACAAATATCAGAGTGCTTTGTTTATATTACTATTTTGTCTAGAAACTCCAGTTCCTCATACATGTAGATGGCACCTAAAAAGAGCTCAAACTTAAATTAATCACATTCTGTCTTGATCAGGGCTTCTTACAGTAGGTGAGAGTCAGAATCTCGTAGAAAAATGGCTCCAGACACAGAACTCAGAGACCCTACTTATTCTAAACTGCACCAAAATTCAAGTCATTGCTTTAGATGGTGATTCCTAAATACTGGTTCAAGCAGAGGTAAGGTTTCATTAAGAAACAATCATCTGGGGATTTTGTATTAGAAATATATCCAGGCTGGGCACAGTGGCTCAGGCCTGTAATCTCAGCATTTTGGGAGGCTGAGGTGGGAGGATCGCTTGAGCCCAGGACTTCAAGACCACCCTGGGAAACACAGTGAGACCCATCTCTACAAAAAATTTAAAAATTAGTCAAGTATGATGGTGAACGCCTGTAGTCCTAGCTACTTGGGAGCCTGAGGTGGGAGAATTGCTTGAGCCTAGGAGGTTGAGGCTGCAGTGAGCCGAGACTTTGCCACTGCACTCCAGCCTGGGCAACGGAGTGAGACCCTGCCTAAAAAAAAAAAAAAAAAAAAAGATCCCAGGATGCCCTCTAGACCTCCATTCTCTGTAGGTGTGGCTTCAGGTAGGTTGTCTGTTGAAAGCTGTCCATGTGATAATGATGCCTAGTCTGGTTTGGGAACAAACAGTAAGCAGAGTTGGAGCCAACCTGTGAGTGTGCACCTAATCTGCATACATATTCTAAAGAGGAAAGCTTTTCCCTTTTTCAGTGACACAATTGACAAATACTTTGCCTCCTTCTCCCTGCTATTCTCTAACATGCCCTCCAAGATTCTCTGCCATAAACATTATTTTAAAAAATGTCTTTTATGCAAAATATTTCCTTAAAAACTAAATTAAAAATTTTATAATATAATCATATAACTAAAAAAATGTTGCAACTCTTTTGGGAAGTCTTCCCTGACTTTTCATTCCCCTGGCCTCCACAGCCCTGTAGAGAGATCTTCCTCGTGGCACTTGCCACTTGTCCAGAAATAATATGTTACGTGTTGGTGGCTCCCGAAAGATGGCGGCCTTCACCAGGTACAGACCTAGTTTTATTCATCTTTGTATTCCCATTCTTGAAGACAGTGCCTGCCTGGTTATAAATACCTATCAAAAACCACATCGTGTACTCTTTAGGAGTATATGAAAGAAACTCAGGAAGGTAAACATTGTTTGTGAACTAAACACATTTATGAGTCTTTAAAGAAAAGGAATGTTTACCTAACAAGCTACAAAACAGACAGACTTTCATAAACTTGTATTTGTACATAATTCCAAAAGGGATTGGTTCAGTTAGTGTTCCTGCAGCAAAAATATTCCAGCTAGCTATGACCTTGGACCAAGCACTTGTGTGTGTCTGTGTGTTTTAAAATATTTTTTTAATTTAAAGTTTTTTTTAATTTTTGAGACAGGATCTCATTCTGTCACCCAAGCTGGAGTGTAGTGGCATGATCATGGCTCACTGCAGTATTAACTTCCCAGGCTCAAGCAATCCTCCCACCTGACCCTCCTGAGTAGCTTAGCTGGGACCACAGGTGCAGGCCAGCACACCTGGATTTTTAAATTTTATTTAAAAATAAATTGAAATAATTATTAAATATTAAATATTTTTAATATTTAAATAATTTTAATTATTCACTCTGTCTCAGGCTGGACTGTAGTGGTGTGATCTCTGCTCACTGCAACCTCTGCCTCCCGGGTTCAAGTGATTCTCCTGCCTCAGCCTCCTCAGTAGCTGGGATTACAGACACCTGCCACCATGCCTGGCTAATTTTTGTATTTTTAGTAGAGATGGGGTTTCACCATGTTGGCCAGGCTGATCTCGAACTCCTGGCCTCAGGCGATCCACCCACCTCAGCCTCCTAAAGTGCTGGGATTACCAGCATGTGCTACAGCGCCTGGCTTGTTTTTTTGTTTTGTTTTTCTATATCAGAGAATGAATATGGGCCTTTTTAGGACATTGCAGACTATGATGATCAAGGATTAGCAAAGAGATGATAAATTTGACAATAAATTTCTTTTTTAAAAATTCCCACTAAGGGTGTATAAGACAGAAATTTCTTAAAATAATTTTTTTGGGGGAAAGTTTACATTATCTGTTAAAATGCACTCAAGGAAAGAAAGTACGAAAATAAGAAAGAGGTTAATTAAAAGACAGTGAAATAATTAACATATTCATTTTAACAACTTGTATACAATTATGTGAAAAGTAAGATATTAGTCGGATAACCTAGGAAATTCCCTTTGTAAAATGTAACTATGAAATGAGAGTTTCAAGACTGATTCATGGGAATATGTTTCATTATTGTGTGGACACACCTTGTATAGTGAAAGCTACAGAAGAAGTTATTGGAAGATTTGATAAAATTTTCTTCCTTAGAGAATCCTAAGACTGGGCTTGAAATCCCTCTACCCAGTGGATTCTAAGGGTGGTCTGGCTTAGACTAGTGGGCCCCTTAAGTTTTCTTTCAGTTCCAAGAATCTGTGATAAAGGCTGTAGATTTCAAGTTGGATTCGAATAAATTTATTTCAAGAATAAATTGTTCTTAATGACAGAGAGAGAAACGTTGTAGTTCGGTGACACAGTACATTTACTTTGGGCCCCTGGGCTTCAAATTGACAAGGGTGAATCATATTGAAATCATAGCATACAAATAAAATAGTGAAGATGCTAGAGCTTGTTCTCATGATATTAAAGTTCATCTGTCAGGGGATGCCGAATGGTAAGTCAGAACAAAATAGTATTCTCAAATGAATGTTAGATTTCATGTTAGAACAACCCAAATCATTTGGTATTGTTTGATTTTGCCTGGGAACTTCTTGTGGTAAAAGAAGAAGTCTCTCTTTCCTTCCTCTCACCTTTCTTTTTTGCCCTAAAGTTTATCATGTTAGCTGTTAACTTGGAAATATGTTTATGCTGCCCCTGATAGACACTCATAAAAAAATCACAGAATTGCTGTGTCTTTGTATAAAAAGTGTAGTTATCTCACTTTGTGTAAAGAGGAAAAGGAAAAGAGTAAGAAGAAAGATGGTATGAAAACATCAGCTTTTAAAAAAATAGAGAAAGCTTAAAGTGCTCTTAAAAGTTGTCAGATTTATAGCCTTAAAAGACTTGAAGATTGAGAGCCCCATTTATTCACAGCAAAGGCACAGGTCCCATCTCTGCTCTTTCATGACTCATCCTGCTGCACTGGAAGGGTCGCCCACAGATGAGAGGGTAATTTAGTTTCTCGGATTGTTCAATCTTCTTGTTCGGTTTGCTCACAAAGGTACTAATTAGGGGAAATTGTTATGGTGTTATTTTTCTCATTTGAACATCTGTTCCTTATGAGCTGGACACAGAGAAGTAAGTCACTTATAGAAGCAACCAGGAAGTTGGAGGGTGGCGGTTCTGAGTCATTGTCTTAATAAGTTCGAGTGTAAACCAGTGGCCAGTGTATGAAAGGATCAAAACCCTCTAAATCCACGAACTTTCCATGTCCAGGTAAATATACTGCCCCTGCTAAGATTGGAAACCATAGCAGCTAATGCTTTAAAAAACAGTAACTTTTGTATAAAAGAGTTAGAGTTCAGAAAATAACATGTACATTTTAACTTTTTTTTTTCTTGGAAATATGGTTAATATTTGTGCCCAGCACTGTTCTAAATGCTTTGTGTTGAATTCCCACAGCAACCTTAGACCCTATTAAAACATGTGCAAAGTACTCCTTAAGGACATTTCTCCAAAGCAGATAGACAAATGGTCCATTAGCACCTGAAAAGATGCTCAATATCACTAGGCATTAAGAAAATGAAACTCAAAACCACAAAGAGATAGCACTTCAACTCACTAGGATGGCTATAATTTTAAAAAAAAGGGGGGTGGGGGGAACGAGTGTTCACAAGGATGTGGAAAAATTGGAACCCTTATACATTACTGGTGGCAATGTTAAAGAGGGCAGTCACTGTGAAAAAGAATTTGGTAGTTGGTTCCTCAAAAAGTTAAACATGAAATTACAATAAGACTCAAAACTTCCACTTTTAAGAATATACCCAAAAGAACTGAAAAACAAGTACCCAAATACTTGTACATGAGTGTTCTTAGAAGCACTGTTTATGATGGACAAAAGGTGGAAATGACATTGTCCACCCATGGACAATGAATAAGCAGGGTGTGGTATATACATGCCAGGGAATGTTGCTTAGCTGTAAAATGGAATGGAGCATTGATATATGTTACGATGTTGATGAACCTCAAATACATTGTGCAAAGGACATGATTTTGTTCTTTTATATGGCTTTATAGTATTCCATGGTGTATATGTGCCATATTTTCTTTTTCCAATTCACTGTTGATGGGTACCTAAGTTGATTCCATGGAGACCTCTATACTTATTTTTAGCACTGCTGCATTCAACAGCACATTCCTGGATAATAAATTAATGAGCCTTCCATGTGTATCAGTACTTTCCTTTGAGAACCTTGCAACGTGCTTGCATTAAGTGAAAGAAAGCAGACACAGAGGTCAGTATGATTTCATTTATGTGAGTTATCCAGAAAAAGTAAATGCATAGAAAAAGAAAGCAGATTGGGGGTTGCTGGTGGCTGGGGGAGGTAGGAACAGGGAGTTGCTGCTTATCAGGGTAGGGAATTTCTTTTGAGGTGATAAAAATATTTTGGTACTAGAGAGAGTTTATGGTTGCCCAACATTGTGAATGTACTAAATGCCAATAAATAATTCCCTTTAAATGGTTATTTTATTATTATTATTATTTTATTTATTTTTTTTGAGACGGAGTCTTGCTTTGCCATCCAGGCTGGAGTGCAGTGGTGCGATCTCGGCTCACTGCAAACTCCGCCTCCCGGGTTCACACCATTCTCCTGCCTCAGCCTCCCGAGTAGCTGAGACTACAGGTGCCTGCCACCACGGGTGGCTAATTTTTTTTTTTTTTTTTTTTTTTGTATTTTTAGTAGAGACGGAGTTTCACTGTGTTAGCCAGGATGGTCTCGATCTCCTGACCTCATGATCTGCCCGCCCCGGCCTCCCAAAGATAATGGTTAATTTTATGTTATGCAAATTTCACCTCAGTAAAAAAAGTGGAAGTAGTCTCAGGCCAACTGAAACAAATTGGTCATCCTGTTGCTTACATGTGAAAAAATCTGTGAGCAAAATAACTGGCTCTGAGTTATTCCCTGAAACCACTTAACAGGTGACACCTTTAAAACACTGGCACACAGTAAGTGCCCTATATATATTACTTGCTGTTTAGAAAAAAATAGAAGTGACAGTTTGAGGCAGTTTGCAAAAACACCATGATTGTGCTATTAACTGGCCTCTAGCACAGTTTCTGGTGCGTGATACACATTCTCTTAATGTTTATTGAATTGATCTGATTGGGAAATCTCATTCTCTAGAGATACTCTAGAACAAAGTATTTATCCCATCACTTCAAATCTTTGAAGATTGGTTGATTGATGCTTCAGGGGACAACTAAATTCAGGTAATATCTGTTACTCCATATACTATTTCATATAAAACATTAAACTATCAATGCAATGGAACAGCTGACTATTTCATATAAAACATTAAACTATCAATGCAATGGAACAGCTGATATGGATGAAAAGCCGTGGGTAGCTTTCTATTAGTAATCTTTCATACCCCTGAGACAGTAGTACAATTAATAATTTTTTTCTCTAGACAAGTTCTTAAACTAAGTAAAACCATGTATAACCTCTAGGAATCTTCCCAACACCAATGGCACAGAAATCCAAAGAATATAGGAAGAATCTCATCTCAAAATATGACGGGCTTTACTCTAACAAGGCAATAGTAACTTTCCAGATTGAGTGCTTTGTCAAATTATTTGTTTTGATACTCACAGACTCTTAAACTAG
Source organism: Homo sapiens (assembly GCF_000001405.40). Lineage (NCBI taxonomy): Eukaryota > Metazoa > Chordata > Mammalia > Primates > Hominidae > Homo > Homo sapiens. Next base: position 25,809,241 of record NC_000012.12, on the reverse strand, counting down.
GCCAAGATTCATGAACAGGAGCAACAATCATTTGCTAAACATTTAGAGAAAGCATTTTGTGGGGAAGAAGCTGTGTTACTAATTTTAGACCTCTACTCTTTTTCTTTTTTTTAAATAGTAGATTCAGGGGATACATGTGCAGGTTTGTTACATAGATATATTGCATAATGCTAAGGTTTGGGCTTTTATTGGACTCATCACCCAAATAGTGAACATAGTACCAAATAAGTAGTTTTTCAACCCCTATCTTCCTCCTTTTCTTCCCCTTTTTGGAGTACCCAGTGTCTATCTTTCCCATCTTTATGTCTTTGTGTACATAATGTTTAACTCTCCTATAAAGGTGAGAAAATGTGATACTTGGTTTTCTGTTTCTGTGTTAATTCACTTAGGATAATGGCCTCCAGATACACCCATGTTGCTGCAAAGGACATGATTCTGTTCTTTTTTATGGCTGTATAGTATTCCATGGTATATATATACCATATTTTCTTTATCCAATTCACTGTTGATGGGCACCTAACTTGATTCTGTGGAAACCTCTACCCTTACTTTTAGCACTACTGCATTCAACAACACATTTCTGGATAATAAATTAATGAGACTTCCATATGTCTCAGTACTTTCCTTTGAGAACCTTGGGATGTACTTGCATTAAGTGAAACCCATTGTAGTCCCCATGTGGTCACTGTTGCACCAGGTTTAAAAGAATAATTGCTGTATTTAGCTTTGTAACATCCTCATTTTATAAAGTAGATATTTCATGGCTCAAACAGGATCAGCGATAAGGTTATTCATGGGTGAATTTCTACTCATGGACATTTCTGACAGTAAATGCACAGAGCCAATTCACAGAAAGAGCGTTAAATGGAATTCCAGATTTTAATTACCCTATCCTTCCCTCCAAATCTGTTTCTTAGTCTCTGGTTTTACTTATCTTTGTACATATCACCTCCCAAATGCTCAAGGTTGGAACTTTGGAGCCATTGTTGATTATTCCTTTTTCTTGGACATCTTCATGCCCACTCCATCAGCAAGTCACATCCTGTCACTCCTCTCCTTGTCCTCTGTCCCATCCTGGTCCCAGCTGCCCACTTTTCTTACCAAGATGCCTGCAACGAGCCCTACCCTTTGGCTTGGCTCTGGCAGCTGTTTTTCATAAGTCAGTCAGCACAATCTTTGCAGAAAGGAGATCGGTCACTATGGGTCTCTGCTCAAAATCCTTCGTTGCCCCTCACACTCTTTCGACCTCAGGACCAATTGTGCTGGTTGGTTTCCCCCAGGAAATGCTTCTCTACTATTTCTATGGCCAGCTCCTTCTCATTCCACCTTGAGGAGTATTCTGTCTAAAGCAGCTCTTCACACCCAGTACACATGACAGCCGTGATTATCCATCAGGCTTCATTTGTTTCATAACATTCCCGATTTTATATTTACTTGATTATTGTCTATGTCGTAGCTTTTCTCCCTTTAGAATGAAACTTCCATGGTGACAGGGATTGTGACTTATGGACCATAGTATCTATTTGCAGGTCTGTAAGTGACACTGGTCACTGCTTGGAGGGTGAACTTGTCACTGCTTCTGGGTCCTTTCCACTTCCTCTGCCTCTTCTCTCAATACTCCAGCCTTGAAAACTCTGATGACTCAGTAGGAGCAGGTAAAAATGATAGGCAGGGGTTAAAACACTCTGTTTTATTTACAACAAAGAGAATTTCTTTACCCTGTATTTATTTAACTGTTTTCCCCCAAATATATGTGTGTATAGGAGAGGTGGGGATGCAGAAGGGGATGGAAAAGAGTTCACGTATTTTCTCTCCCAATTTGTGAGATTTAGAAATGAGAAGGTGAAAATGATTGTAGAAAATATTAAACAAATATTTTGGAGGCAGGTCCAGCTTTTGGAAGCACAGTATCTTTTCCAAGAATCAATTTGACTGATTGCCATGGACTCATTTTATATAAAGTGGGCCTAGTAAAAAGATTTGGAAAAAAAATGTTAGTAAAGACCCTTTATGCTTTCTCATAAAGTTTTCCCCTGAGTAAGCAGGTCTGAGAGAAGCCCTTGTCTTATGATTACGTATATAACTAAGCTATGAGAGCTTAAATGTAGCCTTATTTGTTAATATCAAAAGAAATAAGTTGTATATTTGGTGTGGAATCTTCCTGCTGGTGTAATTTTTGTAACATTTACCCTACCACCTGGAAAAAAAGATTGGCCTTCACTTTCTACTAAGAGGCTAATTTTACCTGGGTAGTGTGGACCATCTGTGGATCCATTCACTCACTACTTAGTATATAAATATGCCAGGCATCATTGGTGCAGTCAGATGAATTATTATGGACTGGTTTACTCCCTGTCTTCTGCCATGTTAGGGCTCTCAACTCCCTAGGAAGAGTGGCTTTCACTTTGTAGTGTGCCAGGTTAGGCATGAGATTTAAACTTAGATTAGCTTAATATTTATTTTCTCTTTCTTGATATACATTCAACCTTTTTATAACCTTTTACTCTCTCACCAGATGTGGTCCATCTCTTCACACTGCAATGGGCCTCATATGATTAAGTCAGTTTCTTAAACACCTCTTGGCCCATCAAAAACTATATTTTAAAAATTACTTTCCAAAGGAGACACATCTGCAGAAAACTTTTGGATGCAACACAGCTGGTTTGCTGCAGGGGACACATTCTCAGAAATGGCTGAATCATTTCTGCATGGGCTGGTTCCAGGAGAGCCCCAATGAGGTGTTCTCTAGATCATCAAAGTTGACAAGCTCCCTTTGCAGGTCAGTCCCCCAGCATGCAGTGACGTTATGATGTTTAGGAAGGTCAGGGGATGGCCAAAAATCACTAAATGTTCCTGATCTCTACTTTCTGGTTTCTTAGTCATTTCCTTAAAGACATCTTGTGGTCTGCTTACTTCCTTTGCCACCTTTTTTGAGTGTAAGTATCATGTGGATACCTTTTGACTTTTTTGTTTTTTTTTTTTTGAATTTTAAAATCTTTCAATATTATTTAATGAAAAAGTCTCACACTGTCATGTACAGGATATATCAACATTTACTACTCATCTGTCATGTTAGGAAAAACATCATTATTACACGCTTGGAAAATCCTCAAACCCATCTCTAGTGGATGTCTGTCATAATTTAAACGGTATTTTCCCCATTCAAATAAAACAATCTCTTGTAAAGCTACAACAGTTATATACCAAAGCAATACCTAGTTACATGCTTTACACGGTCCCGTGAAAAAATAATTTAATTGCTCCTAATCCCTGATGCAAGGCACTTCAAAGCACCCGCACAAAACGTCCATGTAAACAGCAGTACAGTGCATCATTTAAATAACATAAATGACTTTTACACAGCTTGACCTAGGAAAAAATAAAATCCATCATAGCCACAGCTAAAAAGCATGTTAAGATTCACAACAAGAATTTGTTTCTCTTATTATAAAGAGAAGAGCAATCATAAAACCTCCTGGGGGTGGGGGAGACCTCATAAATATTTTATATTGATTGACAAAACAGCATGCTCCCTGGGTATGTATGAAATCAGAATATTCAGGAGTAACTGAGAGGATGCAAATGACATTTCTTAGTACCCAGCTTTAATATCTACCAGGCCTGGTAGTCTGGATTATTTGTAGCACCATGGAAAACTCATTAGAAAATCACAAAGGTATATACCTCAACCTTTCCATGAGGTTCATTTAATTATAGTAAAAAACAGCAGTGATGCAGATAAAGAATCTTTAAAATTATTGGCTTACTGGATTTACCTAGCAAGAAAAACTCTATATTACTTATTTTAGTACATCTCATGTACATAAAGCACCAGTTTAAATGAGATTATCAAATATCTCCAGCATCTTTTTGCTTAGCCTAAAAGTTCATTTCTTATCACTTTCCATGGCACATTCTTAAAGCCAAGGAAGATAAAACTAGAATGGTTATAAATATGAATGGAGAAATTCAGTTCCTTCCCTATCATATTTACGTGTCTCAAGTAAAACATAGATGAGTGGCAAAAGGTCTACTGCATTCTCTGGAACCTGCCACCCCAGAGTAGTTACTAGCTACTAGAGGATTAACACACAGGGCTGAGCAGGTCAAAGCCAGGGCTCTGTCAGGTAAGGGCCAGTTTTTACTACTGAGCAACCCACAAACACCACTGGTAAAGCAAAGAGGTCTGAGTGTGCATATAGCTCAGGAAACCCTGAGTTTACCCTTAGTTACCACTAAAAACTAACAAATGAGACTCTGCTGAGGCTTAACTTCATATACAAAAATCAACACCTTTGCCTCTTTGACAGTGGTAATTATTAGCATGCCCTTCTTAGGTATAAAAGGGATAATGGTATATCTAGGTTTATGCACAGTTAAGAATCAACTACAAATATTCAGACTTGTATTTTAAAATTACAGATCAAAAGTGACTCCCAAAAGAAAATCAATTTCTTCATAAATGAAACATAGTATATAAAAAGCTGGAATGATGATTAATTCAAATACAAAAGCTAGTATACAACAACCCTACTTTTTCTTCCAAACTACTTAGGTTCATACGGTTCACACTACCACACAACTGTTCTACATTACAATTACACCACTAGAGTAAAATACTAATAAAACACTTCAGTTAGCAAGCTGAGGTTCTACTTGTTGACAACTGCATTAAAACTGCAGCATTTAAGCAGAGCTGAGAAGCACCGTTCTTAAGCATGGCTTTCTTCTTCCTGTTCTTGTGTTCCACAGTGATTATTAAAGGAAGGAATTTGGTCTGTAAATGACTGGGTCATCCACTGCTCATTAGGAATGCCACTGAAAGTTGATTCTCCTCTTAACTCCAGGCTCTCAATTAGCCCATTTGAAGAGAAGCTGCAAGGTTCACTGTCGCATGGATTTTCTCCGTAAGCACCACCATATGCTGCCTCATAACCCAGATCATATTTTTCTTCCTTAACAGCCATCTTCTTTGCATCTTCTTGGGCAAGCTGTAGGTCAAATGTATATTGCACCTCTTGAACGTCCGTATTTCGTTCAATGCCTCTCAACTGATCTCTTAAGTCTTTCAGTTTTATGTAGTAATGAACTTTGTCTTGGGCCCGAGGAAACTGAGCACTTCTTGCACTGGATGACGGCATAACATAGCAGAGAGTTTCTGTGCCTGGAATCTTATGGGGCTGAAGCCCAAATTCCAAGTTCTTAACCTTTACACCAAAAACTTCTTTACTAAAAATTTCATAAATACATTTTCCATTAAACACTGCTATTCGTGGCTGATATTTCTATAATTTCTGTACTAGAATACGTCCTCCTTCACGAAATTCTTTACTGGAGAGATCTTTGCTGCCAGGCGTGGTCCTTTCCACCATGTTGGTAAATCCAATACCATACTTCCCTGGTAGAGTGTGATCATCCATATGGTTCACCTGGACCTCACTGAGCCCTGACATAAACAAACACTTCCAAAAATGGTTTCCAGGTCCAGGGTAATGATGCCCTTTGTAAGCAGCCATTAGACCCGGGTTTATGCCAATAATGACAATGTCCAGATTGAAGGTCAAAATATCGGGGAGAGTCTTGGTCAGAAGTTCAGCTTCTGAAACACCATTAAAACGGTCTACTTTTCTTTTGACTTTAAATGTGTCTGTAATTTTTCTTGCTTTTCTTTTGATTTTGCAGACTTGCTAGATTTTTTTGACTCAACAGGTTTTTTGGGTTCCACTGGTTGTTTTGGTTCTGTTGTTCTGGGTTTTCTTTTTCTTCCTTTTGGAGCCTCTTGCACTGGTTCCTGAGCAGGAGCTGGGGCTGGAACTTCTTCTGGCATTTGCTGTTCATTCACAACTGCCATATTAGGAGCTTCAGCCATCAGTTGTTGAAATGGAAACGTATAAAAAGCTTGAGCTTGCTGAAGGGAGTAGCTGCCCGCGTTCTCCGCTTCCATTCCCCGAGGCCGCTGATGCGGGCAGCTCCACCTGCCAGGCACACGGGCAGCCGGTCTCTGTAGTACCGCGTGGTACTCACTGCGGTAAGACAACCCCAGAGACCTCACCTGTTGACTTTTTATCCTACATGATGGGTCAAAACTGCTCACCATAATACAAAATAAATAGGAAGAACAGCCACAGCCAAGTAAACAATGTGTGTTTTAGAACTCACACAACTCAGGAAAATGTGGTAGAGTCCTTTTTGGCAGAGTGCCTTTGCAATATGATGCACTAATACTCTTTAGCTGGGAATAAACGTAAGGTAGAGTGTGTGGAAGATACCACGTAGAGCATGGTGCGGGGTGTGGGGGAAGCCATATATATATGTGTATGTATAATGTAATATATGTAACCGTATATGTATATACATGTATATGTAGCAATATATATGTATATGTATGTATATAATGTAATGCATATCTATGTGTGTATGGATGCATTATATAGATACGCAAACACACATATATACATATATATGTTAGTTTGTAAAGAGAAATATTTCAGAGACTTACAGACATTTGAGTTAGCACTATGTGCAGCATTATCAAATAGGGTCTGTCTGTATGTATTCCCTTAGATATGGGTTTCCAGAAAAAGCTTAAGCGAATGGCCCCAACAAATTATCATTAGGTTTAGATACTACACTTAGAGTTTCATTTCATTCTGTAATAAGGTGAGTTGATGGTGGTGTTATTTCAAGTTATAACTGAGAAAACCAAAATCTGGATGCATTGTCAAAGGAACTGCACTAGCTTCTTCTGCCTCTCAGTATTTAGAGAATGCTCAGGTATTGTGATGGTGAAACAATTATTTACCATCTTAAAGTACTTTGCCATGTTGTTAGTCACAAATCATCTATAGGCTGCATTCTTTATGTCATGCACTTACTTTTAATTAAGCTCCTAAGGAAGCAGAACCAGCAAAGGCTATTGCTGTTATTATTCATGGTGCATTGTTGGCTAAGGCTCCTATAACAAATGTGTAACACAATATCACACATTGTAAATATTTATGAACTGTGCTACAAAGAAATTGAGATTTTAAAAATATTAACAAATATTATTTCATGAGAAAAATCTATTGTATAAAAGATAACCATATCAGATAATCTGTTATAATTATCAAGTGAATGAACTTGTTAAAAATGACTTGGCTATAAAATGTCATAAAATATAGCAGATTAAATCACTTTTTTGGAGTCTTGCCAGATTTTTTTTATGAGTTACTATATTGCTTTTATCAAAGAACTCCTGAAGGCAGAAAAGAAATTAGAACTGACTTGAAAATTCCCATCATGCTTCATTCTCTGGTGGAAATTTGCAGGCCCTAATGGAGTTTGTTACATAATCAGCTTTAGGCATTCAATGGCTTCTTTTATTATAAAACAGAATTCTTGCCTAACACAGCCTCTCCTCTCTTTTTTTCGGCCCTCAGTTTCTGGAGTTACAAATGCACTTCAATAATGATCAAGTCATGCTGCAACAGGCACAGAGAACAAAGAAACAACTGCAACAAGAAACTGCTGAACTTGGGTCTGAAATCCCAGCATTAACAAAAAAGGTGAGATCAATAATGTTCAAATGGGCGAGTTGATGACAAATTTGAGATAACTCCATTGTGGGTTTCATACCTGCTGTTTTATCCTCGTTCTTCACAGAACACATGAAGAGTTGGTATTATGAAAATCATTATAAAACAATTACTTTCCATTTCTAATTATGTAACATTTGGAAAATGTCCAGATGTAAATGTGTCATACTTCTTTTTTTAACTTTTGGGCTGTAAAATAATTAAGAGAGATGAAACTGAATTAATGTAATAAAACACTATCTGACATAAAATAAATTTTATAATTGATCCAACAAGTTGTAGATAAAACTCCTTAAACTCCAAGTAGCACTGAACTTTCAGATGCCATTGAAAATATGTTGCTGCTTTTTAATGACTTCAGGGGATTGAACAACATAACCTTCTTTCAAATATTATACTAATTCCCCCCAAACCAAACTCAATATGCTTTTCTCATTGACAAAAACCAAGTTTCTCACTGTACAAATTTACCAAAATCAGAGACTTTTCTTATGATTGTGAGCTGGCTAAAATTTACCAAAGATAGGAAGATGATATTATCACCAAACATTGCTATAAATTTTTTTATTCAAGTATTACTATGATGGTGGCACAATAGTGTGAATGTAATCAGTGCCACTAAACTATACACTTAAAAATAGTTAAGATGGTAAATTTTATGTTATGTATATTTTACCACAATAAAAAAACACAAAGAAAGAATAATTATGCAATGATCACCTGAGCAAAAGTTTAATAAAAAGAGCACTATGTTTAGTTTTGACATTTTATGAGAGCCCTCCTGGGATCTCCTGGTCCCTTCACAGCCCATCCTGTCCTGACCTGAATTTTGTGCTATCGTTCCCTTGCTATCAAAGAAAGCAAAAGTCTTGCACATTAAAGAGCTTTATAAATGGAATCTTCTTCTATGTGTCCTTCTGCAACAGCTTTTTCATTCAATCTTTAGTTCCAGATTCATTTATATTGTTACATGTAGCTATACTTTATATGTTTTCACTGCTTTATCACTTGGATATACCACAATCTATTTATCCATTTGCTGTCGATCTGTTGATTGAGGTTGCTTCTCATTTTATCCTTTTTTTTTTTTTTTTGGTTATTACACATAGTATTGCTTTGAACCATTTGTCTTCCTGTACATATGGAAAAATTGTCACTATGGCATATACCTAAGAGCAAAACAACTTTTCTAGAAAATGCCAAATTGCTTTCTAGATAATGCTAAATTGCTAAATTACTTTCCAAATTTACCCACTTACATATTCACCAGCCTTGTAAAAGTGCTGGGACACTCCATGTTCTCACTAGAGTTATAATGTTTTGCCTATCTGGTTTATGTAACATGATAGCTCACTGTGGTTTTAATTTTCAACTTTTCAACTTCCTGATTTCTAATGAGGCTGTGTATCTTTTGCTTTTCATTGGCCATTTGTGTCTTCCCTTCTGTGAAGAGCCTATTCAAGCTTTTTGTTCATTTTTCTATTGAGTTCTTTGTCTTTTTCTAATTAATTTGCGGGAGTTCTTTCTGTAAGTGATGTGGATTGCAAGTCTTTTCTCCCAGTTTTTGACTTTTCTTTTCACTCTTTTTGGTGTCTGCATCGACAATTTTTTACATTTCTATTATGGATGAAATCATGAGGGAAAGAACAAAAGATATAGTTTTGGCAGTCTGGTCAGTCTGTCTCTCGTCTCATAAATCGCACAAGGTCTATCAGCCTAGAAGGTTCAGTTTGTATTTCTGTTGGTTGAAGGCAGCAACTACGTCTCAAAACTCAACTGCATCTCAGTCATCATTAAGCAATGTGTATGGTAGTATTTTTTTTTTTTTTTTTTTGAGACGGAGTCTCGCTGTCGCCCAGGCTGGAGTGCAGTGGCGCGATCTCGGCTCACTGCAGGCTCCGCCCCCTGGGGTTCACGCCATTCTCCTGCCTCAGCCTCCCGAGTAGCTGGGACTACAGGCGCCCGCCACCTCGCCCGGCTAATTTTTTGTATTTTTAGTAGAGACGGGGTTTCACCATTTTAGCCGGGATGGTCTCGATCTCCTGACCTCGTGATCCGCCCGCCTCGGCCTCCCAAAGTGCTGGGATTACAGGCGTGAGCCACCGCGCCCGGCCGTGTATGGTAGTATTTTAACCATGCCTGGAACAAATGATTACTCCATCCATTTTCCTAGCCTGCTGCACATAGCTTATTCAGTAGCCATAGAACCTGGCAAACATATAAATGCGTATTTTCCAAGATGAGAATAAGTTGCAGACATTCAACACTTTTGTATTAGGAGAGTGCAGGCGTTGTACACAGACCTGGTTTCAAATACCTCCTCCTTCATTTTCCAGGCATAAGATCTCTATGCTTCCACTTCCTTATCTCTATATTGGGACTAATAGTTACCGCAGAGGGGATTTGAGTAGATTTAATTAGATAATCAACTTACAGTACCCATCATTTAATACATGCTCAATAAATGATAATTATTATGGGATTACCACTGTAAAATAAATGGCTATACCAAGAATCACTGCATATAGATACTTCAATTTTGTTAAACAAAAGGGTAGAAATTTAAACTCAAGGAAAGGTAAAAATTACCCCAATGAGATCTCAGATTTAAGAGCAGCAAGATAATGAGTTGTTGCCACAGCACCAGGGCCAATACCCATAAGGTGGGACAAGAGTACAAAATGTCGTCACCTGCTCCATCTGCCCTGCCATTCCCCATTGTACTTCTAGCTTGATCCAGCTGTGATCCACTGTCAGAATGGAGTAACTAGAAAGTCGGTAGCTCAAGAGCACACTTTGTTCTCTTATTACACATGGAGCACTTCTTTAGGGGCCAGACTGGAATTTTTTCCCACCTCTCTGCCAATGTTGAGCACATGGGTAGCACAAAGGTCTGATCCAAAATCCTGAATGAAAAAGATATTATTGCTGCCCTTGAAGAGTTTAAAATCTAGTTGGGAAGAAAGCAATCCCTATAAAACAATTGGAGAGTAATGAAGAAAAGGAAACTGTCAAACTGTTGATTTTAATAGCTACATCCTATAAAGAGCTCACTGATATAGTAAAACTATTATTAATTAAAATTGGTTATTTTTTCAAGATTTGCCACTTATTAAAAAAAAAAAGCAAGTGTGCCGTTGTTAAGTACTTGTTTCCTATCCAAATGTTGTCAGTGGTGTTTTAACCTCATATCCTATCAGCTTCAAGTTAATTTGCTGCATTTTCTTTGTCTACGTTTTTCATTATTTTAAAAAGTGTTTGTTCACTGGGTTGGTAGCAAAAGAGAATTAGTTCTTTGCAGCCTTAAGTGAACTGACCTGACCAAGGTTACTTACCAGCAGGGAGTCATTTTTACAGAAAGGACTGAAGTATTTAGACTGGTAGTTCTGTACTTCTTCATCTCACTGCTTTTCCAGCTCAAGTGGAGATCTATTTTTGACTGGGTAGTTTAAGCAAGGTGTGATGTTAGTGCAGGGATGAATGACTCTCACAGGGAACAAGAACTCCGGCTTCCCAGTGACAGCCTGTGCCCGCCTCTCCTCCAGGATGCTCTCCTACTTATCAAGGGAATGAAGACAAGTGGACGTGGGTCCCGCTGTGTTGCAGCACCTTTGAAAATACTTGTGAAATATAAATCATTGCTTCCATTTCTGAAGCAATTGCAACAACTCTTTAGCCCAGAGAATGAGTAGAGTTTAAGAAGATAAATCTGAAAGACCTTTCAGGGGTTATTTTATATTAAGACACCCAGAAGGCAAAACTGAAATAACTGAAAAAGAAGAACACACACACACACCAAAAACACACCAGGAAACAACCAAAAGAAGCTGCTATTCCATTGTAAAATTTAGGATATACCTCTACTTATACAAGTTGCCCTGAAATAACGTTAGTGTGCTCCCAAGGTAGCAAATATAGATATAAACACCCAGCCAGCAAAATCGGCCCTCTGAATTTATAGATTGCCTTGTTTCCAAGGATAATGACTTAGTGAAGGTGTCAGCTGCCATAGCACAGCCATCACTCACTCAGCAATGGAAAAGAGTGCCTAGTGCTCATCCAAGCCTAAAGCAGGATGCTTATTGACTAACCAGGAAATGAGGCTTCTGATATTCTATTAGAATCTTAAAGAGAAAAAAAAAAACCACTGAAATATGTGTGATAGCTCACTGCTGAGTAAACATCATCATGCACAGTACACCTTTGCCAATCTTTCCTGAAGTCATTATAGGATGTGTACCACCTTTGACAATGAAAAGCAAGTAGGTATAGCTGGCCTGTCTCCACTGCCCTAAAAGGGTGACTGCTTTTAGAAAAGGAAATATTATAATAAAAAGACACCCTTAACAGGAGATAAACTGGAGTATGTATTTCCACTATAATTCTTGCATTGTTATTGAAGTAAATGATTCTAAAAGAAATTAGGGCCTTTCTAATGTATTGATTTATTCACATATTTTTCTTATTTCTTTTTAAAATAAATGCTTAGTATAGAATTAATTTGTGAGTCTGAGTTTGTTTTATTTTAAAGAAAGTGGAGAGGAAAACCCCTCTGTTGATGGGCCCACCAGAAAAAAAAATTTTTTTCAGGAGAAAGATTTGTGATGATTTTTCCAGAAGATCTACTTTGAGAATCACTGTTGGGCCCACATATAGTAGTGGCCTGGTTCTGAGAAAGGCTATCAGTTACACTCCTGGTCCTGGTTTTGTTGTGTGTCCTCCACAGATGATGTCACCTTGTTACTGCTACTCCTCTGGCTATCTGACCAATGTCTGTCAGGTTTCTAGATAAAGTGTTTCCACAGCCTATGCCTTCTGCCTGTGGATGGGTATAAGTCAGTTACTAGCATCAAAGTGTCATCGAGCTGCTGTGTTACAACATGAGAGACTCCAAATGGCAAGGGGCCAGTGCTTGAATTTTTCAGACACTTTCTATGATGCTGAGGTGAAAGGAGGGCACATGTCATTGTTCCTCCCCACTCATGACTGGATTTTAGATTCTTCCCCAGTATTCAGAGTGTCAGGGGAAGGGAGGGGAACTAGCAGCAGTTCATATGAAAGCTTGTTAGAAATGCAAAACCGCAGGCCTGACCATAGGCCTACTGAATCAGAATATGTATTGTAACTAGATCTCTAGTTGACTTATGTACACACTGCATTTTGCGAAGTGCTTTTCTACTTTTACCAAAGGATCGGTCCATATGGTCTTTTCTTACCCCTACCTTTGCCCTATTACTTTAAATCTTTCCAAATATTCTTCACTATTCAATGTAATTATATAATACATCTTGATTCTGCCTTTTCTACTGGAACAGGAAGTCAGGATTGAGGAGAGGCAGCACAAAAATAGGACTATCATGAAGTAAGCCTCAGACATTCCAATTTCTTCATGTTAAAAATCTACTCATGACGAGAATTAGTCTAGTTGAAATTACTGGCTAAATACAATACTTACTAAATAATAATAACAGTAATAATGTTCTTAAGTGAAATAAAATTAGACACTCTTTTAACCTCTGTATTTCTGTAGTGTGTGCTTTTGTAGATGTCATAATTACTATTAAATTGGGGAAGAATCATACTGATTTTAAAGCTGATGAAAATAATGAATAGATGCTGAAGTCTTAGGAAAGATTCTTCGAGTGAATGCCCTCAGCTATAATACAAATATTCCTTCTTTTCTCATGTTGAAACTGGGTATCATGATAATTTTTGCATCACGTATGTCTGTGGCACCAAAGACCTGGGTTCTTCTGGGGAACGTCACAGTTCTGTTGGTTCTGGCCACATTCAGAATTCTGGGACAATCTCTTCTTTTGACTACCCTAGAGTAACAACAATAATAGTGACAACAGCTTAAATCTCTGCAAGCACATTATATTATATGTGCTGAAAGGTTTATGAAAAGAAAAGAAAACAAAACAAAGAACTATTCAATAACAGGCAAATAGGCAAATTATAGTATTCTGACACCCCACAATAAAAAAAGTGGTCCCTGTGTGCTAATCATTATTAGTTACTTGGCATACATTATCTCCAGTTCTCGTATGTAGGAGTTATTATTCTTATTTTAGAGTTAAAGAAAGTTAGAGAAATTTTAAAAATGTTCTTAAGATCATGCAAATAATGAATGATGGAGCTTGTATTCAAACTGTAGCCTGTACTTCCCACAAACAGGCTTTTATCTAAGCTGTATAACTCTTCATCACTTGATATACAATGAGTAATTGCCTTTTAAGGTAACAGGGGAAGGCAGGTACTTCCAGGGGACTCCGGCAGTACCCCTCATCCCTGAACTACAGATCCACTGAAGGCCCTGGCACTGCTGGCTAATAGAAAAAGTCCGAATGAAGTCCAAGATGTAGTGATTCCAGGTCTCCAAAGGTCCTGCTTGCATTGCCCAAAGGGAGCTTGTACTCAGGTGGCAATTTGTTTTTATTGCTACAGTTACTTTTTATCAGTGCTGCTGTTATTCTATTTCCTTCAGGATTTTTCTCTATCATTGGTCTCTCTCACGTTTATATTCCTCCCCTCTATCAGTCCCCTTCTCTTGTTATGGGCATACTCAAGTCTCCTCATTCTAAAAAAGCAATCAACCACTAGCAACAAGAAATATTTCTTGACTCTGATTCTCCTTCCCACGGTTGCTCCACTCTTACACCCTCTTCTGCCTCTTGACAGAGTGGCTGCCTCACTTAATATCTACAAATCATTATTTTTCATTTACTTTTGAATCAATTGCCGCCTGGTTTTCTCTTCCTCCACTCACTGAAACTAATTGAACTATTTCCAGCAAGTTTCATGATGCTGATACCCAATAGCCTTCTTGCTGGAGGAAAATGGAAATATAAATGACATTTTATATTGGAGGAAAAGGGAATATAAATGACATTTGCGGAACACATCCTGTGAGTCATCTTTCTGCAATGTTCTTTGTCTATATTTTCTTATCTAACCCTCATAGTAACCCTGTGATATTTTAAATCATCAATATTATTATTATTTAAAACTCAGGAATAGGTTCAGCCTATTCCAGTAAAATAAGGTAGAGACCTGACTCAAACCTAGTTCTGTCTGACTCGAAATTCCAGGTTATTTTATTATACAAGGTGTAAACAAACAAACCAACAAAAAAGTCTAAGCCCCCACACTGCCCGCCCAGCCAACTGAATAGACCCTTTCTCTTGGCCAAGGGCTTTCCAAAGTTAACCTGAAAAACTTGTTCAGGCCATGATGGGACGGGGGAGCCAGACATGCCTCATTATACCTTCCTCCCTTTTGGAATTACTGATAGAGTAGACTCTTTAAGTCTGATAGGAAATATTCACCATCTATTCTCACTGAGTCTGCTACCTGGAGGCTTCATCTGCGTGATAAAACCTTGATCTCCACAACCTTTTATTGTAACCCAGACATTCCTTTCTATGGACAATGACTCTTTTAACCAATTAATTGCCAATCAGAAAATCTTTGAATCTGCCTATGACCTGGAAGCCGCCACTTCAAGTTGTCCTGTCTTTCTGGATTGAACTAATGTAAATCTTACATCTATTGTTTGATGTATTATATCTCCCTAAAATGTATAAAAGCAAGCTGTACCCTGGCCACCTTGGCCACATGCTGTCAGGACCTCCTGAGCCTGTGTCATGGGTGTGTCCTTAACCTTCGCAAAACAAACTTTCTAAATTGCTTGAGACCTGTCTCAGATGCTTTTGGGTTCACAAAGAAAAAAAAAAAAGACATAGAAGCAAGGAGTGGAGGAGAGAGAGAGAGAGAGAGAAAATGAGAGCGAGAATGGAAAGAAAAGGAAGAGGGGCGGAAAGATTTAAATCTAGCAAAGTTTCTCTACAACAAGCAAGAGATTCAAATTGACCATTAGATAAATTTCATTGCAATTATTACCTTTTAATTTTATTGTACAGGAATATTTTATTTCAGGATTAAAAGTGGAACATACAATTGGGAATAAAATATAATACTAGTAACAAAAGTTACTTATGTTCCAAAAGTAGCATACTTAATGGAAAGGCTTCCGATCCTCTGTTAAATTATGTTTTCTATGGAAATGAAGGCTGCAGCTAGGGTATCTACTTGCTAATACTGCCACCTTGCACAACTTTCTGAGGGATTTGTTCATGCACAAGAAACTAGGATATGGGGCAGATAGCGAATGAACACTAATTTGTGTGTGCTATTTAAGTTTTCTTGAAATTATTCAAATTTCTCTGGCCTAGAAACCAGGACAGAATCTCAAGACAGATGGCTTGGTAATGAGTTTTTCACCTCTTTTGGCTGCCAAGCAATTTGGAAATTGCACTCGGCCAGGCCCCTGTCAATGCAGTTCGGCACTTCAACTTGAAGATGAGTCTGACACCAAGAAGTTGTCAGCAGCAGCAGCTAATGCTTAGCAAGTGAGGCATATCAAGTGTCATGAAAATGGAAAGACAAAAATTCTGTTCTGGTTATTGTAACTCCCTAACAAGTTTGGGGTGCACCTAAATTTCTGTGTTGAGTTAGTTCAACTTGTATCTGCATTTCAGACTTCATTCTTAGCTTGAAATTAGATACTATTTATCAGATTATCTATTGGACAATTTTTACTTGGGTGTCATGCAGACACCTCAAAGTACACAGGCTCAAAACCAAACCCTTGATCTTCCCTCAAAAAACCCCTCCTGCTCCACTCCTTCCTGTCTCAGGAATATTAACATTATCCAACCAGCCAGTGACTCAAGCCTGGAAACCTTCTTGACTATTCCCCTTTCTCCCTCCATCACGTCCAATTATAGACACTTCCTAAACATCTCCTGAATCTGCCCACTTCTCTCCAACCCTATCACCATCACGATCTTTAGACCACCATCAATTAATTTTGAAACACACTTGGTGTAGCTCCCTGACTAAAGGCCATCAGCCTGGCCCTACTCTGCCCAATTTTCTCTGTGGAGCTAGAGTGGTACATTACATCAGATCGTGCCATTGCCCTGCTGAAAACTTCCCCGTGCTTTCCGCTGGCTGAGGAATGAAGTCTAAACTGCTCAATATGGCTCAGATGGCTCCCTCCCCAGCACCATTTTTTTTGACCAGTCAGTCATTAAGTCAGCAAGTACTTATTGAGTGCCCTTTATGCGCCAGACCTTGCTTTAGGTCCTAGGGATACAGCAATGAACAAAATAGCCACTGTCCTTAAGAAGCTTCCATGCTAGCAGGAGCAGACAGATGGTAGACATGGCAAATAACAATTGCATAAGCTTAGGTGCTGGCAAATACCAGAAGGGAGATATCTGGGTGTGGTGCCTCCTATAAGCTTTTCTTTATCCCACCTTAACTAAGTTAGATGCTTTGGACATATGCTCTTCTGTAAGCACTTGTGTCATCACACTTTAGCACCTCTGTGTTATTTCTTGTTTAATTGCCTATCTTTCATGCTGGATCACTATAGGTTTGGTAAGGGCAATGATTCATTCTAGATACCATCATTTCCTAATGACTAGTTTTTGCCTAGCACATGTCAGAGGCTTAGTAAATATTTGTCGAAGGAATGTTACTTCTTAAGTATGAATTAATTGGTAGGCTGTTATCTGATTGGGTAAATGAAAATATATATAGTTAAATTAAAAAGTTGGGTGAAATTAAAATTTATCATTCTTCTGAAGTTTACACCTGTTCAGATATCTACAGACCTATGTGCAATATATTGAACTATCAAACACACAAGTTGATCAAACTTATTTACTTCAAATCACCCAATTCTTACAGATTATGAATTTTATATATTACTGATTTTTTAGTTTTTCTTCTCATTTGCTAAGAAAGCCAGATTAAGAAAGAACTTTGTGGCCGGGCACAGTGGCTCACGCCTGTAATCCCAGCACTTTGGGAGGCCGAGGTGGGCGGATCATGAGGTCAGGAGATCGAGACCATCCTGGCTAACACGGTGAAACCCCGTCTCTACTAAAAAATACAAAAAAAAATTAGCCGGGCGTGGTGGCGGGCGCCTGTAGTACCAGCTACTCCGGAGGCCGAGGCAGGAAAATGGCAAGAACCCGGGAGGCGGAGCTTGCAGTGGGCCGAGATGGCGCCACTACACTCCTGCCTGGGAGACAGAGCGAGACTCCATCTCAAAAAAAAAAAAAAAAAAAAAAAAAAAGGAAAAAAAAAAGAAAGAAAGAACTTTGTTTGGAACATTGCAATGTGGAGAAATATGCTCTGAAATTAAAACATTGCAAAGAAAAAGCATAGATGGCTTTTGTGTCATTTTAGTCAAAGAAAAGTGGGTAGAATAGCATAATCATTTTAGGCAATCGTATGCTACTATCTTCTGTTTGTTTAATACATTTACCTTTGCAAGATTTATACCTATTACTCTGTTATATCAAATGTTAAGTTCTTGCCAGGATTGATAGAATAATGGTACGCCCTTCTAATGGGAAATGGAACTAGCACACTGTCTTCCATCTTCAGGCTCTTCAGAGCAGAACTTGTACACCTGTGCTCACCATAAAGCCAAACAAATCACAACAAATAATATCAGCCTGAATAAAATTTGGCTTGGTTTTATATGCTTTTTAAAGAAACAGTTTGTCCCACCCTTAAAACAAAGTATTTGGTTACATAATTTTGATGATTTTGTCCTGTTTGGATGAATGAAACTTCTGGGGAGAGTTCGAATTCTAAGTCCTTTATCATTCTCCTCTTAAGATCTTACAAAATCTTATGCTTTTACTGTGGTTGTTTAGGGTGTGTACCAGAGTTTCTGGAAAAAATGTTAGCTTTCAAAAAAACGTTGACACATAGAACCTACAAGAATAGCTGTCTTGGTTTCTCTCTCCCTGTATCTGTGTGTGTGTGTGTGTGTGTGTGTGTGTGTGTGTCTGTGTGTGTGTGTGTCTGTGTGTGTGTGTGTGTGTGTTTTAACTAACTACCCTTCCTCACCAAGTCCATTGCTTGCAAATATTCCAAGATATATACCTATAGTTTGAAATCAGTTGCTTGGTTTCCAAATGAAAATAGTTGCAGACAGAATGCAGCACAAATGTTGTGGGAAAACCAAGCTTTGGGGTTAAAAGCCGCTAGACCAGGATATTTTTCTCAGTGGTCCTCTCTTCCTATTTATTTATATTTTCATCTCACATCATATCCTTACTTAGAATTTACCTCTTGAGACTCTCGGCTCCAAACTAACTAAGAACTCAGTATTGGTTTCTTTAGTATTGCTAGTTTAACCAGTGTACAGTTTTGTAGAAACTCTTACTCATGTACAAACTTAAATATAAAAATTCTTATTGCAAATAGAAATCCTTCTACACACTTCACAACTTCTCAGTCATTACAATGCACTCATAGTTCTCTGAGTTTTCATATTATGTAGTCCGTATCCCATTCCGTAGCTTAAAACATGAGTGAAAAAATGAGTGGTGGCCTGGAAAGATGTCTGGGTAATGAATTCTGGGAACCAATATGGCAGTCCAGCTTCACAGACTCTGAGGTCTCAGTTGTTTAAAAAGAGAAAAGATAAAAATTGCCCAAATCGCAATTACCTATTACAACTTGGAAAAACTCATACATCATGCCACCGGCAAAACTCAGAAACAGCTTCCCAAGTGTGGAAACACATAAAGCAAAAACATTCTTTCTTTATGGTAACTATTTGAATTTCTAATCCTCAGAGCCTTGCACATTTACTATGAAAACCAAATTCAGTTCCCCTAAGGGGCAAGAAAGAACAACTTCCTATTGCATAAATTTATAGAATTATAATAGCAAATGTTTAAAGCCTTGCAATTTGTTCCTTGGGTAGCATTATATCGTCCTCTTCTGGGTTACGCAATTCTGCCTTGGCCTTTCAAACACAGAAACATTTTACCCTTGACACAATTTGGAATTTGGAACTGCCTGTGAAAACATGAATAACTTCGTTTTTCCATTTGAAAAGTCCCTAAGCACAAACTGATAAATTCTCAAAGAACTTCAATGCGGAGTTTGCAGGCTAGCATTTCAAATGCCAAGACCTATATTCAAAGTGCTTGAATTGCCAGAAAAAACACAGCTGCTGGTCCCTATCTCAGGCAATCTGTACACCATCTTTTAGGCTGGGGAGATTGTAAATGAGCTGAAGGTTAGAGGCAAATCTTAGAAGAATCAAAATCAGCATTGGAGGGATATCTATCCAAGATAAAAATATATTAAGTTATAAATATTAGCACTAACTCAGAATATCAGAAGTTTTAAACTATTGCTTATTTTGAAAGTCTCCCTCTCCTCTACCACCAAAAAAAAGGTCACAGGATCCATTAGCCAAAAATTTCCTCCTGACCTTCAGTTCTACTCTTGATAACTGTTCTTGTGTCTTGTTTTAGCTATTATTTAAAGGACTATGGTGGCCTAGAAGCTAGCCACTGTGGTGATTTTATGGAGTTGTCAATGGAGAAGATCTCATGAGGTCAGAGTAGCTGTAACAGAGACAGTCTCTGACATTTTCATAAACTAAATTGAATTCTTGGCTTAATCTGAGCTTGGACAGCATGAGTGTCCGGCCTTGCTACCCCTTAGCTGTATCAATTCTGCTTTAATTTCTACCTGAATAATGTGATAGAATAAAGTGGGCTATTCAGTTGGGCTTTAGTTATGACTTGAGATACAAAAAAGCACACAAATAATAAAGGATTTTTTTTCTGGAAATGTGAAAAGCATCTTTGAATTTTCCCAGTATGTCTGACACCTCCATGAGTTTGTTCAGATTTGGGCAGGCTGGCTGCTGCAAAGATAAGATAAGCTCTGGGTTATGTGTAATTTCCTATGCACAGACCCTAGCTACAGCCTTTTCCTACCCTGGTCTAACCCTCTAGTGTGTTAGGATATTCTCACAAGAAACTCTGTCTTAGATTTTCT
Organism: Homo sapiens; assembly: GCF_000001405.40. Classification (NCBI taxonomy): domain Eukaryota; kingdom Metazoa; phylum Chordata; class Mammalia; order Primates; family Hominidae; genus Homo; species Homo sapiens. The sequence continues at coordinate 25,788,773 of NC_000012.12, read as the reverse complement.
GGATTCTTCTAAACAAAACCAATTGGTTACTTACATTCTTTCATTTTATCAACATTTGCAACATTTGCTGAATATACCTACCTTATGTCAGTCTTTTACATGTGTGTATATATATATGGAGAGAGAGAGAGGGAGAGAGAGAGATGGGGTCTCACTATGTTGCCCAGGCTGGTCTCCAACTCCTGGGCTCAAGCGATCCTCCTGCCTTGGCTTCCCAAAGTGCTGGGATTACAGGCGTGAGTCACCTTGCCCGGATCTACATGTATGTTTTAATTAATATTCACAATTTCTATCTGGCAGGAGAAAAAAATGAGTCCAGAGATTTTAAGTAACTTGTCCAAGGTCACACAACTAATAAACATTTTGCCAAGATATAAATTCATGTTCTCCGGAACTCTGTAACTAGGTGCCTGTCTTCACTTTGAGATGCCTTAAGCTAACACAATGGTGGATGTGTATCACAATGGAAGCCATGTGTCTACTGAACCAATGGGACCAGTAATGTAATATGGTCCCATGAGTGCTCTCAAGGACCTGTTCTGCACCTTCTCTCTGATTGTGAGTGCTGATGATGTAAAAATTTGATCAATAATGTACCAAAGTGGTCTTTCCATTTCAGAAAATATATCAATTTCAATCCCTACTAATGTGAAATATCAGAGGTCGGTTGTTCCACAGTTCTCAGGAGAATTATAACCCACACCTAAAAATACACATCATCTAATTTAGATTTAATGATCTTCTTCCTAGCTTCTTGTTACCAACTACTTTATTAAACATAATGAATGGTTTCTCTTAGGACGATTCTTTTTTCAGGATGCATATAACACTGAGACTGTCTCTTCTGGCAGTTGCAGCTGTGATTTTAATTGGCTTCATGCCACTCTGATCCAAGCCTCAAGGCCTTCTAATGAAAGTCATAGAACTATTTAAGTAGAAAAAGATCTCAGAGATCTCCTAGTCCCAAAGTCTCAAACTGACAACTCCCAGGCTGAAGCTGCCTCAATTGTGTGTTGTTTGTTCTCGACAGTAATGACCCAAATTAAGTTCTTAGACTTTTTTGAATTGGTTGCCAAAGTTTCTAAGTAGGTATATTTCAAATGAAAAATCTATACGTTGGGCTTCTTTTGAAAATTTGGAATATTAGGCAGCACTGGGCCTGTCTTTCAGCATGGGAGAGACCAGCCTTAGTAGCAGGTGCTCCTTGTAGGTGCGGCTGAGCTTGCTAGAGTGAGGCCACCCTGGCACTCCCCTGTGGGTTGGCAATACTCTTGTCTGTTGACATTGATCATTGTGTTTGTATTATTTTTTTCTTGTAGGATTAAGAAAGAAAAATATTTCTGATTCTGTCAGAAATGAGAAAAAAATATAATTTGAGAAGGTTTCATGTTAAAAAAAATTTTAAAAATCCAGAGGAGAGTAAGTCTCTTCTTTTTTTTTCTTTTTTCTCGACAGGTTCTTACTCTATTGTCCAGCCTGGAGTGCAGTGGTGCGATTTCAGCTCACTGCAACCTCCGACTCCCGGGTTCAAGAGATTCCTATGCTTCAGCCTCTCAAGTAGCTGGGATTACAAGTGTGTGCCACGACACCCGGCTAATTTTTGTATTTTTTGGTAGAGATGGAGTTTCACCATATTGGCCAGGCTGGTCTTGAACTCCTGAGCTCAAGTGATCCACTCGCCTCGGCTTCCCAAAGTGCTGGGATTACAGGCGTGAGCCACCATGCCCGGCCATTATTTTGGAGATATAAATACAGACATCCAAAGAGGTTAAATGGCTTAGGGTTTATAATTTTAGGCCATAATTAGAGTGAAGATTTCTTCAACCATTTTGTATAGTGCTTGGCATGTAGGAGATAACAAATATTTGTTGAATTAGTTCATGGGCTGAAATTAGGGAAAAAATGATCTTAATGTTGTGAAATGTTTTAAGAAAAGAAGATAAATTAAAACATGGTATTAAAGAAATTTATGTAAATTCAAAATGGACTCATATATTATAGGGTGCAAGCATTATTTTATTTGGGCTTCAGAGTCAGCTAAATCTTTCCTCTTAGAAAGTACTTAACCAAGAGGGCCTTTTACCATCTCCCATGTCTGTCAGGCATGTATTTTATCCAATACAAGCCTGTATTACTGTAGAATTGTGCTAGAATATCTCTCAATTAAAATATTAAGCTAGGAAAAATAGTTATGAGAAAAGGCTCTCTCTCCTTTACACCTATCTTTCTCTTGGTCTTTCTCTCTTTCTCTCTCTCTCTCTCTCACACATACACACATACACACACACACAGAAACACATGCTCAGAAAAATAGTTGGCCTGCAAAATTTGATTTTAATTATTCATATTTTCAAGATCACATCTTTTTTGTCTTCTTCTATTACTAGATTATAAGACATAAATATTTCTTAGATTAAAATAAATGTTTCCTTCCTACACATAAAAACTAACAGAGCAGGATAAATTGAAAAATGAAGACATAGAAAAGAGAAGCCTATTGTTGCACCTAACTTTTTTTCAGTCCAGATTAATTGCAGAGGCTAGCTATTTAAGGTACCACTATCTTGAGAGGATAGGGATCCATTCCTCACCTTGTGAAATCATGCAAACGGTCAATCCAAACACCTTTCCAGTTCTCCAGACACAGTTGTTCTACATCTATAAGGGAGCGAGGGGAACTTCCATACATGCAGAGTTTCTAGAACTCGATGTAAGTGCTCAATATTTTTCATTATCCTCCAAATATTTTGTTGGCTTCTGTGATAATTATTATTATCATTTTAGAGACAGGGTATCCTTCTGTTACCCAGACTGGAGTGCAGTGGTACAATCACTGCTCACTGCAGCCTCCAACTCCTGGGCTCAAGTGATCCTCCCGCCTCAGCAACCTGAGTAGCTAGGGCTATGGGTACACACCATCATGCCTGGCGGGTTTGTATACTTTTTGGTAGAGATGGGGTCTTGTTATGTTGCTCGGGCTGGTCTCACACTCCTGACCTGAAGCTATCTTTTTGCCTTGGCCTCCAAAAGCACTGGGATTACAGAGCCACCCCCCCCCAGCCCTGACTTCTGCGATTATTGTTTCGCTCAAAGGAAAAGACGCCACACTAACAGTTGTGCTTAAAAATCATTCACAATAGGGCCAGGTGTGGTGGCTCATGCCTGTAATCCCAGCACTTTGGGAGGCCAAGAGAGGAGGATTGCTTGAGCCCAGGAGTTCAAGACCAGCCTGGGTAATCTAGTGAGACCCTGTCTTTATAAAAAGAAAAATTACTCACAATCTTTCTTCATCATCAGGAAGTTGTTTTTCCTGTTCATCCTAGATATTGCATGGGTACATTTACAACCATTTCCTCTGTCTAGTTAGGTTAAATAGAAAACTAATGAGTTTGTGCATGCTTGGGCTCTTGAGGCAGCACATCCTGGTAAGAGCTCAGGGCTGGCTCATCTGCTCTGCCCTGCATCCGTCTCGTACCACGTGTTTACATTTGATCAAATTACTTAACTTCTCTAAGCTTCTCTTTCCTCATCTGTATCATGAGAATAATGATACTAGTAACGCCTACTGTTTTAGGTCAGTTCCCTGGGAAATAGACTCTGAGGTGGGGATTTGCATGCAGGGGGTTTGGAGTGGATGCCCTGGTATCCACATCTGTGGGAATAAAGGAAGCAGGATTTGGTAGAGCTGGGAATTGAACTACAATGCAGTGCCCACAAAAGCCCCAGCTGATCCCACGTGGGCGTCCAGGAGCTAAGAGGGCCCTTTAGAGTTGCCCACCTGAGGCAAGTGGGCTGGACCTTTAAACCCTGGATCAGTCAATGAGGGAAGAAAGCACAAACTTGAGTGACAGCTGCGTGCAATTCCTGGTGAGTAACACAGCCGGCAACACTGCTGGGAGCCGGGGAATGAGAGGCTTACTTTTTCAGAAGAGATCTGGATAGCGCACCATGCACCTGTTACGCCTGCCTGGGATGATTAAGTGAGGTGATTCATAAACATCATTTTCTACAGTGCCTGGCACACAATTTGCTATAAATATTACTAATAGATACTTACTGGGCATTCACTATTTGAAAATGCTAGAAAAAGACACTGGAGACACTTAGGAAAGTACAAAAATCAATCAGAAATACACTCTTCCTGAAAAGATCATAGTTGAACGGGAAGACACAAACTAGAGGCTATGGTCAGTCCTACCCTCCTGGTCATCGCATATGCTCTTTGTAATATTTCCTAATTACCAAATGGATACCAGATATGTTTTGTAGCTTTCAAAGTGATTTTTTAATGTGTATTCCTGCTCTTCAGCATCTTGTGGTTTCATTGGAGAGTCAAGAAATATGTGCATGAGAGAACTTGATAACAGCACAACATATGGTTAAGTATAAAAATGTGTGACGAAGACCCTAACTAGTGACAGGGGCCTAGCCTGAGAGAGAGGGTGGGCGCTGGAGTAGTCAGGAGGGCTTCGTGGATGAAGGGATTTGACCTGGATTTTGTCAGACAAATGGACTTTGGATAGGTGGAGAGAAATGACGGAACTCCAGACCCAAGAAGGGCATAAGGCAGGGGTCTGCCCATGCCTGTGTGTGGTGAGAGAGGCAGCAGGATGGCAGTGGAGATTTTACATTGACATTGGCCACTCAATGCACCTCTGCGAATTGGTGGCATCAGATTACTTCTGTGACAGATTGGGGCATTTACGCCTGATCCTACCAGCACTCTTTAGAATTTTTCAGTGACAAGGATAAAACCTTGTAACAAGGAGATCGATCTGGGGTATTGAAAATGAGCTATAAAGGAAAACTAGAATTTATAGAGCACCTCCTGGGTAATCTTTTCAATGTCTTCTACTGGTATTACCATGTAAGCCAGGTGACAAATACTGAAGCTGAGGCTAGAGACTGAGATTGGACACCCAGATATCAATGCTTTGTGAGGCAGTTTTAGCAAAAACACGATTTACACAGAGGAGAAAGCGTAGACTTTGGACCCAGACTGATAAGGCTCAAATCATCGTTCCACTACTTACAGGACATGTGACCTTGCATAAGTGCCATAACCTCCCTATGCCTTTATGTTTCTATCTGCAAAACGAAAACAGTAATTCCCATCTTACAGACTTGTAAGGATAAAATGATAATTTAACATAATATGTATTGAAGTTGCTTACTAGACTTACAGATGTTTGATAAACGATATTATCATTATCAATCTTATTATTATGCCCATGTCAAGAGCTTCTTCTATCTTCTTTTTAAACTTGTATTTTGTCTCTGTTTGCCTGGGAATTCACAGTGCTTAAAATAAAATATAGTATTTAAATTCCACTCTTAAGGTCTAATTATAGAGCTTTACCATGATTTCTCTTAAGCGCCCGAAGGAACAAGGCTGACGGTAACTTGTACCCTTTGTTGGTAGATGAAAGTGCCTTGATGAGAGGTCACTGGTATGAGGTGCCATCCTTTAAATTTCAAGTCCATACTTATTATGCTAACTTTTATTCTTTCAGGTCTTGAAGTGTTTTCTAGACCAGCCCATTCTGCTGTCGACATCTCTGATGAAAAGCCCCACTAGATGTCTTTGCCCAGACTTTTCCTTCTTTTTCACCTCATCTCATGCCCTGGAGAGGAGTAGTGCCTAGTGACCAGGAGGAAACCTGCAGGTTAAGAGCTATGTCCATTAAAATCAGCAAATATTAAATAAAATTAAACACTCTGGTCCTCAGTTGCCAATAGCCACATTTCAGATGCTCACGCTAGTGGCCCCTGTATTAAGCAAAACAGATTTGGAAAATTTTGACCATCACTCAAAACTTTTTTTGGACAGCACTGTTCTAGAGTCAAATGGAATAAGTGATCACTGTATTGCCCAGGCTGCAGTGCAGTGGTGCCATGTCAGCTCACTGCAATCTCCACCTCCTGAGTTCAAGCAGTTCTCCTGCCTCAGCTTCCTGAGTAGCTGGGATTACAGGCGCGCGCCACTGTGCCCGGCTAATTTTTGTATTTTTAGTAGATACGGGGTTTTACCATGTTGGCCAGGCTGGTCTAGAACTCCTGATCTCAAATGATCTGCCCACCTTGGCCACCCAAAGTACTGGGATTACAGGCGTGAGCCACTGCATCTGGACTGAAGTTGAGTTATATCTTTAACCCTCACTGTCTAACTTTGAGAAAGCAATTTAGTCTTTCTGTGCCTTGGTTTTATTATCTATAAAATGAGGGTATAAGCATCAACTTACTGGGGTAATTTATGAGAATTAGATGAGTTAATATATGAAATATATTTAGATTAATCCCTGGCATATAATATTTTCTCAATAACTGTTAACAATTGCTATTCATTAAAGTCTTAATAAAACAATACCTACTTCAAAAAGAAAACAGACTAGATAGATGAATGGAGGGTGGCTGAGGGTAGTTGCCCATTGTCTATGCGTCCAAAGTTGGTGTATGTGTTGTCATGGAACTCATCAGGCAGTATTGTAATATTCGTTGTCTGTGTCAGTTTTCTTTTCTTTTCTTTTTCTTTTTTTTTTTTTTTTTTTTTTTTTAGATAGAGTCTTGCTCTGTGGCCCAGGCTGGTGTGCAGTGGTATGATCTTAGCTCACTGCAACCTCCACCTCACGGGTTTAAGCGATTCTCCCAACTCAGCCTCCCCAGTGGCTAGGAATACAGGCACACGCCACCACACCCGGCTAATTTTTGTATTTTTTGGTAAAGTCGAGGTTTCACCATGTTGGCCAGGCTGGTCTCAAATCCTTGACCTCAGGTGATCTGCCCACCTCAGCCTCCCAAACTGCTGGGATTACAGGCATGAGCCACTGTGCCTGGCCTGTGTCTGTTTTCTTTAAGAGACTCCACACTTTGGGAGTTCAGGGACTGGCGCCTTATCCCTTGCCACACTCCTAGCACCTACTGTGGTGCCTTGAATATAGTTAGCACTTGGTAAGTACTTTTTTCCCTCAACATGGTTGAACTAGCTCAAATGCTTAAGAACCAATAGTTTTCTTATTTACTAATATATTTTAGTGGGAATAAGAGGATTGGAGTTTTGCAAATTTTATTCTATTATTAAGCCGGATAGAGACATAGACTTACAATTAGGTTTAAAGATAATAGGGAAAACTATTTAAAATCAGGAATGGATGGGAAGAGCCAAAATGGATAATCACTTCACATGTTGGGAAGGAGGGAGGAGGGAAAGTGAGGGGAGAAGAGAAGATACCAAGTTGATAAATCCTGTGAGAGACAGCTAAAGACAAATGTTCCCTACTTCAACATTTTACCGTAGGGAGGTCCTGAAGCCCGGGATGTAATTATCTTGGCTGGAACTCCCAGACGAGGGTAAATAGAAATCTGAGTGTGTCAACAAATTATTTAATTAAACAGAGTACATGGCAGTGTGAAAGCAAAATTATAATGTGCAATAAGATAATGTGATTGAAAGCTTCAGCTGCGATGGAATGGAGAGAGTAAGACATTGAAAGAAAAATGATACAGTCCTGAGGAACAGGCCATGGACTGGGGTAGCCAATGTGAAAAATAAAACAAGAAGTCAGATAAAGAAAATGGAATTGTATTATTCAAGAATACCTGTTTATTTAGATCAACCCCTTGGGTTTAAAATAAATTTAAAAGCAATTGAGATTAAGCCATCGTTTTAGATGAGCCAAGGAGGCCTGAAAGTGGCATTAAAAAGGTCTCAGGATTTGTGGCATCAGCATAAAAGTGGCAGTTACAATTAGAAGCAGAAGTGAAATGGCTAAGATGTAGAAAAGCAAGAAATGAACAGATGGCCAAAGCATTCAGCTTGCTAGGGTGCTAAAACCAGATATATTTTATATTTCATTCCAAGTTAACAAATATTAGGACATTAAAATGCATGAACGTGGTGTGTTTTCCATCTTGCCATGTTTTTATTACCAAGTTAGGGGGAAAAAAGTAGGCTGCACGTAATGTATGCAAATGCATCAGTCTAAACAAATGCAGAGTCAGTGGAGATCAGGAAGGTCGGCTGGATTTCTATTTTCTAAAGAGCTGCCTGGTCAATTGCATCCTAAGCTTCCTGTGTCCAGATAGTCCTAAGTGGCCACCCACTTCCAGAAAGACTACAAGGGTTAGATTGCTGAATGACACTTTCTTTAAAGGTGGTAGTAGCTCCCAATGACGTTTATACATGGAAGATGTTTTTATTGAACTTTAGTATGTCATTCACCCTAAGCAATCATTAATACAAGGTAAGGTCACTGTGATCAGTGGAATATTGATAATACCAGACTGTCATTACAAGACCCATTTCTTACACATTTTCTGTGGAGCCTGGAGCTTTCTCTGTAGACTGAGGCCACAGTTAAGCACAAAATTTTCAATGGTTTGCAAGCTTACTGGTTAAGGAATAGGAGTATGTTTAGAGTCACTCATCTCTCCTGAACTTCTTTATTTGATCTCAGCCAATATCTAGGCTTCCGAAACCAGATCACGATGCTGAGTCCCTAATGGAAAACTTGTTGAGTTCCTTTTTTTCATGATTGTCAATTTCCAGGCTACCAGATTCTCTTGTCTGTCTTCAGAATACATAGCCATGCGTCTCTGAAAATAAAGAACAATTTCTCCCTCTCCACTTTTCATTTTTACCTGGACCAAAATTGCACTATATTCATTCATCCAGTCAGTCACTTAATCTATATTTATTGAGTGCTGATTATGTGGTAGGTACTGAGCCAGGAACTAGGGATGAAATGGTTTCTGCACTTATGTTCAAAAAGAGATTGACTTTCTCACAGTCTGTGTTTATTAACTTTGACTCCCTTTGACATAATCTAAATGCAGTGGAGAAAAACATTCACACCTAACATCTATGGAGGCTGAAGCTGTACATATAAAGAAATACTCAAGAGAGTGTGTGCCCTTCCTTTATTTCCATCTCCTGACCTGCTCCAAGTTATGTTCTGGAAAATACTATTAGATTGGTACAAAAGTAATTGCACTAACTAAATATGCACACAAAAAGCATCTGTGAACAACACTAATTTGCTCTCAGGCTGCAGGGGTCATTGAAAAAAGAGCATTTAGCTTCCTCTAGTACCATATTAGTATCTGGAAGGAATACAGTTTTTGACCAAAGAGAAGGAAAAAAAATTGTGCGTATATTGTATGGTTACATTATTTCATATGAATGTATGGAAAGATGTATGTGTATGTGGATGTGAGGGTCATCTGGCTGAGACATCTGTCACCCGATTGATGGCCAGGGTTGATTTGGCTGATCTGGCCGGCTAGGTGGGTGTCCCCTTTCTCACAGCTCCATGTGCATCTCTCCTGAGGCTGCTTGGTCAAAAAGGATGGCCTTCCCTGATAGAGGAGGATCATTTTTCAGTCAAGGGTATATAAGTCTTTGTGCTCTCCGGCTAGGACCTCCCAACAAGATATATGTGTATGTAAATTAATATGTATATATTTTATTATATATGTATAATTTACCTATGTGTAAACGCAACACCAAATAACATATACTTTTTTTTTGAGACAAGAGTCTCACTCTGTTGCCCTGGCTGGAGTGCAGTGGTGCAATAACAGCTCACTGCAGCCTCTATCTCCCAGGCTCAAGCAATCTTCCTGCCTCAGCCTCCCAAGTAGCTGGGACCATGTGTGTGCGCCACCACACCTGGCTAATTTTTAAAGTGTTTGGAAAGATGGGGTCTTACTATGTTGTTCAAGCTGGTTTCAAACTCCTGGGCTCAAGCAATCCTCCCACCTCAGCCTCCCAAAGTGCTGGGATTAGAGATGTGAGCCACCACACCTGGCCAACAAATACATTTTTAAATATGGTTAATGCAACCCTCACAGTAGCCATGGACTTGAGGAAATGCTATGTATGTGTGTGTGTGTGTTGGGATAAGGATGGAGGCTAGGGCAGGGTAGAGAGACTACGAGAAGGGATGCAGAGCACAGAAGCACAGAATTCCTTAGTGTCTTCTATCATAATTATTGAAGGGCTATGAATGGTACGAGAACCATGGCCAGTAGTGATGATAGGGCAGAAGGGGGAGGATGGAAAGAGATGATGATTTGAATACAGATCAGAGAAAGATGGTGCCTTGAAGATATTAATAACATATCCTGCTGCTAATTTAATATATAATATGTATATATAATATATTGACATATATGTACACATATGCACAAATAATATGTGTAATACATAAATTATGTACCATAGTAAATAGAAATGTCCTCCATATTTCCAAAGTTTAGAAAATGGTGATAAGTTTTCTTTATATGGTAGCAGAGTTAAGCCACCTTTATTTATAAACTTAAACTATGTGTCAAAGGTAATTTAAAAAGCTATCTATATAAAATTTGCTATAAAGAATGAGTATATTTTAAAACTGATGAAATATGGATATCATTGCAGCCATATCCTGCTGTTGATTACATGATTTTTTAAAAGCCAATAATTATTTCAATATTCATCTAAAATACTCTGATTGAATGAAGAGATAAACAAATCTGCTACTAGAAGATGAAAGGAATATGTACATGTAAAATCATCAAAGAATGTGCTTTAGAGAATTACACAAATGCTTGAGGAAAAATTATGTAAATAGCATTTTTTAGAAACATAAATGTAAAAAAGTTCCAAAAGTGGCATACTATTATATCATAAATATGTATTATTCTAAAAGTAATGCTGAAGGCATTAAGCATTTCTCTTTAGGATAAACGCTATTTAATGAAAATAGAAAACATTTTCAAAGTAGCTTGATTGCTAAGTGTTTATATCAGCTACAACTGTTTCAGTAAAAAATAAACATAGATATTTAGGTAGAGAATATAACTGAAGTATACTTTTTTTCAGAATACATAACCTAAGGATTTAATATTTCAAATATAGAAATAATTTTAAAGGCTTAAAAATAAGACCTATGTAGTTGAACAATAAAATCTATTTCTAAAACATTTTATAAAATATAAATCCCTTTAATCAGCTCTGCAATTATTCTTATTCTTGTAATTGTGTCTTCCTGGTCTTAGAAAACAGATAGAGAACTGAGACCCCATAGGGTCATGAAAGAGACACTGGACTCCAGGGTATTGCATAGCTACTAATGCCAGGAACTTAAGATAAATGTTTGTAAAAGATAAATAGCCAGTATTGAGTGCTTACTATGTGCCATGTGAAACATGGTTTTCCTTCATTTAAAAAATTTAATCTTTCCAAAACACTATGAAAAGTAACATTTATTATCCCCATGTTGCAGATGAAGAAACCAAGACTGAGAGTGATTTATGTTAACTTGCCCAAGGTGAAGCAACTAGAAAATGGGAAAGCAGGACTGGAACTTAGGAAGCAATATCTTTAACCACTGCCCTGTACAGGCACCCATATTAAACCCAACTAAAACTCTTTATGATTAATTTTATCTCAGGAAGTCAGAGAACTGTAAAATAACCTGCCCAAGGCTCTTTTGCAGATTAAGTGTCAGAGCAGGATTTAAACCCGAGCCTGACTTCAAAGCCATCTTCCACTGTGCTTTGCTGCCTTCACCTGAGATGATGCCAAATACCTGTGCCACATACTGGCACCTGCAGTTTATTAGGCTGTTGGCATCTAGTCAAGGATCCTCACAGGGTGTTAAAGCAGCGGTAGGGACCAGAGAAGGACTTCTGCCTAAAAGTACATGCAGACCTGTCCAGCTGCAAGTCTGAATCTGTTAACTTTGTGCCATGGTGACCCCTGATGGGGTCTACATCCTATGCAATACAGAGCTGACCACTGTATTTCAAAATGAGTTAAAATGTGTGAATAACCATAAACATGAGTGATGGAGTAAAAAGATAAAATCAAACTAGATATATTTATATTAATAAGAAGACAGACATAATAGAAATATTGAAGGTCTTAGAAATTAAATGAACATTAAGAAATGCATCTGAATACATATGATCTATTTTGCAACTAAAACTTTGACTATTGTTTAGAATCAGATTTTAAAATCAATGTAGCTTTATATGGATATTAATCATAATACTATCCATAATCATGTGTAGTAATCAAAATAAACATTATTCCTCCGAAAAAAATATATGATTGTATGTACTCTATTATTGAAAAGGTATTCTTCTGCTTCATTGCTAATTATGCAGTTCTGCTGAAGAATTTCTTCAAAGTGAGATCTGGACTCTTAAAATATATGTACATGTTTCACAATTGCTTAAATTGACAATGGAAATAAAAACTTTGTAATTACCAGAAATGAACCCCTCCAAATGGATCACTTTTAGTGAGTACAGAGGCCTTTTGAACTTTGCCAAAACAGGTGCTTCATGCAGAGAAGGCTGCTGAGACCAAATGCTAGGATTATTAAGTAATAATTAGAGAAATTCTAGGTAGAGAGAGTGTATGAAAGGACAGACTTTGATGAGACAGATGACCTTTCAGTGTTGCTAAGGTGTTCTCATGGTGGATTTTCCCATTCAATTCAACAGCCAGCAAATAAAGCAATAAATTAGAACATGCCCAACCACTAGGAAGTCATTTCTCCTGTTAAAAGGAGTCGTAATAGGAAGCAGAAGTCAGATGGTGGAGTTGATAGTGTTCTGCTCCCTCGGGGCCCATTCCTCAATGGTGAGATCTCCCAAGAGCCTCATGACTGATAAACTGCTCACTCTGGAGTCCTGCCCCAGCTGGCAGACATTAAGTGACCAGACAAACAGCGGACCTGTCCCACTGCATCAGCCAAGCCCACCCTTTTTTCCCAGACAGGAAGGGACTCCAGGGCTGCGAATGCAGGTCTGGTGTGACTTGGGGACTTCTGGCACACACTTCTCTTTTCCCTCTATCTGTTGATTCCTTTAAACCTGAAGAGGTGAAAAATATCTCTGAAGAAGTAGATCCCTGGCACTAACTTATTTTGTGCCAGGAAATACTATAATTCAAGAAAAATTCTTTTTTCCTCACTAAGGATGTTACTTAGATTATTTTAGGGCAGTCTTTATTCTGGCAAAAACAATTCTGATTAAAAGCTTGCCACAGTATATGACAAAAATAAACCAAACAAATATGTAAATAAAATAAATAAAACTTGTTTAATGGGTACATTAAACCCAATATTCTCGTCATACACAAATTTACCATTCTCTGTAAGTTACTATACTATTAAAGTCACCCCAAATGAACTGTTATTAAGAGTACAGCTGGCCGGGCGGGTTGGCTCATGCCTGTAATCCCAGCACTTTGGGAGGCCAAGGCGGATGGATCACCTGAGGTTGGGAGTTTGAGACCAGCCTGACCAACATGGAGAAACCCCATCTCTACTAAAAATACAAAATTAGCTGGGCATGGTGACACATGCCTGTAATCCCAGCTACTCAGGAGGCTGAGGCAGGAGAATCGCATGAACCCAGGAGGCGGAGATTGTGGTGAGCCAAGACTGTGCCATTGCACTCCAGCCTGGACAACAAGAGCAAAACTCTGTCTCAATAAATAAATAAATAAATACAGCTATAGCTGGAGTCTGGGTCCTGGATGAAGCATTTTTTTGTTTTTGTTTTTGTTTTTTCCTTATTCCCATAACTTCATTACTCTGCCTTTTAAGAAAATCTAATTTGATTAGCTCTGTTGAGTTGCCTTTTTAAGAAATTGTATCATGCTAAAACATAATGGGAAATGTTCCATAAATGATTTAGTTAAACCTTTAAAAGTTCTTTAAATAATAGAAGAAAAGCCTGGTGAACTTCAAGTGAGATTCTTGAAGGATTAATTCACTGTTAAAGCTACTGCTCTATTCATTATCCACATGTGGTTATCAGGCAAACCTTCCTTTCAAGGTTCACTTTCAAAGAGTCGCCATGTAATCTTGCTCAGTGTGAACAGAAATAAGATCTCTGTTTGCTAGAGGCAAATGTATTACAGCCAAAGCTCCAAGAAGGAATGGCATGAAGCAATGGTTTTCAGGAAAAACAAAACCAAACAACAACAAAAATGCCCTGTTTCTAATGAGGCTGATTCTTTGATTCCCTGGAAGGGGCTCCTCAGGTCAACAGGAGTGGGGCTGATTTGGTCTGGAAAAGCTGGAAGGTCAACTCTGGAGATAAACAACTTGGGGTTCTGTGCTGAAAACCAGGAAACTTGGTTTCAGTCCTGAATTCCCCAGTAACTTCTTGTGTCACCTTAGCTTGTTACTGCACCCTCAAGGTTATAATAAGTTCCCTTGCTTATTAAATGAAGAGGGAGAGGGCTCATGAGCAGATCTTCATGGAAGCTGCCAGCCGAAAATCTCATGGCCTCAGATTGCACTTGAAATATCATGAACACCTATGTCAGAAATATTGTTTAATATTAATTGGAAATATCTTTAACATCCTCATGCATTTGGGATGATGCCATGTGTGCATATGTGTTTCTTTTTTCTCTGCTTATTTTAAAATAATCATGAATTAGGGTGTCAATGTATTTTTAGTTCTAAGAAAGAGAACATAGGTGTAGGATAATTTGGGCAAGTTCTGTATTGAAGGCAGAAGTCACTTTTACTAAATTCCTACTTAAAAATCTTTTTTTTTCTTTCTTTTTTTTTTTTTTTTTGAAACGGAGTCTCGCTCTGTCGCCCAGGATGGAGTGCAGTGGCGCGATCTCGGCTCACTGCAAGCTCCGCCTCCCGGGTTCACGCCATTCTCCTGCCTCAGCCACCCGAGTAGCTGGGACTATAGGCGCCCGCCACCACGCCCGGCTAATTTTTTGTATTTTTAGTAGAGACGGGGTTTCATCGTGTTAGCCAGGATGGTCTCTGTCTCCTGACCTCATGATCCGCCCGCCTCGGCCTTCCAAAGTACTGGGATTACAGACGTGAGCCACTGCACCCAGCCCCTACTTAAAAATCTTAAATGGAATATTGTATTTCCATAGCACTAATAGTCATGCTGGATTTTATAGAATATTCCTAAATCTTATCCGAGAAGAGGTCTTGTTTGAAATTGGTGAAAGTCTATTTATTAAACAATTATTTTTTCTACTTTTTTTCTTTTGAATCAAGCAATTGGGGTAATTCAATTCATTTACTCATTTTCACCTTTTCTGAGTGCCTACTAAGTGCCAATTACTGAGTTGGAAACTGCAAGGATTAGAGAAATAAATGACAAAACTACTAACCTCTGGGAACTTGCTATGGACAAGTATAGGATTATATTTACAGGCTTCCAGGCTTCAGACATTCAGAAAATTAATTATATCAGTTATTTCCACATTACGTTTCATTTGTTTGTTTCCTTTCTGCAATTACCTTATTATCAAAGATGGGAAATATATAGATGAGGCCAGGAGCGGTGGCTGATGCCTGTAATCTCAGCACTTTGGGAGGCCACAGCGGGCGGATCACATGAGGCCAGGAGTTTGAGACCAGTCTGCCCAACATGGCGAAACTCCATCTCTACTAAAAATACAAAAATAATTAGCCCGTCATGGTGGTGCATATCTGTAATCCCAGCTACTCAGGCGTTTGAGGCACAAGACTCGCTTGAACTCAGGAGGTGGAGGTTGCAGTGAGCCCAGATCATGCCACTGTACTCCAGTCTGGGAGCCACAGAGCAAGATTCTGTCTCACAAAAGAAAAAAGCAATAATAATAATCATAATAAATGAAGTATACAGCTGATCGCAACTTAAGATGGTTGGACTTATGATTTTTGGACTTTACCATGGTACCTATACAACCATTCTGTTTTTCACTTTCAGTACAGTATTAGATAAATTACATGAGCTATTCAACACTTTATTATAAACTAGGCTTTGTGTTAAATGATTTTGCCCAGTTGAAGGCTAACTGTAAGTGTTCTGAGCACAATTAAAGATAGGGTAAGCTGAGCTATGATATTCTGTAGCTTTGATATAGTAACTATTTTATTTTCGACTTATGGTATTTTCAACTTACAATGGGTTTATGGGACGTGGCCCCATGGTAAGTGGAGGAGCATCTGTATACCATTTTTGCAGGAAAACACTTTACCACTAAAAAGAAAGTGTGTGGTGCAGTGGGGAGCCTGCAGTCATCTTTTGTTTGGCAATGCTAGGGTCGATACAATGCAAATCATGTCCATTTTGCAACACATCCTCCCTTAATCCTTGGGCGTCATTCATGGCAGCATTGCTTTTGAAAGCTGCCTCACAAAGCAGCCGAAGGGAACACTCGCATAGGTGTGGGAGCCATGCTACTTACCTCCACAGTGACTACACCAAGTCTTCCTTTCATGCACACAAAGACTGGGGTGTGAGAGATATCCAAGGGCAGAGGATCTGGGACACTGTGATACTGAATAGGAGTCATTTACTATGCCCTTGAGGTGTGAACAAAGAATCCTTAATCTAGAAATTCCTCACCCTCCTATTTTTCACACCTAATTGCATCCAGAAATTGAGTAGCTACAACCTGCAACCTTCAGCTAGTGAAGAATGGCTTCAATTTGCACAGCCAGCAAGTGCAATACACAGTGGCCACGCTTAGTTGTAGTGAGGGGCTTGTTTCACTGTTCTTCGGTGGCAAGAATTGACTTCAGGAAATAACTTGGAGGGGAAAGGAGACAGGTTAGCAAGTAGAGAGTTTCCCAGCATTCAGGAATTGTGTGGTCATGGAATTGGTCACCCATCAGGGTATTCACCAGCTCAGACAAACCAGGAATGTGTTACTGTACGTTGGGGATGTGGGTGATCACGCAGCCACTGAAAATTTGAGCTGTCATGTTTCTGTGATTCTGTGAACTAATGATCTTACTTTTCAGAAGGTTTTTATTGAAGGAGAATTCAAGGCAGGTTTGTGTAGTACAGATTTTCCTAAATTCTGTCCTACATGATATGAGTTTTTAGAGATTTAAGTTATAGCAGAAATAAAGGTGTTCTGTAACAAAAACAGTTTTGGAAAATGTGAGCTGTTAGACAGTAGAATCCTCCCTTGGGGATTCATGATGTACATTACCAGGGCATTTTGAAAAAGTTGATAGTGAAGAAATTTGTTTAAACTTTGTTTAACCCAGATTTCTCAAACATATTTATTCCAAATGTAATTTTTTTTTTTTTTTGAAACAAGGTCTGACTCTGTCATCCAGGCTGGAGTGCGGTGGCATGATCTTGGCTCATTGCAACCTCTGTCTACTGGGCCCGAGCCATCCTCCCACCTAAGATTCCTGAGTAGCTGGGTCTACAGGCGCATGACACTGTAGCTGACGAATTTTTTTTTTTTTTGGAGAGACAGAGTTTCACTGTGTTGGCCAGGCTGGTCTCAAACTCCTGGGCTCAAGTGATTCAACTGCCTGGGCCTCCCAAAGTGCTAGGATTACAAGTGTGAGCCACCATGCCCAGCCTCAAATACAATATCTTTTATTTTTGTATAAAGCCAGTGTTCCAAAGTCTACCACTTGACAAATTTCCTGTGGTAAAAAGAATACGACTTTTTGACCAATTTGTGTGGCAAGTCTGAGCTTGAACAAAATTCTTACTGTTTCAAGTTTCAATGTCCTCATCCAAAAAAAGGAGAAGTACTTACTCATGCAGAGTCTTATGAGTATTAACGTATGTCTTAGAAAATGCCTAACAGGCCAGGCACAGTAGCTCATGCCTGTAATCCCAGCACTTTCAGAGGCTGAGGTGGGAGAATTGCTTGAGGCCAGGAGTTCAAGGCCAGCCCTGGCAAAATAGTGAGACCCCATCTCTACAATAAATAAATAAATAAATTTAAATTTAAAAAAACTAGCCAGATGTGGTGGCGTGTGCTTGTAATTCCAGCCTTCTGAGCTCAAGCAATCCTTAGGAGGCTGAGGTGGGAGGATTGCTTGAGCCCAGAAGGTCAAGGCTGCAGTGAGCTAGGATCACACCACTGCATCCCAGCCTGGGTGACAGAGTGAGACCCTGTCTATTAAAAAAAAGAGAAGAAAACAGTGCCTAAATGGTGCTGGACCAAAAGCAAATGCTCAATAAATGGTGACTATTTTCAATAGTTGCTAATTTTAGGACTTTTTTTTTTTCACTTAAGTACCTAATCATTCCTCTTGCAGTTTAAATCTACTTCCTTCTGACTGACTTTGATGGAAATAGGAAAGTGTCATTAATCAGTAAAATAACAACTCCAATTATATGATTTGGTGAAACAGCTGAGGCTTCATTGCCCAGTCTTTGCTCATGGGACAGAAGGCCTCAGTGGCTGTGATCCCCAGTCCCTAATTTCAGGGAAGAACTTGTCTTTAATCACTTTTCCTAAATAGACCTAGAGCCTAGGGGCACAGTATTATAAAGGAGTGCCTAAGCAGGGTGCTTGAAGGTTGAACACCTGCTCAAATAGTATTGTCTTTGAACTGTCATAAAATTTTGTTTGGATTCCAGTTATGGGGACTAACATTTTAAGATTGTGGTGGATTATGTACTAACGCCTCCTGCCCCTATATCCATGAAATTTATTTACTGTATTTTGCATTTTAAATATTTGTTGTTCTGAATGCAGAGATGGACCTTCATGCCAATCCATAATCTAGGTCCTGAGGTTTAGCCTCAGAACTTAGGCTGTCGTCTCCATTTTTGGCCTTAGTCCTTATAGGAGACACATTCTCACTGAGGAAGCCTGGTGCTGTATATCTTTTCAACAAAGCTTTTCTTTTCTTTTCTTTATTATTATACTTTAAGTTTTAGGGTACATGTGCACAACGTGCAGGTTTGTTACATATGTATACATGTGCCATGTTGGTGTGCTGCACCCATTAACTTGTCATTTACATTAGGTATATCTCCTAATGCTTTCCCTCCCCCTCCCCCCACCCCACAACAGGCCCTGGTGTGTGATGTTCCCCTTCCTGTGTCCAAGTGTTCTCATTTCAACTAAGCTTTTCTTTGCAGAACATGACTTCTTCCTGAGATGATGGGAGACCAAAAAAAAAAAACTCTGTTATCATGATAATGTGGTCAGGAGAATGGGAGAATGCCTCAAAGTGGGTGTCTAATTTACTGCGGGGCTTTCAGTGGCCAGTGGTTGAGGTGGAAATTGAAAAATGTCTTTTGTTGATGATCAGTCAGCCCTTGTGATAACACTCTCCCCTTTTTTTGATTTTTAAATTTTTTTGCCAAGGGCACTTTCTTTCGGGAAAGCATGGTGACTAAGGGCACAGACGGAACTGGGTTCAAGCGGCCTTGGACAAGTTGCCTTATCAGATCCTCAGCTCCCTCATCTGTATTTGGGGATAAAGATCCCCAGGGATCATTATCTAGGGATATTGTTAACAATAAATTTGAAAATAAAAATGCGTGTATATTGATTGATAGCCTGAACATAGTCAATCAAAGTTAGCTATTATTGTTGTCTTTTTAAGTTTATTTAACAAATAATCAGATGATTATCATTATATAACTTCATATGTGTATCATTGTATTGGATATTGTGAGATGACTAATACACAGAAGGTTAGTTTCCACTAGGAGTTTACAGTCTTATCTGAATGCAATGCAGACATGAGTCACTTCTCTACACGCAAGGGAGGAGAATGATTTTCTTATTTGGCTCACTAAGTCCTCATACTCTCAAGAAATTCAGAAGTAATATCTCACACAACTTCTCCCATCAGATAGAAATTTAATCTATAATGAGAGATATGCAGAAAGAGCTATTTTATAGGCTTCATGTTAATTTTATATGAGGGCATTTTATTCATCAGATTACATTGGTGATTATAAAATATTGTTATCTTCAGACTTTTCTATATAGGAATCAACAACTGTTTTTTGCATAAAAGAATGCATGACTAGAAGTTGGTGATTTCTAGGTGACAAAATATATCACCTAGATATGGGCATATCTTTGCATTGTTTTTTCTGAAGAAAAATTTTACAGCAATAGGTAGGAGATGGAGAAGTTGATGTTGGTAACAATCCAGATATAAGGTGATTAGAGATCAGCTGATAGGAAAAATAGAAAACTGGTGGAGCCAGTTAGAAAGGGTTTGCAAAGGCCGAGTGCAGTAGCTCATGCCTGTAATCCCAGCACTTTGAGAGGCTGAGGTGGGAGGAATCCTTGAGCCCAGGACTTTGAGACCACCCTAGGCAACATAGTGAGACCCCATCTCTACAGGAAAAAAAAAAGTAGCTGGGCATTTTGATGTGTGCCTAGGAGTCCTAGGAACTCAGGAGGCAGAGGCCGGAGGATCACTTGAGCCCAGGAGTTCGATGCTGAAGTCAGCTATGATTGCGCCACTGCACTCCAGCCTGGGCAACAGAGTGAGACCCTGTCTCTAATACATAAATGAAAGAAAGAAAAAGAAGAAAGAAAGAGAGAGAAAGAAAAGAAGAAAGAAAGAAAGAAAGAAAGAAGAAAGAAAAGAGAAAAAGGAAAAGAAAAGGAAAGAAAAGAAAAAAGAAAAGAAAAGAGTAGGTTTGGGTTTGCAAGGATGAGGTTTCCTACCACCATCACTACCAAATAGCTCTTTGGATTTTCATACGTCTGGGCTTTCCACTTTGAGGGAGGAATCACTCTTATGTCAACTACAGCTTTTCATCATTTCTAAATTTAAAAAACAAAGTAAATGACCCGTAATTATTGTAATTTTTCTATAAACCAAAATATAACATGAGCTATAGATTTATCCTTTGTTTTACTGATTTCCCTTGTAAATTACATTGTTTGTATTCTATTAGGGAATGAGGAAAGAATTGTGGCATCTGGGGTCACAAACAATCAACATTTGATAGCTTATTAGGCTAATATTGCCCATTTATTTTCACATTATAAACTACATAGAAATCCTAACTGTGAACATCTCAAAAATGAATCCTTTCTGAGCTTCATTTACCCAGTGTAGGGAAATTATTCCCCATACCCTTCAAAGTATCCAAACTTTCCTCATGCTCCTGAACTCACATATCTTCCAAACTAGTATCAGAACTCTTCAGCTAAAAATTGTACATTGATTCTGACTCACACATTAAACCAATTATATTACTCAGTGCTTTCTCATACAAACAGCATACTTAGAATGATTCCATATGTTTTGTATCTTTCTCAAAATTTTCTTTGAGTCAGGACAGATTTAGCATATCTAGCTGTACCGCAAGATTAATTGGATTATTTCACTTTTTATTTTTTCTCACCCCCTACTTAATTTTTTCCCTTTCTTATATAAAAGCTTGCTGTTTCAAAGTCACTTTTTAAAAACTACAGGTATACAATACAAATAAAAACAACATCATTAAGCGTTTTGGTAATAACAGGTCCTGGCAAGGATATAGAACAACTGGAACTGTCATACGCTGCTGGTGGGAACGCCATTTCAGAAAACCACTTTTCATTATGTACTAAAGCTGAATTGAATATATACATACCACTGGTACAGCAAGGGTAAAAAATGCATATATATTCACAAAAAAACATGTATATGAATGTTCATAAGGGCACTATTCCTACTGGCCGGAAACTGGAAACTATGCAAATGCCCATCAACATTAGAATGGACAAGTAGATTGAAACTACACAGCAATTGAACACTACACAGCAATGAGACTACACAAACTACCACACACACACAATATAGATGAAGCTCGGAAATATTAATATCATGTTGAGCAAAAGAAGGAGTTACTGGATTATTCTATTTACATAAAATTCAAAAACAGGCAGTGATTGTTTTGGGAGGGTCTGATAACCAGAAGAGGGCACAGAAGTGCAGTTCTGGGACACTACACGAGTTCTTTTTCTTGATTTGGGTGCTAGGTATGTGAGCTGTACACCTCGTCAAAACTCATCCAGCTATACACTTGTTATTTATGAACTTCTCTGTATGTAGGTTAGGCTTCAATACAAAGTTTAAGAAATGTGGTAGTGTCAAAGTCAAGATACTGAACAGATGGCATCCAAAGAATGCAATCTAAATTTATATGCATATTGGTCCTACCTTTTTTCAGAAAATTTTTAATTGATTCAGCGCGTTTATGATTCAAGTGTCGTGAGCTTTTTCTGTTACACTGAAATCATCCTGGACATTTCAAAGGCCTGTTTCATTGAACATACTGTGAATTACTCTCTTCCCTATCTAGCTATATATCTGAGACATAGCTCCCTGGGGTCAAGGAACATTAATTTTATAACTTTTGTTTACCAGCAATACTGAAAGGTCATGAATATGCATTTTCTCAGTCTTAGTAGAGGCAGAAGATAGTAATAATGCTCTATATGTGCCTATCCTAATTCACCATTGCTAGAATAAGATTAAATGAGGTACTATATATAAAAAGTGCCTTGTAAGCTTAGTGCAATACAGTCATTTGATATGATGTGTTTCATTATTTGAAAACATTTTTAGTAGAACACGTAATATTAAGGAATCAATGAAAAAACAATGAGTTAAATTTCCTTACAGTGAAAGGATCAACTATAAGATAGATCTCTACCTAGTGCCTATTCACATACATGAAGTGAAGGTGTTTAAACATTTAAAATAAGTGTGAAAAGAAGAAAACATACGTTCTTAATAAGGAAAAATCACTTGCCCTTTCTGGGTCTTAATTCGCTTGTATGTGAAATGAGTTTGCATTATTGATATCTAATCTTTCTAGATCGAGTATTCTCTGTTTCACAAAATGTTATTTATGTACATAATTCACAGTTTCAGCATGGTAGGAAGGAGAGAGCACCACACTCTAATGAAAAAGTTCTTTGCACATCAGGCATGTTTCTATTACTAGTTGGAAGGCCTTAAAAAGTAATTTAGAATGATAGAAAATCAGAGGTGAAAAAGATTTTAGTCACAACCGACCATTTTGCAAGTGAGGATGCTAAGACAGAAACATCAGGTGTTGTACCTAATTACAAACGGTTTCTTAGTAGTGGATCCGGGCCTAGAATCCAGTTCTCAAAAACTAGTATACCATTTTTATAACACTTTGCCCAAAGGTATCAATTGTTTTTGTCCCATAACGTGAGAAGAGTAGAAGTCAAGTCAATCTCAAAGCATTAAAACTTACACCTGGTTTTATTTTTTCAAGTACTTAAACATTCTATTTTTATAGTTCACCTCCATTTGACTTTAAACAGTTAATATACAACTATCTATAGTTGTTTATTTTTTTCTGCTCTGCATAAAAGCACAGCCTTCTCAGTATTAGAACTTAGTGCTGTATGTTGCATATTCACACAGATACAAATATACTTACACATATGTTTGTTGAGCACATTTCACTTCTTGTAGTTGGGATTTCCTGTAATTTTGAGCCATGATTCACTCTAGCAATGAAGCTCAGTGCAGAGTTGAGGATCATGGGAGGACAAGTCGTATGGGATAAATACATGCCTTTTTTTCCCCCCAGATCTCAAAATTTCTTATTTACATAAGCCTCATTCTTCTTAAAAATAGAAAGACAAGTCCTGTTTTGTTTCATTGCACAGGATGGTCAATTCTTCTTTCACTACTCTGAAGTTGTAAGAAGTTTAATTGCCAACCAAACGGAGAAACACATAAGTTTTCTTGGCATAAGAGAGGAAACAATATGAGAATAGTTCAAAATTAACATTTTCATCTGGGCCCTTAATATATAGTTCTTATCTACTGGACGCATGACTTTGTGATAGCTACATAATTTGAAGGCTCGAAGGTAGGGAAAAGAATAAGTGGGAATTGGGCTTGAGACAGTGCCAGCCACTTTGTGGTTTTGGGCAGATCACTTAGTCTCTCCTTCACAGTGTTTTTGAAACGATTGAGTAAGATTACATCTGTGAAAAGTGCCTTGGAAAACAGATAGCACTGTACAATTTTAAGATGTTAGTTTTGTTATTAACTCAATATATGTGCCTGCTGAAAGGATGATGTCTTTTTTTACATTGCTGGGAAGTTTCATCTATTGTGTACCTTCCTCCTTTACTTCTAAGTTTTCTTTAGGATTTTTTGCAAGAACATCATCCTGGATGGCCCAACTTTACCACTTAGTAGGAGAAAAGGATGGATCCTTAGTATATTACAGAGGAAAACAATTAATCGAAATGAGAAAATCATTGCAAAGTTTTAAGAGATCTCATCAAAAACTCCTTGGGTGAGAAGAAAATCTAATCCCTAAGTCATAGATCCATCCACAGATATCATATGGTAATTATGTCATCAAAATACCATCTATTTTGTCACTGATGGATGTTTAACATGTCATATTTACAAGTCACTCATGCATTTGTTCAAGTAATATTGACTAAGTCCCTTGGCAAGGCATTATGCAAGATGCTAAGGCTTTGTGTAGGCAATGGAGCACATATTATTCATTCCACAACATTCCTTCTTATCCTTGCTACCTCTATTCTCTCCATCTTATCCCTGACCTTCTCATTTGTTTGACTTAATGAGAAATCTGTCTAATTTCTGGGCAGGAATCATGTTTTAAAGTGCAAAAAGGCAAATGATGGGAGAAAAAAGAACATATTGGAAAAAGTCTTGGTAGAGAGAGAAAGAATGAAAGTAGGGCAATAAAAACTACAAGAAGGAAGTTATGGTACTTAGCATGATTCATTTATTTAATGATCCTATATTTAAGACAATGTTGTCAAGATGCTAATTCTTTCCATCTTGATCTTTAGGTTCAATGTCAAAATCCCAGGAAGTTGGTCGGGCACGGTGGCTCACACCTGTAATCCTGGCACTTTGGGAGACTGAGGCGAGTGGATCACTTGAGGTCAGGAGTTTGAGACCAGCCTGGGCAATATGGAAAAACCCCATCTCTACAAAAAGTACAAAAATTAACAGTGTAGTAGCATGCACCTGTGGTCCCAGCTACTCAGGAGGCTGAGGCTGGAGAATCGCTTGAACCCAGGAAGCAGAGGTTGCAGTGAGTCAAGATTACACACTGCACTCCAGCCTGGGTGACAGAGTGAGAATCTGTCAAAAAAAAAAAAAAGGAAGTTATTATGGATATCAATATCAACAGACTTATTCTAACATTTATATGGAAAAGCAAAAGACCCAGGGTGGCTAACAGAATATTGAAGAAGAACAAAATCAGAGGACAGACACTACTGACTTCAAAACTTACTATAAAGCTACAGTAATCAAGAAAGTGTGGTATTGGTGAAAGAATTGATAAAGAAATCAATGAAATGGAATAGAGAGCCCAGAAACAGACAAATATATTTAACTGATCTTTGACAAAGGAGCAAAGGCGATTCAATGGAAAAAGGATAGTCATTTCAACAAATGGTGTTAGAATAACTGGACATATACGTGGAAAAAAAAGTGAATCTAACTACAGCCCTTATACCCTTCCCCAAATTTAACTCAAAATGGATCATTAGACCTAAATGGAAGCCCAAAACTATGAAACTCCTTGAAGATAACATACGACAAAATATAGATTTGGCAATGGCTTTTTAGATACCCCACAAAAACATGATCCATGAAAGGAAAAATTGATAAGTTAGATTTAACTCAAATCTAAAACTTCTGCTCTGGAAAAGACACTGTTAAAAAAATGAAAAGACAAGCCAAGCGTGGGAGAAGGCAGTTGCAAAAACAGATGTCTAATAAAGGACTAGTATCCAAAGTATATAAAGAGCTTTTAAAACTCAACAATAAGAAAATAACCCAATTTAAAAATGGCCAAAAGATATGAACAGACACCTTAACAGAGGATATACAAATGGCAAAAAGCCTATGAATAGATGCTTATCATTATATATTATTAAAGAATTGCAAACAAAAACAAGGAGACACCAGTACACACCTATCAGAATGGCTAAAATTCAGAACACTGACAACACCAAATGCAGACAAGAATATGGAACAAGAACTCTCATTCATTGCTGGTGGAAATGCAAAATGGTACAGCCACTTTGGAAGACAATTTGGCAGTTTCTTATATAACTAAATATATTTGTACCACATGATCCAGCAATTGCATACCTTGGTATTTACCCAAATAAGTTAAAACTTATGTTCACACAAAAACCTGCACACAAATGTTTATAATAACCATATTCATAATTGCCAAATCTTGGAAGCCACCACCATTTCCTTCAGTAGATGAATGGATAAACTGTGGTTCATCTGTATAATGAAATATTATTCAGCAATAGAAGGAAACAAGCCAGCAAGCCATGAAAAAACATGGAGACAACTTAAATGCATGTTGCTAAATGAAAAAAGCCAATCTGAAAGGTTATATATTGAATGATTCCAACTATATGACATTGTAGAAAAGAGAAAACTACAGAGACGGTGAAACAGGTCAGGGGTTGGGGGAGGCAGGAAGAGATGAAAAACTGGAATACATGGGATTCTTGGGGCAATGAAGCTATTCTGCATGACATTGTAATGGTAGACATATGTAATTTTGTTTGTTTTGAGTTTTTAGAGACAGGGTCTCACTCTGTTGCCCAGGCTGGAGTGCAATGGTGCCATCATGGTTCACTGCAGCCTCAAACTCCTGGGCTCAGATGATCCTACTGTTTCAGCCCCCTGAGCAGCAAGGACTACAGTTGCACACCACCATGCCTGGCTAATTTTTTATTTTTCTTTTTTTTTTGTAAAGACATGGCCTTGCTATGTTGCCCAGGCTAGTCTTGAACTCCTGAGCTCAAAGGATCCTCCCATTTCAACCTCGCAAATTGTTGGTATTACAAACATGAGCACCTGGCCACATGTCATTATATATTTGTCCAAAGCTGTAGAATGTATAACACAGAGTGAACTCTAATGTAGTCTGTGAGCTTTAGTTAATAATAATGTATCTATATTGGTTCATCAATTATAACAAATGTACTACAAAATGCAAGGTGTTAATAAATAGAGGAAATCGGGGAAGGGGTAAAGGAGATAAAAGAATTCTTTTTACTTTTCTACTCATTTCTTCTGTAAGCCTAAAACTGCTGAAAGAAAAAAAAAAGAAGTCTATTAATTAAAAAAAGAAAAAAGATCCCATGCAAAACATTCACTGGAGAGCAATCAGTTACTAATTTAGTGAACACATTTTTAAAGTCTTTCTAAAATTTGCAATTTGCTCCAATGCTTGAATTTAGATGAAGATTATATTGTCTAATCGTAAGTCATATTGTTGTTTTTTTGTAGAGACAGGGTGTCCCCATGTTGCCCAGGCTGGCCTTGAACTCCTGGGCTCAAGCAATCCTCCCACCTCAGCCTTCCAAAGTGTTGGAATTACAGGTGCAAGCCACCACACTCAGCCTAGTCATAAATTTTAATAGTTCATGAAAAAAGAGTCCAAAGTTCTTACCACATCGACTGTATTTACTGTTAAGTCATCACAATGTCTTTATGCCAGCATTTTCCAAATAAAAAACCCGAGGAATGTTAATCCTGTAAAATCATCTTGGAAGAAAATTTCTGATCAAATTAGGGAAATACAGTACTCAATAATATTCCCTTATTGAAATTTCACAATGCATATTGGCATATTAAAATCTCCCAGAAGTCCTGCCCAAAACAAATCTATTAACTGCGTTTAATCCAGACTATTTCAATTATTAAACCACAGAATTTTCTTTTTCAGTAAAACATATTAAAATCTGTGGGACATTACTTCTGAGTAACATGCTTAGAAAAGTGCTGCGTAATGCGATTATAAAATGTTTTATTTCTAACAAATAGGATCCTACTTTGTTTATAGCTTTATTGAAAATATTAATTTACAATAAATCACACATGTTTAAAGTGGATAATTTAATGACACCTATTTATACATCTGTGAAACCATCATCCCAGCCAAGATAATGAACACATCCATCAAACCCCCCCAAATTTCTTTATATCACTTTGTAAGTCTTCTATTCCATTCTTCCTTAACCTTATTCCCAGGGAACTTTTGTTTGCTTTCTGCAACCATAGATTTGTTTACGTTTTCTAGAATATTTTATAAATGGAATTATATAGTATGTTATATACTGAATGTTTGTGTTCCCCTCAAATTTATAGGTTGAAATCCCGATCCCCAGTGTGATAGTATTGGGAACGGGGGCTTTTGGGAAGTAATTAGATAATGGGATCAATGTTTGAATCAGAGGAGATACGAAAGCTTGCTCTCTCTGCTCTGTTTTCTATGAGTGAAGAGGCAATATGAAGACAGCCATCTGCAAGTCAGTAAATGGGCCCTCTCAAGACATCAGATCTCATGGCACCTTAATCTTAGACTTCATAGCCTCCAGAACTGTAACAAATAAATGTTCATTGTTTAAGACAACCAGTCTATGGTAACTGGTTACAGTAGTTTGAACTGAATAACATAAAGTATGTATTCTTCGTGTTCTGGCTTCTTTCACCCAACATAATTATTTTGAGGTCCATCCATGCAGTTGCATATATAGTTCATTCTTTTTCATTGCTGACTAGATTCCATTTTATGGATATACTATTATTTTCATATCCATTAACACATTAAGAAACATTTAGATTGTCTCTGGTACTTGGCTTTTATAATAAAGCTGCTATGACATTCATGTGTAAGTTTTTGTATACATATATGCTTTCATTTCTCTTAAACACATAGAAGTAGAAAAGCTGAATCATATAGTAGATGTGTGTTTAACTTTTGAAGAAACTTCAGACTGTTTTCCAAAGGAATTGTACCATGCTATAGTCTCACAAGCAGGATATAAGGGTTGCAGTTCTTCCACATCCTTGTCAATACTTGGTATGCTAAGTCTTGTTAATTTTATTCATTTTACTAGTTGTGTAGTGGTATCTCATTTTTAAAAATTTCCATTCCTCAATGACGAATGCTATTGAGTATCTTTTCATGTGCTTATTTGCCACTTGTGTATTTTCTTTGAGGAATGTCTGTTCAAATCTTTTGCCCATTTTCAAGGCATTGGGTTGTTAGAGAGTTCCTTAAATATTTGAGATATGAGTTCGTTACCAGATATGTCATGTGAAGACATTGTTACCCAGTTGGTGATTTATCCTTTCATTTTCTTCACAGTGTCTTTCAGAGAGTAAAAATGTTTAATTTTGATGAAGTCCATTGGACTGTTTTTTTGGTTTTGTACATGTTGTATGAGGAATGGATTGGAGTTTTTGTTTTGCTTTGTTTTTGGATGCTAATGTTCCATTTTTCCAAAACCATTTGTGGAAAAAAACTCTATTTTATCCACTGGGTTGCCTTTACACACTTGTCAATCAATTGTCCACCTAAGTAACCCACAAAAAACTATTAGAGTTCATAAACAACATCTAATTGTAATTGTGGATTTATCTCTTTCTTCTTGCAGTTCCATCTATTTCTGATTCAGATATTTTGAAGATCTGTTATTGGAGGTCTTAATGTTTAAGAATGTTATATCCTCCTGATGAATTTACCCTCTTTTTCATTATGAAATGCCTCTCTTTATCCCTGTTACATTGTTTACTCTGATGTTAATGTAGCTACTCCAGCCTTCTTTTTATTCACATTAGTACACTATATCTTTTTGTATCCTTTACTTTGAACTTATTTGTATCTTCTAACGAAGCATATAATTAGGTCAGTTTTATTTAATCTGAGAAGCTCTGCCTTTAGTTGGTATGTTCAGACCTTTTACATTCAATGTGATTATTACAATCTACCATCTTACTATTTATTTTCTATTGTCACATACGTTCTTCTTCCATTTTCTCTTTCTCCAGTGTTTTTTATGATTCTAGTTCATCTCCATTGTTTGTGCATTAGCTATAAATAATTTTTTGTGTTAGTGTAGTTATTGTTTGGGGGATTATACTATACATCTTTAGTTTATCACAGTTTAACTTCAAGCACTGTTACATTACTTCAAGTATAAGACCCCTACAAAATACACTTCCTTTTCTCCTCTCCTGGTCTTTGTGCCATTGTCTTCATACATTTTACTTCTCTATGGGTTATAAACTCCATGATGCATTAGTAATATTTTGCTTCAATCTGTTGATTAACTTATTATTTTTGTTTTGTTTTGTTTGAAATGGAGTCTCACTCTGTTGCCCAGGCTGGAGTGCAGTGGCGCAATCTTGGCTCACTGCAACCTCCACCTCCCGGCTTCAAGCAATTCTCCTGCCTCAGCCTCCCAAGTAGCTGGGACTACAGGCACACGCTACCACACCCAGCTAATTTTTGTATTTTTAGTAGAGACGTGGTTTCACCATGTTGGCCAGGATGGTCTTGATCTCCTGACCTCGTGATCTGCCCGCCTCGGCCTCCCAAAGTGCTGGGATTACAGGTGTGAGCCACCACGCCCTGCCAAGAAAAACGTTCTTTATATTTACAAGACAGTTACCACTTTTAGTGGTCTTCTTTTTCTTTTTTGTATGTCCAGGTTTTTATCAGTATCATTTCATTTTGCTTGAAGGGTTCCTCTTGACATATTTTATAGATATGTGGTCTGGTTATTAATTCTTCTTTTATGTGCCTGAAAAAGTCTTTATTTCATCTTTGTTTCTATAAAATATTTTCACTGGCTAACAAATTCTATGTTGACAATTTTTTTCTTTTAATATTTTAAAGGTGTTGTTCCACTACCTTCTAGCTTAAGTTGTTTCAATAAGAAATCTGCTTTTCTTTTTGTCTTTATTCTTTATGTAGCATTCCTTCCCCACTCTGCATCACATACACAAAAGTGGCTTTTAAGATTGATCTCTTTGTCTTGAAGGAATTTTATTAAAATTCATCTTGGAGTGGTTTTATTTTCATTAATTATTCTAGGCATTTGTTGAAATTCTTAAATCTGTGTGTTTATAATTTTTATCAAATTTGGAAAACTTTGGCTATTATTTCTCCAAATATTTTCCCCTACTCTATTGGAGACTGCAATTACACATATATTTGGCTACTTAAAATTGGCACATAGTTCACTGATGGTTTTCTTTTTCCCTCTGTGTTTCATTTTGGATAGTTTCTATAGCTATGTTTTCAAGTTCACTCATCTTTTCTCTCTTAATTTCATCTAGTGTATTTTTTATCTCAAAATTATAGATCCCTCTAAATGTTCTATTTTTGTCTTTTTAATATGTATTCTATATCTCTATTTAATACGTTCAGTCTTTCTGCTAGCTTTTTTAATATATAGGGTATCATTATAATAACTGATTTAATGCTCCTGTCTACTGTTTCTATCACCCGTGTCATTTGGGGGTCAATTTTGATTGACATTTCTTCTCATTGTGCATTTTATTTTCTCCTCCATTGTCTGCCTTGTGATTTTTTAAAAATTGGGTGCTAGACATTGTGTAATTTGCCTTGTGGGGTGCTGGGTGTTTTTATATTCCTGTAATAGTTGTTGAGCTTTGTTCTGAGACATGGTTAAGTTACTTAGGAACAGTTGATCCTCCCGGATCATGCCTTTAAACTTTATTGAGAGGGACCAGTGCAATGTTTACTCTAATGTTAATTTTTTTCCCTACTGTTGAGGCAAAACCCTTGTTAGTATTCCAACTGAGGCCCCATGAATCATGAAGTTTTCCATTTTGGCTGTTGGAATTAAGCACTATTCCTGCCCCTTTGTGAGCTTCTGATACTGTTCCCCTAATAATTTCTGCTGGATCTTTACCCAGCCTTGACAGTTTATTTACACACATGGTTAATCAGTACTCAACTGAATACTTATGGGGACATTCTACAGTTCTCCAGAGTTCTGCCTCTGTGCAGCTGTCTCCCTCTGTGCAGCTGACATCCCCAGGCCCTCAGCTCTGTCTCCTTACCTCAGGGAGTCTGCCAGACCCTGCCTGGGTTTTGCTTCCCTGTGTTGTGGACAGGCCATGTTCTCCAAGCAATTGCTGTGGCAATCAGAGGGCTCACCTTGCTTGTTTTTCTGCTCTTGAGGGTCATTTGTTCCATGATATTGTTTCATATATTACATTCATTTTCAAAGTTGTTTTAGGTGGGACGGTAAATCCATATCCTTTTACTTCATCTTGGCTGGCTATGAAAGGCAGAATTAACTATATTTAGAAATATTATGACAAGCAGATCTTCAAAGGAAAGTAGAAACTAACACTTATTGAGGGCTTCCATGTTTTAGGCACTATATCCTGTTATCCTTATCTCAACCACCAAGTGAGATTAATACCATGAACTTGATTTGTAGTTAAGACAGAGCCTAGGCTAGTTCATACAAGTCATACAGCTAGTAAAGAGTAGAGCTGAGATTTAAAGCTCAATCTGTTGGCACAGTCCAAACTGTTTTCTTTTGAAAGCATCCTCATACTAAACGTTCCGTACAAACTTCTCTAATGAATTTGCCTCCTTAAAAGTTTATTTAGCAGCCTACCATCAAACGGAATTCTACTGGCACCTGTGAAAGGAGCTTGTGTAATATATGATTTTCCTAATTAAGCTCAACATCTCACACTGGTCCCACAGAAAGGATATAAGAGATCGCAATGTATCTCGACCTGACCAATAAATAAATAAATAGTCAAAACCCATTTCCTACTGATGATGCTTTACTAGCACCATCTACATATTCAATAGCTCGCATACATCATTTTTATGTAGAGAGTCCAGCAGAGACATTCATGTTGGTATGCTATACAGAATTTTTACTTCATAGTCAATGTGCACATTTTTTGTTAGAAATCAAAGTGGCGTGATAGATGTCTTAGGTGCCATTTAATGGAAGAGATGTCAGGATCATGACTGTTCCAAATAATCTCTGGATCAAATGTTCCTGGATTTATGATCACCTGAGAATGTATTTTATAACTGCATTTCCCTTATCATGGTAGCCTCATACTCCCACAGGGCAGACACAGGGTTTAGACTTGTAGAATGACTCATGAGTGAGGCTGAGCCACTGAGTTACTATAGAATATCAGAGCTCTCTCTGGTTCATCGTAGCTTTTCTGGTGGTATCTTTTCCTCACCAGAAATTGGTTCTTCTCTATTATCATGCTGTGAAACATCACCTAGGTCCCCTTTGTTCTCTCATATACCTTTCCACCCATGAGGCAGAGCCTGGAAATCATTTCCTCTCACTATCTATTGAAGTGAGACATTCCTGAAATTTAAATGTAGTCCTTATCTACTTATCATCTGAAGGTGAGAAACACTGAGATGAATTCTTAATAACTTGGATGGTTGTCGAACAAGTGCTAGTAAATTTTTCCTAGATAAACAAATTCTTTCTTGAATATTTAAATTAGTGAACAAAGATATCTTGTGTGCTAGTCATTTATACACTGACTTTTATACCTTCCCTTATAGCTGAGTGCATCTACATCTGGCACTTAAAAACATGCTATTTGGGGATGAGGGGGGAGCTATTGAACATAGAATGTAGGTCAAGTATAATGTGGAAATGTTCAACATTAAAGAAAAGAGTTGGGAATTATTTGTTAAGGGCCAGTTTTCTCTCAACAACATTCCTGATGTATAAATGCAATTGTTTACCTAATTCAAACAATACTTGTCCGTTACATCTGCATGATAAAATCCATGGCATGAGTGAGCTTCGTGAAAGGACAGCAGCAGCAGCCCAGAGATGCAGTGGGATCACAGGTTTCATTCATTAAAATTACAAACCTTCAAACGTCTGTGAGTGGGTCCAAAGGGAATGTTTCTACTTATTCTGACCAGAAAGTTTTAATTGGGTCTGTTTTCTCATCTTCTCATTTTGACCAGAGATCTTTAATTGGATCTGTTTTTAACTTCAAATGTAGAGTAGAGTCACATCTTACCTAAGAGGATAAAATCTTAAGTTAGCAGGCAAGCCAATAATTAATTATAATCAAAATTGCCTGGAGAAATTCCTTAAGTCATCCACAAAGTACAATATAAATGGCTTTGTAAATACAAACCCATATAGTAATTTTTTTTTTTTTTTTTGTCAGGAGATGGAGGGAGACAGGATCTTTCCCTGTTGCCCAGGCTGGAGTGCAATAGTATGATCATGGCTCACTGCAGCCTTGATCTCCTGGGCTCAGTTGATCCTCCTGTTTCAGACTCCCTAGTAGCTGGGACTACCAGATACATGTCACTAAGCCCGGCTAATTTCTGTATTTTTGTAGGAACAAGGTTTTGCCATATTGCCCAGACTGGTCTTGAACTCCTAGGCTCAAGCAATCTGCCTGCCTCAGCCTCCCAAAGTGTAGGATTACAAGTGTGAGCCACCACGCCCAGCTTAGTAATTCTTAAGAGCAATGAGAATCACCGAGGAAAGAATACAACTTTTAATCATTTAAATGCTGTTCCTTTAAAGAAAAGTATGAAATGGAAATGGAAAATGGGTACAAAACATTCTAAAATAGGGCATTCATTCTATTCTGTTAAAATATTAAACCTCTGTGTCCTTAAGACATCTTGGTAGATCTGCATGTTCCTATGAGGAATGAATGGGAAAATTTATGTGAAAGCACCTAGCATAGCACCCTGCATAGAGAAAGTACTAAATAAATGTCCACTAGATTTGAATCAAATATAGCTTGGTCATACCCAGGAATAATACAGTTTTTTTGGGAAACATATGGAGAACTTGACCACTTGCCTACTGACTGTCCAGGTGGTGGCTCTACTGAACAACTGTTACTCCTGTGCCTTAGGGTATTATACTTTTGACCCTTAGAGCAAAATTGTTTCAAAAATCAGAGTAAAAGTTAAATACCTGATCAGCGGCAGCCAAAAAGTATTGTTCAACACTTGATTATGACTTAAAACTTCTCTAATACTCCATTAGAACAGCTTGAAAGAGTTCATCAAGTTGAAGTAAAGACTTCAAACTTCTTTTCAGTTATATGCAATAGTATAGTAGCTCCCTTAGATGTAAGAAATGGGAAATAGTATTTCCATTCATCTTTTAGGAAAATGACCAACAAGCAGAGATGGAAATGTATTCACTAGTTGATATCAAAAACCATGACATATGGTTGCATGTAGGTAACAGGTTACTAAGCCAGTGACCAAGTCTAATTCATGAACAAATGACAATGTGCCTGGTGATTCCTGGATATTCCTGATTGGTAGACTTTGGATTTCTTGCACTCAAATAAGTAGGGGTTGGAGGCATTAGGATTAGGAAACTGAGATTATTAATTGATTATGTTAGATTGTTATTCCATATCTGCACTGTCACTCCTTCCATTTTTTCAGATCTCTTTGCTTAAATGCCTCCTTAATAGAGAGGTCTTTCTTGATCACTTTCTATCTCTATTGCTTTCTCCATATCTATCTCTATCTCTCCAGATATCTGTCTTTATCGCTATCTCTTTCTCTGTTTAGCTCCTGGCTCTGCGTTAGTTTTCATTTTTTCTGGTTTCTCTGTTTTATTTTCCTTATGAGCACTTATACCACCTAACACACTATATATTTATATTGATTAGTTTATTCCACAAGAGCAGGGACTTTGGTTCATCTATTTTCTTATCTCCAAGTTAGGACAGAGGCATATAGGAGGTGCTCTATCAATTGATCAATCCATGTTAATAAATGCAACAAAGTATGAATGAATTCTTATTTATTTAGCACCTGCTCTGAAATAGGTAGACAGTATAAAACCGGAAGTTCTAGATTCTGGCTGTGTTTTGGAGTTTATCATCTTGTAAGATGATCAAGTATGTGAGAATTAGAGAACAAGGCCTAATATGCTCATTGTTCTCAATAACGTCTCCCTTTATTCTCCCCTTTCAAAACTAGCACTACTGCCAGGGAAATACTGCTCTTCCCAGGTTCACAGCTCCTCAGGCTGACTTAATGACTTCTTTTGAACTTCAAAGCTGCCTTTGATGTTCATTTTTGTGTCTGGAGAAAGCTAGCACCTGGTGAGTTTTGCCTCCACTTCTGGTTGGCTGACCTTATTGTTCTGTGCTCTCTAAAGCCAGAAAATACATAAGAAGAATGACTGTAACTCAGATATGGAACATTTGCCTGACTCTTCCCTCTCCCAGGACATTCCTATCCCTGGCTCACCTAAGTGCCTTTTGGGTCTGGGCCTAAGCTGTCCCCATGACACAGTCTGGAAAATATCTAAGCAGTTTTTCAGAGGCAGAGTCTCTTCTCTTCCTCAACATCACTATTTCTTCCCTGCAAAGTACAGAGTACTTTCCACATGGAAACAGGAAAGCTGTAGGCCAACTAGAATAGAATCAGATTGTTGGATGTAAAAGCAGAGGGTCTGTGCTGCACAATGGGGAAGAGCTTCAGTGGAGAGGCCAGAAGGACAACTATTTCAACCTGGTTCCACCACTTACCAGATCTCTGACCCTGGGCATTGAACCTCTCCAAGCTTCAGATGCTCTGCTGAATAAATGCCGGGGATAATAGCAGTACTTATCGCCTATGAAAGTCGTGAGGGTTAAATAAGAGAATGTTGTAAAATGCACTTAGTACATGGCACAGAATCTCATTTAAAATGTTCACATTCAACATTAGAATAAAAGCTCAGACTTCTAAATATTAGACATTTAAAGTAAAGCATCATGTAGATAGTAGATTCCAGACTAATTCAAGCAACACCTTCACTTAGATTTAGATTGCAGTGTGAAAAATGAGAGATTTGTGTTTCATTTTCCATTGCTATATACCCACACATGTCTGTAGCTACTCTTTGTATGTGAATATTTGCACATTTTATATCTGCATATATGTTAATGAACTGATCAGTTGACCAACAGAGGCTTATATTCTAATGCTCCCAACCAATTCCCGTGAGCTTTCTGCATCTCCCATGTTGCACCTCTCCATATCTCAGACCTCACAAAGTGCTCTTCCTGCTTTCCAGAACTATGGAGACAGGGACTTTGAATTCCTCTGCATTTATATAAATTAAGTCAAAATAAGAGGGAAGTCAAAATCTCCTATATTGTAAGGTTTATTCTTTTCAGACTTGAAGTGCCCAGTGTCACTTTCTTGTCATTTACTGACTTGAAGTCACCAGTGTCCCAGAGAGAAGAAAATGTAATTTCCATGACTGTACCTCAGTTCTAGGATGGGGTACATTTTATTTTTGTTTATGTGAATTATTTTGTATTAAAAACAAATTATCAAAAAGCGAGAGTCACAGCAGGCACAACCTTTGCAACCTCTCACAGTTTAAGTGGAACCAAAATAGCCTTCCAGGGTAGAGTGTACAGAGTGTATTCTGTATTCCTGCTCTCTGGTCATCAGAGATCAAGAGTTTCTTAAGACTGACAGAATAAAGTACTAGAAGTTGTGTGGGATAAAGTAAATAAACTAAAGGTTGAGGTGGACATGAAGAAGTATGTAGGAATATTCTTTCCTAGCTGAGCGAAGTCAATGTAGATGATAAGAGCTTGGATCTGGCTGTTGGAAGGTGAAGCTCTGCTGCAAGGTCTCTCTGTGACCTTGAGCAATTCATTTAACCTTCCTGCCTGAGTTTCCCATTCTAAGAAATAGAACATGTGAGCTAGGAATATGGGGACTAGGAAAATTAGCACTTATGAAGCTATCAGAATATAAAATAATTATAAATGTTACTTTGGTTATGTCTATTAGAGGAAAAAGACTGAAAACATGATGAAGATTTTTAATCAGATAACTCTGATGTTTCTATTTTGTATTGGATGTTGATTTAAATATAAAATCCTACTCTCCCCCTGACTTATTTTAGGATTTGTGATTGGGAAGATGACAGTGTTCTTGACAGGTAAATCACTGAATTTGGAATCAAAAGACTTGGAGTTAAGTTCTTGTATGCCAAGACCATGGAAAAGCCATTTAACCTGTCTTCATTTTAAAAATGAAGATGTTAATTCCCCCCTCCCCCAGAGAGTTATTCGGAAAACTAAATGAGATAATTTGTGTGAGAAAAGTTGGTATCATTTGGTGAAGCAGGAAGCTCCCACACTTTGGAATCAGAGAGACATTGTTTCAAATTCTCATCCCATCTCTACTCAGCCACAAGATGCTGGGGAAATAGTTTACACATTGCGGATCTATTTCTTCACCTGTAGAAGACAGTAAAGTATCTACCTAAAAAGTGGGTAAGAAAAATAACATCTAAAAACTCCTGGTATGTATTTGGCCTCAGAAAATTCACTCCTCCTAACAATAAAATAGTTACCTATAGAGTTATAATGGTACAAGGAGCCTCAAAGAGACAGCTCTTTTTTTAAAACTTTTAAAAATTAAATAATTAATAACAAAAAAATAATATTCCACATTTGTGTAAAATATTAAGAATAACAGCCTGGGAGTAGTGGCTGATGCCTGTGTAATCCCAGTACATTGGGAGGCTAAGATAGGAGGATTGCTTGAGCCTAGGAGTTCATTACCACCTGGGCAACATAGTGAGACCTTGTCTTTACAAAAAAAAATATTAAAAATTAGTCAGGTTTGGTGGCATGGATGTGTCCCAGCTACTTGGGAAAGTCATTTGAGCCCAGAAGTTTGAGACTGCAGGGAGCTATGATAATGCCATTGCACTCCAGGTTGGGTGACAGAACCAGACCGTGTCTCTTAAAAAAAATGGAATAAAATGGACATCTGTGTACTGGCTAATCACATTACAAATATCTTTGGGGTCTCCTATGAGACTGTACCCAATCCCTCTCACCCCCTTCCTATAAGGTAACTGTAATGTGAATTTAGAGCTTCTCTTTTTACTACATATACAAGTATTGTCAAATGGTATAGTTTAGTTTCAAAAACTGTTATACTAATGGATTTTTACTACATGAACTCTGACTTTTTTGACTCAACATTATATTTGTGAGATTCATCCATGTTGTTTAGCTGCAAAGCAGTCATTTTAATTACTTTCTGTTATTTCATCATATAACTACCATTTATTTATCCATTCTTCTACTGATGAACATTTGGTTTGTTTCCATTATTTTGGTAATATAAACAATGCAACTATGTGTATTCTTATATAATCTTGTGATTTTTCTTTAGGGTATATATCCAGGAATGAAATTGCTGGTTTACAGTTTATATATCTTCATCATTACTAAAAATGTCAAATTGTTTTCTAAAGTTGTACCAATTTATACTCTCACAAAGAGCATATAAAGAGTTTTCATTGGTCTACAATCTTGCTAAGATTGGCATTGTCAGTAACAGTATCTCATTTTTATTTTAAGGTGCACTTCTCTGATTACTCATGAGGTTGAGTATATTTTCATATGTTTATTGCCCATCCATAATTTAGCTTCTGATATTTTAAGACTTGCCCTTTCTACATAAATAGCATGACTGACTCAATGTGCAAGCAATTCACCCTGGATCTTGTAGAAATCCTTATAAGATGAAGTTGTCTTTAAGCATTCCAGTAGACTTTTCATAAAGAAATGTATAACATGTTGTTTTGAACTCTCTCACATTACTTTCAGACTGTTGTAGACTAAACATCTAGCAGTTTCCGAGCATTCATAGTATACAATCAGAATATAATAAGCTACCAGCCAGGTCAAGGTTCTTGGATGCAAACATGAATGTCAACTTTCCTGAGGGAGAAGGATTCATATTTTTGCAAATTGTAAATGACAGTTTTGCTTTATGGGTTATCTTCATAGGCGATATGACTGACTTTGAAGTCTGGTTTTATGGGTTATCTTCATAGGAGAAGTTAAAAGATACAGTGGAATATTTTACCTGTTGGAATTAGAAAAGTGAGAATAAAGTCAATTTCTCTTAATCTAGCCCAACATCAATTATTCTAGTTTAGGATGTAGATAGTAGATAGTAGCCTAATGTAGACAGTAGATTCCAGACTAACTCAAGCAGCACCTTACATTAGAAGTACTAATTATTTTCAGTCAGCCCACAAATAAAAATGAATTACATGGTTTAGTATAAATATCCAAAAATGCTACATTCACTTTCTTCGTCTTCTTGAACAACTGAGTCAATCCCATTAAACTGGGCTGAGCAAAGTAGGCTTCGGGGATTGAAGTAGGCAAGTGGTAGTAGGACGGTCCAGGCATGGAATTGTCATCCAAATAGGATGAGGAGGGAATTTGCACGGGGGCAGCCGGGTTTAGGGTTTTGGAGTGAGAACATCTGTGTCAGCAGAGAGGATGGGCAGCGGTGAGAAATTGATTACATATGGAGAACTAATCCAATAAGTAAATATACTAAAGATAATGAGAGCCAGCTTCCTTACTGTTAAATAAGAGAAATCTATGGTATTGAAGTGGAATTAGAATTGCCTGTTTGGACTCATTGTTTTCAATATATAGAGACAGAGAGATATGTATTCACAAAGAGCACACCTAGCACAGAGGGCACCTTGGAAAAATATCCAATCCCCAGTTTAAGGCAGGAAAAGTATTACATGATTCTGGAACACACTTTTGTGCCAGAAACAAGGACTTGTTCAAAGAATGATGGAGACATGTCAAAAGGACACAGAGATCAGATTGAAGAGGCTCCTGCTGGCCAAATCTGTGACAATTTAAGCTTTAAAGGAAATAATTATAGTAATGGATTAAAGCTAATGAATAACATATAAATCCATGAGTCCATACTGATATAAATAAATAAATGAAGTTGATAGTTTGATGAAGGATGGGATATTTACATAGTGTCAAAGTATCTTCCCACAAAATGCTTACTAATTTCAAAGGGGGAAAAAAATAGTTCTACAGTGGTGAAACCTGACAGACACTTTACTCAAGATATTTGACA
Organism: Homo sapiens; assembly: GCF_000001405.40. NCBI lineage: Eukaryota > Metazoa > Chordata > Mammalia > Primates > Hominidae > Homo > Homo sapiens. Next base: position 25,748,243 of record NC_000012.12, on the reverse strand, counting down.
CTATCAGTGATGAGACAAATAAGAATTGTGACATTCCTGCCAAATAATCTGAATCTAATTATGAGGAAACATTGGATATACCTAGATTGAGGGGCATTCTACAGTAACCGGCCATTTGTAATCTGCAAAATTGTCAAAATTAAGAAAGTCCAGTAAATACTGAGGAAAGGTTCAAGATAAAATGATAACTAAAGGCAACATGTGATTCTGGACTGGATCTTTCTTCTATAAAAGACATTGTTGGGACAATTTGCAAAAACTCCAGTGGGGTCTGAGGATTAGTGCTAGTAATGTATCACTGTGAATTTCCTGAGTTTGATGGTTTGTTGTGGTTGTATATAGGAGAATATCCTTACTTAGATAAATATACAATATAACATTTGAGAGTGATCAGACATTCTCTCTAATTCTCAAATTGGTTCATGAAAAAAGGTTTTGTATTGTTTTTGCAATTTTTCTCTAAGTTTCAGATTGTTACAAAAGTAATTAATAAAATAGGGCCTAATACTCAAAGAGATAATGTGAATACAATCAACATAAATTATTTTAATTAAACTTGTCCATAGTATTCAAAGCCCAGTGCCCAGTGAGTTCATATATTTTAACCCAACTAATTAAATCACATCAGAGATGAGTAGAAACAGAGATTGTTATGTGCTTACTGAGTATTAGGTCCAGGAAAAGGAAACTATATATTTAAGTGTAGGCTAGGCAGCCAGATCGTCTGGGTTCAATGCCAGTCCCATTAGTTACTAGCTATGTAACCCTGGGGAATGAATTAATCTCTTTGAGCCTCAGTTATGTCATTTGTAAAAAGGGGAATGATAATAACATTCCCAAAATTTTGTGAAGGTTAAAGAAGAAAACGTTAAGTCATTAGCATAATGTCTAGTGCATTGCAAGTGCTTAAAATGGTAGTTCCTATTAATGTTATTGTTTTATTTATTTTTTGTACCGCTGCTCTCTCTGTTAGGAAAACTTACCTATGCTTATATTGTTCTCTTTCCCTTCCCAGGTTCTGACTTTGGGGGCAGAAAAGATTCCCAGATTCTTTCCAAGTTTCTCTGAACCTAGAAAGTGGTGTAAAGAAGAAGTAATGGTAACAATAGCAAAATCAACATGTAGCATGCATCATTTCATTTAATCATTTCATCTATGAAGCTAAGAATACTCCTTTGTATGTGGAGAAACAAATGTTTAATAGTCGGTAGTTTTATGACCATTATATATGAATGTCACGTAATAACCAAGGATATATCCTTTGACTCAATAATTTTTACCCTCTTTTTCAAATGTAAGTATGTTTGCCCCCCAGAATTGCTCATTTGTTTCCAAAGATTTTGGGTAGCAGTGACAAACAAAGCCTGATACTCAGTGGGAACTCCAGAAATATTTATTGTGTTGAATATTTATTGTGTTTGAAGTGTTAACAATCTATGTCACATATCATAATGTGGATTACTTTATCAGATATTTTATTGAGGTAGATTTGGTAGGGAAGGGAAAAAAATAACAAGTGTCTCCAGTGCCTCGCAGAATGGGAAAATATGGTTATTGAACTGGTAATGAAGCACAAAAAGCCAAAGAATAGAAATAAACCTTTCACTGGACAATTTTCTGTGGGGCTGGCATTACTGCCTACCTTTCTTTGTGACACATCTAACTTGAGTGTATCTCTTTAAGACAATTTATATATAGTTATTTTCTATTAATATTTCCTTGTATCTATTCTTAATACAGAGAGAAAGAGAGAAAGGAGAGAGAGAGAGAAGAAGGAAAAAAGCCCAGCTAATCATCTTTCTCCTTAAAACTACACTTCATTTCACATGCTTGGGAACCATGTGTGAGCAAGTCCTTTCTTTTCTAAGCTAAACAAGAACAGTTGCTTTCCCCATCTGATCCTCTTCCCAATAATTGAAAATGTTTATCATTTTCCTTTGGGATTGCTTCCAGACCTCCCTCTTCTTTGAATGTGAGGTTCCAGACTGTCTCCACTATTCTAATGGGAGCCTCTCTGAATTCCAAATATAGGTCTTGGAGGAATAGTCTGTCTTTATTCCTATATACATCTCATTACAATGTGAGCAGCAGATATGGTTTGTGATTTATCTTCAGATAATTTTATTAAGCATCTGTAGGTGCAATTTGAACACGCTGGGGCAATATATAACAAATAAATGCATTAAAGACCTCCTTTCTAAGTAGTAAAAATAAATCAGATGGTGTGATTTAAGAGCCCCAGAAAAAAAGTAATAAGAAATTTTAAATGGTATAGAAGGTTATAGAGTTGCAAACCCCTCAATCAAGAAATTACTGATATTAAGTATAATATGTAATTACATATTTCTCTTCTACCTGTAACAAATAATTTTCCTGCTTTGTATAGGGATAGTTCATATTAATAAGAATGAATGATATTTGAAATACTGTCTTAAGCCATTGGAAAATAAGAAAATTAGAGCAATATTCATGAAATTGGTTTATCATGATCTTTTCTGTTTCTAATTTATTTCACAAGGAAAACACTTCATCAACATATAAAAAAGGTTTAAACTGAAATAATTATAATTAAACATTATAATGACAGCTTCCTGAATAGCGAAAACATTAACATATTTTAGATAGGAATTTCTAACAGGAAGTAAAACAAAATAAAGTCTTCTATTGTTCAAAGAAATATTTTATTTATGTTGTCACAAAGAAGAAAGAAGTCTTTAACCCAAGGTCACTGAACACTTGGATCTCACTTAACTGAGACTAAAAACCCAAGAAAGAGAATCTGCGTTGTTGTAAATGATGACTTTGTTAGGATGAACTCATTCCAGTTTTTGAAGATCAAGGTACAGAGAGATTCCTTGTCTACAGCAAGAATATTTCACAGACACACAAAAAGCTAGGCCTGTGCCTTTCACTCAATTGAAGCATAGGGTAGAGATCCCAGACAGTTAATTTGGATTAATGAAACCTATTTGTGGAAATAATGGGCAATATAATGATCATAATGTGCTAAGAAAATAATCTCTCTTTTTTCTGTTGAAAACTAGCACAAGTGGCCTGTGAACTTGCTTGATGGGAGAAAGCACATTTAATCTGGATGTTCATTTGCAAAGCATTTAGTTTAACAGCCAAAGAAAAATTATTCCTGCATAATTGTTCCGTGAAGCAGATTTATCGTGACTAGACCATTTGTGTGTGTGTGTGTGTGTATGTGTGTGTGTGTGTGTGTGTGTGTGTGTGTGTGTGTATTTGGTAGTGCTGTTTTCCAGGCACATGCAGAAGACAGATTGTTGACAGTCAATCAGTCAATGTTTAGTCAAGGGTGAGAATACTTTTGTTTTAGTCACAGATCTTCTCTACCAGCCACATGATATGTTCTCTTTTTAATCAGTGCCTTAGAAGCTTTTGTGCATTATGAGAATGCTGCTAAATATGACAGATCAGATACATCTTTTACTTTAGTCCCGCTAGGAGAATAAGCTGTTCTTCTTTTACTAGGCAACAGAAGGGGACTTTTTATGTTACTTAAAGCTCAGCTGTGTGAAGCCTTTGAGAGATGGTGCTGTCATGTTGAACTTTCTTGAATCTTTTACCAGAAGCAAATGGCTGTCTTCATTTTCCACAAAGAATTGCTGTTGAATTGGAATGTTCTTGGGATATGAGCCTGTACAGTAAACATGTACACGTTTAGGATACTTTTTGGCTGACGTTATACTTAATAGGTGTGATGAAACAAAACTGAGTAACATATGAGGAAAGCTCTGGCTTGGCCAGCTCATTCTCTACCCTGTCCTGCACACAGAGGAAGGCTCCACCATTTCCAGGCAATTCTTTGAGCTTTTATTATGCAAAATTGGTGGAACGAGGCAAAGATAAAAAACAAAAAGCAAGGCAGATGGATTTTTGACAGAAAATCAAAAAGCACGGAAAAAAAAAAAAACTATAACATCCCGAGGTCTGTAGGCAAGGTACATACTTTGCTGGGGGGCTCTGGGAACAAATAATGAACCTCATGAAGAGAGAAATTTGGACGATGCAATGATGTGAAAGCATAAGCAATTCTGGGATAGAAAAGTGAGACACTTCCTGGGCTTGGGATGTTATAAAATTGAGAAGAGAGAATTTTAATGTTTTGTTGCATCCTCGTTAAGAATGTTGAAATATGTACATAAATATTGGATGTCCTGTCTGGATGGTACTTCTCTGAATGTTAGCAGCTCTCCGGGACTGAGCCACATGATCAGGACTTCCTGGGGATTACATCAGTATGACAGTTATAAGCTTTTATAATGGGCATTTTCTGCTGGTGCTTTCTGCTTCAGACACATTTTGAAACACTGGAAAATTGCCAATAATGATAGGTTTCTGTGAGTACCTGAGTATCTTTGAACCGATAGACTTATTTATCTACAAGGCCATTTTAGATACTCATAACACAGATATTCTCTGTGTTACCTGAGCGGTGTATCTGCTGACAGTGCTACATCATAAAATAAGATTTGTGATATTGTTGGAGATATAAGATGGTGAGTGATGATCACAGAGTACAGCATCTTAAGAGTCTGAAGGTGAACTGGAAAAAATTAAAATCAAGTTTCAAGAGATTTATTTGTCAACATAAGTCTAGAAAAAATTTGGCAGGATGTGTAGAAACAAGTAAATACAGAAGTGAGACACCAAATGGCTTAAGACTTCTTTTTGTTTAAAATATTTCTAGTGGGTAAGAACCTGATCGCTTGCTGAATGTTTTCCTGAATCTCTGAAGTTTTCTGGGACTTTGATTTTACAGCAATAATAAAAGATTTTCAAAAGAAAAGCTAAGCATTTCTCAAGAATGATTTCCTTTTCTAAACAGGCATTCCTGATTCTACATGATTTAACTAATTAACTAATTTTCTAACTTTTAAAGTCTCCTTTCCTGCCCACTTGCTGTAGGAGGCACGGGGTGCTACAGCATGACAAGCCTGAAGATGAGCCTGAAGATGAGATACGGGTTGTAATAAAGCTATTAATTTTAATCTCCAGTGAGGCTGTGCAATCAAGTTGGGAAGACCCAGCTACACAGATCTTATAGGCCTGACTGCAGACTAAGGTCATAGGGATTCTGGGAAGGATCAGAGAAACCTTCAGAGCACAGCTGAATGTGTGGCTGCAAATTTTTATGGTGCAATTTATCACAATGGCTAACATGATAGTATTAAGAAGTGGGGCCGTTAGGGGGTGATTAAATCATGGAGGTAGATCCCTCACAACCAGGATTAGCAATCTCATAGAAGGGGTGGAGGTGACTAGCTAGGTCCTTTGCCTTACTGGCCCTCTTCCATGTGAGGGCACAGTGTCCATCTCCTCTCAAGGATGCAACGCTCAAGATGTTATATGTGAAGCAGAGACCAGGACCTCTCCAGACATTGAACATGCCAGCTCCTTGATCTTGGACTTCCCAGCCCCTTCAATGGTGAGAAATAAACTTCTGTTGTTTACAAATTACCTAGTCTCAGATATTTTGTTATAGCAGCACAAATGGACTAAGACAACAGTCTTTTGAACTCTCTTAGGTCACATTTGTCCACCTCTTGTGTTCTGCTTATTTTACGTAACTTGTTTATACCCATTTTTGTATACAAATAAGCTGTGTTGTTAATCACAGTAAGATGCCTCATATGGGGAACCATGATTTCATGTCTTCTTGAAGAAGTCTTACACTCTTCTCTAGTTATAACAAAGAATTTGGAAATAAAGAATCATAGAGATACTCTTTTTTCCCTATGTTCTGAGAGCACATTTACACAGACACTTTACAGATACATTAATGCCAAGTATCCCTGCCAGGTACGTATTTATTATACTAGTTGGGATAAGGAATTCATGCTGCTCTAATAAACAGACCCCTAACTCCTACTGATTTAGCAAATGAACATTTACTATTGGTTTATGCAGCACAAGGTGGATGATCCTACTTGGTGGGACCACGCAGTCATTCAGAGATTCAGATTCTTTCCAGTCTGTGGCTCTGCTTTCCCCTGGGGCCTTGGAGTCCTCTGCTAGATCCTCAGTAGGCAGCCAGCAGACAGGGAAGAGAGAGTGTGGAGTGTCACTTGGAGGATCTGTATGGGCCAGATCTGAAGGCAGCATCCACTACTTCTGCCTTTATTCTAATGGCCAGAGTCCTCTAGCCAGGCTGAATTGCAAGATAAGCTGGGAAATCCAGTCTATCTTTGTGGTCAGAAGGAAAGGGAATTGGATTTAGTGAAAAATGAGCCAGTCTCTGGCATAGTGTTATTATTTTCACATTACTAACAGGAAAACTAAGTCATAAAGAGTTTAAATAATATACAAAAGTCACCCAGCTAATGGTGGTAAGCTAAAATCTGATCCCAGGAATCTGACTCTCGAACAGCACTTTTAACCATGGTACAGGGGTTCCTCCCCGAGAAATAATTCATGGTACTTCACATTACTTCAAATGAGTAAAATGCGGAAAATGCAGCAGAGGAAGAGTTTTATGAACTTTTCCTAGTTCATAAAATGTAGCAGACACAGGATTAGTGTTCATTTACTCCATGGAATCTTTTTTTTTTTTTTTTTTTTTTTTTTTGAGACAGAGTCTCACTCTGTCCCCCAGGCTGGAGTGCAGTGGCGCGATCTCGGCTCACTGCAAGCTCTGCCTCCCGGGTTCACGCCATTCTCCTGTCTCAGCCTCCCTAGTAGCTGGGACTACAGGCACCCACCACCATGCCCGGCTAATTTTTTGTATTTTTAGTAGAGATGGGGTTTCACTGTGTTAGCCAGGATGATCTCAGTCTCCTGACCTCGTGATCCGCCCGCTTCGGCCTCCCAAAGTGCTGGGATTACAGGCGTGACGTACCGCGCCCGGCCACTCCATGGGATTTCAACCCTATTTAGGATGAATGTGTGATGCTCTGATCTCAGTGTGTCTCTTCCTGAACATCCTTGGGGAAGTGGTGTGTGTGCTCTGATCTCCGTCAGTATTCTAGACTGAGCCAACCCACACTCTATCATCTGAGATGCCTGTTTCCAACAGCATGAATCTATGGAGGCAAATGGTTAGAACTGAGGATCTAGACTGGGTCGTGGAGTCAAACTAACAGACAGGCAGTGTGGCATCGGGTTAAACGGCAGACTCTGGAATCAAAACTCTTGTACCAGTAAAACCCAACCCTGGCTCTGCTGTTCTCTGGCTGGGTGACTTTGGGCTACTTAATCTCTTCATTCTATAGCTTACTCATGTGTAAAATGTTGATAATGATAACACCTACCTCACAGGGCTGTTATGGGGCTACATTAACACCTGTAAAGTACTAGAATAGTATCTGACACCTAAGCAATCAAAAGAGGTTGCTTTTTACTGTTGTTATTGTTATTTACTGGCATCTGATCAAGCTAAAAACATGGTATATATTTTTGCTGACACATAAAATCAGCTCAGTAAATAGTAACCTCACCTACTCAATAGCTCAAGTGATTGGATGCCACCCTCCCTCATTGGCAAAATCCAGTCCATCAGTAAGTCCTGCCAGCTCTACTGCCAATGTATTTATTATATTTAATCCTCTTCATTGTCCCTCCTTTTCCCTATTTCAAGCGTCTTTCATCTCTTGCTTAGACTACTGCAAAAACCTTTTAAAATGTTCCTTGCTTCTTCCTGTGCCCCCTACAATCCAGTCTCCACCCAGAAGCAAGGGTGATCTTTTCGTTTTCTAGTTTTATTGAGATATGATTGACAAAACAAAAAACAAACAAACAAACAAACAAAATGTATCTAGGCCAGGTGCAGTGGCTCATGCCTGTAATCCCGGTATTTTGGGAGGCTGAGGCAGGAGGATCACCTGAGGTCAGGCGTTCAAGACCAGCCTGGCCAACATGGTGAAACCCCATCTCTATTAAAAATACAAAAATTAGCCAGTCATGGTGGTACACACCTGTAACCCCAGCTACTTATAAGGGTGAGGCAGTAGAATCGCTTGAACCCCAGAGGCGGAGGTTGCAGTGAGCTATTGCACCAGTGCACTCCAGCCTAGGCGAAAAAGGCTCCAAAAAAATGGGCATACAACATGATGACTTAATATACGTCTATATATATACATTGTGAAATGATTACCACAATCAAATTAATTAGCACATTCATCACCATACATAGTCACCATTGTTTGCGCATGTGTGTGTGCGAGTGTGTGGTGAGGACACTTAATATCTAGTCCCTTAGTACATTTCAAACTCTATGGTATTATTGAGTATAGGCACCACATTAGATCCTCAGAAGTTATTCATCTTATAACTGAAAGTCTGTACCCTTTGACCAACATTTCGCGTTATCCTTCCACCCCCCAGTCCTTGGCAACCATCATTCTATTCTTTGCTTCTATAAATGTGATTTTTTAAATTCTACATATAACTGAGATTATATAGTATTTGTCTTTCTGTGTCTGGCTTATTTCACTTAGCCTAATGTTCTCCAGGTTCATCCATGTTGTCACAAACATGGCAGAATTTCCTTCTTTTTAATGGCAGAATAATATTTTATTATATATATATATACACTACATTTTCTTTATCCATTCATTTGTTGAAGGACATGCAGATTGTTTCCGTATTGTGGCTACTGTGAATAACACTGTAATAAACATGAGGATGCAGATATCTCTTCAAGATACCTCTTCAAGATACTGATTTCATTTCCTTTGTATAACACCCAGAAGTGGGATTGCTGGATTGTATCGAGGTTTATTTTTAATTTTTTGAAGAAACGCTGTACCATTTTCTATAATGGCTGTACCAATTTACATTCCTTTGAAAACATAAATCAGATCAGGTAACTCCCCTGAGTAAACCTGCCAACAACTTCCAACCTCATTTAAGTAAAATCTGAAGTCCTTCTTTTAATCATGGGTAGATAATTTCTTAATAGGTCCTAGATCATCCAGGACAGTCCTGGCTTATACTGTTTTTCTAAGATTATTATTAATAGCACCCCTTTCACTCTCAAAAGTGTCCCAACAGATGATAAATTATATAATTGCCCTACTTAAGTGACCTGGAGCATCCCCACCCTAAGTAAATACTAACAATATAATTTGGTAATAAAACTTTTTGAATTTTTATAGGAAGGGAGAAGCACCTGCTAATTTAATTAAAGTTCATAAGCCTCAAATGCTAAGCTTGAAGCAATTTGATTATAATACAGAAGTTTGGATTTAGTCTGACTGGCTTTTAGCTGTATTTAAAAATAATTGATGGGTTACTCAGCACTGGCCCTGAGTCTTGTCTTCTTGTTAGAGGGGCTTAGCCATCTCTCCAGTGCAGCCTCCTCTCCAGGCCACACTGCTGTGGTGACCTGCAGCCCCACTGGTGGACTGTGGGCCCTCCTTCCATCAGGCAGAGAGAGAGCATTGTCCCTGAGAACCTTCAGCAATCCTAGCAATTCCTCTTCTCTCTCTGTGCATACCCCAACTGGAGTGTTGAGGAGTTTTCCCCTTTGACCCCCTTTTTGGCTGAGGGATATGCCTTTTTTCCTCCATTGGGGATGAGGAAAATGGAAGCTGGGATTGAGCCTTGTTTGTGGAGTATGCACCCATGCCCTCTGAGGCCTTGTTCTCTGTACAAGGTCCATTCATTGAGAGAAACGAGAACCTATCTCTAGTCCATAATCAGACTTTGATCATCTGACTTCTGCCTACCTCTCTGACTTCATTACCATTCACTCTCTTTCTTAACTGGGCACATTGCCTCCCTTTTCTTTCTAGAATATCCCAAGTGTGATCCTGCCTCAGGGCCTTTGCATTTATAATTCCTTCTGCCTGGAATGCTGATCCCCTCATCTGCTGGACTCAGCTTAGACGTGATCTCTGTGGGAGGTCTTTCCTGAGGACCCAACCTAAAGAAACTTTCCCAGTTGATACGGTTTGGCTGCATCCCCACCCAAATCTCATCTTGAATTGCAATTCCCACAGTTCCCGTGTGTTGTGGGAGGAACCCGGTGGGAGGTGATTGAATCATGGGGGCGGGTCTTTCCTGTGCTGTTCTCATGACAGTGACTAAGTCTCATGAGATCTGATGGTTTTAAAAACAGGAGTTTCCCTGCACAAGCTCTCTCTCTTTTTCTCTTCACCTGCTGCCATCCATGCAAGACATGACTTGCTCCTCCTTGACTTCCACCATGATTGTGAGGCCTCCCCAGCCACGTGGAACTACAAGTCCATTAAACCCTTTTCCTGTGTAAATTAGCCAGTCTCAGGTATGTCTTTATCAGCAGCATGAAAATGCCCTAATATACCAATTATGCTGTCTCTCATAATCCTGTTTTATTTTCTTCACAGTACTTATAACTCTCTAAAACTATCTTACTGATTTAGTTGCTAATTTTCTTTCTTTTATACTCCATAATAATAATAGTTACTAGACTTACTACAAGCCTAACATTCTTCTAAGTGCTCTTTGTAGATTATTCAACCTTTACAATCATTTTATGGGATAAGTACTATTAATATTTCCATTTAATAATTAAAGGAACTGTAGTGTAGAGAGATAAGTAACTTGCCTAAGGGTACAGAGATGGTGCCAGGGTTCCAGCCTTGGCAGTCTGGCTCCAACATCTCTCTGTAACTGCTAGGCAAAGCCTCTTTCCAACAAGGTCCTTTCCAAAGGAGAGAACTTGCCAGTCCTATGTGCCATTGTATCTACCCACAGCACCTCACACAGGACTTGGCTCAATTAATGATTGTTGAACTTTGTGTGAATAAACTTCGTTATATGACAACATGACCTTGTTTTATTTTCTGCAGACAGAGAGGCAAACCCTTCACTTTCCCACTTAACAGAAAGGACAGAGCCCAATCTCTTGTTTCAAGAGTAACTGGAGACAGGGGCCTAGCCAGGGCTGCTCCAGAAATCTAGATGGGGAAACGTGCTGTGTGGCCCCAAGGCAGATCCTGCATGAAGTCTTGGGAAAATTTCTTGGAGTGGCTTTTTATGGAGTTTCTCAGTTAATCACAAAATAGGAAATTCAGCACCAGCATACCAACTCAAAAGGGGGCAAAATGCAGGCACAGAACCAAAGCATAGTGTGAAATAACAAATCCCCTCACATCTTCTCCATATCAGGTGTGGGCACGGAAAATTAAGCTGTCTTGGATTATGTATCTACGGTTTGCAGCTGGGTACCAGAAAACCTCCTTCTCCCGTAGTCTACATCTCTGCCATACCTCCTCTGGGCTCCCACAGCATTCTGTATAAACCTGTATCTCTTCACTTACCACATTACAGAGAATTTAACTAGTTATCTGTCTCCTTTCCACTCTAAATGGTAAAATCCTTGAACAATATACCATGTTTTCTTTATCACTTACATATCATAGCACAGTTTATAGCATATACTTGGTAAATGTCAGCTGAGTTGGTCTGACCTGCCTTAGTTATTTCTCTGAGAGTGAAGGAGATAGTTACACTAGATGCTTGGAAGTTACCTTCCAGCAATAGGTTTTGGACTGGTCAGGTAAAGGCTATGCATTGATCTGGTTTGGGAATTGAGCCCAGCTACAAAAAGATATTTCTTTGTCTATACACACTAACATTTGGTTGTGTTCCAACTAGTTTATAACCGGATAAACATGCCCTTTCAATGTCCTGTTCCTATTTTCCCATTATCTGTTCCCTGCACTGCCGGTTACTTACATATTTAATATGCAAATATGAATGCTCCAGCTCATATATTAGAGGCCTGCCCTGGTATCCATGGGACCTATTAGAAGCAGATCTGTGCATCTTGATTAGAACGAGTCCCTTTGAGGCCATTGATTCATCTGAGCTGGCTGTGTTTATCATCTGGGGCTGCTCTTTTTTCTCCTCCGTTGTATCACTGATGCTTGTGTAACCACTGTTCAGTTCTCTTTTCCTGTATATAATTTCTTTGGACATTTGTTATACAATCAATCATTAAAAAAAAATCAATGTATCAACAATAATAATCACATTCTCCTCATTCTCAGGAATTCAGACTTATTTCTACAGAAGACACTATGGCTTGTATCGTTTATTTTATTCTACAAAATCAACTTAATGTGTTGAAAGCACTAAATAAGTTCTATGATTTTCTTTATCAACTCTCTTACTACTAAAAAACAAACATAAAACCTGAATCACCACGTTCTTTACAACATTAATCCTTATATTCATGAGCAAGGTAAAAAGCATTTAGTTCCCTGAGTCCTTGAACCATCAATATTTGTTTCTTCTTCTTGCAAATTTATTCATTTAATAAATATATATTGAATGCCCTATACATTGGAGAATAACACAAAAAAAGCCTTGTTTTTTTCTCATATTGAGTCAATTTGTTCAGTGTCTTTCAACATAGGCACAGTTGCCTAAATGTGTTTGAATGCATTCTGTGCCACTGATACAACATTTTAGTCTCTTATTTCTTTCTTTAAATGTCAGATCCAAACAGTATTCTTCCATGCCCAGCACAGAATGCATAGAAAAGAGGCTTAATAATGTTCCTTTTTGAAGAAATGGGAGAATATTCATTTTCTGACACATAGCAGATGATTGACAAGGAGTTATTGAATAAAAATGAATAGCTGAAGTTAAGCTTAAAATAAAAGTTTTCAATTGATACTGCATTAAATTCTTCTTTTCTTTTTTGTTACCAATCCTTCTTCATTCCTTTCATGGACCCATCAACCTCTCTGTGAGCTGATAACATGTCTGTCCCATTTCTCTCTTTGTGCCCTTACACCACTGACCTTTGTGGTTCTCTAGGAACTATGTTCTGAAGGTTCTAGAAATAGAAAAAGCCTGCAATCATGGTGATAACTTTGTGCTCATTTCTTATAACACTTCTAATGAAGAGCAAGTGGAAGGAGATGAGAAGTCTAAGAAGAGAAGAAAGAATAATTTGATTCAGCAAATATTTATTAAATATTTTGCATGTATCTCTCTTCTAGATGCTGGAGATAAAGAGGTAAACAAGATGAACATTGTTTTCTTATAATGAGAAAAAAGACTAAGCAAACTACTGTATGTAGAAAAATATCAGATAAGAAGTATTTTTGGAGAATTAAAATATAACATTATATTTAAATTATAATAAGTTAATTATTATTATAATTATTATAATTAAATTAAAATATAATAAAATGTTGTGACTGCTAATCACTTCAGTTTGGGATATCAGAGAAAGCCTCTTTGGTGGGGGGGTGATACCTAAGCTGAGATCTGAATGACATGAAGGACCAGCTGCACGAACATCAGGGTGAGAGCATTCTCACTGACAAGGCAGATACCTTAAACTTGGTAAGATCAAGGGACAGATAGGAGATGTGTGTACCTGGAGTGAACTCCTCTCTCACTTCCTGCTTCTTTTCCTTTACCTCCCTGACAACCATTGATCTCTGATACCCTACAGACTCCCAAAAGCAAATACCTCTCCAGAAGTCAGATGCCCCACCATGCCCTTTATACAGGTCAACACTTGTATAAATGGATAAGTGAAAGGAGGAACTGAAAGTCCATTAACCCCTTTACCATTGAGAAAAAAAAATGCAGCTCACTGCCCATGCTCATTTAATTTTACATAAACACACTCTGAGGCTGAAGCAAATCTGACTGATTTTCAATGTGAAAATAAAATATAAAAACTGCTATTGAAGTTATTTCTAAACAGAACTACATCAGAATCATCTATTTTGGAACACTTGGATTAATCAAATGAATCTTCAGCCAACAACTGTTTGAGAACGATGTTAACATCACACATAGGAATGGTGCGCTTTCTAGGATTTGACATTTTCAGCAACAGAGAATCATTACATTTTGTAAATGGAAATACCACTACTAAAAACAGGATGCCATAAATAGAATGAGTCTTTGGTTTCCAAAGTTGATATACTAGAGTGATGCAAAAATAATAGTAAAAGTGAGATATTTTGTGGGTTAAAGCAATTTACACTGAGGTGTGAAAGAATCACTGCCTAATGCATTTTCATTGGAAGAGGAAACATTAACTGAAACAAGTATCTTAATCAGTCATACTCAATAGTTTTTGTGTCTTGACATTATTCAAATTCCCAACACACACTTATCAAATACGCCTCTCATTACACTCAGCTTCTAGTGGGAGTGAAAAGCTGGGTGTTGAACAGACAGTCAAAGAATATCCCGCCAGAACCACTGTTATCCCAGAGTAACCATGGGCCTCAGGGAAATACGGGATATCACTGAGTGCACCAACACACATGTAATGAGAGTACCAGGAGGAGAGGAAAGAGAGAAAGGAGATTTTAAAAAATTTAAATAAATAATGGCTGAAAACAGATGAAATTTATTTTAAAACACTATAAATCCAGGAAACTCAATGAATTCCAAGTAAGATAAAGAGATCTACAAATAGACATGTCATAGTAAAAATGCCAAAATCCAAAGACATGGAGAGTATCTTGAAAGCGGCAAGAGAAAAATGACTTGTCATTTATGATGGAACCCCAATAAGATCAACAGCTGACATATCAGAATCAGTGGAGGCCAGAAGGCAGTAGAATGATATATGCAAAATGCTCAATGAAAACACTGTTGTTCAAGAATCCTATATCCAGCAGTTATTTTTTAAAAATGGACATGGAAATAAAGACATTCCCAGATAAACAAAATTCAAGTGAAATTGAATTGAATTGCTGGCAGAATTACCTTACAAGATATACTAAAAGTAGTGCTTCAATCTTAAAGCAAGCAAAATCAGACGGCAATTCAAATCCACATTTTAAAAAAGGAAAGAGCATTGGTAAAGATAATTATGAATTATAAAAGACAGTATAAATGAATATTTCTTCCCCTTTCTTCTCCTAACTAATTTAAAAAGCTATTATATAACATAATACACATATAATGTATTTTGGGGCCTATAACATATACAAATGTAATATACTTGCCAATAATAGCAATGAAGAAGGACAGTAGGAACAAAGCTGTTTTGGGCTCAAGAAATGACTCCATCTGGTAACTCAAATTTACAGGAATAAACAAAGAAAACTGAGGATGATGAATAAGAAAGTCAATGTAACAAAAGCTCTAAGTAAGTATATATACATGTATATATATAACTATCTGTTTTCCTCTCAATTTCTTTAAAGACAAAGTGTATAAAATAATAATTATAACAATAATTTTGGATTTATAACATTTGTAGATGTAAAATGAATAATAATAATACAAGAAAAATGTGGAAAGGGATTAGAAATAACATGTATAATTAAGTTAATATAAATCTGAAGCTATTTTTGATAAGTTCTAGAGCAGTCAGTAAAGGCATAATTTAACAATTTTAAAAAATGTATCAAAAAATTATTAAAGAAATTAAAATGCTACATGAGAAAATATTCACTAAATGCAAAAGGGAGCAGTACAGGAGGAATAGAATATCAAAAAAATACATGAGACTTATAGAAAACAAAATGTCAAATGTCAAATGTAAGTCCAACTACATCAATAATTACCTTAAATGATAATGTTGCAACTATGTGCTGTCTACAGGAGACACACTTTAGATTCAAAGATACAAATAGATTAAAGTTAAAAGAAGGAAAGAGATATATCATGCGAGCAGCAACCAAAAGAAATCTGAAGTTCTAGACAAAATAGATTTCAAAACAAAAATGTTAGTAGAGATAAAGGGGAGCTTTTGTAAACATAAAAGAGTCAACATATCAGGAAGATAACACAATTATAAACATATATATATATATATATATATACTTAACAACAGAGCGCCACGAAACATGAAGTGTAAACTCAAACAGAAAATTCAACAATAGTAGTTGGAAACTTCAGTAGCCCACTTTCAATAACGGATAGAGCAACTAGGCTAAAAATCAACAAGGAAATAGAAGACTTGAACCACAGTCTAAACCAATTATACCTAACAGACTTCAATAGAACATTTCATCCAACAACGGCAGAACATATATTCTTCTCACGTGTACATGGAACATTTCTCAGGATAGACCATACACTAGGTCAGAAAACAAAACTCAATAAATTTGAAAGAATAGAAATAATTTAAAAATACCAGATATGTTCTCTGACAAAAATGGAGCAGAATTAGAAATTGACAACAGAAAGAAATTTCGGAAATCTACAGATATGTACAAATTAAACAACACACTCCTAAATAACTAATGATTCAATTAAGAATCAGAAGAGAAATTATACAATACTTCCAAATAAAAATGAAGACAGCATATCAAAAACTTATAGAATGAAGCTAAAGCAGTGGTTAGTAGGAAATGTGTAGCTGTGAATGTCTGTGTTTTAAAAAAAGAAACCTCAAATCAAAAATGTAATCTACCTGAAAACTGAAAAAAGAAAATCAAACTAATCCTGAAGCAAGCAGAAGAAAGGAAATAACAGGGATTAGAAAGGAAATTAATTTTATAAAGAATAGAAAAACAATAGAGAAAAATCAATGAAAATAAAAGGTGATTCTTTGAAAAGATTAGCAACATCGGCCAAACTTAAGCTAAATTGACCAAGAAAAAAAAAAAGAGAAGACTGAAATTACTAGAATCAGAAATGAAAGATGGAACATTACTACCAACCTTAAAGAAATAAAAAGGATTGTAAAGGAACACTATGAACTATTGTATGTCAATAAATTAAACAACTTAAATGAACTGGATAAAGTCCTAGAAAGATGTGAAAGTGTCCTCTGGTTACTGTGTTTATAATTGCATGTGCAGGCATGGTAGTGGAAATAAGGAGACCTGTTAGCTGTGAATAGCAAGAGAGCATGGTGGCTCAATGAGAAGGGTAGACCTGGACCTGGTGAGAAGTGGTCAATCTAGATAACTTGGAAGGGAGGACCAATTAGATCTGACAGGTCAAATGTAAAAGTGAGTCAAAGATGACTCCTTGTTTTTTTCCTAGAAGAATGAACAGTATGGCTTTTCCATCAACTGATAGGGGAAAGATCCTAGGTGGAATTGTTTTGGGAGTGTGCAGGATATCTTTTATTTACCACTGTGCAGGCACTGTCTACTCACCCTCATTCTGTTCTGTACTCTGGTAAGCCTACTGTGGAGTACATTACTGATCTTGTGCTCTCTGGGTCTCCAGTGTATGTTCAGCCAATGAGGGGCACTGGTATGAGATTCAAAGGAAGGAAGAGTTGCTTTAAGCTGGTTACACTCCCACAGGGGGTCACAGCTCCTGTCGATTACCTCCATACCTCTCTCTCTTTCTATCTCTCTCTCTCTTAGTGACAACTGCTTCCTCTTTTCACTTCTTTCCCTTCCAAGATTGGTGGGACAATAACCGCCTTTGTTAGCACTGGGGCTCTGCACTATCCTCTGTGGTTTCTCTACACCCTGTAAATAACCTCTTTATAAACTGCCGTCAAATTATCCAGTTAAAGTGTGCCATTTGTTTCTCTTGCCAGAACTAGGACTGATATGAAAGGAAGATCAGAAATTTGGTTTTGGAATTACTGAGATGTCAAGGAAGAGACGAGAATGGGCAGTGGGATATTTGAGTCTGGAATGCTGGAATTCCTGAAAGACAGGAATTTAGGAGTCACCAGCAGAAAGAAGATAGAACCAGAAGACTTAATGGGATCACCTCGGGAATGAGGGAAGATAGAGAAAAGCCTATTTTGAGTCAGTTTTAAAGAGAACAAGAACTGGATTGAGCAAGTATAAACAAGTCTTGAATGTTGCTACAAAGGGGCCAATACATGGGCAATGGCTGAGGAGGAAAGAGAAATTCTGTTTTTGTATTTATTTTGTTTTATTAAGATGGAATAAATAACTGCATGTTTGTATGCTGACAGACATGATTCAGTAGAAAGGGAAAAATAATAATGCAAGTGAGAAATGGGAGAATTGCTGAAGGATGCTGTTGAATAGGAAAGGGTGAGATCTAAGGCACAAGGGAGTGGGGAGATTGTCTGAGGTAGTGCACAGGGTACAGCTGGTTCATCTACAGTAACAAGCAGGAAGGCACAGTGTGAGGATTCAAATTTCTCTTCTGATTGTATTTTCTCAGTAAAGCAAGAAGCAAAAAGATAAACCAAGAGTGAAGATGGGAGGGAGGGGTTGAAGTTAAAGAAGAGGTTGTGAATGGTTACCTACAAGTGAAAACATTAGGAATTTAGGAAAATGTAGTCTGAATGTTGGCAGATCAAAGGATCACATGAAGTTCACTATCATGAATTTAAAGTGATACCATGTTCAGCTGGAAGCAGGCAATGCAGTTATAGAGTAAACAGACAGTTTGATTCAAAGGAGAGTTGGGGTTTTACTAAGCAAGTATGACAAAGCTGTGTGGCCTTGGACAAGTTATTTAACCTCTCTGAATTGTAATTCCCTCATGTATAAAATGAGCATAATAATACTTATCATGAAGAATGCTATATGCATTAAATAACACAAATCAAAACTAATCAAGTGTCTGGCACATAGCAAGTGCACAGTAAATTTCTGCTAGATTTATTGTTATTGGAACACCTACTTGGGCTATGAAAATTTCTTTTTTTTTTCTCTCAACAATGTTTAATAGGTTTCTTTATAGAAGTCTTGCACACCTTATATTGCATTTATTTGGCGGTATTTGATATTTTTGCTCTTAAATTGGTTTTTTTTTTGAGACGGAGTCTTTATTATTATTATTATTATTATTATTATTATTATACTTTAAGTTTTAGGGTACATGTGCACAATGTGCAGGTTAGTTACATATGTATACATGTGCCATGCTGGTGTGCTGCACCCATTAGCTCGTCATTTAGCATTAGGTATATCTCCTAAAGCTATCCCTCCCCACTCCCCCCATCCCACAACAGTCCCCAGAGTGTGATGTTCCCCTTCCTGTGTTCATGTGTTCTCATTGTTCAATTCCCATCTATGAGTGAGAACATGCGGTGTTTGGTTTTTTGTCCTTGCGATAGTTTACTGAAAATGATGATTTCCAATTTCATCCATGTCCCTACAAAGGACATGAACTCATCATTTTTTATGGCTGCATAGTATTCCATGGTGTATATGTGCCACATTTTCTTAATCCAGTCTATCATTGTTGGACATTTGGGTTGGTTCCAAGTCTTTGCTATTGTGAATAGTGCCGCAATAAACATACGTGTGCACGTGTCTTTATAGCAGCATGATTTATAGTCCTTTGGGTATATACCCAGTAATGGGATGGCTGGCTCAAATGGTATTTCTAGTTCTAGATCCCTGAGGAATCACCACACTGACTTCTACAATGGTTGAACTAGTTTACAGTCCCACCAACAGTGTAAAAGTGTTCCTATTTCTCCACATCCTCTCCAGCACCTATTGTTTCCTGACTTTTTAATGATTGCCATTCTAACTGGTGTGAGATGGTATCTCATTGTGGTTTTGATTTGCATTTCTCTGATGGCCAGTGATGATGAGCATTTTTTCATGTGTTTTTTGGCTGCATAAATGTCTTCTTTTGAGAAGTGTCTGTTCATGTCCTTTGCCCACTTTTTGATGGGGTTGTTTGTTTTTTTCTTGTAAATTTGTTTGAGTTCATTGTAGATTCTGGATATTAGGGCTATGAAAATTTCTTAAGTGCAAATATTTGTTTTAATCATATATACAGTTACCAAATGCTTCTTTGGAGTAAGTGCTGTTCAGTTCAATTTAGCACACATCAAAGCACATGTCTTCTCAGCAGGTGGGGGCCTAGAGACTACATCTATGTTGCCCTTGACTCACATCATTTCACTTCAACAGGGCATAAGCCTACAAAAAACGTGGCTTGGGGAACCATTTACATAACTCTGCAATGCTTCAATTCCATTGTGGAACAACATGTGGAAAGCCAAGCCCTTTAGTTTGTTAGAGAGACTTCTAACATTTAATCTTTTTGTGAAATTCTTGGCAACAGCCTTAAGGCAAGTAAGAATTGAGTTGCTTAGATTAGTGCAACTTTGAAGTTATTACTCTGTTTCTAGCACTAGTACTCTAAAAATAGAAATTCCATGCAAGCACAGATAGTTTGTATGTCTTGCTCGCCCTTTCAGTCATCATTTCTTTTATTCTGGACATTGATTATACTTGATTAAGTGTTTATATCACATTACTTTGGCTATATTTACTCATTATATTTACTTCAAAGATTTTGCTTTAAGAAATGGAAATTATCCACTGGTATATTCCTGGAGAGAACTGACATTATCTTTGCTGGGATTTTCTTTTTTCATTTGTTTCAAGAGAATTTGTATTCAATTGTTGAAGCATTTTTCTTATGGCTGATTTAAACCTTCATCACATAATTCCAACATCTGATTCATGTTGAATTGGTGTCAACTGATTGTCTTTGCTCATTCAGGTTACAATTTTCTTGGTTCTTGGTATGACGGGTGATTTTTTGTTGTATCCTAAACATATTGTCTATGATGTTAGGAGACTCTGGATCCTATTTAAATCTTTTTATTTTAGCAGGAAATCACCCCGTTTAGGTTTAGCACGTGGATCTTGACTTACTTTTTTTTTTTTGAGACAGAGAGTCTTGTGCTGTTGCCCAGTCTGGAGTGCAATGGCACGATCTCGGCTCACTGCAACCTCTGCCTCCAGGTTCAAGTGATTCTCCTGCCTCAGCCTCCCACCACCACACCCAGCTAATTTTTGTATTTTCAGTAGAGAAGTAGAGATGGGGTTTCACCAGGTTGGCCAGGCTGGTCTGGAACTCCTGACCTCAGGTGATCCACCCGCCTCAGCCTCCCAAAGTTCTGGGATTACAGGCGTGAGCCACCGCGCCCGGCCTTGACCTACCTTTATGTGTTGCGCTTTATATGATACACTTTAATTTTCAGAGCCCCCAAGGCATTATTTTGGTCAGCTTGGTTTATCTGGTGTTGATGGGGTTCTCAATGGTCCCTACAGGTGCTTCCTGAGAGGGTTAAGAGGTTTCCCTAAGCTAAGCTGCTGTGTGTCTCCTGATCTGGAAGAGGCATAGCGGGATTTCCTCTCTGGACAGGGAAGGAGAGTCTGGAGCCTGCGGGAACACAGCCTTCCCAGGTCAGGCTGCTTGCTGTAGCTGGGTCTTTCTGGCCAGTTTCAACCCTCCCACCTTCACCCGAATGTCTCTGGGCTGTAAATAGAGTTTTTGTTTTGTTTTGTTTTGTTTTGTTTTGTTTTGAGACAGAGTCTCGCTCTGTCGCCCAGGCTGGAATGCAGTGGCGCGATCTCGGCTCACTGCAAGCTCCGCCTCCCGGGTTCACGCCGTTCTCCTGCCTCAGCCTCCCCAGTAGCTGGGACTACAGGCGTCCGCTACCACTCCCGGCTAATTTTTTATATTTTTAGTAGAGACAGGGTTTCACCATCTTGGCCAGGCTGGCCTTGAACTTCTGATCTCATGATCCACCCGCCTCGGCCTCCCAAAGTGCTGGGATTGCAGGGGTGAGCCACCGCGCCCGGCCTAAATAGAGTTTTAAAATATAAATCATTCTCTTTTTTCTACACAATAAAATTTATAATTAATATTAAGAACCATGAAAATATCATTACACAAATAAACATTTGAAAAGCACTTTAATATTTTTATTTTAAAAGCTTTCAAAGTCACAAAGTTCAATGAATAACACTGAATACTCATATACACCTATCTGTGTTCACCCACTGCAGCGTTAACAGATAAAATATAGGACTCCCAGTTAAATCTGAATTTCAAGTAAAAAGCCAAATAATTTTTAAGGTTATGTATGCATACAATATTTTGTACCTACTTATATTGAAAAATTATTTGTTGTCTATCTGAAATTCAAATTTAACTAAGTATCCTGTGTTTTTCTTTGGTGAATCTGACAGCCCTAACTTAACTGCTAACATCTGGCCTCAGTCATTCCAGTCTTTTCTCTACATATACTTTTCCTTTGCCAAACCATCTGGGGAACACTTTAAAAATAAAATCACAGAAGGTTTCATATGTGTATATGAAGCAGAATTGTCTGCCTTGGTTTTTTTCATCTAGTACTCAAAATTGAATTTTTTCCATTCGTTATTATATAGCACTAATTCCCCACCCCTGCCTAGATTCTAGGCTAGTTCTGAGTGCACAACCATGATGTAATTACAAAAACACTTCAACTCTCATGTCAGAAAGCCAGATGTTGTCACCAGTGAAGCAATAATCAAGAGGCCTCTGAGCACCATCCTTCTAGAGCTGATGCCAAAACCATTTCAAGTGAAAGGCAAGCATTCTATGAAAACTCTCATATCAACTAAGAAACTACCATTGCTTGGTTCTTGAAGATGTTCCAGTTTTTCTCAGTTTCTTTAGTATGAGAAATCTCACCCAAATTCTACTTTATGTGGACATATCCATATTTATAGGTAACCATTGTAACTTAATGATTAAGAGCACAAGTCTAGGTTTCAGACAGTTGTGGGCTGAAATCCTATCTCCTGTAGTCAGGCTCATTAAAGGAAGTCATTTCTCTCATCTGTAAAATGGAATAAAATATCTACCCCTTGCATTTGTTGCAAGGCTTAGGAGAGCACTGTGCTTGGCACGTAGTAAACTAGCAATCATCATGTTGCTCTCCACCACAGTTTACGACTTTCACCAAAGCCAATTTTATGTTATGTGTTCCTGATCTTTCCCTGGAAATAATTTCCACACTAGTTTGAAGGCTTCTAAACCACAGCTACTGCTCACAACCATCTTATTACAACATATTTGAATACTGTAGTCGTGCACAAAAGCAGAATGGAAGTGAAAAGAGATGAGGTCTCAATTGTATTCTTAGACCCCATCCACACAGATACGAGTCAGGGACCACCAGCTAGATCGAAGTATAGTAGTAAATTTGGCTCTATCAATGACCACATGGTGTGTATGTGTTTGTCTGTGTGCTTGTGTGTGTGTGCTCTACGAATGAGATGATATGAAAATATGTTAAAAGTTTATGTGTCGTATATGGGAAATGATTTTTCCTTCATACATGAATTCATGTTAGTCAGATATTTATCAGATTAATGTGTGCAGTTTAGGTCATGAGACCCTTTTATTTTGAGACAGATTCTTGCTCTGTTGCCTAGGCTGGAGTACAGTGGTGCTAAGAGGGCTCACTGCAGCCTCTTCAACCTCCTGGGCTCAAGTGAATCTCCTGCCTCAGCCTCCAAAGTAGCTGAGACCACAGGTGCATGCCACTATGCATGGCTAATTAAGCGATTTTATAGAGATGGGGTCTCGCCATGTTGCCCTGGCTGGTCTCCAACTCCTGGGCTCAAGTGGTCCTCCTGCTTCAGCCTCCCAAAGTGCTGGGATTACAGGTGTGAGCCACTGGTGCCTGGCTCAAACCTTTAAAAAAGTGTGGAGGCAATGGAACAGATTCAGAAAAGGGAACTACAAACATGCAAATGTGACATGATGAAAAGTCAAAAGAATTGAAATTGTTTAGAAGGACCAGGATAAATTGGCTCGTTTTCAAGAATGGGAAAGGTTTTCTAGGAAGATTCCAATTCACTATTCCTGTGTTCACAGAGGACCAAAGGGAAATGATTATATTGAAATCGTGTACATTTTTATTTTGTATGAAGAGGCGGTCCTAGGAAATTTGGTGGGAGTTTTGACTTAAGCTTTGTATATAATTACCAGTCCTGACTATTTTTTATCTGGTGTCTACCTGAACCCAGGGGCTGTGGTAGATGAATGTGAAGGTTCTTTCTAGCTTTGAAATGTAACTGGCGCTGCATATGGAAGATATGTTGCACAATTAAAAATCTGTTAAACAATTACTGAAGAGATGGGTCAGCCACAATGCAGAGATGAGTATTTTGGCATGCTCTGGTTGTTCACAGAACACAACATGAGACCCATCAATCAGCTTTTAACAGACAATTCCAGGTCAGCCAGCATGACTGGATTTTTAGTGCTGATTTCATTGGATTTGCATTTGCTATTACGAAAGACGACAACCGACAGTTTCTTAGAACATAAATCATTGCTCGTGCCTTGATCCATAACTGGAGAAACAAACAAAATTTTTAAAAATTGCCATTGAACTAACAATTCTCAGTATGGATGGGAATGTTTCCTTTATTAAATTCAGGATGGATTCATTCTAGGAACAATTTTGGTGTTCTGGGTCTCATTCATTATAGATTACCAACTTTCAGTGCTTGGCTGCCAAAATACTTTGGCTCATTCTCAAACCCCAGCAATTGAATAAATTTTTCCTCTCCTCCTGCTCCAGAGCCATTAACAATAGCTCTAGTTGTCTTTTCTTCTTACTTTATCTACTACTTTTGTCTTGAGTCCCCTAGAAATTTCTGTATGCTGTTTATACTGCAATATATTAATGATGATTCATAGCCATGTATTGATTCTTGTGATCCTCCCAAAACTGTGTGCCTTTGTTCCTCCACTTGGTTTCTATGTCCCTCTACTTGGTTCTGTAGGTCCGTATTTCTCCTCTCACCTACACATGGACCAGCACAGACACTCATAAATGAAACATGTATTTTTCAGTCAATGTTTATTGTCTCTGACCAGATCTAAAGGGCTTAGTTGACTGCATGAACAAAACAAAACAACAATAATAATGAGACAACTCAAAGTAAAAACCCTGTGATTAAATAAGCTGGAACTTTATCTCCCACCTGCAAGCGGTCTGGAAGTGGAAAGATTGGGGCTGGCAAGGCAGCTGTAGTATTACAAAGGCCATGGATGCTTTCCCAGCCTCATGGTCTGATGGGCTGCCCTAGTTTCAGTCATGACATCAACATCCCAAGAAGCTGAGTGGAGGAGGAGATGGGAGTAGGGCAGATTCACCTCTTTCAAGGAAATTTCCTAGAAGTTCCACACAACATTTTTAGTTGATTCTTGTTGGCTGGGACTAGGTACATGGCCACTCCCAGACTCAAGGGAGGCTGGGAAGTGTCATCTTTTATGCCAGGTGACAATGTGGCCTACTAAAAACAAGGATTCTGTTATCATGGAGAAAGGAATCAATAAATGATGGACTAGACAATGATCATCTACTGCAGAGCCTACATCGGGCTTTGGCAAGAAAAGCCTCAATCCAGATCCACTGATTTAAAATGTCAGTGTGATGTGGACATTCCCCTTTGGTAACAGTGCACCAGGTGCTGTGATAAGTGCTTCATCATAAAATCCTCATGAAAATCCAGGACAAAGGCGCTACTATTATGTATCAAGGCTAAATAATTCCATTTCATAGATGACAAGACTGAAGTACATAGAGGAAAAAGCCATGCAATTAGTTTTTAGTAACTAAGGTATTATATTCTCTACATAGTTCATAGTGAAGCTGGTGATTGAACCCAGGCAGTCAGATTGCTGCACATATACTAGTAACCATATTCCTGTGTTGCCAGTGAAGCAGAATGGGAGCCTTGCCTTTCCAAGAATTTTCCAGCATACACTGTGGCATAACACTCAGGGATTCTGTGATGTTGCCTTTATTATGCTCACACAGACATACACAGGTATGTGAAAAAATTAATATCTCTGCTTTCATTTGGACATGATAGGCAATTTTCAGGAGTTGCTATCAAACCTTATACTTAGTTGTTGGTGCCATCCTTCTTCTACCTCATCTTTCATTTGTTAAATGTTGTCTTTATTTTTCTGATTACTAGAAACATGGAACTGTGTAAAGTTTATTTCAAGTGAGCTATTTGCTGCAATCCATTCATTCTTTTGAAGCACTTTATTCCTACAGCTACCTAGGACGGTTGAGGTCTAGCCATGATTCAAGATGGGGCTGTCAGTCCATTTGGTTGGGGAGATGGCCAAACCCTTGTGAAGCCTTGTCAGCTTAGACACAGGATTGATGACAGGGTCATTGTAGAAAAGAAGAGTAAAAAGATTTGGGGGATTGATTCTGGTCTTGAGAAAGATGCTCTATTGTTTTGATTGCAATTTTGATTGGCAAATTGGAAAATAGAGCTTAGTCCTACTGAATGTCAAGCGAATGGAATGTTACTGTAAGGGAAAATAATTTCAAACAATCTGTGTTTTTAAAAAATGCATAATTTTTGTAACTCGAATACTGTATTCCCTTCATATGAAATAAAAACCTACTAGTCAGGAGCCCATTACATAAATACATCATGTCAGCTGATGTGAGAAATAGTCTTCTTTTAAAACAACTGATGAAGAGTAGAGATTTAATGCCTTTGAATTTATTATTATTTCACACTGTTCTGAAGAGGAATTTTTATAGTTCATTGTTTCCTTAAGTCATCTTAGAGTTTTCCAGAAAGAATTGAAAGAAAATGGAATAAAGATATAGCCAGCTTTAAAAAATGTCTATTATAGAAATTGTCACATGTATTAAAAGAGTAGAGATAATACCATTGTAATGGTCCATGGGACTGTGACTTAACTTCAGCAGTTACCCGCACATGGCCAGTCTTCTTTAATCTCCACCTCCACCCTCATTTCCCTTCCCCTGTACACACTGGGTTCTTTTGAGTAAATCTCAAACATCATCTCTCGTATCTGTAAATACTTCATTATGAGCCTGTGCAAGTTACAAGATTTTCTAAAAAACATATGCCCAAACTTATTATCACTCTTGAAAAAAGTAATAATGGTATTGAGAATATTATATGCTTCTCTCTTCTTTTTAAAAAGTTAGTGTGTGTAAATCAGGATCCTAGCAAGTTCACATATTACATTTGGTTGTTATGTCTCTAGTGTTCTTGTAATATATAGGTTCATTTTTTCTTTTCCTTTGCAATTTATTTATTGAAAAAATTCTTATGGAGTATATATCACATTGTGGATTTTGCTGATTTGTTTATGCCCCTGTGGTGTCATTTATTATGTTCTCAGTCCCTTGTATTTGTATAAATTAATCAGATTCAAGTTTGATTTTTTAAAATTTCTGCAAGAATATTTCATAGATGTTGTTGTGTACTTCTTACTGGATCACAATATATTGCATTGCATCCGGAGGAATGTAATTCTTCCTATTTTATCACATCAGGAGGAACATAATGCTAAGTTGTCTCCCTGTCTATGATGTTAAGAGTGATCAATTTTTGACAGGTAATGTCAGCCAAATCTTTCCTTATAAAGTTCCTCATCAGCTTTTTAACTAATAATTTTAGTAGCTATCCATGGTCACCACCTAAAATGGTTACTTCATTAGAGATTACAAAATTGAGATAGTCCAATTCTATAATTTCTTCTTCATATATTAGCTGGAATTCTTCTAGAAAAATATGGCTTTCCTACATTAACTATTTGGTTACCTTGAAGTGCTCTTTGTACAGAAAAGGTGTATAAATGCTTGAGTTTTAAAAGTCAAATTTTAGAATAATGAGCTTATTCCTTAACAACTGGAAAAATTCAACAATGAGCTTTTTAAAATTATTATTGGGGTAAGCAAATGATTTTAAACATATTTAATATGCTAAGTCCTCTGCTATTATTATTCCTTTCTATAATCAAATTGTCCTGACTTTGGAAGCCATAGATCTGGAATCAAGCCTTTCTACAAAGTTCCTTTTAATGGAGAAAGGTATTTAGAATCCCTAGTCTAGTTGCTGGGTTGACCAAGGTCTCTAGACCTTTTCAGTGGTCAAAGGTAGAAAAATAGTTCAGGAGTCCATACTAATACTTCCAATACCAATTTTGGTTACAGGATTTTTACTTATTTGACTTGTATTTGTATCTTTTCCTTCTTTCACTGAACGCCTTTGTTTTTAAATGAAATAATATAAATATTTATTTACTTTTTATTACAATAGTATCAGAATGACAATATACTAAAACTAACTTTATGATTACTGAGAAGAGCCTTGATTACTGAGGAGACTTTTTTCACTTCTTTTGTTCTTAGAATGTAACCCACCAGGGATATACGGCAAAATTACTGTTTTAAAGTCACTTTGAAATAAACTTTCTCTGAGTGGTAAAGTCACCAACTCAAAAATAGTTAGGTTTATTATTTTCTTTCAGCTTTCTTATTCTAAGAATTGATTTTTAAGTTTATATTTTTGGATGATGTACATATATTTCCAGAGTAAAATCTACAAAATATTTTTAAAAACTAACTGTCATATTCATCCCCTCACCCAATTCCCATTCTGACCCAAAGGTAGCCCATGCCTCTAGTTTTTAGTATATCTTGGCATTTTTAAAGTAAGCTACTCTGTGTGTGTGTGTGTGTGTGTGTGTGTGTGTAACTATCTGTAGTGTCCCTCTTCCTTAGCTGGAAGATGACATAGCATACACACACCATACACATGGCTTTTCTCATTTAACAGTATATCTGTGATTACAGGTGCATAGTGCTCCTTTTGTTGCTGTAACCTTAGTTTATTCACCTTGTCCACAATTGGTGGGCATTTGGAATCTTCCTAGTCTTTTGCTATTTCAGAACTGCTACAATAAGCAGCCTTCTTCGCCAGTTACAATTTATTTGACTAATTTGTTGATAAAGGCATTCGGGTTACTTCAGAGTTTTCCTTTTATAAACCAAAGTGTGATAAACATCCTTGCAGATGCAATCTTTGTTATCTTAATAGATTGAAGCTTCCTGAGAGCAAAGCATTTTATTTCTGCTATATGCGTACCATGAAATGCATCATCAGTTGGAAGACATTCCGGAATTCTTAATAAATTAAACTAAATGAGTCAAGAAAAAGACATTAGAAGAGCACATTCATATTTCTGGAAAACATATGCAAATCAATGTATTACTGATCTTCAGTACCAACAAAGTAAGCATGCTTTTCTACCAAAAGGATTGATATTCATATTTTGTTTACAGGAAAGTTTCTTTAAACAGAAAATGTCTAAAATAAACACTGAACAAAGTTAAAGGAAGGGAATATGAAAGGGGGTAGTATTATTTATTGAGGAACTACCACACTCAAATTAGTCAAACAGACCACAAAAATTAATCAAGAGCCTACTATGTGTCAAGCTGCTGATCCAGGGGCCGGGAGTCTTGTCAAATGAAGCACACTGCATTCGTGCCTTGTTTTCTAGTGGACAGGCATAAGTGGGAAGGCACAGATAATGAACACAGGGAGAAACGTGTAATGTATCTTAGGAAACTGATAATGGTTGGAGAGAAATCCTTGGGAAAGGGAATGGGGTAGAATTCAGAGCCGAGGTGATGTAGACGGCTTTTAGATAAGAACGTGGGCTGGTAGATTTAGGGACAGGAGAATAGAATGGTTCCTTTCAGACCGCATACGCTTTCCCTGAGAAGAATGCAGGGAGGGTGGGTGCTGAGAGGATCCTGGAAGGTGGGAAGTAATTGATTTGGAGTGTGGGAATGTAAAGTTATTAGGGGAATGTCATTGATACTGTGCTTGGGACTTCACCTATGAGAAGTTATTCAACAAAAGCTGTCCTTCCAACACCCCTTGCTAAAAGAAATATTACAGCCCATGCATGGTCTGGCCAAGGGGGTTAAGAACATCTTCCTTCCATTCCCACTGTTGTGGGAAAAAAACAGTTTCTTGTCACATGACCAGGAAAGATTAGGCTTGTGGACACATAGAAGTGTGAGAAGAGGAATTTACTGGGCACAAAGGAAAAAGGAAAAACAACTCAGCAAAGTAAGATGTAGTCCTGCTAACAGGCTCTCCACCTCACTGACTGAATGCCAGGTTGCCACCCAGGAACAGGAGAGGCTCCTCCCTGCTGTAAACGGAGTGAACTTCCTGAGGCTCCACCCCATCCTCCCAGTGTGAAGGCTAGTTGGAGATTCCCTGAAGACCTTCCCCCTTATCTGCCTCCTGCATCTATCACCACTAAGCGGATTAGAACAAGAATTAGCACTGGACTTGGTAGGCAAGCCACAGATTGCCATATCTAGTGTGTGGCATATTACCTCTGACATGGATATACAATGAACTTAAACCACCAGCTTTCTGTTCTTAAGTTTGGAGTTAGGAAATGGAGAGAATGAGGCAATGAGAAGACAATGCAGAAACTAAAAGAATGCAATGAGAGATGCCACTAGAGAGAGTTGGGTCCATGCCACACTAAAGTAGGAGAAAGCAAAACCTATGCTTAAGCTGAAAGAATCTTCCAGAAAGAACAGAAAGGATATGGGGAACTAGGCAAAGAAGGAAGGGCAGGGGAGCAGGGTCTTTAGAGTTGTCTCATTCCTGAAAACAGTCCAGGCCCAGTTCCAATCAACATGTTTCCTCGGAAGAAATCCACTTTTACTTGAACTAGATTGAGTGGGTACAGTGGACAGCTGCCATTTCTGTGCCCAACATCTATTTTCTCTCTTTTGGCTAACAGCACACTTACTTTTGTCTAGGAAAACTATTCTTTTTCACTAAGGTTCATGAACTGTGGATGTCATTGACCCATCAATTCATTCCATCTGTGAGCACATGACCTACATTTGGTCAATTATCACTCTCTTAACATAATGATTGATTCAAGGAAGACCATATAATGTAATAAAAGCCGGTAAAATTCAATTTGGGGGCCCTTGGAACATTGAGAAAAAGACCTTTAGTTGTGGTTGTTGAGAAGACAGAACAGTGGCTGTTTTGCTATCACTCGAAGAGATCTAAGAACTGAATCAAAAAGTAAAAAACCGAGGTGAGAGAAGGAGAAAGAAAAATGAAATCAAGATGCTACCAAATGAATCCCTGAATCTGTTCAGATCAGATGCTGAAGAACACAACTAAATATAGTATGGAAAGCACGGGTCCCGTATCATACTCCTAAGTCATACAGATGCTTTCGATTAGAAAAATGAGATACAAATGACACTGACAGAGATCCAGATTCAGAAGCCAGAGGAGAAAATTTATACAAAACCAATTGAGACCCTATCTTTGAACCTCTTCTTCACATGAATTTTCTGGCATTTCAGATTTTCTGTATCCTCTAATAACTTCTTAAATACTTCTGATTATTCTTTGCTCCTGAGTCCCTTGTCTTCCTTTGTTGGAGAGGAGATAGAGAGGACCAAAGTTTGCCATTTCTGAAACTTACCTATCCCTCTAACTGTAGTGTTGTGTAAAGTGTTAAAAGTGTTAGGCTCTGCTCCTCACCTGAGTGTAAGGAATCATGCCTCTGATCAGCCCTGTGACCTTGGGTAGTTCATCTTCCTTGTTAATCTTACTGCAACTTTCTTATTTGCAAAAGAGGAGTCACCAAAGCTGACTTCCAAGGCAGGAAGAGAAAACATCTGGTACTTGTGCTGCCATTTCCCCTACACACCCATCCTAGCCTGGTCCATGCATCACTGCACATGTGTGGAGTCTTAGATCATTCTCATGAGAGATAAAATCTTGTTTGCCTTGTTTGCTTTGAAGTTTCTCAAAGCCCTAAATTCTGTGACACTTCTGAAGAAGAATGTGATGAAATTTAATATTTTAATATCTTTACCTTTATGTCTTAGAACTGAACAACTTCTCATAGATAACTGGCAGCATTCATAAAAAAATTTAATCTTAGGACTTTTAAGTTTTGTCTAAAAGCTTAATATCAGTGTATGGGCTGTACAAATAAATTCTTACAGATTCCACCATTAAGTATTGCTAGAATAAGGAAATAATGCCATTATCATGAATAATTTGCCAAATACTCTTTTCTTACAAGCCTTGAGATTTGAAATATGGGTTAGAGGGACTCCATCACCTTCTTATAGTCATCCAGGCTTAAAATATGCAGTCACCTATGCTGTTCTTAACATTGAATCAATCACCAAGACTTTTGGCTACATCTGTACCCTCAGACTTTTCCCATCACCACCAGCCTGGCCCAGGCCCTTATTATTTTGTGCCTAGAGCATTGTAGGATGGTTATAGTTCATCTCTGTAATATTTTTTTTAACTTCCTTCATCACGTACAACATGCTCATATTGATCTTGCTAAGATAATTGGTTGTCACAACGTCTCCATGACCAAAACCCAAACTCCATGACTCTGCCCCATGAATCTTCATAGTTTTGTCCATACCTGCCTTTCATTCCTCCCACAGGAGCTTTCTTCTTCGTTCATTAAATCATATGGTTAGCAAGTATTTATGGGATTGCTATCCCATAACAGCATCTATAGTATGGCTAGATATGCAACTATGAATAAGACACTGTGCCTATTGTTCCGACCTAATAATAGTCTACTAGAGCAATCAGACAGGTAAACAGATAAGACACACCTGGGTGACCTGGACATGGGAGAGAATGTGGACAGTTACAGGAACCCAAAGCAGAAGTAACTTGCCCAGCCCTGGAAGCCCTGGCAATGCTTCCTTGAGAAGATGGCATCTTGCTTGAGCCCTGTAAAACAAGTAGACTGCTCTGCTCATTGGCCCTACATGTTGGAAACACCTGTCAAGGCCAAGCTCGCACTTCAGCCTGTGAAGTACTTCCTTAACATCTAGTTAGTACCCACTGGTCTTCTCTCCATGCTCTAAGCTACTATGGCATTCATTATTAATTCAGTCTTCAGACATTTATTGTCATGAACTCCTGACCTCAGGTGATCCAGCTGCCTCGACCTCCCAAAGTGCTGGGATTACAGGCGTGAGACACAATGCCCGGCCTTCTTCAGATATTTATTGTGTCCTATTATGAGCCAGAAACTCTCTAGACCAAGATATAGCAGTGAATAATTAAATCCCTGCTCTCTGGAACTTACATTCAAATGGGGTGAGGCAGACAATAGCAAACAAACAAAAAATATATAATGTGTCAGGCAGTGGTAGCTCCTGTAAAGGAAATAAAACAGGGTAAGAAATTTCTGATAGGGGAAAGCCTCCTCCACTAAGATGGCATTTGAGCAGAGAGATGCATAAAGTATGGAAAGCTGAGGGATAAAGTTTCCAGGCCAAGGGAGCATTGAATGAAGAAGTCATGAGACCAGGAGTGTGTTTGCAGTTGTAGGAATAGCATGGATTTGGTATTACTCATTTCACTTCTCCTTGGACATTTGCCTTGATTCATCACGGACCTTTCACATGAGCCCAAGTAGTTCTTCCCAAAAATGATTTTGGTTTATTGAGGCCAAGAGTTGTAACTTCTCTCTCTTCATAATGTTGTTACTATCGTCCTCACTCCCAAATCCCCTGCACTAAATCCAGCATCTTTATGAGGATATCAAGAGGTGTTTGTTGATTGAATGTGAAGTGGGATGTATTCACGTTCTTGATGAATTACATGTGCTATAAGGCACTAGTACTTTCCTTTTCTGGCTGATTTTAAAACAGAACAAAACTTCATGACCACCAAAAGAAAAGGGTGCGGTGGGGAGGGAGGGTGCAGAAACATAGAAAATATCTCAGAGAACTAATTTCAGGGGCCTCTGAGTCTGCTTCTAGGGCAAAAACTAGGACACTTTTGGCAGTGTTTCTGTAGGTTTTAATGTAGTAGTGGAGGACTGAGAACAGGATTGAACGGATGACTCCAAAAAAGTGATGTCATGAATTGTAGTCTGTGGGTTTATTAAGTATTGATCACCCAGCCTGGTCCTGAAACAGCCTCAGAACCACCCTGTGAATAAGCCATAAAGCAAAAGAATTGCTCACTGATTTAATGGGCAATCTCATTTGGGGTTGTTGTGAAATCCTTCTGAATAAGAAGTTTAGAAAGTTTGAAAATTCATTTACATATTTAACTTTTTAAAGAGCAGCACCCCGAATATCACTAAGGCAAATACACTATTAATTAATTAACAGATGGCTATGAAAGCACTAGATTAATTCTTGTTTGAGACCTGGGAAGTGCCTGAATCAGATTTCATTAGGTCATTTTTTGGGATAAGTTTAGCACGTAAATTCTTTAGGTGCCAAGTTTGAATTGATATCACATTGTAGAGCAGCAGTGTGGTCTGTGGACCCCTGGGACTCCTTTGATTTCAAAACTATTTTTATAATGGTGCTAAGATGTTATTCTCTACTTACTGTGTTGACATCTGCATTTGTAGTAAAAAGCAATGGTGAGTAAATCTGCTGGCGTCTTAGCGGGAAACACGGAGGTGGCACTAAATATTGTCTTCTTCATTGTCATGCACTAAGTTTTACTTAATAATGTCCTTGATAAAACAGTGAAAATTTATTAAATCTCTACCCTTGAGTACACATCTGTTTAATATTCTGTACACATTAAGCCCTTCTGCATGCCAAAGTACAACGCTTGTCTATAGGAAAAGCCATTGTTTGAGTTGCAAGCTGAACATTTATGCTTAAAATAACAGCTACAGTTATTTTATGAAAAATGAAGTGAGCCTGTCACTTCTAGGAAAGTAACAGGCATTTATTGCCAATGATAAAATTAAAGCTTTCAAATGGAAATTTGAATTTTGGAAAATTTGTATCTACCACTGTGAGCTGAAAGCTTCCTAGAACTTAAAAGGACTTAATTATGAGATCTGTGTTTATTATGTGGATATTAACAAGTGTGATATTTTGAAGTTTGAGGAAATGTGTCAACATTCTGAAGATCTGCATAACTCAATAAATCAATATTTTTCAAATGACCAAATGCATCATATTACAAAATCATACATGGGTAAAAGATTCATTCAAGGTATAATATAGACCAGTGTATTTTAATGTAACACAATATAAAAAGTTCATTGATATGGTTTTAGATCCCACATTACAATAACCGTTAAAAAGCTACTATTTGTAAAGTTTTGGTATAGTATCAAAGAAGAATATTTTTGGCCATTAAAACATTTCTTCTTTTTCCAACTACATAGCTGTGTAAGGTGAGACTGTCTCCATATACTTCAACCAACACAACACATTGCAGCAAATGGAAAGTAGAAGCAGATATGCAAATCACTGTCTTTAGACTTGAGAACCAAGAGAGCTGACGGTGTCCAAGTTTCAGTTTGAGTTCCATGCGTAAGGAGAAGACCACTGTCTCAGCTACAAGACAGTCAGGCAGAGAGAAAATTCTCCCTTACTCAGGATTTTGTTCTATTCAGGCCTTCAGTGGACTCGATGAGGCCCACCCACACTGGGGAGAGAAATCTGCTTTACTCAGTCTACTGATTCAAATATGGATCTCATCCAGAAACACCCTGACAGACAGACCCAGAATAATGTTTGGCCAAATATCCAGGCATCTTACGGCCCAATCAAGCTAACACATAAAACTAACCATCACAATCAGCAACACATAAAACAATTTCATTTTCCCTTGTTTGCATGCATGCGTGCATAGATAAGAGGAACATATATATGCATGGATAAGTGGTTAGATAGATGCTTTTTCCCTGCTTTAGACCTGTTATAAGAAGGTTAAATTAATCACAAGCCTTAGTCCATGATGAAAGATCCCTTTAAGCCTCTGTTCCTGTTTTACTTATTCCCTCTTATCCCCATCCTCTCTTCCCATTTGTCTCCTCTCATAAACAACTCTTTTAATGTGTTTTCTGTGTATAATTTTTTTCTGGTATATGTACTTGTAAAATATATATAATGATTTTATGTTGCACATATTTTTAATTTGCAGAAATAGTATTGCGATAAATGCATATAAATTTATTTCCTATTTTTCATCTTAGCACTATGTTCTAAAGATCTATCCTTATTACATCATGCTAGTAAGAAAAGTCATATAGACAGATCATCTGACTGATATACACTTTTCTTAGCACATACATGCAGCTATAGATTGGATGGCAGCATTAAAAGATTTGACCTTTTAATATAACAAACATTGCTAAGCTATACAATTTATACAACCTAACCTAAAATTACTTTACCATTTGCTCTCAAACCTCATGTTGTCAAACAGCTTTTATTGATGGTCTCCGTGTGCGACAAGCTTGTTGCACCATGAGAGTGTCTAAGCAACAAGAGCCAGAACACAGTGTTTCAAAATCTTGGCTCTACAATTGTATGATCTTGGGTAACTCACTTAACTTCTCTGTGTTTCAGTTTCATTATCTGTAAGGTGAGGTTAAAAATAGTACTACTTGCAGGCGCTGTGGCTCACGCCTAAAATCCCAGTACTTCGGGAGGCCAACGTGGGTGGATCACCTGAGGTCAGGAGTTCGAGACCAGCCTGCCAACATGGCGAAACCCATCCCTACTAAAAATACAAAAATTAGTTAGGCATGGTGGCAGGCACCTGTAATCCCAGCTACTCAGGAGGCTAAGGCAGGAGAATCACTGGAACCTGGGAGGCAGAGGTTGCAGTGAGCTGAGATCGTGCCACTGACTCCAGCCTGGGCAACAAGAGTGAAATTCCATCTCAAAAAAAAAAAAAAAAAAAAAAAAAAAAAAGAAGGTACAACTCTATGGCATTGACATGAGACTTTAAATGAATTAATATTTGTAAAGTGCTTAGAACAGTGCCTGGCAATAGGACACATCATATAGATGTTTGTGAAAGGAAAGGAAATGAAAGAATAAAAAGAACATGCCACCTGAGAATGTTGACTTGTTCCTAAGAATCAGTCTGCCTTTCCCATTAGAGCGTTTCTCTTCCTTATCTTCCAGAGAAAAATGTTTTGGTAATAAAGAGTCACTAAATGTTTATGGATAGAGGTAGTAATATTATTCTGTTATTTTACAATCTTATGTATAATATTAATAGTGACTTAGAATATTTAAGTAAATATACTAAATATTCTAAGTAACTATTAGAATTCCCAGTATAAGAATCAAGAGTAGAGATTGTAGAAAGTAGAAAAGTTCCTCTTCAAAGCTTGTCTTAGTTTAAAAATAAAATAATAGACACTAGGAATAATAGCTTCTTACTCTAAAGCCTCCTATCAACTATTAGTTCTTACACTTTAGCCCAGTTAGTTGCTTTGACTTACTCAGGCATGACTGGACAGGCCCAGGCAAGTTCTCAGCTCATAGCTTATGCCCCTTCCTTATTTGGAAATGTTATTGCTTCCTTAAACCTTTCATAAGCAACTTCCTCTCCTTCTTTGTTCTCCCATGCACTTACCTATTTAGGAAAGTTTTAGGTTATTAGCAAATCAGGTATCAGTTTAAGAATGTAAGGTCTAGCTTCAGCCAATGGATGCAGGACACAGCAGTAAGGATGACCCAAATGCATAAGGGATAAATATGTCTGTTTTTTCTTTGTTCAGGTGTGGCCTTGCCATTGTTCCAAATGCATGGAGCACCCTTTCTGCAGAAAGCAAAGATTGCCTTGCTGAGAGGTCCTTTGTCTCCGTGCTGACTTTTCTTCGTGGCACCGATTATCTATTTCTAACAGAGAGTCATGGGCATTTGGACAAAGAAAATAAAAGGATTGTGCATTTCACATCAAATATAGTAAGTTGTCAATCTCCTTAGGGCCCACAAAGCCATCTTCTTTTCTTTCCCATCAAAACATTCATGACTTCACTGTTCTCTCCTGGCCACAGAAAACAGAAATTCCCAGTGCCAGGAGCAGTGAAGTCAGAGCAATACAACGGCCTCCAGGTGTTTTGTAAGACTAATTCCTGGCATGAGGCTTTATATTTTTCTCTGCTTTTATCCTTATCATTAATGACCATGTCATTCTAGAAGCACTAACAGAATATCAGAAAGAGATGAGCATTTTTAATGGGGTTTGAAGAAGTCAAATGGAAGACCAACCATGGGATATATTTCTTAATTTGAAAATCAAGCTAAATTTAATTGATCCAGATTGTTTTTCAATATAAACTGTTGCTAACTTCCTTTCTCAGTGTGATTACAATCACTTACTTTTCAGATTGGGTGCCTGGGATAAAGCCAGATTAACTTTGAGCTGTGAATTTTACAAATGCTCTTGTTTAACATATAATCCATTTAAATAGAGCCATTCTACAAAATGCAAACATGGTAATTGGTGCAATTTTATTTTTTTTGCATGAAACAGCATACAAGAATATGCTTGCTTTGACTTTCTGAATCTCTGCACAGTCAGAAATCTGGCAGAATAATCACTGAAGTTCAAATTAGAGCCCCAGATGGAAACACAAACAGGGGCCACCACTGTGCCTTTTTCATGCTTGGAAGCTCAGTTCTGGATGGAAATGTGTTTTGAGTTAAAATGTAATCATTTCCAATTCCTTCTGATCACTGGATCATATTTGAAAGAAACAGCCCAAGGACTACGATTGCTTTTAATTACCACTGAATGTTGATTGAAATGATCATTTCCTTCCTATCCGTTTGTATTTTTATAGAACAAACAAGAATAAAATAAAAATATGGCCTTTTAATATTTTAAGTATATTTTGGGAATGATTTCTGTTGGACATTGCACTTTTTGGAGTAGAGTTTCTTTATCAGGTTCAGATTTTCCCAATTTTATTTACTATGCATCACAGAAAGGGTAAGTTCAGTTTAATATCCTTGAATGGTGAAGTTTTTGAATTCGGTTGGCTTCTTTTAAAATTCAGTAAGGCTCAAGAGAGTTCATGCACTTCTCTGATTAAAGAATCTAAAACTGTAAGATATCTTAGACAAGGTTCATTATAACTTTACCATACTTCTACCTCCCCACAGCATTTAAAAAATGAATGCACTGAAATTATTGAGAAAGACAAGTAAAAGCAAAACAAAACAAAACAACTCTCTATTTCACACAAAAACTTCATGGAATATTCAATATTTAAAATTTTATGTTAATTTTGATCTTTATATATTATTAAAATGTTATAAATTACAATTATTCCTCTCCTTAGCTGAGACCTCGGCAAGTAGCCTAAAACCCAACAGTAAAGAGTGGTTCCCAAGTCTCATTCAAAATATGAATGGAGAACACAAAGGTGTCACATGGCCTCCCATGATTTATTCTCCTGTGTCTCAATTCTGAACAACCATGAGACTAAATAAATGTATTTTTTGATGCTTTTCTGATTATTTTAAGATTTCCAATACAAATTCAAGAAAAATGTCTTAGAAACTTAATTCTGTTGTGAAATATATAATCTCTAAAATGAATCCTGTATTTGGGTTTCCCCAGAAGCCTTTGAAAGAAAATTTGTATATGTGTCCAGTAAGATCTCATAAAGCGATATGTTTAACCAATCTATAAAATGCTAATTAATTGCATAAGCTGTAGAGTCAGACATACCTAAGTGGTTCCAAACCACCTTACTAACTCCTCTAACTCAAATTCTCTGTGCTTAAATGTTCTCACCTGATAAATTGCTAATTCTAGTCCCTCCCTCAAGAGTTCTGGGGTGAATTAAATAAGATAAAATGAAGTGTTTGGCACAGTACCATAAATACAGTTAGCTTTGAATAACAATAATTGTTATTATACTTGGCTATATGGCAATACATAAAAAGGAAAAGGAATAAATGATTGTCCCTACCTTCAGGAATGTTATCCTCTCACTGAGGTTTTGACATATGCACACGAAAAATTAAATATACTGAAAATCAGAATATGATTCAATGAGTCTTGTAAAAGATTAGACTTCCAGGGACAGGAAGTTGCTGTGGAATGCAGTGGCCTAATATGACTTTAAGGGAGAGAAAGGATTTGAGCTGGAGCATAAATGAAATGTAGTATTCAGATATTGAGAAAGGTGTGGTTCATTCCAAACATGAGCAGTGAAGGGAAACAGTTTTGGGGATAGGACTTTGGGGGACACTTCTAGACTAATGAATATGCGTGTGTGTGTGTGTGTGTGTGTGTGTGTGTGTGTGTGTGTGTGTGTGTGTGTTTGGCTAGCACAGAGTCATTCTTTTAAGGGAGAGCATGAGAAGATTCAGAAAGACGGGTTTGAATGTGTTTAAGGTCCTGGGTATTTTTGAGTAATGGAATGAGACAATTCAATAACAATTAAGGAAGACTTATTTGATTGTTTCTTGTTGGATGGGCTGAAGGAAGGATCTGATAAAGGGATATAGGTTAAGAGGTAATTTATGTGTGGACCAGGATGGAAGTTGTATTAAGCTATTGTTGCATTGTTATCAAGAAATGCCCAAGACTGGGTAATTTATAAAGAAAAGAGGTTTAATTGACTCATGGTTCTGCAGGCTTTACAAGAAACATGACTCTGGCATCTGCTCAGCTTCTAAGGAGGCCTCAGGAAGCTTGCAATCATGATGGAAAGCAAAGGTGCTAAACCATTCAGGAAGGACCCATCCCCATGATCAAATCACCTTCCACCAGGCCCCACCTCCAGCACTGGGGATTACATTTCCACATGAGATTTGGAAGGGACAGATAGCTAAACCATATAATTCTACCCACTGCTCCCTAAACTTCATGTCCTCTTATTTCAACATCAAGTTGAAAGTCTGGAATCTCATCTAAGACTCATCTCTTTCCACCTATGAGCCTACAAAATCAAAACAATTTATTTACCACCCAAATACAATGGTGGTACAGGCATTGGGTAAACATTCACATCCCAAGGGAAGAAACTGGCCAACAGAAAGGGGCAATAGGCCCCATGCACATCTGAAACCCAGCAGGGCAGTCATTAAATCTTAAAGCTCTAAAATAATCTCCTTTGACTCCATGTCCTTTGACTCCATCCAGGGAACATTTGTACAAAGGGTGGGCTCCCAAGGTCTTAGGCAGCTCCACTCCTGTGGTTTTTCAGAGTATAGCCTGCACAGCTGCCTTCATGGGTTAGAGGTGAGTACCTGCAGCTTTTCCAGGTACAAGGTGCAGGCTGCTGGTGGATTTACCATTCTGGGGCCTGGAGGACATCAGCCTTCTTCCCACAGCTTCACAAGACAGTGCCCCATTGGAGACTCTGTGTGGGGCTCCAAACCCACATTTTCCCGCCACATGGCTGTAGTAGAGGTGGTCTGTGGAAGCTCCACCCCTACAGCAGGCTTCTACCTAGGCACCCAGGCTCTGTCACACATCCTCTGAAATCTAGGCAGAGGCTACCAAGCCATATTTACTCTTGCCCTCTGTGCACCTGCAGGCTTAACACCATGTGGGAACTGCCAAAGATTATGGCTTGCATTCTCTAAAGTGGCAGCCTGAGCTGTACAAGGGCCCCTTTGAGCCACAGCTGGAGCTGGAGCAGCTTGGATGCAGGGAGCTTGTCCCAAGGGTGTGCAGGGCAGCAGGGACCTGGGCCTGGCCCACAAAACCATTCAGTCCTCCTAGGCCTCAGGGCCTGTGATAGGAGGGGCTGCATGGGAAATCTCCAAAATGCCTTTGAAGCCTTTTTCCCATTATCTTTGTTATTAGCACTTGGCTCATTTTCAGTCATGTAAATTTCTCTAGCAAGTGTTTGCTCCTCAGCCTGCTTGAAATCCTCTCCTGAAAAAGCTTTTTCTTTCTTTGCCACATGGCTAGGCTGCAAATTTTCCAAACTTTTATGCTCTGCTTCCCTTTTAAATATAAATTCCAACTTTAAGTCATTTCTTTGCTTCCACTGTCAGAAGCAACCAGGCCACATCTTGAATGCTTTGTTGCTTAGAAATTTCTTCTGCCAGATACCCTAAATCATCACTGTAAAGTTCAAACTTCCACAGATCCCTAGGGCAGGAACACAATGCAGCCAAGTTCTTTGCTAAGGCATAACATATGTGACCTTTGCTCCAATTCCCAATAAATTCCTCATTTCCATCTGAGACCTCAGCAGCCTGGACTTCACTTTCAGCATTTTGGTCACAACTATTTAGCTAGTCTCTAAGAAGTTCCAAACTTTCCCTCATCTTCCTGTATTCTTCTGAGCCCTCCAAACTCTTCCAACCTCTGCCCATTGCCCGGTTCCAAAGCTGCTGTCACATTTTCAGGTATTTTAATAGCAATGTCCCATTCCTTGGTACCAATTTATTTTACTAAGCCATTCTTGCATTGCTACAAAGAATTACCTGAGACTAGATAATTTATAAAGAAAAGAGATTTAATCGGTTCACAGTTTTGCAGGCTTTACAAGAAGCATGCTACTGGCATCTGCTCAGCTTCTAGGGAGGCCTCAGGAAGTTTCCAGTCATGGCAGAAGGCAAAGGGGGAGCAGGCACATCACATGGCAAAAGCAGGAGCAAGAGAGAGAGAGTTGCGGGAAGGTGCCACTCACTTTTAAGTGACCAGATCTTGTGTGAACTCAGAATGAGAGCTCACTTCTCACTAAGGGGAAAGCCCAAGTCATTCATGAGGGATCCACCCCCGTGATCCAAACACCTCCCACCAGGCCCCACCTCCAACATTGGGGATTACATTTCAACATGAGATTTGGGCAAGGACAAATATCCAAACTATATCAGAGGTCATGAGGTTGGAAAGAGAAACTAATGATAATACTAAATTAGATAATGCAGTTAATCACCTACTTTAATCCTCCCCATAACCCTAAAGAATAGATACCATTATTTTACCCATTTTATTGATGAGAAAACCAAGGCTATCAAAGCTAAGCAATTAGTCTGATAAAACACAGCTAGAAAGTGAAAATGATGGGATCTGAAGTCTGATTGCTTTTCTAATTCCAGAATTCAAGTACTTAACCACTGTGGCATACTGCCTGCTATATATGAGAAAAAAATGGTTTCAGGAAATAATGTCTTGTTTCCTTTACCAAATACAGCTTATTTTCAGATCAAATGCTAACTTGATCAATAATGTGGGAATAAAAACCAAATTAGAAAAGCCAAGGCTATTTACTTTGAACTTGCTATGGTAAAGAAGTTAGCCATCATTGCTTGCACTTTGGCAAAAACTCAAAGGCAGGCAGGGGAGTGAGAAAGCTTTGTAGTTGAAAAAGGGAAGGCTCTGGGTATGCCCTGATGGGAGGCTGTTTCATGCGGAAGCTGTAAGCAGGCTAACTAGGGGTGGGGCACCCTGTGTGATTGGTTAGGGGTCCATATTTAACTTTCTCTGATTGGTCATTAGTTGGAAATGAAGTGGGGAGGCAAAAAATAGGAAAACTGTCAGCTATTAATCAAGTCCTGGCCATTTGGGGCTGATGGTTACAAAAGTTATTGTTTAGCTTCCTGGATTGTCACTGGAGATAGTAATGTGGTTTCCTGTGAATTTGACTTTTAGCAGGCTAGCTTTCTGGGTTGTTTATTGCATGTTTATTGCATGTAAGGTTTATTATATGTAAGGTTGGTTTCCTGAGCAGGTTGCTGCAGGTTATGGATCAGAATTCTAATTTTGTATATGTTCTGGCCATTGGCTGTTTGAATATTCAGTCTCAATACTTTTTTAGGGCTTAATGACCTTCAAACTTCTTAAGATACTTTCTGATTCTGGTGAAAGAAACAATAACATCATTCAAGACATAAATGTTAGAAATGTAACTGAAAAATTTACTTGGGAGTACAAAATTGAAACTGAGTATTTGAGGTTTACAGCCATACACTATCTTACCCCAGAGGCAAAAACATGTCTAATGTACAGGTATCTAGGTATATATTTCAACTTAGCCTGTGCCCACTCTCTATACTTTCCCTTGCCTTGCAGGGGAGAAGACTGGGAACTACACTTCCCAGAACCCCTACCCAGCAGGCTGTAGGTTAGAGTCTCTGATGAAATGGCCTCCCTTGAAATATAGAAAGAAGAAAAGCTATGACTAGTATCTTTTCTTATTTTTCTTTATCTTCCCAATGTTTAGCATAAGACCTAGCACAAATTAGTCACTCAATAATAATTGTAAAATGAAGTCAAATTAAATAAATTGATGAATAGATAAAGAAGCAGGAATTTTGAAGCAGACCAACACAGAAAAGTAGCTGATCAAAAATAAAAGTAAGTATAAGAAAGAAAATAAAATCATACATGACAGTTAAAATATGTAGTCTGCTAATAAGGCCCTTCCACAAAGAGAAAATTGAGGACCAAAGTATTAATGAGGAGCATTCTTAGAATTATCTTACAGTTTATTTCTGTTGTAATTTGCCTTTTAATGCTGTTCCTCACATTCCTTCATTTCATGGTTCTTAATTCCCTTCAAACTAATCTCAAATCTGTTCACTTTCGGCCATCTCTATTGTTACTATCTTAATCCAAGCAGTCCTTATCTTTCTCAGGGACTTCTGAAGTAATCTCTGGACT
Source organism: Homo sapiens (assembly GCF_000001405.40). Taxonomy (NCBI): domain Eukaryota; kingdom Metazoa; phylum Chordata; class Mammalia; order Primates; family Hominidae; genus Homo; species Homo sapiens. The sequence continues at coordinate 25,704,333 of NC_000012.12, read as the reverse complement.
GGGATCTGCATCCACTCCAGTCTCCTCCACTTCATTCCAGTGAGCTTCTCTGTCTAGTACGGTGCTAGTGTGAACTAAGAAGTGCTGTAAGTATAAAATACACATTAAATTTCAAACACTTCATATGAAGAAAGAATGTAAGATGTCTTAATAGTAAAATTTTACATGGATTATATAATGATACAATAATACTTTGGGTGTGTGGGGTCAAATAAACTATATTATCAAAATTAATTTGATTTGTTTCATTTTCCTTTTTAAAATGTAACCAATAGAAAATTTAAATTTTCAATGTGTCTTTCAATATATTTCTATGGGACAGCTCTGCTCTAACCAAAAATTAGTGGTCTTTTAAAAACGAAGACTAGCTGATATTACTACCCTGCTTTAAACCTTGCATTTAGGATAGAAACCACCCAAATGGTGGAGGTGGTGCCTGGTAGGAGGTGGTTGGATCATGAGAGTGAATGTTGATGCTATTTTCATTATAGTGAGTGAGTTCTCATGTGATCTGGTCATTTAAAAGTGTGTGGCACCTTCCCCCAATTTCTCTCTTGCTCCTGCTCTGGTCACATTAGTCATGCCTGCTCCCTTTTGCCTTCTACCATGATTGTAAGTTTCCTGAGGCCTCCCCAGAAGCAGAATTACTATGCTTCCTGTACAACCTGTGGAACCACGAGTTAATTAAATCTCTTTTCTTTACAAATTGCCTGGTCTCAGGTATTTCTTTATAACAATGCAAGAATGAACAAATATAGCATTTTTATTAGGCTCATGTGATTTCAGACAAACAAGGAACATTAGCTATCACCTAGACAAATATTCTTGTTTTAGATATGAGGAAACTGATACAGTTTAATTTCAGTAAGAACGGGGGGAAATTCTTTTCTATGATTTGTATATTATGGAGGCAGTCACCTTTATATTGAGACACTGTAACATATGATACACGAGATGAGATGATCCTTCCGCACTCCTACAAAGAATGCACAGGTTTGCCACCTACCATCGTGTTATATGGTATGAATCCACGCTAGGGCACTATGTGTGAGGAAAAGTCGGGGAGGATGAGGCTTTACACCTCAGAAAAGCCTGGGCCATCCTTTGCTAATTCTAAGTAATGCAAGTATTTATTTATTTTTTTTTTCAAATAATTTAAATTATATCAAAGGAGTGAAGCCAATTGCAGATGTCTGTTATTTTTCATCTTTGTTTGTCTGAGAAAAGTCTTTTTTAAGCCCTGATTTCTGAAACATACTTTCACTGTTTATAGAATTCTACATTGACAAGTACTTGAAAGATGTCAATTGTTTTCTTTCTTATCTTTGTTTCTCTGTATGTTGTGTGTCTGTTTTTCTTTGGCTGCTTTTAAGGTTGTTTATTGTTAGTTGTCAGAAACTTGATTATGATGTGACTTGCTGTGGTGTTCTTTATGTTTATTCTTCTTTGGGTTTGTTGAGCGTCTTGGATCTGTGGTTTAATAGTTTTCAGCAAATTTGAAAAATCGTTAGCCATTCTTTCTTCAAACAGTTTTTTCTGTCCCTCTCTCTCTGATATCCTCTAGGACTCCAATTATGCCTATATTAGGCTACTTTATACTGTCTCACTGGTCATTTTCAGTTTAAAAAAATCTTTATGCTTAATTTTGGATAATTTTGTTGCAATGTCTTAACGTTGATATTTTTCTTTAGTAAGGCCTAATCTACTGCTAAAACCATACAATAAAGTTTTTCATCTCAGATAATGCATTTTTTAATCTCCAGAAGTTCTATTTGAATCCTTTTTATATCTGCCACTTCTCTCCTTATCATGATTATGTTCTACTCTACCATTTTCAACATGTGGATCACATGTATACTAGCCATTTAAATATTCTTGTCTGCTGGTTTCATCATACCTGGGTCTGTTTTCTTCATTGATTTTTCTCCTGGTTAATTATCCTTTTTTGCTACTTCTTTGCATATTGGTAATTTTTAATTGAATGCTAGATATGGTGAATGTTACATTGTTGGTGCTGGATTTTGTTGTGGTTCTTCAAATAGCATTTGGTTTTTATCTGCATACAATTAACTTAGTTGGAATCAGTTAGTTCCTTTAGAGACTCAATTTTAAGCTTAGCTAGAGTAAATTCTGAGCAGCCTTTGGTCTTGGGTTAATTTAGCCCCACCGCTAAGGCCTCCTGATAATTCTTCCCAATGCTCCATGCATACGGCAATATTTTTACTTGGCTGGTGGGAACACAAACTATTCCCAGCCCTGTGTGAGCTCTAGACATTGTTATGCCTATTCCTTTCCTTTCTTGTAGCTTGTGCTTTCCCTAGCCTAGGGTAGTATTCTCACATGCATGTACTGATTAGCACACAGCTGAAAGACTCAAAGGGAACCCTCTGCAGATTTCTTTTTCTTTCTCTCTTTTTTTTTTTTAGATGGAGTTTTGCTCTTGTTGCCCAAGCTGGGGTGCAATGGTGCCATCTTGGCTCGCTGCAACCTCTGCCTCCCAGGTTCAAGCTATTCTCTTGCCTCAGCCTCCCCAATAGCTGGGATTACAGGCGCTCACCATGATGCCTGGCTAATTTTTTGCATTTTTAGTAGAAATGGGGTTTCACCATGTTAGCAAGGCTGGTCTCAAACTCCTGACCTCATGTGATCTGCCCACCACCTCGGCCTCTCAAAGTGCTGGGATTACAGGTGTGAGCCACCATGCCCAGCCCCCTCTGCAGATTTCTAGAGCACTCCTTCTCTCTCTCTCTCTGCCTCTCCTTGTGTCTGTCTCTCTCTCTCTCCACTCTGGCACTCTGCCTCATAAATTCTAGTCATCTTAGTCACCTGGAACTCTGATCTCTGTATCGTCAACACAGCAAGACTATCATGCTACGTTAGATCTATCCCTGCTCTGTGTCTGGGACACCCTCCCAAGGCGGTAAGCAAGTGCAGTCCTAGGGCTCATCTGTGTCTCTTCTCACAGGGAACTCAGTCCTTTGGTTTGGTCTGTTGTCCAATGTCTGAAAACTATTTTCTCACACATTTTACATTTCTTTCTTTCTTTTTTTTTTCTAGAGACAATGTTTCACTCTATCACCCAGGCTGAAGTGCAGTAGTGCCATCTCAGCTCACTTCAACCTCCACCTCCTGAGTTCAAGCCCTTCTTGTGCCTCAGCCACTCGAATAGCTGGGATTAGAGATGTGAACCACCACAGCTTGCTAATTTTTGTGTTTTTAGTAGAGACAGGGTTTTGGCATGTTGGCCAGGCTTGTCTTGAACTCCTGGCCTCATGTGATCTGCCTGCCTCGGCCTCCAAAAGTGCTGGGATTATAGGCGTGAGCCACAGTCCAGCCTACATTAATTTCAAGTGGAGAAAATCAGTTCCCTGGTACTTCGTTTTGGCCAAGAACTGATATCTCCAGTTGTTTGTTTTCTATAAGAAGAAACCATGTCTTTTGCACCTCATAGACTCCAAGAATTTTGTAGCTCAAGGGACTCCTAGTCTAACTGATGTCATTATGGGTAGCTGGTAAGTGATACTCATGAAGGAACAAAAGCACACAAAAATATGGCTTTATGCTACACAGGGAGACATTTTACTCCAGCTGTGTAAATAACAACAGTCATACCACAATTATTAAATAAAATTGATCAATGATGACATTAAGGTAGAGTAAGAATGTTCTGGGCATTGCCACCAGTTCAATTGTCTTTGGGAGGTGCTAGTAATTATCTGTATAACAAAATGTTTCTCTTAAAGGGTTTAAAGAAGAACAAAATCACAATTTAGTTCCATTGGCTGCTAGTTTCCATTTCTATCCAATGGGCGTAGGACTCCTTTTCCTTTCCAGGAACCATTTAAGTAAATGGACAACTCCAGTACCTAATTGCATTCTTGCTTCTTTTTCCCTTTACAGAGGTGCTGGTGGTATTTCACTGATGCTTATCTGCCTGCTATCATAAAAGTAACTTCAGTTTGGTTTAAAATGCACCTGAATCTAAAATCTCTTTACTGCTAGTCCTCCTTGTTCATTAACCTGCTTCTTACCAGATGGTATTCTCTTTAACACCAACATTTTTGAGAGTTTCGTAGTAGTCTGCTAAAGTGAAAACTTGAAACCTGAGGGTGTTGTCAAATGCTAGTACTAAAAGGGGACTTAAACTTGGGAGGAGCCTACTCTTTCCTTTTTAACACAGAAAGACCATGATGGAAAATGGGCTTCTATTGCAATCCCATAAATATCTTAGTAGTAGTGTATGTTTTCCATTACTAAAAATATATATACACAATGGTTTAAGATGATTGCAAAGAATTCCAGCAGGTTTTCTAATTCTTTCCCAATCCCTGCCTTCTCCTTTCCAATACGCACATGTTTTAGAGCAAGTTATTGTCCTGCTATCATTTTTTAAAAAAGAAATGAGGAAATTATACCTACATAGTTTTTCCTGTTTTTCAACCCCAACCCCTTTTAAAATTTTTTTTCAATTACTCAATTGATGGACTTTGGGGGAAATGCAATTAAATTGTATATTAAGCCATTGTTATATTTAATAAGAACAGGTAGTTTAAACACAAACATTTCAAACAGTTAATATCTACCAACAATGTCTGGATTCATGTGTTTTATTTAGAATGAGAGTCTCTTGAACATTATGTACAGCTAATCTTGTTCAGCACCAGTGACTCACCTCTAATCAGACAAACAACATCTCTTTTTAGACCAAAATATAATGTTGGTAAAAGAAGTCTTGTCAGGTCCATGATTGTCTGTACTACATAGCGTCAAATTTAGAGATTATGCTGTTAATACAGAGTACCATCTGGGGTGCCTGAAAGATGACCATTGTATCTGCTAACACATAGCTATGATGCATATTTTAGTTTTCAGAGTTTCTGTGTATTATGAACACATATTTGTAGTCTGCTTATGTGCATGAATATGTTATAAATCAGAACTGCAAGTATGTATATAACCCTGATATTTTCAAAACCCCTGCATGGGGTTAAGTTTTAGCATGGGAGATTGCCCCTTTGTCACAACCTAAAATGCTGTCAGGGCTTGAGGCATGGAAATAAAATTCCTGTCCCTGGAAAAGGATAAAAGAATGAAGTGACCCCCATCTGTGGATCTGAAGCAGTGAGGAAAACTAAAATTTACTTGCATTATATCTTCTTCAAGTTGGGTATTATTTATAAGTAGCCCATCTTTTTAACAGGAAATTTCAAGACAACTATTCTATTATGTCGTTTCTTTGCCATTTTTTTCCCCTTTCGATATAGTTGTGGTTTTGGCTTTTCCATGTAGTTTCTTAACTGAATTGTCAGCAAGATCTAGTCTCAATTACCTCACACCTAAGCACTGTTGTAACTCTATTTCTCTTTATCCATCTCATCACAAAAACCTGTAACAGTGACCAAAGTCTGTTTTCATCATTCATCATTCTATCAGCAGTCTTTTGATGACCTAAGGGTCTAACTGTACTACACTGATGTAGATCCTAAGCTGTTGGTTCCACTGTGCAATCTGCATCAACATATTCCAGGAGGCAGATACAACCTCAAGTTTAAATGGAGCCAGGACAAAGCTGTACATTATGCTCTCTCCTTTTAAATATACAGCCAAACAACGTGGTACAATCACTGTATAAATTATGTGCATACGTACCACCAAATTAAAAAAAAAAGGTGTTCTGATTATTTTAAGAGTCAGAAAATTACAATATTTGGGTTTAAAAATAATATATAAATATATATATACTTTTTTAGATGAGGTCTCACTCTGTCACCCAGGCTGGAGTGCAGTGGCGCAATCTCTGCTCACTGCAGCCTCAACCTCCTGGGCTCAAGTGATCTTTCCACCTCAGCCTCTTGAGTAGCTGGGACTATAGGTGGGAGCTATGATGCCTGGCTAATTTCTGCATTGTTTTTAGAGACAGAGGTTTCTCCATGTTGCCCAGGCGGGGCTCGAACACCTGGTCTCAAGCCATCCACCTGCCTTGGCCTCCCAAACTGCTGGGATTACAGGCGTGAGCCACCGTGCCCGGCCAGTGTTTGTTACCCTGGGTCCTCCTAGATGTAGATGCCAAGACAGCTTAAATGGTTAAATGATATATAATTCAGGAAATGCCTGCAACAGAACAAAGGAAGGGACCCAGAGAAGACTGAGCCTTCTGGCCACAATGTAAGCAGAATGAGTGAGAAGAAGGAGTGAAGAGTGGATGCAAGTATTCTAGATGACCGTGAAATCTAAGGAAGGTTCAGGGAGGCCAACAGGAGTCCTCAAGGCAAAGCTGACTGTCAAAGGTGAGTCTTGAGTCTCCCAGGAGCGGGCTGTCTTAGTGCCCCTGCTGCACTCAGTCCTCACCTGGGAGCAGCCAGTGGGAAGGATGGTCTCAGTGCAGACACAGGAATGGATTTCAGTGAAAGGCAGCTGGGGCCCTTATCAATTTCAGTGTAGTCAGAGGTCTGCAAGGCACATCCTTATAATCACCACAATTACTCTCTTAAAATACTAAATATAGTTCAAGATTCAGGAATTTGTTTCATATGAAATATCCAAGTGCACCTAACTATAAGTTCTATCATAACAGGACTTCAATATAATTACTTTAAATAAGATTTGACACAACATGAAGTACAACTAGGTCTCAAAACAACATGTACTTCACATACCTGGAGCAGAGGAATATTGTTGCCAAGGTCCCAGTGATAATGCAATTTCATTTATACTTTCAATCTGATTATGCTTAGCAGCTTAGGCAAAAAGAGGAACACATTTCTTTTTATGACAAAAGAAAGTCAACTAATTTAACATTAGAGGCCATCTTTTTTGGCTAAAGCTAAACTCAAGCTGTAATGTATTACTCGTCCTCCCTGTGCAAAGAACACTCGGTAACATAATGGGTCATATCTCCAATTACAGGTTTACAAAAGGATCAGAAAGTCAGTTCAAGGAGATGATTCTTGCACTGACCTTCTCTAATGGTAGAGGACTCAACATTAAACTGTAACTCAGTCAAGAAATTTCTATGTCTGGCTTTAATAATATGACTCAAAATCTATCCCTTCAAATATAATACCTGGACAGAAATTAAAGAATTTAGAAGAGAAGCTTGCTCATTAGATTCGGCTAGACTTTCCCCATTATGTAATATTTTAGAGAAATTTTTGGCCAATCCTTGCAAGTAGTCAATTCATAGCAGAATTTATAATCAGTGTGGTATGCCTATCACTCATAACCCAGGAGATGCTGGAAGATAAATGAAACTTTTTTATTTTCATAATTAAAATGTTACTTTACTATGTTTTAGAAAAAAAATAATTAGCCCATTGAGTTCACAGATAAGATTAAATAAAAAACTTTTAAGACAAATATGAAGTAAATAGTATTAATAGTATATTGGTAAGCAAACACAGCAAAAATCAAATGGTGAAGGTGATGTGGTAGAGTAGATAATGGTCCCTGAAAATGTCCACAAACTAATCCTTATGTGGTGAAGGGAACATTGCTGATGTGATTAAGTTAAGGATATTGAGATGGGGAGATTTTTCTGGATTGTCTGGGTGGCCCAGTGATGTAATCACAAGAGTCTTATAATATGGAGGCAGGAAAGGCAAAGACAGAGGAGTGGGAGTTGTGATGAGGGAAGCGAGAAGCTTAGAGTGATTGGAGGAAGAGGCCACAAGCCAAGGAATGCAAGTGTCCTCTAGAAGCTGAAAAAGACAAATAATAATTTATCTCTTAAAGGTCCCAGAAGGAACAAGCCCTGCCAACGCCCTGATTTTAGCCCCATAAGACTGAACTTTAAGTAGCCACGTATGAAAAGCAGCTACCCTATGGGACAGCATGCTGTAGACGGTGCCATGAAACTGATCATCAGTGGGTTGCTTTTTGCAGCAGCCCCAAGGGACATGCACTAGGAAGTAGTACGATTGCACTGTTGCATGACACTCAACCCAGCAGCTTTATATTCTGTATCTGTTGTTATACTGACAAGGCTGTATAATCCAGGAATATTGATATGATCCATCTTTATCACACTCAGGAGGTCAAGGGATAGGATCCGTGATGCATCTCAGAGAAACATGTTCTTTAAGTTATGTTTTAAGTCTGAGTTTCAGGAGGCAGATAATCACATCCAAATGAAAACCCTCTAGTAATTGGTTCTTTGTGGTGTTCCTACCGAGATGTAAGCAGCTATGGGTTTTAGGTGTATAAAAAATGAGCCCTTTTGACCTAGCATGGTGTTTTAGTGAAGTTAGGGATGTTACATCAAATTAAGTTCCAACTTGGAATGAGAACTGTTGTAAAATTTTCCGCTTTAAGAGAAACCCAGGGAACTGAAGTTTGCTTTATTATATCAAAGTCAGCAGTCAGCAGAGAGAAAAACATATTACATCCTAAAGGAGAAAGAGAATTTTCTTGAATTGCAGAATGTTGACACCATACATCTGTCCGACATCAAAGCTGTTGGTTATAAATCTTGCAGATAACTGATCATCCCAAATCCACAAAGGCAAAAGTTGAAAGAGAAGTTGGAACATCAGAAAAGGCACAAGAAACTCCGCAGCCCCTGAAGGAGTTGAAGCCGGTTCCAGTGTGACATATATCATGAGGTTTCTGCAGGACTTCGCTGTCCATTTAAATGCTAATGTGCAATTCTGGCATATCCTCAGAATGAAAGTGCTGAAGCAAGCAGCAACACTGGAAATTTCAGAACATTGTTGAATATTCAGTATCCATGCACTAAAGAGCTCAGGTAGACTTTTAAATATCAGACAACAAACCACAGTTCTCACTTCAATATGCTTGGCTAAGAATTCTCTGGCAATATGCTACTTTTTAAAGAAAGGTTCAGTGAAGTTTTGCATTTCCAAGTGATTTTTCTTATGAAGTTAATCTGACAAGCAAAGCAAGAGGTCGTCGGCTGCAATTCATACATAAGGTATATATTAAAAGGCAAATTCAGAAGTTCTTCCTGGTTGTTTTCTCTGAAGTCTCAATTGTCTTCACCTGTGAGAACTGAAACTTATCAGGCATTGAAGGGAAATTTCAAGGTTTTGCCTCATTTTCTTACTCTATTTATGTAGTGCATCAAGCTATATTAATATAATATCACTGAGCCAGCAATAAGCGGGCACACTGAGGGGTAGTAATAACTGTTATTGAAATTGGTGCCTTGAGAAAAAGAAGAAGCTATTCAAAGATGGAGAGTGAGTTTCCAGAAGGACAGTTACATAGGAAACTTTAACTTTTATGTGGATACTTACTACAATCTCCAGAAACATTCCTAGTATTCATTAAACACGTATGTAAAGATCATCTTCAATTATTAGGCATTAAGATAGGTGCTGGGGATATAATAATAATAATAATAATAATAGTGAAGACCAATATACTGATTTCCCTGTAAATAATACTATGTAACTGTTTTACATATACAGTAGTCCATAGTCCCCCCTTATTCACTGGGGATATGTTCAAGAACCTCAGTGGATGCTTGAACAACAGATAGTACTGAACCGTATATATTCTATGCACAAATTTTATTTATTTTTTCACAATTTTATGGATAAAAGATTCAGTCTTACTATAGATCACAGCAACCTCAGCATTGGAGAACTTTCACTTTTTCACTTGAAGTATATGGACTACTGTATATGCATCTGTATTTATGTAGTGCATCAAAGTCATATTAATATAACATCACCGAACCAGCAATAAACAGGCACACTGAGGGGTAGTAATAACTGTTATTGAAATTGGTGTCTTGAGAAAGGAAGAAGCTATTCAAAGATGGGGAGTGTGTTTCTGGAAGGACAGTTATATAGGAAATGTTAATTGCTATATGGATATTTACTACAATCTCTAGAAGAGAAATTTTACACCAGTGTAGAGAAAGTGCAGTTTATACTTTGTCTTTGGCATATCTAAATTACCAGCGTCACTACTCTTGTGCTTTGGGGCCATTATGAAGTAACATAAGGGTTCCTTGAACACAAGCACTGCTTTACTGTGACGGTGGACCTGATAACCGAGACAGCGACTAATGACTAACGGGTGGGCAGTGTCTACAGCAGGGATACACTGGACAAAGGGATGATTCACGTCCTGAGAGGGATGGGGTGGGATAGCTCCAGATTTTATCACACTACTCAGAACAGAGTGCAATTGAAAACATGAATTGTTTATTTCTGGAATTTTCCATTTAATCTTTTCAGACTGTGATTGACCATGAGTAATTGAAACTGTAGAAAATGAAACCGTGGATAAAGAGGAGTACTGTATTAACTCATTTAACCCTGTAAGGGTGTAATCCTGTAAGAGTGTAAATACCCTTATGAGATAGATATTTATGGATGGAGAAACTGAGGCACAGAGATTCTGTGACTTGACAAAGGTGACACAGATCATAAGTGATGGAAAAAGAATTCAGACTCGGAAGAGACTGAACCACAAGGTACACTCTTAAAATCACTATACATGGTGCCTTAATCCCACTTTCCAGTGACATTTTGAACAATCTTCTATTTCAAATTTCTTTAGGTATTTACAAAAATAAAAGCCTGCTTTTCACTAGCTTATAAATGCCCTGAGGTTTTCCTCACCATGTGGTGGCTTGCCCATATTCAATGTTCCACAAATGTTTGTGGTGTAGGCAGTATAAGAACAAAGGTTTGGGGGCAGAGAAAGCTGAGTTGGAAACTCCGCTCTACTACTTCCTTAAGGTGTGAACTCAGTTTTTTCAACTACAAAATGGGAATTACGGAGTTACTGTGAGCACTCAACGTTACAGCTGAGGAAAGGGAGGGCCAGCCACACTAGAACTCTGGCCATCTAATATCTACTCAGGTCTCTTTATCTAAGAGACCTCCTTCTCTCCTTTCCTTCATCCTTTCCCTCCTCCTGTTACTTTATTCACTCATTAAATATACTTTTTATTAAGTATCCACTTTGTACTGGGCCTTGTGATAAAAATAAAGTAAGTGGTGGGTTTCCAGTCCTGACTTAATTTCTGCTATAGCAGTAACTCTCGGATCATGGACCCTGAACAAGTACCATCAGCATCCCTTGGTGTGATGGTTCATTTTAATGTGTCAGCTGGGCCACAGGGTGTCTGGACATTTGGCCAAATATTATTCTGAATGTGTCTGTGAGGATATTTCTGGATGAGGTTAATATTTGAATTGGTAGACTGAGTAAAGTCCATTGCACTTCCTCATGTGGATGGGCCTTATCCAATCAAAGACCTGAATACAACAAAAAGGGTGAGGAAGAGAGAATCCCTCCTGCCTGCCTAAGCTAGAACACTAGTCTTTTTCTGCCTTCAGACACAAAGTGAAAAGTTGGCTCTTGGGTCTTGAGCCTGCCAGCCTTCAGACTGGAATGTACACCATTGGCTGGCTCTCAGGACTTTGGACTTAGACTGGAGCTACACTGTTGGCTCTCCTAGGCCTCCAGTGTGCTGACTGCAGATCTTGGGACTGCTCAGCTTCCATAATTCTGCAGGCCAATTCCTTATAACAGATCTCTTTAATACTCTGTGTGTCTCCTGTTAGTTCTGCTTCTCTGGAGAATCCTGACTAACACACTTGGGCAGTGAGTTCAGGCTCCACCCTGAGAGTGAGGCCCAGCAAGCTGTGTTTTAGCAAGCCCGTCAGGTGACTCTGATGCCCCCTAAAGCTTGAGAACCACTCTACTTGAAATATTCTTGATTGACTTCACTAGCGGGAAGCACAGCATTTCATCGTCAGCAGAGTTAAACTCCTGAGTCACGACTTCTTTTCAGATACCACAACTGAAGGTCAATTCTCTGAACGAGTTCACTTTGACATCAGACCTTTCCTACAAGAGCAAATAGGAGGCCCTGGTTGTCCAATCTCTTAATGAGCTTAGTTTATAAATATAAATGTAAATATGCTGGATATTTGTTGTTGCTGCTCAGCATAAATATATTCTAAAGACTGACTGAATTGGGTAAGAAAGCTCTCCTCAACCTCTTCAAGGACTGTAATTACTTTACTCCCAGTGGATGATGGACCTTATCTAACGAAAGCAAGCCACAGGGACAATAAAACATTCTTACACTACATTGCGTCAAGTAGAGTCTGCCAGAGTTCCTCGGCACTCCCTCCCCAGACATCTGATCTCTATTATTTTTTCTCCATGATTAAACATGCAGGTCTGCTTTCCAGCTCCTCAAGAGGGGCTGCAGGAATTCGCATTCTGTTGCTCCCCTGTGAAAACACACTGTCCTCAGGGGTATTCACGATTCCTGCGAACTGTGGGTGGTGAATGTTTCCCATTTTCATCCAAATTAAGATCAGTAATCAAAGTCACAGGCTTTTCTTTTTTTGCTTTTTTTGGGTTTTTTTTGCTTCAAGAAAGATCATCTAGAGTTTCATTTCTTTCCTATCCGTAGGGGAACAGGAACAGATAACAGATCTTTTGTTCCAAACACATCGTACCAGTACTTGATCCAGGTATGTTCTACCCATAGAAGTGAGACAGACCTCCAGTCAAAGAGCATGCTCTGGAATTCTTTGTGGGCAGAGCAGCAGTCTATTTTTTAGTAAAAAACACACAACAAATGGATTATTACATGTTATGAGCTATTAATCAAGCAGTTCAAACATACGTTTATTATCTACAAATATTCATTGAGTGCTACTGTGTACTAGCCAGTGTCCGATGACATGGGACACAGATACACACAAAGATATTAAATAATCACCATAATCACTTGCTATATATTGAGGGCCTACCACGTACAAGCTAGTGCTGAGCTAGTGCCATAGGCAATTGTGCACAGACACACAAAAAATAAGAAGTCACTTATTGAATACCCTTATACACTGAGTGCTTTTATTAAGACACTGTATTAACCCATTCTCACACTGCTCTAAAGAAATACCTGAGACTGGGTAATTTATAAAGAAAAGAAGGTTAATTTGCTCATTGTTCTGCAGGTTTTGCAGGAGTCACAGGGGCTTCCTCTTCTGGAGAGGCCTCAGGAAACTTATGATCATGGCAGAAGGCAATGCGGAAGCAGGCACTTCTACGTGGCAGAGCAGGAGCAAGAGAGATAGGGGGAGGTGCTACACACTTTTAAATGACCAGATCTCGTGAAAACTCACTCACTATCGTGAGAATAGCATCAAGGCGGTGGTGCTAAACCATTCATGAGAAACCACCCACATGATCCAATCACCTCCCACCAGGCCCCACCCCCAACATTTGGGATTACAATTTGACATGAGATTTGGTGGAGACACAGAGCCAAACCTTATCAGGTACTTTATATATATCTTACTCATTATTTCCTCTCAACATCACCATGAGGCAGGCATTATCGTCATCATTCTAGAAAAGAAAGTAGTGTACTGAGATGTTAAACAATTCACTCAAAATCACTTCGTTTGTGAAATGGAAGAATCAGATCTTAAATCTATTTCTTTCTAAATCCAAGCACTGTAACATGTTTTCTCTGTGCCTCCAGTTTTTCTCTAAATGGAAAGTCAGAACTTATGCATTTAAAAACCTCAATAATAATGCAAATCTGCAAATACCAAGTGGCAGGGGTGGGGATATGAAGAGTAAGCATTAAGGAAGCAAAGATGGATACGGGCACTGTTCTACCAAGGTCCAGCCAGGAAAAACAGAAAGGATATTTTAACGAAGGTATTTTAGAAGAAAATTAAGAAATTAAGAAAGGTATTTTAACGAAGAGATTGGTCAAACGGGTATTTGAGCAGTGAAAGTGTGAAAGGGAACCGTAGGTAACCGCAGGAAGCAGCTCCCTATCCTACATTGTGGGAGCAAACACAAGAGGTTGGAGTTATTAGGACTTAGCTCAGAGGAGGGGCCCTGCCAAGTTGGAAGCCAGTCTTGTAGGCAGGATGATGACTGGCAGGTGCTGGTCATTCTCAGATGGTGTGTTCAAACTTGTCCTGGGAAGGTGAGGGGGGAAACCTGAAAACTGCAGCCTCTGGAACAACTGCTGAGAGTGAAAAAATGTTTCTGATGAGACATTCAAAGGAATAGGAAGCCACCAGGATGCTAAATGGAAGCAGATGGAGGAACAAGTCCCCTTTTCCTCCTTCTGCCTTCCAGGCTGCCTCTTACGCCTGCTATTGGCAGAGCCTGGCATGGGTCCAGCTGGCAAAGCAGCAGTGTCTGCTCCTGAAATCCTCACTGCTCCTGGCTAAGTCCGTCCCTAAGGGGAGGTAAACCACACGCTGCCATGCCTCTGCACTGATCAGTTCCTGAACTGGAGGAGAGGCCCCCTGGGTGCAGAATTCACTCTCACTTATACCCTTGGCTCCATTTGGTGCGACTGTACTCATGATCTTCGCTCACTTCACTCTTGTGGGATCAAGGAGCATTTTCTAGGTTGCCCACCTCATAGGTAGAAGTCTGTCAGGTTTTCCATGTCTTAGTGTCTAGTATGTGAGTCCACTGACTTAACCCTTTTAATTTTACTAATTTCTCTGGATATATTTCCCCCTGTAATAGAACAGATTTCACCTCCATTTAGTACATCTCTCTGATTTTCATCTCTCTACAAAGAGAATCCCACTTCTGTTTATTTATTCTTTTTCCCCATTATTACCTTCTGATGAGAACTACTCATTCTTATCCCAAGTTGTAGATGAAATTCCTGCGAGCTGAGATTTTAGAGAGAAAGGTAGTTATAGCAAAAACAATCCTCAAGTAAAATAAACCAGAGTTCCCCAGGCTTTGGGACAGTGCTGGTCAAAGATGAAGTTTTCTCTAGTGCAAAATGAAAGCAATGCCAAGAACTATGAGAAGCAAATTTGAATTCTGCCTCCGGTGATTTTTGGGAAGTTACTTTACATCTCTGTGCCCCAGTTTTCTCATATTCTCTTACTATTACAACTAATCTACAAATTAGTCATTAATAAGCACATAGACCATAAAGTGCTCAATAAAGGCTAGATAATATTATTTTTGGACAGTTTAAGGATGCCAACTGTCCTTTCATGAGAAGGATTGACCTATATTCAGAGATGACATCAATCTTAATTTTTAAAATTTGGAAATGCTTTCTTGTATAAAATGCCATTAACAGTAAATGCAACGAAACCTAAAGGTCTGAAAACACTGCTATGAAAGACTCCTAAATTATATAAAGAAATGCTTTAAAAAAACAAACAAGTGTTTTATCAAGGCTTTTGAGGTTTTTGTTTTTGTTTTGTTTTTGATACGGAGTTTCACTCTTTCACCCAGGCTGGAGTGCAGTGGTGTGATATGAGCTCACTGCAGCCTCCGCCTTTTGGTTTCAAGAGATTCTCCTGCCTCAGCCCCCAGTAGCTGGGATTACAGGTGCGTGCCACCACGCCCAGCTAATTTTTTTATTTTTAGTAGAGACAGGGTTTCACCATGTTGGCCAGGCTGGTCTTGAACTCCTGACCTCGTGACCCGCTTGCTTTGGCCTCCCAAAGTGCTGGGCTTATAGGTGTGAGCCGCCACGCCTGGCTGAGTTTATAAAATATTAATTTACTAGTTCGACAAAGATATATTAGGTGCCCGCCTTGTGTGGGACCCTGAGACGATGCTAGAAATGCCCTGATGAGTGAGACAGACATGGTGTCTGGCCTCAGAGAGGTGATACCTAGCAGGGCTTTTCACTTAACTTATTTAATTTGATCCACATAATCAGCCTGGGAAAGGGTATCATTATTATTACCTCTGTTTTAAAGAGAAAATTGAAGTCTCATGAAGGGAAATAACATTGTTTGCATCGCACAGCAGGCAAAAGTTTGGGTTCCTTTCCCCATAACACAATGATACATTGCAGGCCTAGCTCTTCTCCCAGGAATTCCATCTCTGTTCTTATAATGAAAACTGCTGGGAACATGTGCTTAATAAACGTGTATGAAGGCTCGCTTTTCGGAACACATCTAGTCTGCGAAACAAGACTGGGTATAAATTCAGAAGCCCCCGACCCCCCCGACTCAGGAATTTAACAATCAGCTCTCTAACCCTCTTGCCTCTTCTCATTTGCTAAGTGAGCAGAGGGTGTGAAGTGTACCTTTAATGCCTCTAGCCTATCCTTTCCACCCCGTGACCTTTTCACCCATCTATTCCTCAAGGGGAGACTTCACTATGCTAATATGCCTTATGGGTCTCTGAGTAGGGAACCAAAGCAAACCGTGTTCCTGTTGTCTTTCTACCCAGTTATTTTTTTCTCCCACTATCTTTGAAGTAATGCGTGCTAAGGGATCATCTGATAACCATTTAAGGTGACAAAAATGTTGAGTCTCAAAGGAAAGGAACTGTGAAAGGACAGGCAAGGGCGTCAAGGATTTTATGTATGTACCCTCCTCAAATCATAGCACGACACATTGGCTTCCTGCTTTTAGTTTTAGTCTTGTTCCGTTAATCTAGAGCCACTGGAGTGAGATTTTCACAATGATCTTTTGAGGTAGCATGGCAGGTGCCTTTCATGCAGAAGCTTATAAAAACTTACAATTCTAACAGGTAGGTACTTGCTATACAAAAGAGGAAACATGGCTGGGCACAATGGCTCATGCCTGTAATCCCAGTGTGTCCGAAATTGGTGGGTTCTTGGTCTCACTGACTTCAAGAATGAAGCCGCAGACCCTCGTGGTGTGTGTTACAGTTCTTAAAAATGGTGTGTCCGGAATTTGTTCCTTCTGATGTTCGGACGTGTTCGGAGCTTCTTCCTTCTGGTGGGTTCATGGTCTCGCTGGCTTCAGGAGTGAAGCTGCAGGGACCTTCATGGTGAGTGTCACAGCTCTTCAGGCAGTGCATCTAGAGTTGTTCATTCCTCCCAGTGGGTTCGTGGTCTCGCTGGCCTCAGGAGTAAAACTGCAGATCTTCTCGGTGAGCGTTACAGCTCATAAACACGGTGCTAACCCAAAGACAGAACAGCAGCAAGATTTATTGCAAAGAGCAAAAAAACAAATCACCCACAGTGACAAGGGGACCCAAATGAGCTGCTGCTGGCTCAAGCAGCCTGCTTTTATTCCCTTATCTGACCCCACCCCCATCCTGCTGACTGGTCCATTTTACAGAGAGCTGATTGGTCCATTTTGACAGGGTGCTGATTGGTGCATTTACAATCCCTGAGCTAGACATAAAAGTTCTCCAAGTCCCCACCAGATTAGCTAGACACAGAGCACTGATTGGTGCATTTACAAAGCTTGAGCTAGACACAGAGTGCTGATTGGTGCATTTACAAACCTTGAGCTAGACACAGAGTGCTGATTGGTGCATTTACAAACCTTGAGCTAGACACAGAGTGCTGATTGGTGCGTTTAAAAACCTTGAGCTAGACACAGGGTGCTGATTGGTGTATTTACAATCCTTTAGCTAGGTCTAAAAGTTCTCCAAGTCCCCACCAGATTAGCTAGATACAGAGTGCTGATTGGTGCATCCACAAACCTTCAGGTAGACACAGGGTGCTGATTGGTGCATTTACAAACCTTTAGCTAGACATAAAACTTCTCCGAGTCCCCACCAGATTAGCTAGATACAGAGTGCTGATTGGTGCATCCACAAACCCTGAGCTAGACACAGAGTGCTGATTGGTGCATATACAATCCTCTGGCTAGACATAAAAGTTCTCCAAGTCCCCACCTGACTCAGGAGCCCAGCTGGCTTGGCCTAGTAAGTCGCCTGCCAGGGCTGCGGGCAGAGCTGCCCGCCAGTCCTGCACCACGCACCTGCACTCCTTAGCCCTTGGGCAGTCGATGGGACCTGGCCAGCGGAGCAGGGGACAGCGCCCATCAGGGAGGCTCGGGCCTTGCAGGAGCCCACTGCGGGGAGTGGGGGGCTCAGGCATGGCAGGCTGCAGATCCCCGAGCCCTGACCCGCAGGGAGGCGGCTGAGGCCCGGCGAGAATTCGAGCATGGCGCAGGCAGGCCAGCAGTGCTCAGGGAGCCGGTGCCCCCTTCCGCAGCTGCTGGCCCAGGTGCTAAGCCCCTCACTGCCTGGGGCCCGCAGTGCTGGCCGGCTGGCCGCTCAGAGCCCATTTAGCTGGAAATACTGTGTAGTTATGGTGTGTAAATGGGCAAAAAGAGACTAGTTAACAAAATATTATCAGGTTATAATTTTATACATAGTAATAATTGAGTCTTTCGTTACTTTACAGATCAGTACCAATGAGAGAGATTGACTCGTTTCCTAGGCTGACCACCCATCTCAGTTTGCAGGACTTTCAGTGCTAAAATTGAGAGATAATTTACTAAAAACTGATTATTTGCAAAGATTGTCACTAACACTCAGGTACCACATCTATGTGATCTTAACACGTTTTTAAAGTTCATTCAATACATTAAAGGAAAGTTCATTACACAGATTATCGATAGTGTAGTTTTGATGTAGAGTGAAGCATTCTTGTGCATTAGATGTTAATGGTATGGTTTGGGATCTATCAGAGACACAACAAATATTTATTCTTAGCAAGTCAGAGCAGAGGGCAGTGTTGTTAATCTGATATTCACCCCTTAGTAATATAGGCCTGGCCCAAGAATACCTGTGCCAATTCTACGGCTGATAGGATGGATCCACCAGGGAGGCAGAAAGCACCAAGATTCAAGGTTGTAGCTGCCTCCAGCAAATGGGCAGCCACCAAAGTCCATGATGCAAGTCTAGAGAGATTAACAGCCTGCATCCAGTTGGCTTGTGTAGAGGAATTAAGGTGCATGCAAAAGTAATTGTGGTTTTTGCGTTGTTGGAATTTGCCATTTTATATTAGAATACATTCTTAAATAAATGTGGTTAGGTTATACATCATTTTAATGGGCATGCCTCCCTTTATGATTTTTTGCTAATGGCTTATTACTTGCTTTTTATTTTATGTTTATTTTAGACTATGGAAATAATGTTAGAGAAAAAGCAAATTCAAGCGACTTCCTTATTGGAATTCAAATGGGTCGTAAAGCAGCAGAGACAACTCTCAACATCAACAATGCATCTGGCCCAGGAACTGCTAATGAACATACAGGGCAGTGGTGGTTCAAGAAGTTTTGCAAAGGAGAGCCTTGAAGACCAGGGTAGTGACCAGTCATCGGAAGTTGACAACGACCAACTGAGAGCAATCATCAAAGCTGATCCTCTTACAGCTACAAGAGAATTTGCTGAAGAACTCAACTTCAACCATTCTATGGTCTTTTGGCATTTGAAGCAAATTGGAATGATGAAAAAGCTTGATAAGTGGGTGCCTCATGAGCTGACCTAAAAAAAAATCATCATTTTGAAGTGTCATCTTCTCTTATTCTACACAACAACAATGAACCATTTCTTGATCGGATTGTGACATGCGACGAAAAGTGGATTTTATATGACAACCAGCGATGACCAGCTTGGTGGCTGCAGTGAGAAGAAGCTCCAAAGTGCTTCCCAAAGCCAAAAAAAAAAAAAAGGTCATGGTCCCTGTTTGGTTGTCTGCTGCCCATCTGATCCACTACAGTTTTCTGAATCTTGGCAAAACCATTATATCTGGGAAATATGCTCAGCAAATTGATGAGACGCACTGAAAACTGCAACGCCTGCAGCTGGCATTGGTCAACAGAAAGGACCCAATTCCTCTCCAAGACAACGCTCGACTGCACATTGCACAACCAGCGCTTCAAAAGTTGAACTAATTGGGCTACCAAGTTTTGCCTCATCTGTCATATTCACCTGACCACTCGCCAACCAACTACCAATTCTTCAAGCATCTCGACAACTTTTTGCAGGGAAAACACTTCCAAAACCAGCAGGATGCAGAAAAATGCTTTCCAAGAGATCGTCGAATCCCAAAGCAGGGATTTTTATGCTACAGGAAAAAAGAAACTTATTTCTTATTGGCAAAAATGTGTTGATTGTAATGGTTCCTATTCTGATTAATAAAGATGTGTTTGAGCCTAGTTATAATGTTTTAAAATTCACAGTCTGAAACAACAATTACTTTTGCACCAATCTAATAGAAGGGACCTTGGCCCTGAATTGAAATGCAGAGCAAAGCTTTAGTTCTCAGGCAGCAGAGTCAGCAAGAGCAAAGGAGGGCTGGTTCTCAAAGGCAAGGCAAGTACAAGAGGCCCATTGTCAGGATGGAGACATCACAGGGGAGTGAGAGGCAGAGTGTGGACCAGCATGCTGGGGCCTTGCACCCTGATGGAGGGCAGGCAGCGAGATGTTTACCAACATAACAACAAGCCATGGACCATCTCCAAGGACATTTAGCATTACATTTTTCCTGAGTGTGACGAGATCAAGGGTCCCAAGTCCTTTAAATACTCTCTATCTGGGAAAGGTAGTACTGAACATCTATGTGGGAAGATCATCAGAACCAGACAGAGGAAGAGGGGAAGACAAGAAAAGGCAAAATGGGGTTCACTAATTGCCAAGTGCAGCATCTCCTCCTTCAGTTCCTGAGGGTTTGGGAGTTCTGAGAATGGAAGTGCAGAGAGGCCAATCCTGGAGTCACAGGAGGTTTCCACCCACTCACTCAGTGGGTTATGTATATGGAGTAAATGTAAAATATTGCATTGACACATGTCACCGTCTTCTGCTCCCCAATCTCAGTTCTGCTGGAGAACAGGTGCTGGGGGTGGGTAGGATTCCTCCTGGGACAAGGGCTTGGAGACTGTGGGACTTGGGCACAGAGCTCCATGTCACCTGACATGATGGAGGCAAATGCCAATAGGTGTTTTATCCCTAAAGGGAGAGGAAACGAAGGGACTTGACAAGGCTGTCATCCTTTCTCATCAAGTAGAATGTCTTTTACAATGAGGTCAGCAGTCTATTTATTTTCCAGTTAATGAAACGTTTGGGGTGGGGAGGAAGGAAGCTGTGCTTTGTAAAATTTCGGTGTTGGGGTTCACAGTCCTGCATATTTTTTGAACCCACATAAAAACACATCTGATTTGAAGTAGGCTGGTGTTGAAATATGATGTTGTGAACCACACCACCACACACGAAAACCTTGTGGAATAAAAGGCCTTGTAAAATTCCTGTTAAAATACTATGTTTTGTACAAGGGCATCTTATAGAACGTTTCAAATGACTGGAGGGGAATTACAGAGATTAATCATCTTATAAGCACCAATTAATGTGACTGTATGTTATTGGTGTCTCACTGGACAATCAATTTTTAAAAAGAAATAAAAATTTCTGGGAGCTACATTGCTTTGCTTCAGCTAGTGACTGTTTATTATTCCTTGGCTGAACTACTTGCTGATTTATATCCTTAAAACTGAATCCTTACAATTGTTTCCTTTATTTGGAAATCCAGTTGTAGATTTAATACTCTGCAGTCAGTTTTCTTAAAGGGAAGATCTAGAAACAAAGAAATAATAGAATTTTCCAGAATCGACTCTGTAGATTAAGTTCTAAGTGTACATTCTTTGGGCATCTACTTCCAGGTCTCCTTTCACCCCCAGGCTTCCCCTGTTACTCCAAAGTCCTGCACTGAGGTCACACTTTTTGCTACCCTTTTAAGGTAGATAATCCTGGGGTGTTACTATCTTTTTTACTCTCTTCATCTGTTTTCTCTGGACCATCTACTCAACAGCCATTGCTTCAGCTAACATCGCTAAACTGATTACTCCAAATTTATAGTTTTACCTCAGACTCTCTCTAAAGCTCTCAACTGCCTTCTTGATACCTTCCCTGAGAAGTGTCATTGGCACTGGAAATTCAACATGCCAAGACCAGACTGGTCATCATCTATTTCTCTTTTATTCCCTATTTCAGGAAATGACATCACCACCAATTGGCTGACCAGGCCAGAACTTTGTGAATTGTTTCAGACTTTGCTGTCCCTACAAAATTACCTTCCACAACAAGCAATTTTTTATAGTCCACAGTGAGGGTCTCATAAGAGGTCCTGCAAATTCCCTCCTGCCAAGTGTGGCCCCTGATCCTCCTCACACTAAAGCACCAGTGTTCTTGCAGTGCTAAAGCACTCTCTGGGTCATAGTGTCTTAGAGAAAGACCAAAGTGAAACCTTCCCCCACCTCATTTTCTCTTCTTCTTATCAAGATATGAGCTTATGAGGACAGAGGGACTTCTGAGGATAGCTACCAAACTGCATGCATAATCATTCCTCTCTTCTAACTGCAAATGTGTTTCTTGATCAAGCTGATCATTCTGACTCTTTAAAAGATGTTTTAGGCTGTCGCTTTCTCACACATGTTCAGAATGTCTGAACCACTTTGGGTTCAGGCTAGGATGTCAATCTTGGATGTAGATAAATGACAGGTGTACTTTGAGGCTCTAGGCAGCACCTGGATATCCTTGTTTACCAGGTAGGTAGCTATGATTCAGGGACTGGTTGGAAAATGATGTTTACCTGTCAAATAACAGCAGTTCAAGTAGATTTCCTCATACCAACAACGCTTTGACATCTCACATCAAAAACTCAGAAAGAGGCTCCTTTTCCAAGATGCCTGGAAGTACAGCTCTTTGCTAAGCGAAGTCATTTTAGATGCAGTTCTTTAGCGAGTTCTGCCAGAGCTCTGCCCACTAGAAGAAAGGATTATGAACACTTACTTTGTATGATGTGGTCTTGAGGCAGCAGTAATTTATCCCTAAGGCTCTGTTGAACAAGGGCTGTGTCACCCACTAAATAGGGACATGTGAAAACGTCTATTGCTCATATTGTCTGGTGATTTCACTTTGAGTCGTTGCTGCATTTCAACCAACTTTCAAGTGACTTTTTTGTTCTTCAATAACTACCCTAAATGTTACACTATTATCATAAAACAAAAGACCTGAGAATCCTTTCTGTCATTTTTGTATGAAACTAATTTAAGCTTTTCAGAAATTTGTGGCCCTTTCGTATTAACAAATACATATCATCTTCAATGCCTCAGTCATTTCACAGCCATATATTGAAATATTCAACTTAAGATATTTCTAATTAAATGAATGAAAAACTATGGATACAACTAACTAAAAATGGCTTTTCTCTGACAACTTTACTTGAATCACCATACTTTTAAACAAAGGCCATTTCATTTTTCCTCCCTGCTTCTTGTATCAAGTTTAAGAATCAATGCCAGCATCTTTTTCTTACCTTTGACCATTTCCTCCTCTTTAACTCAATATCTCTTCCTTTTGAAGTCCATGATGTCTGATTATATGACACCGCCCCACATCCTATCTCTGCCTCTGTTGGTCCTTTATCATCTCCATGTTTTTGAAGAACAAGAAGGCCATGTGCTCAGAGAATAGAGAGTGGATTATGCCGGGTAAGTTGGAGATGTTGGAGGGCTAAATCATAAGGACCTGGTGGGCTGTGTTGAGAACTTTGGTCCTTATTTTAAAAGCAGTCAGAAACCTTTTAAGGTTCTTAAAAGGGTAAAATGATACCTGATATGGTTTTTATTTTTTTGGAGACAGGGTTTCACTCTGTCTCCCAAACTGGAGTGCAGTGGTGCGATCTCAGTTCACTGCAACCTCCACCTGCCAGACTCCAGCAATCCTCCCAACTCAGCCTCCTGAGTAGCTGGGACCACAGGCACATGCCACCACACCTGGCTAATATTTGTATTTTTGGTAAAGATAGGGTTTCGCCATGTTGCCCAGGCTGGTCCTGAACTCCTGGACTCAAGTGATCCACCTGCCTCCGCCTTCTAGAATGCTGGGATTACAGGCATGCACCACTGTGCCCAGCCAAACTGATGTGATTTTTAAAAGACCACTCTAATTGTAACACAAAGTATGGATTGAGTCAGGTAGGAATGGATATGAGGGAGCAATTAGAGTTCAAGGCCGTAAACAGCTAGAGGATGACAGTGACTTTGACAAAGGTAGTAGCAGCAAAGGTGAGCAAAGTGTTCGGAGAAAAAATGGGCAGAAGTTGCAGATTATTTAGATGGGGTTCAACAAAGAGAAAGAAGAATCTAGGATGACTCCAGTGTTTCTGCAAGGAGCAACAGAGGGTGTGGTGGTGTCGTTGCCTAAGATGGACAACACAAGAATGGAGCAGCTTCTCCTGGGAGTGAGGGCTAGCTCAGATTTCCTCCCCATGAACTCTCCCAACACCTGCCTGGCAAGTTCTAACTGCTGCTACTGTTCCCAGACAGGTAAGTGTCACCATGGAAGATAATGCAGTAACTGGCTGCACTTCACATACATCATGTCCAATGCCCGCTGCTCCTCCAGGCTCTTTGGAAACGCTTTTATTGATTTCAAATTAAATCTTATTCTATTTTTTATGTTGTGTTTTTAAAATGTTTTCACTCTTCCCATACTTCCAGTCCTATCTTTCCTTCTCAGTTTTAACCAACCACTTTGCCTCTTAGTTTACTGAAAATAATAATAATAATAATAATAGAGGCCAAATGATGTGAATTTCTCAAATTCTCTTATCCCTACTTTAAAATTTTTTGGAATCTTCCATCATTCTCTTTTCTTTCCTGTGAGAGATGCGTCCTTTTCTGCCTTTTAAGCCACATTCTCTACCTGTGTTTCTGATACTGCTGTATTCCATTTTTCCAGCACATTGTTTCAGAGACCATCCCCAATTTCATATCTCATATTGAGGCAAAATAGTTTTATTCAGAACCTAGTATTAATATACTACATGTAGAAAATTTGAAACGTACAGAAAGGAGCAAAGATGAAAAAATCACCTATAATCTCATAGAGAAAATCATTTTTAATTTCTAATTATTAAAAAATTTCTCTTTCCATTGGTTCCCTGTCTCCAGCCTGAAAACATGTTTAGGTCTTCTCTTTTCTGAAGAAGACTCCCCTCAGTTTTTCTTTCCTTTCAAGCTACGAGGAGAGCTCCTTCACAGCCCCCTACTCTCCTAGCACTTTACCTAGAGAGCTTTAAGATGCTTCTGGAGTGACAAAGACTGCTCCAGGCTCTGGAGTCTGAGCTATGACAATGAGCAAGACACAGGTGAAACTATACCTGTATCTCCAGGACCTGTCCTGTTTCCTCACTGCTCCAGCTGGTTCCTTCTGGATCTGGGATTTTGCCTCATATGTGTATGTGACTGTCCCCGGCCATTACCAGCCCGCTGTGTTCCCACTCCCTGTCTGCCACATCCAATCCATTCTCATAGCTTCATTTATATTTCTGTATGGGCGATTTCAAGTTGATATCACTAGCCAAGACCTCTCACTGGAAGCCAGAAAAACATTTCCAACTGCACTCTGAATGCCTCAACAGGGTGTCTCACCAGGAAACTCAACACATCTAAAACTAACTTCATTATCTATTCTGCCAAACCTATTTCTCCTCTTGTATTTCCTGTTTCCATTAGTGGTACTATATATTTTTTTCAACCAAAGTAGAAAATGTGGCGTCATCTTTGACTCTGCATTTTCCTCAATTCAAATCAAATGCTATAATAC
Source organism: Homo sapiens (assembly GCF_000001405.40). NCBI lineage: Eukaryota > Metazoa > Chordata > Mammalia > Primates > Hominidae > Homo > Homo sapiens. Next base: position 25,679,004 of record NC_000012.12, on the reverse strand, counting down.
TTTCTTAATATCATATTAATTACTTATTTGTTTCAGGCACATTGCTAAGTATACATGAGGTACATTTTTGCAATTGATTTTTCAACTACATGCTGCGTTATTCTTATTTTACAGATTAAAAAACAGAAACTTTGAGGTTCACAGCTAAGTGACAAGGTCAGTATTTGACTCAAGCCCGTTTGTTTTCAAAGCTAGTGTCTTGATATGTCTTTTCAATTTATCCTCTCCTCTCTGTTTCCATTGCTGGTGCCCTAGTTCTGGTCACTGTGGTAGAAGCTCTGTCAGCAATCCCCAGTTAGTCAAGTCACCTTATTAACTATACTCTCCCATCCTCTTTCACACTGGTCAGTGAAGTCTGGTAGGGAGTGATACGTTGGGTTTTCCTGGTTCCATCAATTTATCTGTGAGTTTGCAAAGAAACACTTGTATTTTGTTTAGAAACTAGTCTATGCAGTTGTGCTTATTATGTTACAAAATTTAATTAAGTACTATGTAAACCAATGCATATGAATGTAAATGACAGCTCTTCCTATGAAAATTAAATGGAAGACTTTGGAGAGACTTGAAGAGAGTGAGCAGCTTAAAATATTATAATCCAACCAAGTATTGGGAAAGAGAAACCAAAAATGGTTGTGAAAAACTGTGTAAAAATGTCTGGAAGATTCTGCACTCAGATTGCCTTTGGCTGCAATTTAACAAAACAGAAACAAAAATGTGAATGTAGCTTATACAAGAAAAATGGTAGAAAACTCTAATTAGCAGACCTGTATTCAAAGTAAGAGTCTCTGCATTCTGTCATACAATTACTGGATGAATGTGCCCACATATGTCTTAGGTGAAAGTATAATGTGTAAGAGAAGTGTGTATCATTTTATTCCCTGCTTTAACAATTTTTACAAATGACTGACCACATTCAGTTCCCAATTTCATTTATCAAGAGACCTTCTACCTTATCTCCCATTATCTTCCAGACAGTAACAATACCTTTTATCTGAACCTCTAGTCTTCAGTCATCATTTCTCCATTCAGTTAACAAATATTTTTAGCAGCCTACTTTGCAGACATCATTAACCAGAATTACCTGCTTAAAACTCAGATCTATGCCCATCACTCCCTTATTCACAAAAACCAGATGACTTCCCATTGTCTACAATGAAGCTGAAAGTACTCAGAATACTACAGACTGCAATGATCTGATTTCCCCCAACCTTTTTGGCCTCAGCTCCTAAGACAGCACTCCATACGCCCTGAGCTTCAGTCATTCGTACTCTTGCTGGTGCCCACATAACACCATGCCTTTCAGCATTCATTCAGAGAGCACTTGTGGTGAACTCCACACTGGTATCTCACATACTTTAACTCACTGTTGAAAATAGTCGTTTATGGTGGGAAATATATTGTTCATAGAAATTATACCTCAGAAAATGCTGAAAGAACTGAATAAATTTAATTGAATAAATTTCAAGTTGTAATGTCAAGAATATTGCACAACATACAAGGTGGGTTGGGTGAGGAAGTGCTAACTTGTCTTCAATAATCAGAAGTTTAGATTTTCTTCATACTCAAGATAATTTAGCAAAGGTTTAAAAGTCTGCATGGAATGCTCCCTGGTGTCCACTCAGGAAAAGTGCCTGGTTCCTGGGTGACAGATATCAATGGACTGTTGTGTCATTGTCCTTATAAGTCTTCTCTTGCCCTCGTTCATTCTTACCCTAGGAGGCCTTTGCCTGTGGATTGTCTTAGCTGCCACTGATGCAGTGAACTCTTAAAATGCCATTGAGCCAGAGCATCTTCGTTAGCTCTATTCTCTTTTCAATTGCTTTTGTATGTTTTCACTTGGCAAATCTAACATTCCAGAGTTTAAAACTGAACTTCCCCCGACAAACTCATCATCCTCTGCTTTCTGTCTGTGGAACCATCATCTCCAAGGTGTTGGATTTATCCATGGCTCTTGGGTGGGGGGCATGATTTGCTCTTTGCTCTTCCTTAGCCCACGACTAGTTGCCAATTATTTCTTCCCATAAAGAATGAATGTTAAGGGCTTTGAAAACTGTAAGAGGACTCAGCCCTTTATGGTCCAACTACTCAAAATATTTGTCTACACTCATTGTATTCATTTTACCTCCTGTTCACGTCTCAACCAGAGTAATATGGCTCCTGTCCCATAAATTTTACTGAAGTTGTTCTCATCAAGGTCTCCAATCACTTTCTTAGTGCTAAATTTAGCAGCCATCTTTCAGTTATTAACCTAACTTGTTGTGGAGTTAGATATTTAGACCAGTCTTTCTACTTGAAATGAATTCTCAGCCTCTATGACACCTCTTTACATCTCAGGCTGCTTCAACATACACTTCTTTTTAGGTTCCTGTCTTCTGCCATTTCAAAATATCTGTCTGTTCTTCACAATTCTAATTCTTCTTGTCTTCTCCCTCTACACACTCCTCTAGCAATCTCCTCAGTTTCCCAGGTTTAATTACCACCACGATGACAATGAACACTGGCTCTGTATCTCCAGCCCTGTTATTCATCTGACCTGTGAAATGCAGCTATCTAACTGCCTGTGGCCATCTCCTCTTGAATATTTCACAGGTACCTGGACTTTGATCTGCCTGAAACTGAATTTACAAAAATGCAAGAGTGCTCCTCCTCTTACTTTCCCTATCTTAGTTAATGCTACCATTGATTATCCATTTGTTCAAGCCTAAACCATAGAAATAAGTCTTGACTCTCCATCTTCCTCATCATCTTTCCAATCAATATCAAAGCTGTGTCAATGATACTTTTGAAAAATTTCTGAAATCTATCCACTGTCTCCATCACTTCTGCATTATTGTGGTTCAACCCACGGTAATATCTCCCATAGATTTCTGCAACAGTCTTCCAAATGGGCTCCCTGCCTCCATGCTGGCCTCTCTCCAAACTTTTCCACATAGCAGCAAAATACTTCTGTCTTAACATACACATTTAACCACATCACTTCCCATCTTTTCTGTTGATGCCTCTGCGCTGCCCTCAGTGTTAATTCTAATCTCTTTCACACAGTTTAAGGAGCTCTTTGTGGTCAAGCCTGCTCTCCTGCTGAGACCCTCTCTTGCCACTCCCTCACACTCTGTTATGCATCTTAAGTTTCCAGACTGCTCAACTTCTCTGCCTGTGAACTTTGACCATCCCCATGAATCTGTTCCCCTCTATCAGGCTCTCCTCTCTGCCTATGATCTCTGACACTTCCCCCTGCAAATTATTTATTCAACATATTTTTGAACACTGATTATGTCCCAGATGCTATTCCAGGCCCTAAGACCACCACAGGGAGCAAGGCAGGCCCATCACTGCACTCATAAGGCTCAGTGTCAACTGGACAGATGGACAAGCACACTTAGGTCATTGCAGATCTTTATGATAAGGGGAGACAGAGGGACCCCCACGAGCCTGGATGAAGGTGTCTCACTCAGGCTGGGAACAGAAGGCTGCTTCCTAAGGGCAATGTTATTTAGAGTGTTAGACTTGAGACAGAGAAGTAGAAAGCTAAGAAGCCAGCAACTTTAAGAAAGACTTTAAAATGTACATCATTATGATGACTTTAATTTTTTCATTTTCCTTCTCACTCTTCTTAACTCTTGTCCCTTTCACATCCCAGTCCATTCTTTAAATAAACACTTTGGTTGATTCTTAATGTACCCCTAGAAATTAACTATTTTTTCTTCATTTGTGGCAACCATGTTCATACAAGCACACCCTGGCCTGTGGCAAGCCCACCAGCTCCCCTTCTTCAAGTCTCTCCTCAAGGTAAAAATGAAGAGACTTCATCATGTATAATAGTCACATCATCTTCCATCTCTTGGGGAAAGCTATCAGCTAAGTTGTAGCTAACTAGGGCCATGCACAGGTGTTCCTTTTCATCCTTCTGCTGTACCCATTTTCCAATTGCCCATCTGTATTTCCACATTTTCAAATTGTCTACAATGTCAAATTGTCCAAATCATTTATCTAAGAGGTAGACAACCCATGATATCCCTCCTTGGTCCAAAATGATACAGCATAGATGAGGTTTAAGAAGGCTTTCCTTATAGCTTTGAAATTCATAGCAGACCTCAGGCTCTCCAGATTAGCATAATGGTGAGGTTTCTAGACTTTCTTTGAGCTTTATTCTAGGCCAAGCTTCTCTAACCCGTGGCCCGTGGGCTGCATGCAGCCCAAGATGGCTTTGAATGTGGCCCAACACAAATTTGTTAACATTATGAGACTTTTGTAGTTTTTTTTTTTTTTCTCATCAGTTACCATTAGTGTTAGTGTATTTTATTTGTAGCCCAAGACAATTCTTCTTCCAATGTAGCCCGGGGAAGCCCAAACTGGACACCCGCTGTACTAGGCCACAACAGTACCTTTTACATATAGTAAAAATTATTAATCAACTAATCTTGTCCCACAAATCTCTTACCTTTCTACTTTTAAAAATACATAGCACATTAAAAAAAAATTAGTTCCCTGAGGAATTGTTAGTTTACATAGCCCTCCCAGTCAGTCAAATAGTGGTCCCCATTTTAAAAGATTTTAATAAGATAAAAAATATACTAGGACAAATTTGTGGTTACCCAACCTCCCATTCTTCCTGTGGTAAAGAAGAGGGTGGCCTTGGCTGGATGCGGTGGCTCGTGCCTGTAATCCTGGTACTTTGGGAACCTGAGCCAGGTGGATCACCTGAGGTCAGGAGTTCGAGACCAGCCTGGCCAAAATGGTGAAACCCCATCTCTACTAAAAGTACAAAAATTAGCTGGGTATGTTGGCGGGTACCTGTAATCCCAGCTACTCAGGAGGCTGAAGCAGGAGAATCGCTTGAACCCGGGAGGCGGAGGTTGCAGTGAGCCAAGATCGCACCACTGCACTCCAGCCTGGGCGACAAGAGTGAGACTCTATCACAAAAAAAAAAAGAGGGTGGCCTTACCTGTGATTGGTCAGTGGCTGCAGGTGACTCTGCCTTGCATGGGGAAGGTCATTATTTTCCTCAATCACTACTGCCTGAAGATTCTAAAGCAGTGAGGGTGCTTATGTATAGCAGGAAACTAATTACTTCATTTCATTCTTTTGTTGGATCGTTCTTCTACTCACTTGCAAATAATCTTCCCTTTCCTTTAACAGCGTCTCTCTGAGGAGATCAACAACAGCACATTCATCAAAAGAGCTGCAGTAGGATCCCAGGAGACAATGGAAGGCTGGGACCAGGGGAGCCAGGCTAAAGATCAGCCTCCATGGCTCCTGGGTAATTGGCCTCCCCATCTCTCCAAAGGGAGCTCTTAACCGATGCAGATGGAGACTTCCATTTAATTCCTTGTATGTAGAAAAAAATAAATAATATGTAATTGTTTCACCCATAAAAGGAGCCATGTTTTTATAACAATGACAATTCAGGGCATTTGAGAGTCATTATTGGTAGTTCTTGGGGACTTTATAAGCAATCATTTCCTTGATCTGAAGCAAAAGAAGAATCAGAACATAAGGCTGCTTTTAAAATTTTTGTTTCAGGGGGTAAAAAAGACTGCACCTGAGTTTTTTTAGCCATAGGCATCTTTGTGATAACACTGGACACAAGATGCTCTATGCATCCGTGACCTGTAAAGCCAATAACACTTTAGCCATTTTTGACGCCCTTTCACAGAGAACTTAGTTAATAAAGACAAATCTTGGCAAAGGCAGTTAATGGTACCAAGACGTAAATACTTTTAAATACTATCTGGCAGCTGTTGATACTATAAAATGACTAGAAATTTCAAAAAAGGCTTATTCATTCTGAGAGAGATTCTATGTGTATTGTTCTTTAACGTTTCTAGTATACATTTAGACATTTAAGAACAGAGCTGCCAAGGATGGGATCTGATCACAGAAGTGAGTAGGGGTGAATAGGGCCAAAATCCAGCTAGTGTCCCAGACAACAATTCCCATGGCCTGGCTTCCTCTAGTGCATATATATTGACTAGTGAAAACTACGTTTAAGAGACTGAATAATAGAAAACTGACAAATAATCCAAACATCCAATAATAAGGTACTCATTGAAAAATATGCATAGAAACCATAAATGTAATCATTAAAACAAGGGCATATATGTATATAACTAAATGAAAAAGCAGGCAATAAAATAAAATATATGCTGGGCATGGTGGCTCATGCCTGTAATCCCAGCACTTTGGGAGGCCGAGGCAGGCAGATCACCAAAGGTCAAGAGTTTGAGACCAGCCTGTCCAACATGGTGAAACCCCGTCTCTTCTAAAAATACAAAAAAAATTTAGCCAGGGTTGGTGGTGTGTGCCTGTTATCCCAGTTACTCGGGAGGCTGAGGCATGAGAATTGCTTGAACCTGGGAAGCACAAGCTGCAGTGAGCCGAGATCACACCACTGCACTACAGCCTGGGCGACAGAATGAGACTCTGTCTCAAAAAAATAGTAATAATAAAATAAAATATATAACCCCATTTTGTTAAAGTATATGTAAATACACAGCAATATAAACATATACATATGTATACATGTCTGTGTGTATGTATACACACATACATTCTACCACCTATCAATTCAGGGGAAAAAAATGAAAGAATACATACTAAAACATTGACTGAATTTACTCTGTCTGATTAGTTTGGAGTGACTTGACTTTTTAGTTATTTTGATTAAAATGTACTGTTTCATTTGTGTGTGTGTCTGTGTGTGTATGAGATACAGTTATTTTTTACGTAATAAAAAGTAACAACTAATAATTGTTATTTTAAAAGAGATAGATACTATGAGCTAAAAATCGACAATAACTTTTAAAATAATCTGGGCCAGTCATAAGGGAAGTCTAAACAATCCAAGGACAGAGTATAATTCACTGTTTGATTTGGCCAGTTTTCTAACTATAATTATTATAGCTTTATGATAACATTTTCATAAGCCAAGAATAGGTGTTAAAGTGAATCATCAATTTATAAAGGTAATTATAAAGTAATTCTACTCTGATATTGATTGCATTTAATGATCCTATTCAGAAGAGTAATACTATACTTCCTTCACTCTAAGTGATTTATTACTACACTGTTCAAAGAGATATAGTATATAAAAGCATTAGGCATTTGGGACTCTACCTTAGTTTTATTAGGAAAATTAGGGAAAAAAAATGTGTTTACATGTGGCTTGTATTCCCTGACTTCTCCCTTTGGGATAATTACATTCTGGTTAATCCTTGAAGAAGAGGCCAAGGTTGGTATTTACCAAGCACATATCATAGTATTTTTCGGGCGTTGTACTGGTATATTTAATATTCACACAATCCTGTGAGGCAGGTTTTTACATTTTAAGAGATTGAGGCTCAGGGAGTTCTAACTTCTCTGTGGCCACAAAGCTAGGAAGCTGGTGATACCAAAATTCAAACTCAAGCCTTTCTGACTCCAAAGATTCTGTTCTTTCCAATCGGTCAGAGTTGTAACATCCTATGGTGATAGATTGTACTATTTTTCAGAATTATTCAATCTCCTTTTACCATAAGGAGATCATATCTCCTGCCTCGTTTACTCTGGGCATGGCCGTGTAACTTGCTTTGACCCTTGGAGTGTGAGTGGATGTGATGAATACCACATCATTTTAGAGGCATCAGGGGTTTCTGTTAACTCACTTGCACTTTTCTCTGTGCCATATGAATGTGGCAAAACTTTAGAGGGAAGGAGGAGAAAGAGATTATGTTTATCCCCTGTACACACACTGCTCCCTTCCTGCCTCTTGGAGTTCTAGGCTGGCTGCATTCCTCTAAGGCCACAGGGCATCTGCAGCTCTAGCTCCAATAACACCTTTACACCTAAGAATGATCATGATTTCTCATTCATTGATGCTCTGCCATCCCTTGCCTTCTTCACCCAGTCTGTATCTCTGTAAGTAGTTCCTTTATGATACTCTCTTCAGGATTAAGCCCTTTGAGTGGATCATCTTTTCCTGAGATGTCCCTGATGATAAAGAAGCCCAATCAGACTTTTAAACATGATGCAGAACAGAAATCAGTATCAAACGCTGGAGGCCATAGAGAACCAGAATCAAAGAGATGAGAGGGAGGAATCATGAGTCATAGAGTCCTGTGAGCAGTTTCTATGGATCAGGTACTAAGTGCTTCACATGCATGGCATTTAAACCTCACAATGACCCAGTGAGTTAATAGGATAACTACCAAATTTTATAGGTGAGAGAGTGGTTAAGTAATTTGTTGTGGTCACTCTTTAGTCATTGGCAGAGCTAAGATTTGAATCCCAAGTCTATTGCTTCCCAAACCCAGGCTCCTAACCATCTACTATACTTAACTTTCTATTACAGAAACAAGACCTATAGTTTACTGCTTGCTTTACATACTTGCAAGGCTTGGTATGTGTTATGGTTAGCTGTCTTTAAAGGGCAGATAGGGGGCAGGTATTTTGGCGATAGTCAGCAAATGTATCTGAGTGTTGATGAGTCCAGTGTTGAAAGGCTGTCATGGAAACACCTGACACCCTTCTCTGTGTCACTTCCTTCTCTCAAAGCTTAGGCAACTCCTTATTGGCCTCCAGATAAAATCCAGTCTCCTTTGCCTGTCCTTTCCTGTTCTCTGCAACTGTGCCACATCTACCTTTCCAGAATTGTCTTCTACCAGTCACACACTCAACATGCTTCAATCAAACAGACTCACTCTTTGTGGTTCACTGGTTTCTTCATGAAGTTGCTTTTGCTCCATTTTTTTCCGCTGCAAAGCCCTCTTGAGCCCTTCCGGCCCTTAAAATCACTTAAAAGCTACTCCCTCCAAACCAATCTCTCCTTATTACCCAATGACAAGCCATCATCTCTCCCTACTCTTAATATTAACAGCTTCGTTTTACTACTTTTGCTGCACATATTATACACAATAATTTTAGTTGTCTGTGTTCTCTTTTACTTTCCTATCAGATATCAGGAGCTTAGACAATGGGGAAAGCTAAACTGTGTGAAACAGAACCCCTAACCCAAGGAGAACCGTCAACACAAAGATCTCTAAACACCAGTGCCTCTATGTACTTAATGTGGCAAATGATCAATACTTTGGGCATTTAAGAGAGTGAATGTTCACATTTAGGTGAGGGGACCAAAGAAGTTTTCTTGAAAAAAAAAAATGCCATTTGGGATATACCTGGAAGTCTGGCAGGGCTGTCAAATGGCATAAATTGGGAGGCTCATTCTTTGAGGATTCTATGGAGCATGAAATGGCTTTAAGAATATTGCCTCCATTGTGCTCAACCATGCCTCCAGTGTTTAATGATACTAATAATAGCATATTTCATTTACTGAGTGCTCAACACATGTCAGAGATTGTGTTAGACACTCCCTTTTATACATTATCTCATTTAATTCTCATAAGAGCATTTAAGATGACAAAAATCAGTGCTTGAAGAGATTTAGCAACTTTTCCAAGGTGGACCAATTAGTCAGTGGTGGAGGTGAATCTTATACCCACGTCTAACTGATTACAAAGTCTAGATGACTAAATGAGGCCACATTGCCTTTATTTTTCCAACCTGACATTTTACAAAATCCTTCTTTATTTATCTACAACTGACATTCCAGGGAAAATGCAGTCCCTTAAAAGTCATATGGAGTCAATACAATCCTTAAATAATATTTATAAACTGACAAATTTTAAGGAATCTAGCTGTATACAATGCAACTCTGCAGAGTTTTGTGGGTTTTTTTTTTTTAAACAGTATTCTGAAACAACATTCTAACTATCTTATGACTTTTATATTGGGGCATTAAGGTTGTGGCTCTTTAATCTGAGGTACACAACAAATTCCAAAATCTCTGAGTGATGATATAGCTCTTCACGTGAAATATTTTCTAAAACTAAAATATGGTCCCCCAGTAATTATGTGAGTCACCATTCAAACTGAGGTCTCCGTTTAAATTCAAACCTGTATCTAGTAAATGAGATTTCAAAAGTTGCTCTTTGCTATTTTTATCGGGATAAAAATGTGACAGCACTTTCCAAGTCTACAATGAAATTAAGTTCAGGGATATGAAACTGTTATACATTGTGGAATATGAGAGACATTTACCGAAAACAATGAGCTTCTATTTTCCAGGTGCTCAGACACTCCAGTAATAAGCATTAACACACCGGAGTTGCCTGGGTGTGAGTTATAAACTAGCATGAGCTGAAAAGGAGATGTCGGTATTTTTTCATTGTTGTTAAATCATAAAAACATTTATTTCCCAGATGTTATGAAATGTTTTCTGTGCCCTGTGTGAAAACAGTAACGAATTTTCATACCAACAAAATATGACTTGAGGACAGATTGCTAGCAACATCTGTTAAAATGAGAGAGAGAGAGAGAGAGAGAGAGAGAGAGAGAGAGAGAGAGAGAGAGAGAGAGCACACAAGCACACACTTCCCAGGGGCAGAATCTTACCTACTGATAGGCAAAAGACTGGCAGGTGTCCTTCAATTACAGCACTGCCAAACAGAACATTCTCCATAAAACCTCTTGTTAGCTGCATTGTATTGGTGCAGAGCAGCAGCTCTGGAGAACCATAGGAAAATGTTAGTTTTAGCACACACTGCTAAAAATTTTGGGGGAAAAAAATCACATCTGAAAGACATAAAGTTTGGAATTATCCAGACTTTCACTCAGTTCAGAACTACCAGTAGCCGGAAGCAAAAGGGCAGTGGAAAATGAAGCATTTGCAAGTTTGTCAAATTGCTATTTATGTATGCATCAACGTATGGACTTTTTGGCAATTCGCAGACATTTTTGAGATCATATATTTTTGTAAGAAATGGAGAGGGCTGAAAATGTTTCCCAGAATGACCACAATAGACTATTGTCACACTTGACAGACCATGAAGTGGGTAAAAGTATGATTTGTTTAAACTATTGTTCACGTTCTAGACAATGCCAACTAACATCATGAATGTTAGTAGCTTGGTAAATGTAGCTTATCTGACTGAGCAATACCAACCATTCTGGTTTTCTTGGGACTGAGGGGTTTCCCCAGGACAAGAGACATTCAGTTCCACTGAAATGGCCACTAAAGTAGTATAGTCCCAGAAAAATGGTGGTTGGTGACCACCATAATAAGACAAAGTATTTTAGTTTCTGTCTTATATGCCAAATTCATATGAAATTTAAAAGTGCAAAGGAAAACAAAAACCTTGCTCTATTATTTTTAAGCCACAAACTTATGTTCAATTTTTTAAATTACAAGTTTATTGAAATAATTTAAGTGATTGTTTTAAAAAGTAAAATAACACAATAAAATATTTCTTTAGTAAACTGAAGATGTTTTTATAGCTCGTAAGAAACAGTGGAATCATTTCATCACTCTAAAGAGTTTCAAAACTTTTGCTTTAAAAATAAATAAACTAACAAAAAAAGCATGAAATAAAATGACTCCTGAAAATGAATAGAGCAAAGGAGAGGCTATAATGATATGAGCCAGAGCCAACGCATTGGTGATGCTAGTGGTAATTTTGATTGGGGCTCTGACCTGAGATAAATTAAAAACAAGGGTTCAAAGAAGCTTTGAGGCACTGTTGTATTGGGGGATAGAGAAGATAGCTGCACATGTGAATTGCTGAAAGAAATGATGGGACAGGATGGGATGAACCACTCTGTGCCACTTCCTTAAACTGGAGCCTCCTTGACAAAAGGACAAGCCACAACTGAAGTGGAAAGACTAGGTTAATAGAACCTTAGTAAGATTCACCAAGACCTGAAGATCATCCTCTTTTTGTACTTCAGAGTACAGCTTCAGGCAATTCTGTTTATTGCATCAGAGCTTAATAATAGCTGGGTGGTTTGAAAAAATACATTTTAGAAGGAACAGTGCACATGTTTGTTATTAATTTTAATTTAAAATATAAGGAGTTCTATTTTAATTATTTGCTTTTATATTGTGCCTGCTGTGGGAAAATGGAAAATGACTAACTTTTATCAAATGAAAGGAGGCGGATGCAAAGCAATATGGCTTTTGCAGCTTTTACTTTTTTTAAGCATGTTTTATATACACTGAGAAAAAACAAGTAAATTAAACATACTAAATGTTATTAATGTAAGTTATTTTGGGGTGGCAAAATAATAAATTTTTATTTTATTTTTTATTATGTCTAATTCCTCTAAATTTTTAGAGTAAAATAATAATTTATCAATGTAATAATAAAGTATTATAAGTAATAATTTACCAAACATTATGTTCCAAGGAAAATAAACCACTGTGATTACTTTCAATATCTATTAGAGAAAGTGAGCTATTAATAAGCATTTTTTTTTTTTTTTTGAGACGGAGTCTCGCTCTGTCACCCAGGCCGGACTGCGGACTGCAGTGGCGGAATCTTGGCTCACTGCAAGCTCCGCTTCCCGGGTTCACGCCATTCTCCTGCCTCAGCCTCCCGAGTAGCTGGGACTACAGGCGCCCGCCACTGCGCCCGGCTAATTTTTTGTATTTTTAGTAGAGACGGGGTTTCACCTTGTTAGCCAGGATGGTCTCTATCTCCTGACCTCATGATCCACCCGCCTCAGCCTCCCAAAGTGCTGGGATTACAGGCGTGAGCCACCGCCCCCGGCCTTAATAAGCATTTTTTGACTATTGGGTACAAATAAAGAAGAAGGCATGACCCATGCTCTCAAAAAGTGTAAAATATAGCAGGTAAAGAAAAAATCATAAATATTTATGATGATTAAGGCCAATGTGATTCATTTTGTGATTAAAAAGGATATTGTTATTCAAGTTTATGTATTAAAACATTAATTTTGATATTCTTTTGTGGCATATACTACTTTATACATACATTGAAAAATATCACTGATTATTAGAATCTGCCTAGAGTATGAAATATATTTAAGAACCCCCCTTCCAAAAAAAGCTTTATGCATATTTTCAAAATAGCATTCAGGGGATCCTGTTCCAAGATGGCCAAATAGGAACAGCTCCAGTCTGCAGCTCCCAGCATGATCAACACAGAAGACAGGTGACTTCTGCATTTCCAACTGAGGTACCTGGTTCATCTCACTGGGACTAGTTGAACAGTGGGTGCAGCCCACGGAGGGTGAGCCGAATTAGTGCAGGGCATCGCCTCACCTGAGAAGCTCAAGGGGTTGGGGGATTTCCCTTTCCTAGCCAAGGGAAGCCATGACAGACAGAACCTGGAAAAACGGGACATGCAGGCGGGTGCCCCTCTGGGAAAAAGCTTCCAGAGGAAGGATCAGGCAGCAATATTTGCTGTTCTGCAGCCTCTGTTGGTGATACCCAGGCAAACAGGGTCTGGAGTGGACCTCCAGCAACCTCCAACAGATCTGCAGCTGAGGGACCTGACTGTTAGAAGGAAAACTAACAAACAGGAAGGAATAGCATCAACATCAACAAAAAGGACATCCACACCAAAACCCCATCTGTAGGTCACCATCATCAAAGACAAAAGGTAGATAAAACCACAAAGATGAGGAGAAACCAGAGCAGAAAAGCAGAACATTCTAAAAACCAGAGCGCCTCTTCTCCTCCAAAGGATTGCAGCTCCTCACCAGCAACAGAACAAAGCTGGACAGAGAATGACTTTGACGAGTTGACAGAAGTAGGCTTCAGAAGGTCGGTAATAACAAACTGCTCCGAGCTAAAGGAGGATGATCGAACCCATTGCAAGGAAGCTACAAATCTTGAACAAAGATTAAATGAATTGCTCACTAGAATAAACAGTGTAGAGAAGACCTTAAATGACTTGATGGAGCTGAAAACTATGGCATGCACAAGCTTCAATAGCCGATTCAATCAAGTGGAAGAAAGGGTATCAGTGATTGAAGATCAAATGAATCAAATAAAGTGAGAAGAGAAGTTAAGAGAAAAAAGAGTAAAAAGAAATGAACAAAGCCTCCAAGAAATATGGGACTATGTGAAATGACCAAATCAACATTTGATTGGTGTACCTGATAGTGACGGGGAGAATGAAACCAAGTTGAAAACAGTCTTCAGGATATTATCCAGGAGAACTTCCCCAACCTAACAAGGCAGGCCAACATTCAAATTCAGGAAATACAGAGAGCACCACAAAGATAGTTCTCAAGAATAGCAACTCCAAGACACACAATTGTCAGATTCACCAAAGTTGAAATGAAGGAAAAAATGTTAAGGGCAGCCAGAGAGAAAGGTTGGGTTGCCAAAAAAGGGAAGCCCATCAGACTAACAGCAGATCTCTTGGCAGAAATTTTACAACCCAGAAGAGAGTGGGGGCCAAAATTCAACATTCTTAACGAAAAGAATTTTCAACCCAGAATTTCATATCCAGCCAAACTAAGCTTCATAAGTGAAGGAGAAATAAAATTCTTTACAGACAAGCAAATGCTGAGAGATTTTGTCACCACCAGGTCTGCCTTACGAGAGCTCCTGAAGGAAGCACTAAACATGGAAGGGAACAACCGGTACCAGCCACTGCAAAAACGGGCCAAATTGTAAAGATCATCAATGCTAGGAAGAAGTTGCATCAACTAACGGGCAAAATAACCAGCTAACATCATAATGACAGGATCAAATTCACATGTAACAATATTAACCTTAAATGTAAATGAGCTAAATGCCCCAATTAAAAGACACAGACTGGCAAATTGGATAAAGAGTCAAGACCCATCAGTGTGCTGTATTCAGCAGACCCATCTCACGTGCAGAGACACACATAGGCTCAAAATAAAGGGATGGAGGAAGATCTACCAAGAAAATGGAAAACAAAAAACATCAAGGGTAGCAATCCTAGTCTCTGATAAAACAGACTTTAAACCAATGAAGATCAAAGAGACAAAGAAGGCCATTACATAATGGTAAAGGGATCAATTCAACAAGAAGAGCTAACTATCCTAAATAAATATGTACCCAATACAGGAGCACCCAGATTCATAAAGCAAGTCCTGAGAGACCTACAAAGAGGCTTAGACTCCCACACAATAATAATGGGAGACTTTAACACCTCACTGTCAGTATTAGACAGATCAATGAGACAGAAGGTTAACAAGGATATCCAGGACCTGAACTCAGCTCTGCACCAAGTGGACCTAATAGACATCTACAGAACTCTCCACCCCAAATCAACAGAATATACATTCTTCTCAGCACCAAATCACACTTATTCCAAAATTGACCACATAGTTGGAAGTAAAGCAGTCCTCAGCAAATGTAAAAGAACAGAAATTATAACAAACTGTCTCTCAGACCGCAGCGCAATCAAACTAGACTCAGGATTAAGAAACTCACTCAAAACTGCTCAGCTACATGGAAACTGAACAACCTGCTCCTGAATGACTACTGGGTACATAACGAAATGAAGGCAGAAATAAAGATGTTCTTTGAAACCAAGGAGAACAAAGACACAATGAACCAGAACCTCTGGGACACATTTAAAGCAGTGTGTAGAGGGAAATTTACAGCACTAAATGCCCACAAGAGAAAGCAGGAAAGATCTAAAATTCACACCCTAACATCACAATTAAAAGAACTAGAGAAGCAAGAGCAAGCATATTCAAAAGCTAGCAGAAGGCAAGAAATAACTAAGATCAGAGCAGAACTGAAGGAGATAGAGACACAAAAAACCCTTCAAAAAATCAATGAATCCAGGAACTGGTGTTTTGAAAAGATCAACAAAATTGATAGACTTCTAGCAAGATTAATGAAGAAGAAAAGAGAGAAAAATCAAATAGATACAATAAAAAATGATACAGAGGATATCACCACCAATCCCACAGAAATACAAACTACTATCAGAGAATATCATAAACACCTCTACATAAATAAACTAGAAAATCTAGAAGAAATGGATAAATTCCTGGACACATACACCCTCCCAAGACTAAACCAGGAAGAAGTGGAATCTCCAAATAGACAAATAACAGGCTCTGAAATTGAGGGAATAGTTAATAGCCTTCCAACCAAAAAAAGTCCAGGACCAGACAGATTCACAGCCGAATTCTACCAGAGGTACAGAGAGAAGCTGGTACCATTCCTTCTGAAACTATTCCAATCAACAGAAAAAGAGACAGTCCTCCCTAACTCATTTTATGAGGCCAGCATCATCCTGATACCAAAGCCTGGCAGAGACACAACAAAAAAAGAGAATTTTAGACCAATATCCCTGATGAACATCGATGCAAAAATCCTCGATAAAATACTGGCAAACCGAATCCAGCAGCACATCAAAAATCTTATCAACCACGTTCAAGTCAGCGTCATCCCTGGCATGCAAGGCTGGCTTAACATATGCAAATCAATAAACTTAATCCATTACATAAACAGAACCAAAGACAAAAACCACATGATTATCTCAATAGATGCAGAAAAGGCCTTTGACAAATTCAACAGCCCTTCATGCTAAAAACTCTCAAAAAACTAGGTATTGATGGAACATATCTCAAAATAATAAGAGCTATTTATGACAAACCCACAGCCAATATAATACTTAATGGGCAAAAACTGGAAGCATTCCCTTTGAAAACCAGAACAAGACAGGGATGCCCTCTCTCACCACTCCTATTCAACACAGTGTTGGAAGTTCTGGCCAGGGCAATCAGGCAAGAGAAAGAAATAAAGGGTATTCAATTAGGAAAAGAGGAAGTCAAATTGTCCCTGTTTGCAGATGACATGATTGTATATTTAGAAAACCCCATCGTCTCAGGCCAAAATCTGCTTAAGTTGATAAGCAACTTCAGCAAAGTCTCAGGATACAAAATCAATGTGCAAAAATCACTAACATTCCTATACACCAATAACAGACAAACAGATAGCCAAATCATAAGTGAACTCACATTCACAATTGCTACAAAGAGAATAAAATACCTAGGAATCCAACTGACAAGGGATGTGAAGGACCTCTTCAGGGAGAACTACAAACCACTGCTCAATGAAATAAAAGAGGACACAAACAAATGGAAGAACATTCCTTGCTCATGGATAGGAAGAATCAATATCATGAAAATGGCCATATTGCACAAGGTAATTTATAGACTCAATGCCTTCTCTATCAAGCTACCAATGACTTTTTTCACAGAATTGGAAAAAACTACTTTAAAGTTCATAGTGAACCAAAAAAGAGCCTGCATTGCCAAGACAATCCTAAGCAAAAAGAACAAAGCTGGAGGCATCATGCTACCTAACTTCAAACTACACTACAAGGCTACAGTAACCAAAACAGAATGGTACTGGTACCAAAACAGAGATATAGACCAATGGAACAGAACAGAGCCCTCAGAAATAATGCTGCATATCTACAACCATCTGATCTTTGACAAACCTGACAAAAACAAGAAATGGGGAGGGGATTCCCTATTTAATAAATGGTGGTGGGAAAACTGGCTAGCCATAGGTAGAAAGCTGAAACTGGATCCCTTCTTTACACCTTATACAAAAATTAATTCAACATGGATTAAAGACTTAAATGTTAGACCTAAAACCATCAAAACCCTGGAAGAAAACCTAGGCAATACCATTCAGTACATAGGCATGGGCAAGGCCTTCATGACTAAAACACCAAAAACAATGGTAACAAAAGCCAAAATAGACAAACAGGATCTAATTAAACTAAAGAGCTTCTGCCCAACGAAAGAAACTACCATCAGAGTGAACATACCACCTACAGAATGGGAGAAAATGTTTGCAATCTACCCATCTGACAAAGGGCTAATATCCAGAACCTACAAAGAACTTAAACAAAATTTTCAAGAAAAAAACAAACAACCCCATCAAAAAGTGGGCAAAGTATATGAACAGACACTTCTCAAAAGAAGACATTTATGCAGCCAACAGACACATGAAAAAATGCTCATCATCACCGGTCATCAGAGAAATGCAGATCAAAACCACAATGAGATACCATCTCACACCAGTTAGAATGGCGATCATTAAAATGTCAGGAAACAACAGATGCTGGAGAGGATGTGGAGAAATAGGAACGCTTTTACACTATTGGTGGGAGTGTAAATTAGTTCAACCATTGTGGAAGTCAGTGTGGCGATTCCTCAAGGATCTAGAACAAAAAATACCATTTGACCCAGTGATCCCATTATTGGGTATATACCCAAAGGATTATAAATCATACTTCTGTAAAGACACATGCACACGTATGTTTATTGCAGCACCATTCACAACAGCAAAGACTTGGAACCAACCCAAATGTCCATCAGTGATAGACTGGATTAAGAAAATGTGGCACATATACACCCTGGAATACTATGCAGCCAAAAAAAGGATAAGTTCATGTCCTTTGCAGGGACATAGATGAAGCTGGAAACCATCATTCTGAGCAAACTATCACAAGGACAGAAAACCAAACATCACAACTTCTCACCCATAGGTGGGAATTGAACAGTGAGAACACTTGGACACAGGGAGGGGAACATCACACACCGGGGCCCATCGTCAGGTGGGGGGCTGGGGGAGGGATAGCATTAGGAGAAATAGCCAATGTAAATGATGAGTTAATGGGTGCAGCAAACCAACATGGCACATGTATACCATGTAACAAACCTGCACATTGCACACATGTATCCTAGAACTTAAAGTATAATTAAAAAAAAAAAAAAAGAAAAAGAAATCATTCAGTCCAAAAGAATCCAGTTTGCCCCAAACATTTACAAATGCTCACCCTCCCTTCAATCACTTTCACTCTCTTCATTTGTTAC
The DNA here is from genome assembly GCF_000001405.40 of Homo sapiens. NCBI lineage: Eukaryota > Metazoa > Chordata > Mammalia > Primates > Hominidae > Homo > Homo sapiens. The sequence goes on along the minus strand of NC_000012.12, from coordinate 25,660,341 downwards.
TCATCTTACTAATAGGCGTCTATGTTGAGCCTCCTTATTTTATGGAGTCATTGGAAAAACAAACCAAATGTGAAGAGAGAAAATGATTACATGTGCAGAGCTTTAAAAATCACTTTTGAATTTTAACCGAATCCACTGTGACTACAATTCTGATCATTGGATTCAGTCATTTTCATTTTAGACTGAGATAGACCAACAATGTGACATTTTTCTTTACCCTTCTGTAAAATGGAAAGAAAGTTGATTATGTTTCTTCCTTAAAGAGCTATCAAATGAAGGTGATGCTGTTTTCCACTTGCTGATAAAGGGTATCTCCTCTAAAACAAGGCTTTGTTAAAATTAAACATCAAGGTGATTTATAATAATTGGACACTATGTCTTTTAAGGATAAGATAGTCTTTTCTTCTGCATGAAAAAAATACGAATATAAAAAACAAGAGATCATTCTCTCAGTTTTCAACTGAGAAAACTGAGTTCTTGCTTTATTAGAAAGAAATCAAGCTTGCAATTGTTACTATGGCAACAAATTGTCAGTATGAACACTGGAGTTTCTCTGGCCTGGTTGATCACTAAACAGAAGGCAACAGAAGAACGATTTATTCATTATTTTTTTAATTAAAAACATTTTGCTTAAGAATCCATGTCTGTAAGTTCTCCAAGGTTGGGAATACAGGTGCAGTAATAAGAACCACATTACAAAAGTAAGTTAAGCCAGAGGATGTTAAGAAAGTGAATTAGACCTTGGGACAATGAGTTTGCCATTTGTAACCTGTTAGTGGCTGGCAGAGACCTCTTGGTTGGCCTCACTGGACTCTGATTTCCTTTACTTGGCCTTGTTGCCCTCTCTCTGGTATTCATTTCTCAGCTGGGAAATGCTGGGTTGGTGACAACATGTGGATAAAAATCCAATTATTCACCATTTAAAAAGTGTTTGTTGAGTACATGCTATATACCAGGCACTATTCAGCACCAGGGGGCACAGTGTTTGAATAAAGAAACAAAAATAATGCCTTCATGGACTCACATTCTTGTGAGAGAGACAGGCCAAAAACAACAACAACAAACAAACAAAACAGAGAAACTCATACATAATGTCAGATAGTAATAGCTGCTATGAAAAAAAAGTGAATTATATTAAAATAGTTGTAGAAAAATGTTTGAAAGAACAGGGAAATACTAAATCTTACAACATTTTACCTTACCTATAACTAGGCCTGATAGACATAGATTACATGTGAATATATTCATTCATTCATCTTTCTAAATAAATATGGACTGGATGGGAGCCTTCTATTTGCCAGACATTGGGATCACTCCTGGGAAGAGGGAAATATTGACCTGGTTTCAGAGATTGAAATACCATGAGCCCTTAATAAGGCTAATGAAAGTCTTCAATTTGAGACCTTTGATTTTTTTCAACTCCATATTTTATATCTCTCTTGGGTAAATTCCTTGACATTTTCCAAATATGCTTTATTGCTCTAAAAAATGCCTTTGGAATATTCTAATGCAGTTTCTTACAGAGAAAAGAAGGCTTAAACATTTTGCTCTCCGGCTTACAAGTTCTCACAGCAAGTTCCTTAAACATAAATGGATTTGAAGAGAATCTGTTTATATTTTCGTAAATGGCAGAGCCATTCCAACAACTAAGGGGAGCTTAAAGGTTTGGAGTGTGTATTCTGCTAAGGAGTCTACAAGACAGAGGCCCTGCCATGAGACTAAGAGAACTAAGAAAGGCCCTCCAGTTAGGAAGGATGACCAAGCCCTCCCTTCCCTGCCAAGGTTGGGCTGGCAACAGTGACTGAGCTGCATACCCTCTGGACCACCCAATGTGGCAATTTCTGTGTTCTTCCCAGGTTATAGTTATTCTTTATTGTCTCATAAAGAGCCTGGCACTGACTTGACAACTTTGTGGGACAGCATGTTGGCATCATATTTTTGTGTTGCCAGAAGCAACTCCAGTGATTGTGGTAGAGCAGGCCTGCTGCTTTTTTGATGATCAACATTTAGTATGGATTATAATTGAACTGTTCACTTTCTTTTCCTGGATTGAAGATCACATTCTGCAAATGATTCTAAAGTGCTTTATAAATACGAGGCAGCCATATTGAAATGTTGGTTTTTACAGTAGCTGGGGTTAAGTAAAACAGCGCAGGTTGATCACCAAGAAGTCTTCGGAAATCTGGATTCTAGACCACATAGATGAATTTTTAAGAATTACAAGCGGCTCTATCCTTCCTCTAGATGTTGTTTTGTTTTGTTTTTAGTTTTATTTTGTTTTAAGTGCTTGTTAAACTTCAGAATATCAGAGTTATGCCCTCTTGCCCTTGGGTTAATCTATCCCCAGTTGGAACTCAAGGCTGTTGTGTCAAATGACCTCGAGGACCTCATCAAGCTGAAAAGTTGACAAAGCGACACCCATAGAAGTTCTGATGAAACACTAAAAAAAGATTCACCCATGAGCTTGTCAGGCTGTAGCCCAGTGCTCGGATGTCTCTTCTACTTCCATTTCTCTTTCCCACCCCCGTTAATTCTCTTTACTCTGAAACCCTTTTGGTCCCTTCCAATTCACAGGATATTGGCAATGGGTCCACCATCACATTAGCATGAGCCCTTGGTGGTGGAACACCTTGTTTCAGCCCATTTCTCTTGACAGTACAGCCTGCATCAAAACAGGCAGCAGGAGCCTTTTGGAAGGTCCCATTAGTGAGTTAATTAGTGGCAGAGCTCAGATGTGCTCCAGGGATTTTATGACATGTCCTCTCTGAAGGGTTATTTCCATTCACATTCTAAGCCTTAAAAAATTGAAGTCAAAATGTTAATGAGCTAACAAGCCTGACTGTAATTTTTTTCAGGTTTAGAAACAGATTTTTCTTAAAACTGCAGAATTAACACATTCCTCCTTTTCTTTCAACATTAATTAGTATATTCTGAAATACAGACCATTTTTAAAAGGACATAAGAGGGTCTTTGGAGTTCTAACTGCAGCATGGAGATTGTGTAAGTTACAATTCATACCATCTCAGCATTGCCCTGTGCTTGCTGCGGGCTTACAGCATTCATCTGCCTCTTTCAAGTTCTCTTTGTTTTCCTTAATTTCCAGCTTAGCTTACATATGGGCTAATTTGCCTTTCTCTTTTATTTATTCACCTTCTACAATCTACAATAGCTAACTAAGGATCAGCTATTTCCCTTAGCTGCCATCTCTTCCTCAGAAGAGCAAAATTCTACCTTCATTTCTGAAATATTTTGTCTGTCTTCAATACTTTACCAGTTTATATTATTGCGGTCAGGTTATCTTGACATACTGCATCATCCCTTAAGTTGCTTTCTTACATCCTTGCCTGCAATTCTATTTGATTAGATATAAATGACAAAGTAATTTGGGCTCACATTTGAACAAAAACCTGTGTGCGTATGTGTGTGTGTGTTTGGGTGTATTTGTGGTAAAGGATAGTGGTGGGCTGAAGGGGTAAAAGAGAGATGTTGGGGTGGAAATCTTCTCAAGCTGGTGGTATCAGCAGATTCTCCCAATCCAAGAAGGGATTTGAAATACTCCCTCAAGCGCTTGAGAGACTCCATAATGGAACTGGACAATTTCCCACGGAGATTTCCCACGAAACAGGGAGTTTCCCTGGGAAACTTCTGTACAGGCCAGGCTAGGTTTCTTCCCAAATCCAGAGAATCTTGGGGCTGCATGGCAAATAAAAGCAAAGAGAGTACTGGAAATAGGCATTTGCTTTGGTAAAGCCCAGTACTCATCCAGATTTATTTTTCAGTTGTCATGCTGGTAAAACTGGTTAATCTAAAAAAAAATAAAAAAAAAAATCTCTACAGGAGCCTATTCTGTGTGGGGAGGAGCGACCTAGTGAACCAACAGAAAAATTATATAGATATTCAACTGTTATTGACTTGAGACGTATGAAAGTGAGCAAGTCAAGATCTTTCTTTTCATTGAGAGCATATTGAAGCTAAATGAACTGTGCACAGTTCTGCAGTTCTGTAGACACTCAGACAATGTTTATTTATTTATTTTCTTAGTAGAGACAAGGGTTGTTGCCCTCGCCATGTTGCCCAAGCTGGTCTCAAACTCCTAGCTTCGAGTCATCCTCCCACCCGGGCCTCCCAGAGTACTGGGATTATAGGCATGAGCCAGTGCCCCAAGCCAGAAAATGTTTAATTTAAAAACATGTTTATTGCTCACTAAAAAGGCTTCTGGTGTGTATAAAAATATATAAGCTAAAATATTTTTGAAGTTGCCTACAGAGCTCGGTAAGCAACAATTAGGCAGAGAGGTGTACTAACCGGTGTTCAGCAGGCCCCAGTGAGAAACACAGGATTATCCTGTTTGGCGAGTTCTTCAGAGGTCACCAGCTGGCTGGTGAACTGGAATCTCCCATGTTCCTCTTTAATTTGGTTCTAGGACCCCAGGCTTTGAAAGATCACCATGAAAAGTGATCCAAGCCCCAGGTGCCAGGGTCACTGACCTGGCATGACCCTTCCCACACCCGCTTAAGCCCCTGAACAGTTCCAGGTCCCAGCAACTCAGTCCTGGCCAGGTTATGCCTACAGGCTGTCATCGTTACTGAGCCACACCTACCTGGGGTAAGAAGCTGGGCAGAAGCTATTTGTCTTCTGTCCACTCCTAGGTTCCTTAGCCCCTCTCCTTTGTACTCACAGAAGCATTTCCCCTGAAGATGTAGCCTGGCCCATGCCAATCAAACCAGGACAGAGAGAAGCTGAGGAGTCCTTGCCCTGTCCGACTCTTCCCGCCCCAGCCTCAGCAGGTGAAGCTCGGAATTAGTCTTGCAGGTCTAAATGAGAGATGCAGAAATCTAGGACTAATCTCTAGGCTGTATTGTGCTGCACTGGCCCCTTCTGTACGACTGTGTTTATGCCTTGGACTTCCATTGAACACATCAGTTCCTGAAGTCTTCCTTTTTCTTATGGACTGAATTGCGGCCCTCCCCACCACCAAATTCATTTGTTGAAGCCCTAACCCACAGTGCGACTGTATTTGGAGATAGGGCCTTTAAAGAGGTCGGTATTAAGGCTGGGTGCAGTGGCTCATGCCTGTAATCCCAGCATTTTGGGAGGTCGAGGTGGATGGATCACTCGAGCTCACAAGTTTGAGACCAGCCTGGAAACATAGCAAAACCCCATCTCTACAAAAGATACAAAAAATTAGCCAGGTGTGGTGGCTCATGCCTGTAGTCTCACCTACTCGGGAGGCTGAGGTGGGAGAATCACTTGAGCCTGGGAGGCAGAGGCTGCTGTGAGCCATGATCACGCTACCGCACTCCAGCCTGGGCAATAGAGCCAGACCCTGCCTCAAAAAAAAAAAAAAAAAGGTAATTAAGGTTAAATGAAGTCATAAGGATGGGGCCCTAATCCCACTCCACTGCTGTCCTTGTAAGAAGAGGCAGGGACACCAGGAGTGTGCATGCACTGAGGGAAGGCCCAGAGAGGACACAGAGAAGGCATCACCTACAGGCCAGGAAGAGAGGCTTCACAAGAAACCAACCCTGCTGCACCTTGATCTTGGATTTCCAGCCTCTGGAACTGTGAGGAAATACATTTCTGTTGTTTAAATCCCTTGGTCTGTGGCATTCTGTTATGGCAGCCCGAGCAGGCCAATACAATCACATCTCAGCTCAGGTGGCTACCCGGGCCCTGCCATCCTCCTAACTTTTTTTTCTTAGCCCTGTGGCTGTTGCTCAGCCCTGTTGCTTTGTCTGTAATCTTTAAGCAGCCTGATTGATCCATTGCAACAGGAGGCTGCTCTTCACCTGACCTCAGGAGTCCTCTCTGCCTGGAATCCCACTGGGTACCTATGTGGGCTAGACTCAGACTTGATTTGGCCACACCTACTTTTTTGGTATGAGGCATTATTTATTTTTTAATTATCTTTATTTTCCCAACCCTACAGTGTAAGCTCTGCGAAGACAGAGACCTCTTATTCCATTCGCCATTATATTTCCAGTCCATTTTTTTTAAGTTCAGGGGTACATGTGCAGGTTTGTTATATAGATCAACTTGTATCACAGGGGTTTGTTGTACAGATTATTTCATCACCCAGGTGTTAAGCTTAATGCCCATTAGTTATTTTTCCTGATCCTCTCCTTCCTCCCATCCTCCACTCTCAGGTAGACCCTAGTGTCTAATGCTCCCCGCTATGTGTTCACACACCCACTCTTGCCTGTGTATTTGGGCCATTGGCCACTTTCTTGCTGGGAGGCCAGAGCCACAGTTCTTGTTTCCTCTTCCTGCCAGCTGGCATGTGCAGGCAGGATGCACGCGTTCACCGCATCTGTGTCTAGGATGAGAGGACACTTCCTGCTTTTCTGCTTGTTAGTGCCATTACCCTGACCCACTGCCCAGACCTCAGGCTGCCTCTTCCCTGCGGCAGTACTCCCCAGACAGACCCCCACCCCGGCCTGGCTGGTCCCTGGTGCCAGCCCTCCTAGCTGAACCTTTCCTGGAACTAGTTATGTCCTGATGACAAAAAGTCCTTTCAGGCCATTGTTTTCTTAGTGATTTTTTTCATTTGCCATTAAATGTCCTGATACACTCCACCATCTTTACATAACCAGATGAATCTGGCCAAGCTGCAACAGGGATGTCAGTGCTCGATAAAGATCTGTTGCCACTGATTTGATTTGCCAAATTGTAGTGTCTTATTATAAGTCAGGCTGTCTCTAAGAAAACTCAATGAAAAAGAATTGGACTAAGACACATGAATTGCATGAGTTGATAGCTTTAAAATTGAATTATATATGGAAAAAATTCAGGTGTTCCTTCATATAGAAGCTTCCTGGTGCATTTCTTAACTACTGACAGAGCGATGGAGGGGCAGAGAAACAGTGTTAAGAACATTACTAATTGAAAGTTATGCGGACGTAAGGACAAAGCATATTTAATCAGCAGAGTTTGATTTCCAAAGTTCATTCAGCCACAGCTATTCCGTAAGAGCTAGATTAAAGTAAAACTGCATGAGAGACTCATTTGTATAAATCACAGATGAGAATTTCTACAGTCTCCTTAAACGTCCAGCTTCATGTCATCTGAATGCCAGGATGAAAGTAAGCCTCTGCCAATCTCGCCCTCCATTTCTTTTTCTATCCCCACAGTCTCTCTCCACCAACTCCTCAGCCTTTTTGTCTGGAGACAGTGTAGCAAAATGGGGAAAAATCATGGGTTCGGGGTCAAAAAGACTGGGTCTGCCACTTATTAGCAGAATGGCATATTAATAAGTTATTTAGGCATAAAATAGATTTGTTTAAAGACTTCTATAAAATGAGGACTACCATCCAACTCACGGTGCTTGTAATGACCAGTTGATGAAATCCACGTACAGTACCATGCAGAGTGTCCAGCTCAATAATACATGTTTCTTATTCTTTCACTCCCCGCTTTTTGCATTCTTTCAAAGGAAGGGGAGCCCATCAGCAAGGCTGTTGTGCCTCTAGTGCTGACCTATTGCCCCCGGCTCTCCTACATCTGTTCCCCCACAGGTTTGCCCTGTCTTTAGTATGAGCAATATCCCCTCTCCCCAGGCTTCTTCTTTTCTGCCTTTGATGGGCTCCATACATCAGATTCTAGAGAATAATTTCTACCTATTGTTTTTCACATTCTAATGATCTTCTCTTCAAAGCCAATACACTAAAATGAGTGGTGTGTTTTCACCACCAGTTTTCTTACCACCTGTCATCTCTTTTAATCTTAGCAGCTTGCAGATTCTTTCAAGTCCCTCCAGAGGGAAATTCCCAGAGTCTGAAATGCTGTCCTTCTGGCGTGATGGGATTATCCATAACCGAGGCATCCTCCATGCTCATCAGGCTATAGGAGTGCTTTCACTGTGTAGGGAGTGAAGTATGTTAACACTATTGCACTGAAAAGGCTGCCCTCCAAAAAAGGAGGATATAAGAAATTCAGGTCATAGAATGTTTAAATTATGTAATCATATATTTTCATCAGCACTAAAAAATAATTTTTGGCTGTAAGGTATCATTTCTAAATTGCCCAATATAACATCCTGTAGGAAGGGAACTTTAGATATAGATAGATTATTGAATTGTGTTAGTACCCCTTGAAGAAACATCTGCTATTATTTTGACCTGTTTTGCATAGACTGAAACCCTTCCAGAAGCCTCATACATTATACATATGGTAAATCACAGCACTTTTACCTAATTGCTCCTTTAGGAGCTAATGACCCCCTTTGCTGCTTTGTTTCAGACACCTGATGCAATCAGCATGGAGAGGGTGTGCTCAGTCTCATCTGTTGCCTTGTAAATTCATGTTTAGTTCAAAATTAAGTGCAATTTCAAAGTGTTTAGTTTAATTTTAATCAATCTAGTTACTGTAAGCATTGCTCAAACTTATACGTTTGTTAAAATTTGTAAAGGTGACTTTGGTGAATGAATTTTGGCCTTTAAATAGATTCAGCTTGCTGTATATGCAGAATAACTTGCACAGAATCAACCATGGAAATTCAGTGAATATGCCCTTTGCTCTCATAATATTGAAAATCACAGCATAACTTGAAGGACCTTGTTCAGGTAAGAAATCAGTGCAGGATTTATAAAGGTACCATATAGGAACCTGGTACCATGGGCTGGTATGTTTCTTTATTATTATTTTCAGAGGGAGATTTGTGGATTGAATTTTTTTTATTTCTGAATACATAATTGATTTCTTAGCCAATTAAAAATGTGTAAGGCTGGGCCCAGTGGCTCACACCTATAATCCCAGCACTCTGAGAGGCTGAGGTGGGTGGATCACGAGGTCAGGAGTTCGAGGTCAGCCTGACCAACATGGAGAAACCCCGTCTCTACTAAAAATACAAAAATTAGCCAGGCATGGTGGCATGTGCCTGTAGTCCCAGCTACTCGGGAGGCTGAGGCAGGAGAATCACTTGAACCTGGGAGGGGGAGGTTGCGGTGAGCCGAGATCGGGCCACTGCACTCCAGCCTGGGTGACAGAGCAAGCCTCCATCTCGGGGGGAAAAAATTAAAAAATTTAAAAAAGATTAACTAAAATAAACATATATAAGCCTCATATAGCTTAAAAATAATTTTCTATAAAAAGATGAATAATGTAGTTTAAAACTACTCTCTATTCTTAAAAATTGAGAATGAAGATTTGGAAAGCAACTAAAAAATAATATACTCCAATTCTCTTATTAGACAGGGGAGCAAAGAAAGGCCCAAGGACCTTAGCAAGTGACGTGCTAAGGTCTGTTTTCCCCTGCAAATTGATGACTAAACTAGGACAAATACTGAGTTATGAAATACTTAATTTTATGGAGGAGAGGCACAGACACAATTATGACAGAAGTTTTAAAGAGTTAAAAAATTACTTTGCCCACTTCATAGCAATATAATAAAGAAGAAAACAGATATAACATGGAAAAGCATTGTTCTAATTAGCTGATTTTCTATGTATATAAATCCATGTAGCATTCCTTTCTAACTGCATTTTGTATTTGTTGTCATATTTCTTTTAAATGAAAATGAGTAAATCAATAATTCTGTTCATTTGGAGTGTCACATATTAAGGACTGAATTAGTTCCATTGATAGAAAAGAAATTTGTGAAGCAAGCGTGATGTTTGAAATTTATAATGGGTCCAGGTGCGGTGGCTCACGCCTATAATCCCAGCACTTTTGGGGGCTGAGGCAGGTGGATCACGAGGTCAGGAGATTGATGCCATCCTAGTCAACATGGTGAAACCCTGTCTCTACTAAAACACAAAAAATTAGCCGGGGTTGGTGGTGTGCGCCTGTAGTCCCAGCTTCTCAGGAGGCTGAGGCAGGGGAATTGCTTGAACCCGGGAGGCGGAGGTTGCAGTGAGCCGAGATCACGCCACTGCACTCCAGTGGCCACTGCACTCCACTCTGGCAACAGAGCAAGCCTCCATCTCAAAAAAATAAAAGGAAAAGAAAAGAAAAAGAAATTTATAATGGGAAAGTTTACCTACTTAATCTAATCATTTGCAAGTGTTCCCTGTTTATATCTAAATATAGCCACGGCCACAGAAGTGGAAATCCAGCAGTGCTAAGGTGGCTTGTTGGTTTGCTAATTATGAACTACACTTATCTATTCATCATAAGAGATTTTCTAGTATGCTTGTTAAACCTAGTTTTGGTGGATGCGTATAACCGAAAATAATGAAAGTGGTGGAACTGAATATAGACTATTCCGGATTCTAACTTTACACTCATACCAGTCTGTATCACAGACATATGATATGACAAGTAGTTGGACTGAGATTCAAGATTATCAAGAAGATTATTGGAATATGGTTTTATATCAACTCTCATTAATGAGCCCTAAATATATAGACTGTGCTTTGAAATATTAGCTGACAGTAGCACATATTAATTACTTTTTAATGCAAATACCTGTATTGGGAGTGATTGTTTTAAAATGCTTCCTATAATGGTGTACAATTATATAAAGTTTGGGGACCTTTGGAGACCTGCCTAGACAATGAGCATATGCTATTCATTACTCTCTTCCTAAAGCTTATCTCCTTAAGCTTCCTTGCAGAATAGTTTGTGTAATTACAAAACCATCACAAAGGAGAATTAGCAAAACATTTGGAAAGATGGATCCAATTTTATAGATTCAGAAACATAATTTGTTAACAGGATCAACATTCTCTTAGTAGCTCCACCAACACTGTCCAACGGAATAGTATGCAATGACAGAAATGTTCTGTGTCTGTGCTATCTGGTATAGTGGCCACTAGTTATGTGTATCGAGCACTTGGAATGTGGCTAGTGTGGCTGAGAAAGTAAAGTTTTAATTGTATTTAATTAATTAAAAATTAGTGGCTGGGCCCGGTGGCTCACACTTGTAATCCCAGCACTTTGGGAGACTGAGGCGGGCGGATCACAAAGTCAGGAGTTCAAGATCAGCCTGGCCAACACAGTGAAACCCTGTCTCTACTAAAAATACAAAAATTAGCTGGGTGTGGTGGCGGGCGCCTGTAATCCCAGCTACTTGGGAGGCTGAGGCAAGAGAATCGCTTGAACCTGGGAGGCACAGGTTGTGGTGAGCCGAGATCGTGCCACTGCACTCCAGCCTGGGCGACAGAGCTAGACTCCGTTACAAAAAAAAAAAAAAATAGAAAAATAATTTAAATAGCCACATGTTGCTAATGCCTACAGTATTGGGCAACTCAGTTCTTGAGAGAGATTACAGAATTCCTTCTAAGATCCCCTAGCACTGAGCACAGTGCCTGATACATATTAGCCAGATGAAATGAGAAATCAGGAAATGCAGCATATATATAGGAAGACAAAAACCCCCAGGCACACACACGTATCGTTGAAATGACACTGAACTCATTAACCTAATATGGAATGTAAAAGGAATTCACTTAGGAAAATAATCATTGCAAGTTCTTTGCTTGCTGACTAATTCATACAGGGTAAAAGTAAAAAAAATAAATTTTCTGTATGATTAAACTGGGTTACCAAGCAGATAAGATCCTATAAAACCCATAAAAGCTTGTTAGATCCCTGCCAGGGCATGAGATCTGTAAGCCTATGGAGTGACTTCCTTTTAAGGTGACAGCCCCTCTGGGTGAGGCAGAAGCCATTCCCACCTCCCGCTGTGTGTTCCAAGCCTCCTCCCTGAGTCAGCGGCAGGCACTTTAGGGCAGCGTCCTGTCCTGTCACTAGTGTGTAGCTAAGGAAACCTGGCTGAACGCATTGTTACTATGGCTCTGTGTGCCAGATCTCCGGGGCTGAGCATAACAGAAGAAGCTTAAGGACACTACATGCAACAGCCAGTGAGAGCAGGAGACATCGGTGTTTCCAGAGTCCAGACCCACCACAGTAAGTGAGAAATGAATGCTGGATTTTCCCCATCAGGCAATTCGCTGGCTTCCCTCATTTCCTTTTTATACTAACACCTGACACTTTAGAAAGTGGTCATATCTGTCATCACTGAGATATAAGAACAATTTTTTTCATAAACGTGAAATTTCTAAAGTAATAAAAATGGCATGAATTGAGATGCTGTTTTTGAGTGAAACATTGTACAGACGATTTTGAAGTGAAAAAAGAATGTTGAAATGGTATGTGTAGCAGGAACCCATGACTGTCGAAATGAACACGTATGTATAGAATAAACAAGAATGACATATTAGTGTGTAAAAAGAGGTATCCTACAGAAGTAACATTTTCAGTGATTTTCATTGTTTCTTTTGGCTTGCCTATGTTTTCCAAATTCCCTCCAATAAATATGCATTACTTTTATGATGAAAAACTTTACATTTTAAAAAACTACATTCTCTATCTTGACTAAATAATCCTTTGGTAATAATAATAGTAATATAGTAATATAGCAGGGAAGGAAGGAAAGAAGGAAGGAATGAAGGAAGGAAAGGAAGAGAAAGAGAAAACATCCTCAGATAATTTGTCCTAAAGTCTCCACTTTTACCAATTTTGAACGTTATTTGACAGTTCCTATGAAATTGGCTGTTTTTACCAATCTGTAATAGTCAAGAGGAACCATTTTGGTCAACTAGAGACAGATTACCCAGTTTCAAGATTTCAGATGAAATAAATTTAATTTAAAATAATAGCAAATGCTTTTTTATGTATAGTACTGAGAACTCAGAAGATGATGAATTAGTAATTGGTGTATTCATGTATTTATTCAACTGGTAAATGTTAGAAACCATGCAACATGCTAGAGATAAAAGGATGAATAAATGAACACAGATTTAACTATACATTTTATTTTTTAAACTTATATTTTAACTACTTCCAAAAATGATTTGTGCTGGATTATAGAAATTTTATTTTTTCATTTTTTACTTTTATTATTATTTTTTAATACAGGATCTGGCTCTGTCACCCAGGCTGGAGAGCCATGGCTCATTCTCAGCTCACTGCAACCTCTGCCCCCCCAGGCTCAAGCCATCCTCCCACCTCAGCCTTCAGAGCAGCTGGGAAGGACTACAGGCACAGGCCACCATGCCCAGCCAATTTTTTTGTATTTTTGGTAGAGATAGGTTTTGCCATGTTGACCAGGCTGATCTTGAACTCCTGGGCTCAAAGCAATCCACCTGCCTTGGTGGGATTACAGGCATGAGCCACTGCACCCAGCCAGATTGTAGAAATTTTATCAGAAACATATTTATTATTGTAGACAATATTATTATTGTAGACATTATTAAATAGTCAAATGATCTATTAGATATAAAGGTATCAAAAACCTATTCAATCGTTTTGGAAAATGACATTGTAAGGATTTGAGAAGTCACCAGAAGAAAATCCAAATTATTTTCATCCCAGAATACTAGGAAAGACATTTGAAAAGTCTGCCACTTTAATTCTGCTTTTTACTAGTTGATGGGTCTTAAACAAGGTACATCAACAACCTCTCAGATTTAATAGATCCATGTCATAGAGAAGTTTTCATATTATTTGAATTTCAAAGTTGAAAGACTAAAATGCAAATACTCTGAAAGCAACATTGCTGGCAAACAGCTGGTTTGCATTTACATTTTCTAAGCTCCAATAGATCCTTACCTACCTTTTAAGGATTTTCTAAGGCCACCAGGACATTATATTTTTAAACACTGGCAGCTTACTACTGTTAGAATTTTGTTTTGCCCACCTGTTCAGTCGGTGGTGACCTATCTCTGAACTATGGTTGATGCTTCCTTTCTGCATACTCCCAGGCTACCTTTTACTCCAGCAATCATCAAAGCCAGGGAGTACTGAAAAACCAGGGACTTTGGGTTAACACACATGAGTGGCAGACATCACCCCTCTTGACCCAGCTGCCCCTCTAAGGGGCTTTGAGAAAAGCACAAGAGAAAAAAAAATGATCCTAGGGCTAGGTTGGATACTGGCAGTCCCTCAAGAGGAAAGCAGAAGACCATTGGAAAGAGAGATCAGATGCTGGAAACCAAGATGAATCTGAGAAGACAGAACAATCAAATGACAAATCGGGGGCAGATGAGGGCCAGAGTGATGGGAGAGGGCCAGGAGAGATGAGAGGGAGCTGAGAGGAGGGTAAAGACTAGGATGGTTTTGGAACTCATTTAGGGACACTGAGCTCTACTTTCCATATGCTGTCAATGAACAACAGGCCTGTTCTTGGTGGGCAAGGGGTACGTCTTCCACCCCATACCATCTTGAACAATGCCATCCCTCATAGCTTGGGGTTTACTATTTATTTAAAAAAAATTAACCCAGGTATTGTGATTTTATTTTTGACCTCTACACTGTCAATAGCCAACAAACAGGACTTCAATCCTATCATCAGAATTATTAGATACAATGCAATAACCAACCCAGGATTTGTCCTCATCCATGAGGGCCCTACAAGGAGAATCCTTTCATTGTCCTTCTGAGTGTCACATTCCTTCAACACCTACAAGCTTCCCAAAGTGACTCCAAAACTACCATGCAGCAGTAGTGACATGGCTCCTTATTTTCACAGTGATTAATATTTACTGAGAACCTGCTATTTACAGTTACTTTACATACATTATCCTTCTTCATGTGCATAACAACCCTGTGAAGGAGGTAGCCATATCCCAGTTTAAAAGGACAAACTGAAATGCAGAAGGGTTCAGAAAGTCTGAAACACATACAGCTGCTACATGTCACGGCTGGGTTTGAAGCAGGCCCCAGCTCTTTTCCTTGTGCTGTGATGTTGCTGTATCGCTCAGATCTAATGTTCTGTGGCCCATTTTACCATGGTATCACTGAATTAGCACATTATCAATTCCCTAATCACATGGCTGCTTCTTAGCCACACATAATTCTACTCTATGTTAGCGAGCTGGGCTCAGCAGTTACTTTGATCTTTTTTTAAAGGCTGCAGTGAACATCCAGTAATAATGTATGAGCAACGTAACCTTTCAAAGTGGAAATATGTCTAATGGTCACAACCACCTCTCCTTTCAACTCCCTTACCCTCACATCTCCATTGCAATTATTCCTTAATTATTGAAACCTCTAGTCCATTGATGCTGTCACTCTTTCACAATTTTCACTACTCTCGAAACCTTGCTTCTCTTTTTGCCCAGCTTACAATTCATGACCCATTTCTAAAATCATTTAATTGAAAACATGCTCAATTTTCTGGCCCCACTCTCCCTGTACTTACCTGGCTAGACTCCAACTCTTCATGAGCCTAACTAGCCATTTTCTCTATGCCTAGAGATTAATCACATCTGTTGTCCTGGCTGCACTTTAAATTTGCAATCTCAGGCCTCAAATAGGCCCTTAGTACTGCGAAAGAGTCCTACTAGTTTTCCCTAATAAAGTTCCCCTTTGAGTCTTTGAAATGACGATTTCACATTTCCTCTCTCCCAAAACCTCTCACACTTCTCCCTCCCTATTCATAGCTGATGACTTAGACTCATACTTCATTGAAAAAGAAATCTAATATTGGACAAGAGTGCCTTCATCTCGTCAAATCTATGTACCTCAGTCTCTGTGCCCATATTGTCTCTGCCTTCCCTGTTTTTGAAACAGGAGAAATGTGTCTGCTCCTATCAGAGGTGAATCCTTCCGGTCCTACTCTGATCCTACCCACCCTCACCTTTCCAAGGATTCTTGTTCTTATAGTTAAACTCCTTCTATTCTGCAGCATCTATGGCTTTCTCCACATGGTGTCATTCCAGGCAACATATACGCAAGTTCTGTGAACTCCCAAATTACAAAAACAAAAAAAACCTCAAAATACTTCCTTGGTTTTCATCATTCTCTTTTTTGGTTACTCTATCAAGATTCTGTTTTTGTTTGTTTGTTTGTTTTGGTGGTTGTTGTTTCTGTGTGTGTGGATTTTTTTGTTGTTGTTCGTTTGTTTGTATGTTTGTTTGTTGTTGAGACAGGTCTTATTATGCTGCCCAGGCTGGAATGCAGTGGCAGCACCCTGCAGCCTCAACCTCCTAGGCTTAACCAATCTTCCCACCTCACCCTCTTGAGTAGCTGAGACCACAGGCACATGCCACCATGCTTGGCTAATTTTTTTTTTTTTTTTTTTTTTGTAGAGAAAGGGATATCACTATGTTGCCCATTCTGCTCTTGAACTCCTGGGCTCAAGTGATCCTCCTGCCTTGACCTCCCAAAGTCCTGGGATTACAGGCATGAGCCATCACACCTGGCTTCAAGCTTCTACTTAACCATTTACTGAATCTGCTCTGTCAAGGCCACCACAATCTTAATATTGCTAGATCCTATGTGCACTTCTCCTGTTTTCATTATACTCACCTTCTTCACAGCCACAACTGATCCAGCTGTCCAATTCCTTCATGGAAAACTTTTCTCTCTTGGCTTTTATGATGAACGCTTTCCCATATCTAGCTCTGGCCAATCCTTTCTTTATTTCTTTTACTTTATCTGATCTCAATACTGGACTGACTTCTAAATCTATGTGCAGTCTCTCCAGGTGATCTTGTCCAGTTCCTGACCATAAATGTCAGCTATGTGCCATTTGCCATTCATCCGACACCCTGAATTTTGGACTCATAATCAACTAACTACCTGGTACCTCCACTTGATAACAAACATTGACTTCTCTGGCACTTTCCATCAGGATCCTGTCCAACAGCCACTCCTCCCTTCTTCTTTGCCATCAGAACCTTGATTTTATGCAGTTCCCAGGGGGCCATGGTCTTCAGGGTGACTGGTCATCCAAGTGACACTCGATTAGTCATGGCCCCATCATGGCAGCTCAATTCCTGTTGTCAGCAATCGGTTTAAAAATTGGAATGCACATGTGGCACAATTCTGGCTAATGAGTTGAAAGGAAAATCTGCTACAGAACTTCCTGGGATATTTTCCTTGCTATTAAAAAGGAATATGTAAGTCTCTTCCTTGTTTATCCTATATTCTATTGTCTATAAAGCCCTCTATCATCCGGCCCTTGTTAACCTTTTTCATCTCATGTCATTCTTTCTTTGCTTACTCAGCACACTGGCCTCCTCTCTATTTTTCAAACCCACCAGGTGTCGGGGTCTCTGGCCTTGCTGGATGCTTCCCCTGAATACCTTTCTTAAAGTTCTTTGCATGTCTTGCTCCTTCTTGTCATGCAGGATTCAACTCAACTGTCATCTGTTTAGAAAGGCTTCCCCTGCTCATCCCACTATAATCATAAATGATAATGTAAGTTTTATTTATATTTCTGTCATGACTTGCTGTATGACTCTTATTACAATCTAAAATTACCATGTTATATGTTTTTTTCTGTCTCACTCAAGGATCATAAGATCTTAGAGAAGCTTATTCTTAAAGGACTATTAATCCTTCTTCAAGGCTATGATCTTGTGCTATATTTTCAGAGCCTAGAACAGTGCTTGGAACGTTGCATTAACTGAATTGTTGAATGCATACTGACCTCTAATATCGAAAATATATCATAGACGTGGCATGACTAAATAGAAGATTTGAAAATACAGTCCTGAGAAATCTGACTTGTGGGACATATATAAAATTCCAATTGGCTGTACTGAGCTCAGGTTGGGGCTGTGGCACCAGAGTGAAGTTAATCCACTGAGCATCAGCTAAGGTAGCTCTGACTCAAATAATGTCCTTAAGAAACAGGCTCTCCATGCTTTTCTTTTCTGAGATGAGGAGAAAGAAGATTAAAAGAGATTAAAAGATTTTAAAAGATTGAACAAGTTTAAATATTTTTTGAAAGGAAGAAAGTTATATTTGGAGAATAAAGCTAATGTTAATTTTTGGCACCTTCAGTACTAAAGCAGAGATGACCAAAGACAGATGGAGTGTTGTAGTCCATTTGGATTACTTTAATAGAACATCACAGGCCAGAAGGATTAAACGACAAACATTTCTTTCTTACAGTTCTGGAAGCTGGGAAGTCCAAGATCGGAGTGCAGCATGGTTGGGTTCTTAGTGAGGGCCCTCCTTCTGGTTCATAGATGGCTGTCTGTCTTCTCATGAGATCCTCACACAACAGAGAGAGAGCCCCAGTTTTCTCACCCCCTTATAAAGATATATTTAATCACATTATGGGGGCTCAACCCTCATGACCTTATTTAAACCTAATTACCCTCCGAAGGTTCCACCTTCAGATACCCTCACAGTGGTGATTAGAGCTTCAACAGATGAATTTTGGGGGAAGGATCACAAACATTCAGTTCATAAGCTTCCTTCTCTCAAGGCCCAAAACAAAAATATAGTTCCTTACCTGGACCCTTTAACATATATTATTTTGTAAATGGCATCTAAATCATAAAATTCATTCCACTAACTTTGGGGAAATGTTTTTTAAAGATTTGGATGGAGTATGGTTGGGTTAATGAGGAGACTGTACAGTAAGGAAAACTCTTGGGTTGCTGAATTGAGTTTTAGAATTTCTGACTGAAATTCGCAAATTTGGTTTAGTATAAATAATTTCAAGCTACTTTTTAAAAAGTGAAAAGTCCTACTATGGTTGTAAGTAATAGTACAAATAATAATGATATATTTATTATTCAAGAGTGAAAAAAAATTAGGATGGGAAAGCAGAGAAGCCTAAATGGATAAGACCAGGTTTTCAGCAGTTGTTTAATTTCCAAATTGTGCATCTCTTATATTATATTCTGTGGAACTGCAGAGTTTCATAATGTTTCTTTTATTATTTACTACAAAGTTTGATGTGACATATGAAATATACACTTTAAATGTTTACCCTTGTGGATAAATAATAGTACAAGCAGTTATTATATTACTTTTATAAAAAGTATATCTATTTGAAGTTAAGCTTAATAATCATAACTTCCATTTATTGACCATTATGCTGGTTTCTAAATACACATTATTAATAATCTTACCAAGTAGGAAAGATGTTATGTTATTCCCCTTTAACTGAACAAAGGCTTAAATACTTACCTCAGGTCACATTGATAGTAAGTGCCACAGACAATATTTGAACCCATTATTTTTTTCCTGACAATAAACCTCAGAACCTTTCCATGGCATGTAGCTTACTGTATCAGCCAATAATTTTCTTATTGCTGTTCATTTTTTTCAGCCAAACTGCTGGTTTATACATGCACCTTATAAAGGAAAGGAAATCAAGACATCAATATTACCTAGTCTTGGTAAAATTCAAATTTTGCTACATTAGTACAGCCTTATGAACATTAATAAAAACAGAATACTATTACCTTCTTGCACTTATCAGATCTATTCTATAGTCATCCATCCATCCATCCAAAACATACTGGTTGAGTACATACTACATGCCAAACACAGTATTAGTTGCAGAAATTATTTTTCATCTGAGTATTGCTAGTACCAAGCACTTTTTGATGTCCTGTAAATGTTTGTAGTATGAGTAAATGAACAGAAAAGAAAACTAAATATACTTCAAATTAAAAACACTTTTCTGGCTGGGCACGGTGGCTTACGCCTGTAATCCCAACACTTTGGGAGGCCGAGGCAGGTGGATCACGAGGTCAGGAGATCGAGACCATCCTGGCTAACACAGTGAAACCCCGTCTCTGCTAAAAAATACAAAAAAAAAGTTAGCCAGGCATGGTGGTGGGCACCTGTAGTCCCAGCTACTCGGGAGGCTTAGGCAGGAGAATGGCGTGAACCCGGGAGGTGGAGCTTGTAGTGAGCTGAGTTTGCGCCACTATACTCCAGGGCCTGGGCGACAGAGCGAGACTCCGTCTCAAAAAAAAAACAAAAAACCTCTTTTCTTCAATAAGCTGATATTTTATTACAATTGTAATGTCATGGATAACTAATAAATTTTTAAATAACATTATTTAATGTAATTAATGATTCTTAATATATACACATAGTTATGTGATCACCACAATATAATTTTAGATTTTTTTTTTTTTTTGAGACAGTCTCACTCTGTTACTCAGGCTGGAGTGCAGTGGTGCAATCTCAGCTCACTGCAACCTCCACCTCCTGGGCTCAAGTGATCCTCCAACCTCAGTCTCTTGAGTAGGTTAGGCCTATAGACATGCCATGCCCGGCTAATTTTTGTATTTTTTGTAGAGACAGGGTTTTGCCACATTGCCCAGGCTGGTCTCGAACTCCTGGACTCAAGCAATCTGCCCGCCTTGGCCTCCCAAAGTGCTGGGATTATGGGTGTGAGAGCCACTGCACCCAATCTTAATTACCTATTCTATTTTCTATCACCTCTAAAAGAAACTTCACACTCGTTAGCAGTCACTTCCCACTCCTCTCCCCCCAAGTCACCTAGCTTGAGGCAATTACTAATCTCTTTTCTGTCTCTGTAGATTTGCCTAATTTGGACTTTTCATATAAATGGAATCATATAATTGTGGTCTTTTATGTCTGTCTTCTTTCACTTAGCATGTTTTCAAGGTTCATCCATGTGGTAGTATGTATCAGTAGTTCATTTCTTTATTGCTGAATAATATCCCATTGGATGGATATGCCACATTTTGTTTATTCATTCATCAATTTATGGACATTGGGTTGTTTCCATTTTTTGGCTATTGTGACAAATGCTACTATGCATGTTCACATATAGCTTTTGTGTGGATATGTGTTTTTATATTTATTGTGTATAGATCTAGGTGTGGAATTGCCGAGTCATAAGGTAACTATATGTTTAACACTTTCAGAATGTCAAACTGTTTCCCAAAGCAGCGACACCATTTTACATTCCCACAAACAATGTACAAAGCTTCCCATTTGTTCACATACTAAACAAGACTTGCTATTTTCTGTCTTTTAAAATTATACCCAGGCTAGTGTTTGAGAACAGGATCTTATTGTGGTTTTGATTTCCATTCCCCTAATGATTAATGATCTTTTCGTGTGCTTGTTGGTTATTCGTATATCTTTTTTGAAAAAATGTCTATTCAACTTCTTTACCCATTTTTAAATTGCATTGTTTGTCTTTTTATTGTTGAGTTGGAAGGGTTCTTTATGTATTCTGGACACGTGATTTTTATCAGCTTTGGAAATATTTTCTTTAATTCTGTGAGTTGTCTCTTCACTTTCTTGATGGTATTCCTTGTAGCAAAAAAGTTTTCAATTTTGATGAAGTCAAATTTATCTATTTTTTTATTTTGTCACTTGTACATTTAGTGTCATATCTAAAAAGGCTTAGCCCAACTCAAAGCCACAACAATTTATTTCTACATTTTCTTCTCAAAGTTTCATAGTTCTAACTCTTACATATAGGTCTATGATCCATTTTGAGGTAATTTTTGTGTGTAATTTGAGGAAGGGTCCAACTTCATTCATTTGCATGTAGATATTTAGTTATCTGGGTATAATTTGTTGAAAACACCACTCTTTTTCCCTTGAATTGCCTTAGCACCCTTGTCAAAAATCAATTGACTATGAATATAGGAATTATTTTTGGAGTCTCAGTTATGTTCCACTGATCTATATGTATAACCCACTGCCAGAGGACCACATTTCATTGCTCTTTGTAGCAAGTTTTGAAATCCAGAATTGGAGTCCTCCAACTTTGTTCTTTGTTTCTCCAGATTGTTTTGGTTATTTTGGCTCTCTTGCTTTTCTACATGAATTTTAAGATAAACTCTTCAGTTTCTGCAAAGAAAAAGGCAGTTGGAATTTTCCATTGACTTTGTAGATCAATGTAGGGAGTACTGCCATCTTAACAATGTTATGTCTTCTTATCTATCAACATGCAATGTGTTCCATTTATTTAGGTCTTCTTTAATTTTCTTAATATTTTATAATTTCCAGAGCACAAGTTTTACATTTCTTTTTTTAAATTTAGTCCTAAGTACTTTATTCGTTTTGGTGCCATTGTAAATGGAATTATTTTCTTAATTTTGATTTTGGATTGCTCATTGAAATTGATATAAATACAATTATTTTTTGTATATTAATCTTTTATCCTATCATTTTGCTGAGCTCATTTATTCTAATAGGCTTTTAGTAAGTTGTTTAGTATTTTCTACATACAGGATCATGTTATTTGCAAATAGATAAACTACTACTTCTTTCTTTTCAATATGGATGTTATTTATTTTATTTTCTTGCCTAATTTTCCCTGACTAGAACTTCTGGTCTGATATTGAATAGATGTGATGAGAGTGGACATCCTTGTCTTGTTCTTGATCTTAGAGGGAAAACATTCTGTCTTTCACCGTTAAGTATGTTAGCTGTGAGTTTTTTTGTAGATGTTCTTTATCAGATTGAGGAAGTTCCTGTCTATTCATAGATTGTTAAGTCTTTTTGCCAGAAAAGGGTATTTGGTTTTATCAAGCTTTTTTTCTGTTTTTTTATTGAGGTGATCATGTGTTTTTTCTTTGTTTTATTAATGTGGTATATTAAATTAACTGATTTTTTAATGTGAAACCAATCCTGCATTCCTGGGATAAATCTCACTTAGTCATGGTGTATGTGTTGCTATGCTCAATTTGCTAGCATTTTGTTGAGCATTTTTGCATATATGTGAATATGGAATATTAGTCTGTGGTTTTCTTGTGATGTCTTTGGTTTTGTGTAACATGGCTTCTTAATATGGTTTTGATTTCCATTCTCCTAATGATTAATGATATTTTCATGTGCTTGTTGGCTATTTGTATATCTTTTTTGGAAAAAAAAGGGTATATTCAAATCCTTTACCCATCTTTAAATTGCATTGTCTTTTTATTGTTGAATTGGAAGAGTTCTTTATATATTGAATGTAAAGAGTTCTTTATATATTGAATATAATATGACTTCTTAATGAAGTTGGTGTGCTTAATGAAGTTGGTGTGCTTAATGGTGTCCCACAGTTCTCTGAGGATACATTTTCTTCATTTTTTTTCTCTTTGTTCTATGTTGCATAATGTCTATCAATCTATCTTCAGGTTTACTGATTCTTCTGCCAGATTAAATCTATCGTTAAAGTTCTGTAGTGAATTTTTCATTTTAGTTACCATATTTTTAATGCCAGAATTTCCTTTTGGTTCTTTTAAAAATAATGTTATTTCTTAATGGGTATTCTCTATTTGATAAGACACTGTCATCAGGCTTTCCTTTAATTCTGTAAACTTGGTTTACTTTATTTCTTTGAACATATTTATAATGACTAAAGTCATTGCCTACTAATTCCGACATCTGGGTCCTCTCAAAGGCATTTTCTGTTGCTTGCTTTCTTTCCCCACCTCCCCACCATGTATGGGTGACCTTTTCCTGTTTCTTTAAATGTCTCATAATTCTAATATTGTAAATGGAACATTTTATTTTAATTAATTTATTTATTTACATTAGTTATTGAGGTACAGGTAGTATTTGGTTACATGAGCAAGTTTTTTAGTGGTGATTTGTGAGATTTTGGTGCACCCATCACCTAAGCAGTATACACTGTACCATATCTGCAGTCTTTTATCCCTCACCCCCCTCCCATTCTTCCCCCCAAGTCCCCAAAGTCCATTGTATCATTCTTATGCCTTTGTGTCCTCATAGCTTAGCTCCCACATATCAGTGAGAACATATGACTTTTGGTTTTCTATTCCTGAGTTACTTCACCAGAATAATAATCTCCAATTATTCTAAGTGAAGATTGCTGCAAATGCTGTTAATTCCTTCCTTTTTATGGCTTAGTAGTATTCCATCATATATATATATACCACAGTTTCTTTATCCACTGATTGATTGATGGGCATTTGAGTTGGTTCCACGATTTTGCAATTGTGAATTGTGCTGCTATTAACATGCATGTGCAAGTGTCTTTTTCGTATAATGTCTTCTTTTTCTCTGGGCAGATACCCAGTAGTGAGATTGCTAGATCAAATGGTATTTCTCCTTTTAGTTCCTTAAGGAATCTCCACACTGTTTTCCACAGTGGTTGTACTAGTTTACATTCCCATCAGCAGTGTAGAAGTGTTCCCTGATCACTGCATCCATGCCATCATCTACTATTTTCTGATTTTTTTATTATGGCCATTCTTGCAGGAGTAAGGCAGTATTGCCTTGTGATTTTGATTTGCATTTCCCTGTTCATTACTGATGTTGAGCATTTTTTCATGTTTGTTGGTCATTTGTATATCTTCTTTTGAGAATTGTCTATTCATGACCTTAGCCCATTTTTTGATGGGATGTTTTTTTTAATCTTACTGATTTGTTTGAGTTCATTGTAGATTCTTGATATTAGTCCTTTGTCAGATGTATACATTGTGCAGATTTTCTCCCACTCTGTGGGTCATCTGTTTACTCTGCTGACTGTTCCTTTTGCTGTGCAAAAGCTCTTTAGTTTAATTAGGTCCCTACTATTTATCTTTGTTTTCATTGTGTTTGCTTTTGGGTTCTTGGTCATAAAATCTTTGCCTAAGCCAATGTCTAGAAGGGGTTGTCCAAAGTTATCTTTTAGAATTTTTACAGTTTCAGGTCTTAGATTTAAGTCTTTGATCCATCTTGAGTTGATTTTTGTATAAGGTGAGAGATGAGGATCCAGTTTCATTCTCCTACATGTGGCTAGCCAATTATCCCAGCACCATTTGTTGAAAAGGGTGTCCTTTCTCCAATTTATGTTTTTGCTTGCTTTGCTGAAGATCAGTTGCCTGTAAGTATGTGGGTTTATTTCAGTTTTCTATTCTGTTCCATTGGTCTATGTGCCTGTTTTTATACCAGTACCATGCTGTTTTGGTAGCTATGGCCTTATAGTATAGTTTGAAATCAGGTAGTGTGATGCTTCCAGATTTGTTCTTTTTGCTTAGTCTTCCTTTGGCTACGTGGGCTCTTTTTTGGTTCCATATGAATTTTAGAATTGTTTCTTCTAATTCTGTGAAGAATGATTGTGGTATTTTGATGGGAATTGCCTTGAATTTGTAGATTGCTTTTGGCAGTATGGTCATTTTCAAAATATTGATTCTATCCATCCATGAGCATGGGAGTGTTTCCATTTGTTTGTGTGCATCTATGATTTCTTTCAGCAGTGTTTTACAGTTTTTCTTGTAGAGGTCTTTCAATTCCTTGGTTAGGTATATTCCTAAGTATTTTATTTTATTGCAGCTTTTGTAAAAGGGGTTGAATTCTTAGTTTGATTCTCCACTTGGTCACTGTTGGTGTATAAAAGAGCTACTGATATTTGTACATTAATCTTGTAACTGGAAAATTTGCTGATTTACTGAATTCTTTTTTTTTTTTTTCTTTTTTTTTTTGAGACAGAGTTTCACTCTTGTTGCCCAGACTGGAGTGCAATGGTGTGATTTCGGCTCACCACAACCTCCACCTCCTGGGTTTAAGCGATTCTCCCCCCTCAGCCTCCAGAGTAGCTGGGATTACAGGCATGTGCCACGATGCCCGGCTAATTTTGTATTTTTAGTAGAGATGGGGGTTTCTCCATGTTGATCAGGCTGGTCTCGAACTCCTGACCTGAGGTGAGCCACGGCCTCGGCCTCCCAAAGTGTTGAGATTACAGGCATGAGCCACTGCGCCCAGCCTGCTGAATTTTTTTTATAAGTTCTAGGAGTTTTCTGGAGGAGTCTTTAGGGTTTTCAAGGTAAACGATCATATCGTCAGCAAACAGTGACAGCTTAACTTCCTCTTTGCTGATTTGGATGCTCTTTTTTTCTCTTTCTCTTGTCTGATTGCTCAGGATAGGACTTCTAGTACTATGTTGAAGAGGAGTGGTGAGAGTGGGCATCCTTGTTTTGTGCCAGTACTCAGAGGGAATGCTTTCAACATTTCCTCATTCAGTATTATGTTGGCTGTGGGTTTGTTATAGATGGCTTTTATCACATTGAGCTATGTCCCTTGTATGCCAATTTTGCTGAGAGTTTTGTCGAATGCTTTTTCTGCATTTATTGAGATAATCGTGGGATTTTTGTTTTAAATTTTGTTTATGGGGTGTATCACATTTACTGACTTGCGTCTGTTAAACCATCCCTGCATCCCTAGTATGAAGCCCACTTGATAATGTTGGATTATCTTTTTGATATGTTGTTGGATTTGGTTAGCTAGTATTTTGGATTTTAGCATCTATGTTCATCAAGGATATCGGTCTGTAGTTTTCTTTTTTGGTTATGTCCTTTCCTGGTTTTGGTATTAGGGTGATGCTGGCTTCATAGAATGAATTAGGGAGGGTTCTTTCTTTCTCTACCTTGTGGAATAGTGTCAATAGGATTGGTACCAATTCTTCTTTGAAGGTCTGTCTGGTAGAATTCTGCTGCGAATCCATCTAGTCCTGGACTTTTTTTGTTGGTAATTTTGTAATTACCATTTCAATCTCACTTCTTATTATTGGTCTGTTCAGTGTATCTAATTCTTCCTAATTTAAGCTAGAAGGGTTGTATTTTTCCAAGAATTTATCCTTCTCTTCTGGGTGTTCTAGTTTATGTGCATGAAGGTGTTCATAGCAGCCTTGAATGATCTTTCGTATTTCTGTGGCGTCAGTTGTAATATCCCCCATTTCATTTCTAATTGAGCTTATTTGGATTTTTCTCTCTTCTTTTCTTGGTTAATCTTGCTAATGGTCTATCAATTTTATTTATCTTTTCAAAGATAGATTTCAAACCTTTTTGTTTAATTTACCTTTTGTAATTTTTTTGTTTCAGTTTCATTTAGTTCTGCTCTGGTCTTGGTTATTTCCTTTCTTCTGCTGGGTTTGGGTTTGGTTTGTTCTTGTTTCTCTAGTTCCTTGAGGTGTGACCTTAGAATGTCAGTTTGTGCTCTTTCAGTCTTTTTGATGTAGGTGTTTAGGGCTATGAACTTTCCTCTTATCACTGCCTTTGCTGTATCCCAGGATTTTGATAGGTTGTGTCATTATTGTTGTTTAGCTCAAATAATTTTTAGATTTACATCTTGATTTCATTTTTGACCCAATGCTCATTCAGGAGCAGGTTATTTAATTTCCTTGTGTTTGCTTGGTTTTGAAGGTTCCTTTTAGAGTTGATTTCCAGTTGTATTCCACTGTGGTCTGACAGAGTGCTTGATATAATTTCAATTTTCTTAAATGTATTGAGGCTCCTTTTATGGCCTATCATATGGTCTGTCTTGGAGAAATTTCTATGTGCTGTTGAATAGAATGTGTGTTCTGCGGTTGTTGGATGAAATGTTCTATATATATCTGTTAAGTCCATCTGTTCCAAGATACAGTTTAAATCCATTGTTTCTTTGTTGACTTTCTGTCTTGATGATCTATCTAGTGCTGTCAGTGGAGTATTGAAGGCCCCCATTATTATTGTGTTGCTGTCTATATCATTTCTTAGGTCTATTATTAATTGTTTTATAATTTGGGAACTCCAGTCTTAGGTGGATATATGTTTAGGATCGTGATATTTTCCTGTTGGACAAGGCCTTTTACCATTACATGATGTCCCTCTTTGTCTCTTTTAACTGCTGTTGCTTTAAAGTTTGTTTTTTTTTTTCTGATATAAGAATTGCTACTCCTGCTCACTTTTGGTGTCTATTTGCGTGAAATGCCTTTTTCCACCCTTTTACTTTAAGTTTATGTGAGTCCTTATGTGTTAGGCAAGTCTCCTGAAGGCAACAGATAGTTGGTTGGTGAGTTCTTATCCATTCTGTAGTTCTGTATCTCTTAAGTGGAATATTTAGGCCATTTACATTCAATGTTAGTATTGAAATATGAGGTACCGTTGCATTCATTTTGCTATTTGTTGCCCTTGTACTTTAGGTTTTTTATTTTTTGTTTTTGCTTTTTAACTTGTATTTTTGTTTTATGGGTCCTGTGTGACTTATGCTTTAAAGAGATTCTGTTTTGATGTGTTTCCAGGATTCATTTGAAGATTTAGAGCTCCTTTTAGCAGTCCTTGTAGTGGTAGCTTGGTAGTGGTGAATTCTCTCAGCATTTGTTTGTCCAAAAAAGACTGTATCTTTCCTTCATATTTGATGCTTAGTTTCACTGGATACAAAATCCTTGACTGTTAATTGCTTTGTTTGAGTAGGCTGAAGATATGGCCTCAATCCCTTCTAGCTTGTAGGGTTTCTGCTGAGAAATCTGCTGTTAATCTGATCAATTTTCCTTTATAGGTTACCTGGTGCTTCTGTTTCACAGCTCTTAAGATTGATTCCTTCGTCTTAACTCTGGATAACCTGATGACAGTGTGTCCAGGCAGAGAGCTTTTTGCAATGAATTTTCCCAGGTGTTCTTTGTGCTTCTTGTATTTGGATACACTAGCAAGGCCAGGGAAGTTTTCCTTGATTATTCCCCCAAATATGTTTTCCAAGCTTTTGGAATTCTCTTCTTCCTCAGGAATACCAATTATTCTTAGGTTTGGTCATTTACCATAATCCCAGACTTCTTGGAGGCTTTGTTCATATTTTCTTATTCTTTTTTCTTTGTCTTTGTTTGATTGGGTTAATTTGAAGACCTTGTCTTCGAGCTCTGAATTTCTTTCTTTTACTTGTTCAATTCTATTGCTGAGGCTTTGCAGAGCATTTTACATTTCTATAAGTGTGTCCAATGTTTCCTGAATTTTTTATTGTTTTTTCTTTAAGCTCTCTATTTCCTTGAATATTTCACCCTTCACTTTTTGTATCTTTTTTGGGGTTTCCTTAGATTGGGCTTCACCTTTCTCTGGTCCCTCCCTGATTAGCTTAATAACTAACCTCTTGAATTCTTTTTCAGGTAAATCAGGGATTTATTTTTGGTTTGGATGCATTGCTGATGAACTAGTGTGATTTTTGGGGGGTGTCAAAGGGCCTTGTTTTGTCATATTACCATGGTTGGTTTTCTGGTTCTTTCTCATTTGGGTAGGCTCTGTCAGAGGGAAGGTCTAGGGCTGAAGGCTGTTGTTCAGATTCTTTTGTCCCACGGGGTGTTCCCTTGATGTAGTACTCTTCCCCTGTTCTTATGGATTTGGCTTCCTGTGAGCCGAACTGCAGTGATTGTTGTCTCTCTTCTGGGTCTAGCTACCCCTCAAGTCTACCTGGCTCTGGGCTGATACTGGGGGTTGTCTGCACAGAGTCCTGTGATGTGAACTGTCTATGGGTCTCTCAGCTGTGGATACCAGTGCTTGTTCTGGTGGAGGTGGCAAGGGGTGGGTGCAATGGACTCCGTGAGGGTTCTTAGCTTTGGTGGTTTAATGCTCTATTTTTGTGCTGGTTGGCCTCCTGCCAAGAGGTGGCGCTTTCCAGAGAGCATCAGCTGTGGTAGCGTGCAGAAGAACCAGCAGTGGGCAGGGCCCTAGAACTCCCAAGATTATATGCCCTTGGTCTTCTGCTACCAGGGTGGGTAGGGAAAGACCATCAGGTAGGGGTGGGGCTAGGCATGTCTGAGCTCAGAGTCTCCTTGGATGGGTCTTGCTGTGGGGGATGGGGGTGAGGTCCCCAGGCCAATGGAGTTATGTTCCTAGGCGGATTATGGCTGCCTCTGTTAAGTCATGCAGGTTGTGAGGGAAGTGGGAGAAAGCCGGCAGTCACAGGCCTCACCCAGCTCCCACTCAAACTGAAGGGCTGGTCTCACTCCCACTCTGCCCCGACTAAGAGCCCTGAGTCTGTTTCTGGCCAGTGGGCGAGACAGGCTACCCGCCTCCCAGCTGCGAAAGATAAGAGCTTGTTTCTTCCTCTGCCTGTGATGTCTACTCAATGGATTTGTGCCCTCCCCTGAGTTCTAGCCACGAGGCTTCTCGCCCCATTCAAATTGTTACAAAGTTCAGCTGGAGATTTCCTTCTCCCTGTGAAGTTTTCTGCCTCCTCCTCCTGCTCCTCCGGTCGCCCTCCCAATGGATCCCTGTGGTGCCAGGCAGGAATGGGCTGCTTGAGGACCCAGCAAGCTCAAGGGGCCTTTCTGCTGCTTCCTCTACCCCTGTATTTCACTCAGCTCTCTAAATTGACTCAGCTCCAGGTAAGGTTGGAAACGTCTCCTGCAAACAGACCTTCAGTTTCTCCAGCGGGGGTGTGTGTTTGGGAGAGGAGGCTCTCTTTCCCACTTTTGCATTTGGGACACTCAGTATTTGGGGTGTCTCCTGGGTCCTGCAGGAGCATTCCACTTCCTTTAGAGGGTCTGTGCGTCTTCTCGGGACTGCTGATTTGTTCTTGCAGTTGACCTGGAGCTAAAATTCACAATGCGAACCTCCACATGCTGCTCTGTCTGTCCGAGTCAGAGCTGCAATCTAGTCCTGCCTCCTGTCCACCATGATCCTCAAAAATGGAACATTTTAGATAATTTATTGTAGCAACTCCAGATACTGATCCTCTCCCAGGGCTTATTATTATTGTTGTGTAATTGTTTGATTATTTGTTTTTTTATTTGTTTGATTAGCTGGTTGGGTTAAGTTTCTTTCCTCCAGAGCATATAGCGTTGGATGCTCCATAATCTTGAGCATGTGCAGGCACCCTAACCACTCCTCATTTTCTCCTCCCCCCAAAAGTGGCAATGGTTTTAGCCAGGATCTTTTTTACTGCTTATTTCCCTGATATCCCTATTAAGGATCTAGTTGGTCAGCTTCCATTGGTTAGCATCCACGAATTGCTTGCTAATTACTTTATTGTTTATGACTATGTCCTGGGTCACAAATTAGTTCACAGTCTGATCTAATTAAAGTCAGATCTCTTTGGGGTGAGTTTTGTGGCTTACTCCAACTCCATGAGGACTCTTTTCAACTGTCTCTCTCTCTATATATATTTTTCTTTCTCTCTGTTAAGCTTCTACCTGGTCTGCCATTTTGTTTACTGCTATCATGGAATTAATAGCCATGATAGCAATAAACTTAATTGCTCACTATCAAAATTTCCATTATTTTCAATAGTGCACTTAGGCTTGAAATTCCTCACACTCCGTTCCAAATAAAATCAATCCCCTTAGAGAGAGATACAGAGCTCTTTGTTTTTACAGTCTGCCTAATCCCCAGAGGCATGACCTCTGCATTATTGATTTGGAACTCCCTTGGATTAACACCAGAGTCTATGAATAGGGCACTTAGTGAGGGTGGTAGCCACTGGTCCTCTTGGATTGTTTCTCTTGGTATGAAACTTTTCATCCTAAAAGCAATTTGGATTCGGGCTGATTAGGACTCAGTAGTCTTGACTTATCAAGCCTGAGGTAAAACTTCCACTTTACGAGTTAGGGGCTTGGTGAAGAACAGAAGCCCCAGACCTCTTGTTTGCACTTATCTAAAGTAGAGTTTCTGCAGTAAGGAGATAGGAGAAAGTAAGAAATATTGGTGACCTGGGCCACTCTGTGAGAAACCGTAACTCTACTATCGTTTAGAAGAAAAATGAACTCATGTTCTTGGCCATACCCAGTAGAACCTCCATCACACTGAACTTGGAGGTGGAGAGCAAGTTATGGCTCGAATCCCAGAGAGTCGCTTTTCCTAATAAGATTTAGTTAATTTTCTTTAATAAACATTTCTACATCTTCAGTATGTTATTAGGATACCTTCCAGACACTTTAAATGGTTGTTGTTTTTACAATTTTCATTATTTATAGTTGTTTTGCTGGGAAGAGTGTCCACAGAGCTTCTCATACCACCTTTGGGAAGTGCTTCTCCTTAACATGATGAATTAGCCTCCTATGGCTGCTTTAACAAATTACCAAAAACTTGATGGCTTAAAACAATACAGGTTTATTCTCCCACAGTTCTGGAGTCCAGAAGCCCAGAATCAGTTTCACTAGGCTAAAGTCAAGGTGTTGGCAGGGCTGGTTCCTTCTGGTGATACGAGGGGAATTCATCCCTTGCCTCTTTTAGCTTCTAGAGGCTGCTGGCATACCTTAGCTTGTAGCCACATAACTCAAATGTTTGCTTCATTGTCGCATGGCCTTCTCTCTGACTCTGACTCTTATGTCCCTCTCATGAGGACTCCTATGATTATGTCAGGCCCACCAGGGTAATTCAGGAGAGTCACCAATTTTAAGATTTTTAACTTGACCACATCTGCAGAGTTCCCCTTGCCATATAAGGTACCATTCTCAGGTTCCAGGAATTAGTATGTAAACATCTTGGGGGAAGTGATTATTAGAATCTACAATTCTGATGTTTGGAAGGTGATTTAGTCTTTTTAGATGAAAAAAATCATAGCTCAGATTTGTTACAAACCTACTGAAAATCATTTAGCTAGTGTGAGATAGAGCTAGAATTAGGCCTCTGAACTCCTGTTTTGGGATATAGTTGAATGATCCAAAAAATAAATAAAATCCATATTATTTATGAATTCTATTCCGAAACATAAATATAAAAATGGTGAATTATGGAGGCACAGATTGGTTTTTATCAAAACTAACTACCTGAAGTCAACTTCAAGTAATATATGCAATTCAATCATTGTATTCAAATTTCACCTTTTATAACATCCTTTGCCTTTTTTTTTTTTTTTTTTTTTTTTTTTTTTTGAGACGGAGTTTCACTCTGTCGCCCAGGCTGGAGTGCAGTGGCGCGATCTCGACTCACTGCAAGCTCCGCCTCCCGGGTTCACGCCATTCTCCTGCCTCAGCCTCCCGTGTAGCTGGGACTACAGGCGCGCGCCACCATGCCCGGCTAATTTTTGTATTTTTAGTAGAGACGGGGTTTCACCGTGTTAGCCAGGATGGTCTCGATCTCCTGACCTCGTGATCCGCCCGTCTCGGCCTCCCAAAGTGCTGGGATTACAGGCGTGAGCCACCGCGCCCGGCCCATCCTTTGCCTTTTAAAGAAAAGGATTGGCTACAAGAAAGATGTTTTCCCCAAAGTTAATTTAATTCATGTTCATGAATATGTGCAATAAAATGTAGTTATTACCACATGTGTTGTGGAATAAACATATGCACCTTTAGTTAATTTATGGATAATGTGTCCTGTGGTGATACCAGATGAGAGAAAGCATCCACACGTTCAGAAGGAACCTGGAAAATTTAGGTGAATTAACTGTGTGTGACATGTGAGGATCTCTCTCCCAAAATATTTTCACTGATTCGAGTTTACAAAGCGTGATCCCTTCCAGCACTTTTCTCTAGGATTGTTTTATCCCCCAGCACCTGAAGGACATTCAGGGCATGCTAACATTTCTCTTGTGACATAAAATGACCCATGAGAAGAACTGATTAACGACTGAGCACAGTACTTTGGGGAAAAAAGTCATCATGAAAGTTGGAACAGTTCCCTTTAACAATGTCTGCGCTTAGAGTTTTTCAAAGCTATTTCACTGAAAAAAGAAAAAAGAACTGAAAGAAAAAAAGAACAAACCTCCCTCCATGGATGCCTTTCAGAGGCTCATCCTCATCACTGAATAAGAAGATGAACAATAAGTTATTGTGAGTTATAAACAATAGTTACAGAGAAAGAATCTGGCCCTTGAAAGGGCTAGAATACGCTGCCAGATTTGACCTAACCCTCTTGTTAGCGTGTACAATTACCTTTGTGGTATCAGCTCAGAGAGTTGGGAGAAAAAGGTAGCATGATGGTGTTTTCTGGGTGCAGAACTAGTTTCTGTGGAATAGATCCTTTTTTATTGTAGAATGTTCTTTGTCTGACTTACTGATTTACTACTATTCTATAAAAACAGTGCAAGAGTGCATCAAACATTTCCTTACACTATTGCATTTAAAGGCCTCCTTTAAAAGAATCACAAAATAAATCTTTTTGATCAAGGAAAAACATTATTTGATGTATTCTCAAGTGATGGTCAAGCTTATTGAGAATTGGTTTTTGAGGTTTCAGCTTGGGTGGGAGCAATCTTTATGTTTATTCTGCTGAAAGTTCTATCAACTGCCTAGAACTCCCCAGCCCAGAAATAAATATGTAGAAGTAGTAGGTGAAACACGTGCTAAAAAATTATAGAACAAGGTTTCCAATCTCCATTGTATCCTATCTTTTAAATACTATGTGCATTCCCTTCTCAGGAAAGGACAAAACTTTTAGCTTTTACTGAGTACTGTTAGGAAATTCAGCCTAAAGAATCACTAGGTATATTAGTCAAATTATACTGAATTCAGTTCACAAAAAAAGTCATAACAATCCCTACTCTTATGGAAGTAAGAGTTATAGTTACTATTTATAATGCATAAGGGAAAATATCATTGATAACCAGCATTTTCAAATCATGGTCTGTTCACTTAACTTTTAAGGATGTCTTTATTGAAGGATTATATATATGTATGTATATATATGTGTGTGTGTGTGTATATATATATACACACATACAACAAAATAGAGATATCATGAATATTCAGGTCTGTTAATTTTATCAAACTTAACACATCTGTGGAACCAGCACCTGGGTCTAGACACAGCATCTCAGGAACCTCCTTCATTAAATTTTTTAAAAAGGAATTTGATATTGCTTGTTTAGAAATGTGAAAGGCTAATCGAATAGCTGTTTTTCTGACACATTGTTTTAGACAGTTTAGAGAGACCCAAAGTATTTGTCATACACTTTCAAACAGATGAAAAAGTACAGCCCCATGCTACCTTATTTTTTCCTTGAAAGGGAAGAAGACATAAATATAATGCTACTTTTCCATTCAGTAAAGGAGGAGGAATTTATAGAAAACCACAAAAGAAATAACCGATTTGTGAAGAGGCCTGAATCATTCGTTTTAAATTGAAAGCCCCTCCAAGTCTGTGACCTTGAGGAACAAGGGCTGTGTACAGCCCAGGTGGCAGGAGGCCACCACAGTGGGAGGCAGAGGTGCCATCCCAGGCTCTGGGGTTGTCTCTCCAGCCTGTCTTGGTGGTGGTGAGGCCAAGGCCCAGCAGTCATGGGTTTCAACAAACCCCAGCCAGGCAGGGCTCTGGCAACCACCAGGTCAGAAAAACTTTTGGGAAAAAGGAAGTCCTCTACTTAGATGATGACAGAAAGATGAGTAGTAAGCCGGGGAGTCTGAAAAGAACTAGCTTAATAGGCTACACAGGACCTGAAGGCACTTGAGCAGGGGGCTCAATTGGAGAAGGCATGGAAGGTTCTAGAACCCCCCAGAGACAGCAGACCAGCTGTGAGGTGTAGGACCCATGATTGTTCAGTGACCACCCTGACATCATAGATATAGAAACATAGGCCTAAGGGATGTCCCCATTTGCTGGAGTGTCAATGGTGAAACTCCACCCAGAATACCCATTTCCTGGCTTTCAGAGCTCGTTCTGTTCTTTATTATTACTCAAGAGGGATCATTTTTACCATCTGGTACTAATGAGTTGTGGTAGGAAGATGTTATGTATAATTTAGGGGCCTGAAAAATGCAAGTTGAAACCAAGGATGAGGCAGGATGAAACCAAGGATGAAAGCTATTGGTTGAGGGAGTTTTGAAGGGTCGTGTGAAATCATAGTCATATTATTACTCAAAGTTCATCATGGTCACTTTATCCTCAGTTGATAAGAAAAAATGAGGAGTAGGTGAAAACGAAAAGGACCTCGCTCCAGAGCTATGCCCATTAACACTCTGCTCTGACATATGTGTGTGCATGTATGTGTCTGGTATATGTGTGAATGTGTGCATGTGTATATATGTGTGCCCAACACTGGTAGCTCTATTGTGATTATTGTAATGCTATTATTCACTTTTGATCTACAGGACTCCGTTTTTCCACAAAGCAATGAAAAATAATAAAAAGTTTGCATTGCAAAGGCAATTTGTGAATGCTGGGATACTTGCTTTTGTATTTGCCTTTAGAGGGAGGATAACAGTAACTTATTTGTAGAAGTGATTTTGTGGCCTGGAGGTATTTTAAAACCCAGGTCATATGGTTAAATGTAATTAATCCTAAGCTAATGAGTACACAACTAAATAATGCAAATAATAATAGTGCAATCCCCTTACCTTGAACAACAACTATAGTAACTTCAGAAACTTATAAAACTTATGAAAACCTTATACTCTATTTGAATGTGCCCAGTTTATAGTAGTGACTCTACCTACTCAAATGATAGGCAATGACTCCTAAAAGTCCTATAACTGAGAAGTAGTACTTTATTTTCTAAGTGAAAATGGGTGATGTGGGCTGTTCATATAAATCCACACCATCAGGCTCTCTAGCTGTGGCTGGTGAGCTCTTTTTTCTACTTTAACAGCCAAGGTCATTGGTTTAATCTTTACATTAATCCTTTAGCTTTGCTCTATATCACAGTTATGGAATGGGTACCTTTTCCTAGTTATCTGTTTCATAAATGAGCATTTCTGAAAATAAGGGAAACCAATGAAAATCAGGAGAGTTTGATAGCTTTGTAGGCAGTATTCGGATTAAGACTGATGGCAAATTTTAAGGATTATTTTAACTCAAAGATTTATGATTCTGGGAGTTAACTACTTCTGAAAAGAACACATATTTGAGAACAATCCCTATTGACAGTACAATGGTTGTCTTTTTCATATGTGAAAGGTGTTTTCAGTACATGTTGAAGATAAGAACAGTCAATGAGCATTGCTGGAGGTCCAATCCAAGTATAAGCCAAGTTTATGCCAAAGATAGGTTGGGCTCTGAGGCACACAGGCCCAGGAGGAAAGTATGATTAATACCTATGTGCACACATCATACTCAAGGGATGATGAATTCTGAGCACCCAAGTCAGAACCAGGGAAGCTGAATTCTGCCATCAAGTCCAACCTGTGAGTACAGGCAGCAAAGAGCAGGCCATGGCAGTCAGATCCAAAGCTGGCTAGACCCTGGAATGCAGATGGGAGAGACGAAGGAGGCAGGTGATATAAGAGGGTCTGCCACCATCTCTCTCTAAGCAGGAAGGCATGTCCAGGGGTATGTTTTTAGCATCTGTTGGCCATGGGTGTGGCACACAGGCAAGAGTGTGGGATGGTAGCAGATATCCAATGTTATTGGAGAATGAGGCATTTCATTTGGGTGGACTTTCTAAATCCCAGAACAAAATTCTTTTAAATGCATACATTCAGCATTTTCAGGGATGCCTTTTGAGTGGATTGCATGCTTTCTCTCCTTTTTTTTTTTTTTTTTTTTTTTTTTTTGAGACAGAGTCTTGCTCTATCACCCAGGCTGGAGTGCAATGGCGCAATCTTGGCTCACTGCAATCTCCACCTCCTGGGTTCAAGTGATTCTCTCACCTCAGCCTCTGGAGTAACTAGGATTACAGGTGCATGCCACCATGCCCAGCTAATTTTTGTATTTTTTTTTAGTAGTGATGGGGTTTTACCATGTTGGCCAGGCTGGTCTCGAACTCCTGACCTCAAGTGATCCACTCACTTTGGCCTCCTAAAGTGCTGGGATTATAGGCATGAGCCACCGTGCCTGACCTCTCTCATTTTTAAGCAGTTTATGAGTTTAATGTAAGCTTTACTAGATGACCAGCCCTGACTGTACTGTGCTTTAACATAGCAACACCCTCAGGTTTATTGAGCTCTGACAGGCTTCTTGCCTTTACAGGAAACGATAGAGTTTTCTCAGACTGCCACATTAAAAAAAATTCTTGTGTTATTTGTGTGTCTAATTTTTTTTCCTCTGGCAGGGAGACAGCATTTCTTATTACAGCTAACTCTTTTCAGTGTGCCCATCTCTATTAGAGCTTTTCTCCTTCCCCGTCGTCCGCCAGCTTATTTCTGATTTATCTGTTTGGGGCTAGAAAAACAGATGTTTAGGTTCATTAAGATGGTATGTAAAATAAGAGAGGCCATCCTGGCAAAATGTCTTATGAATTCAGCACAGAAACTTAGTGTGTGGACATCAGACTTCAAACATCTATTTTACCTACTCAGGACCCTTTTGGCGCCTTTGTGTTTTGTTTTGTTTTGTTTGTTTTCATAGTTGAGCTTCAGAGGGATCATCTCTGAATACGTGAGGTCAGAGTGTAATCTTAAATGTTGTTGGACACTATACATTTGCTGTCACGTCTTTTGTAGGACTGTGACTGGCATAGAGTAAA
Source organism: Homo sapiens (assembly GCF_000001405.40). Classification (NCBI taxonomy): domain Eukaryota; kingdom Metazoa; phylum Chordata; class Mammalia; order Primates; family Hominidae; genus Homo; species Homo sapiens. The sequence continues at coordinate 25,622,642 of NC_000012.12, read as the reverse complement.
GGCTTACTAAATATTTGTTGTACAAATAATATAATGATGAATGAGGCAGAGTGTGCAGTTTCTGCTCTACTAAATTCAGCTGCATACACAGTTTAGTAGAAGGCAGAAAATATGTAAGTGTTAAGGACAATGTGGATAAAAGCCAATGATGTTGATATTATTTTGCGGGGGGGGGCGGGCTCACAAACTCAAGGTCAAGGGCAACAGTGACCAGCGCAACTTTTCTTTTTATGTTAGTGCCTGTGGGTCATGCATGAACTCTGCAGTTCACAGGCTGTACCATTGTTTTGTTGTTTTACACTTGGCTAAGTCATACGGTGAAGTTAGCTGTTTGCTGTACCCTGAGGGTGTTTGGATTTTCAGGCCCCTGAGGAGCTAATAGAATCATTATTGAGTGTTTTTATCATACAAGGCAATACCAGATGATGAGAAGCATATTCGAAACCCAAACTCTTGACTCCCCTCCAATCCCAAGCTTGTTCCTCTGCAGCCTTCCCTGGGGATGCCCCCTTCTAATGCCCAAAACATTGGGGCTGTTCCTCTCTTTCTTTCATATCCAGCATTTGCTCCATCAGCAAATCATATCATTTTTGAAAGGTATAGAATTTAAATATTTCTCATTATCCCCATTGCTACTACCTTGATCCAACCCACTTGCCTCTGGCTCAGAATACTACAGTAACTTTGATTGTTCTAACAGCAGCCAGGGTGATCCTCTTACTATGGAGGCAATCACATCAGTTTTCTGTCCAGAACCCTCTGTTGATTTCCCATCTCATTCAGCATAAAAGCGCAAGTCTTCTCCACGGCCCACTTCTCTTCCTTGTCTTTGCTGACCATATTTATTAGTCTATCTCCTGCCTCAAGAGTGTAATCTTCTTGACAGAAGAGACTTTGATTATTCATTTTTATATCTCAAGTGTGTAGAATAAGGCCATGTTTTAGGGGTTCAGTCAACATTTGTTTAAGGTACAAACAAATGAATAACTGAAAGGAAAAATAGGGGAACAGAATTATTCATTTAAGAAATATGAGGAGGTGTTGGTCAAACGATACAAACTTTCAGATATAATATAAACATGTTTTAGGGATCTAAGGCACAGCATGAATGGTGATGAATGTGTTTATTAATTTGATTGTGGTAATTATTGCACAAGTTAAACGTATATCATATTATGCTATATACCTTGAATCTATACAACCCTTATTTGTTAATCAAATATTTAAAATAAAATTTGTTTTAAAAACTACGTGGCTGGGTGCAGTGGCTCACATCAGTAATCCCAGCACTTTGGAAGTCTAAGGTGTAAGGATTGCTTGATCCCAGGGGTTCATGGTTGCAGTGAGCCATGATCATGCCACTGCACTCCAGCCTGGGTGACAGAGTGTGACCCTGTCTCTCTTTCTCTCTAAATAAAAAAAGTTACCCCTGCCAATGTATTAACATGTTAATAGATGCGGTTATTAGTTAACATGTGTTAACTCTAAGCCAGGCACTGTTCTAGGCCCTTGGAATACTCCAGTGACCAAATCAGAAGAAACTTCCTCTTGTGAAGGTCAACAGCTAATGAATAGAGATGAAGACAGCAGATAAGGACAGTAGTTAGGAGCCCAGTGTCTGATGTCAGTTCACCTGGGTTTGAATCTCTTCCCTGCCACTTACCAGACTATGTTCAACAAGTTACTGAAGCCTTGATTGCTTTGGTTTCTCTCCATCTGTAAAGTTGGGGTAACACACCTATTGCATAGTGTTGGTGGGGATTATGATAGAACGATGGTAGAGCGCGTATAAAGCACTTGACATGTGGCAAGAATTCATAGATATTGACATTAATAGAGCAAATGAAGACATGGAAGCTAAACAGTAGTAGCTACGGAGTGGAGTACAATCCACAGGAGGCTTTAGGAGAGAAGCGGGGACCCAGTGCCTGAAGTTGCGGTGCTCAGTTTAGCACTTTCAAGTTCAACCTAAGGAAAGAAAATCAGCTCATAGAAAAGAAAACTGGCCCTGCTCTGTGAGAAACTCATGTATACCTGGATCATAGACACGTGGAAGAGTCACATAATAGCAGCAGAGTTTTTGATGTGGCAAGAAAAGCTAGAAAATGTACTCCTATCTTGTTGAAGAAAAGAAGCATTTATATTGAAAAGGTATACTTTACCACCTTTCTCATCCTTCAGAGAAACAACAAAAAAGAAACTAGAAATTTATCATTTTAAAATTATAGAAATTATATATTTAAAATACTTGTATTTTAAAAGTATATTTTATAATTTTGTAAGTTATAAAATTTGTTTTGCTAACTGTGAAAATTGGAATTGAGAACAGAATTAAATGGAATTAGAAAACTGTGGAGTTCCGTTAACATTAAAAAAGGCCTTTTTTTGTTGAAATGCCCTTTGAAAACATTGCATGGGGAATCACTGATGGTGTTGCTATTCCATCTAAAACGCAATCACTTGTGGGAAAACACAGTTTCTTCTGGAAGAGCAGCTCTGTTGTAACTTAAACTATGACAGTAGCTAGTCCCTTTTTGTTCTTTTAGTGTAGTACACTCAAATTTAAAGCAGAGTTAAAAGAGAATCTAAATTATGGAATAACATGGTCACATATGTATATATTGTGCATCTGAATATTTATAAAGCTAAGGCTTTTGGAGATACTAAGTTCAAAGGATTCCCTTGAAGGGCTGGGCACTTCTATTCAAACTCTTGAGTTATTAAAGCCAGAATTTACATGTAGGATAAAAGTCTCATAACCAATGTTTCAAAAAAGGAACAACTGGCAAATCTGTGATCAGTCTTGGTGAGAATTATTTCGCATTAGTTATGCCCAAGACAGCTTGACCATCCATTTTGCCAAAACTAGTCCATCCCTGGGGGATGAGCAGAGAAGGGAGAGACAGAGATGGCTGTGTGGGCTCCAGCCCCACCTGCCGTCCTGCCCACGGAGCACTGGGAATTGGCTTTGGGAAAATGGCAGAACAAGCACCTGCAGTCTTAGATCATTCTTTCCTGGATCACAGCCTGCCTACCAACAGCCAGGCTGCCCTGAGGAACCATCTGAAGATGGGAAAACTCTCTCAAACTTCACAGAGCAAATGCAGGCAAGAAAAGAGGGCCCAGGCCTCTCTCAACTGTCTTGTGAACTGATTACAAAAGGCAAACTTAGAAATTGAAGTTTGTTTATGGTGCATTTAACATGCACTGGAAAGAAGTGAAAAGGGCTATAATGTGTTTTAACTTTGTTGTATGTTTTGCGTATAGAACTTTTACATTTTAAGTCAAATTGATAATCTTTTCCTTTAGGTTTTGTTTTTTGTTTTATTTGGAGTAGAAAGTTGGAAAACTAGTTAGCTATACATATATATATATATATATATATATATAGAGAGAGAGAGAGAGAGAGAGAGAGAGAGAGAGAGTTGAAAAGCATGTATCCCTTACCCAGCAATTCTACTTCTACAGATATATTCTAGAGAAACTCCTGTACAAGTACACAGGCAAACACATACAAAGGTGCTCTTTGCAGTATTTTTTTAACAGTAAAGAAATTGAAAATGATCTAAATGTCACTGAATGGGGAAATGAGTAAATAAATTGAAGCATATTATAGAATGCTCTTACAATGGCAGGGCAAAGACTGTTAACCCATCACCAAACCTGTTTCCTATTTTGCGGTAAATCGTTTCACATTGATTAAGTCAGTTGATGAATTTCACTCATTCAGTGAAATTCAGTGAATGGCTATTAGGTTTTAAGTACTGTGCCATGTACCATGGATAAGGCAAGAAGCTCATAGCTTAGCCATCTTTGTACTTTACTAGCCAAAATATGATGTTGAAGCTTATTTAGGCTTATCATTAATTAGATCATTTTAGCAGTTGGTTTGGTCTTGAAGTCAATTATTAAATTATTAGTATTCAAATTGATGTTAAATTCTTTTACCAAGTATAGAGTAAATTCTTGTTTTCTGTTCAACCTTGGCTTCTCCGATTCCTATGTTCCCTTTCCTTTCCAGGCCTAAATGTGCTAATGCCAGCCCCTCCCACAGTCTCATCACAAGGAGAAAGGAGAATTATAAAATCACTCCCACTAAGGTCTTTGTAGAGTCTTAACATGTTGCTCCAACCTAAAGAGCAATCTACATTTTGAGGAGAAAATTCTTAACCCGAAGCAATGGTATTGCAAGTATCACTAAGGTACTGCAAGTATCAAATTCTTCTATCTGTCCCTTAAAACCCTTTTCTTTCACCTGAGTGAGTGGTCCTCACTTGCAGCTGCACAGTAGAATCACCTGACGAATGATTCTAAGAAGATTGATGCCTGCTCTCCAATCAAGAGCAATTAAATCAGAATTCCCAAGGGTATAGCCTGGCACTTGGAACTTTCTAAAAGCTCCCCTACTGACTAATGGGCAGGCTTGGCTGAGATCAATCAAAATGTCCATTGTGAGTAAAATCCCACACTTCTCTGACACACATACAACCACAGAGAGACAAACAGGAAGTTACAAAAGCAGTTTTTAAATTTTGGGGATAATTGTCAGAAAAAGTAGAGATTGGGGAAATAATTGAGAGAGCAGGCTCAGGGGTCAGATGAGATAAGTTTGTGTCAGCACTGCATACACTGGCTGTGTGAGCTTGTACATCAACCCCTTTCCTGCACAATGGGGACAACAACGACACCTACCTCTCACAGGACCCTTATGAATATTAAATACATAGAACAGTGCATCTTCATTACTGTTGTATCCTTCAAGTACTTCTTCAGATTTCACCTGCTCTGCAAAATCTCTTGCCTCATGCAAGAAGAATAAACCACTCCTTTCTGTGGCCTCACACACCATCAATCAAGATTAATATTATTTACCTGTGTATCACGTGGCATTGCAATTGATAGAGTTTCTTGTCTGTCTTCCCATCATGATCATTTTCTGTTAAGCGTGGTGAACTTTTGAAAGAAAGAAGATCATTTTATTATGTTAAGGAAATATCTATCAATTCTTACTGTTTCAAATGTTTTTCTTTGTCCCCCCTTCCCCATTTTCACTCTCTAGAAAAATAGAAACCATCAGATGGGCTCTTCTGCAAGCTCCCACCACCTATACCTGTCACCTGCCTCTGTGTCTGTGTACCCTGCCTTCCCTCTATTACCACGGATAAGCTGCCCATTCTCCTGCTAAAGGCCAACCCCTCCACTTGTCCAAGAGATCACATCCCCCTCTTGTCTACAGTAGACACCTGCCTTATAGGTTTGACTGATGTCAGTGAAGTGTCTGGTTTTGGTGGCACCTCAGAACCAAGAGGCAGATAGTACCCAAGACTGCACAGGGACACTGGAGCTCTGTAAAATTCACCTGTTACCTAGGCACTACCCACTAAAGTGAATAAACATAAACTCTGTGCCCATCAGGGCCTCAGCATAAAGTTAACATTAACATTAAATACTATAGCTAATTAAAGTCAATATTAGCAGCTAGGGAAAGAGCAAGGCTGACTCAGAGCTTCTGAGTCTTACTAGACGTGTAAGTTATTGAGAAAGTTATTTTACCTCTCTGAGTCTCCATTTCCTCCTTTGTGAAATAAATTAGTCCTTATTTTAAAACAGCTATATTGAGTTACATAATGTAAATTATATTGAGGTATAATTTACATACAGTATACTTCATCCTTTTTAGTGTACAGTTCTGAGTTCTGATAATCCCATGTTTATGTAACTATCACTAGATTCAAGATATAGAACATTCCTGTCACTCCAAAGAATCACCTTGTGCCCCTTTGTAGTCAGCTACAAGTCAACCTCACCACCAGCTCCTGGGAAACAGAACTCTGTTTTCTGTCCCTATAGTTTCGCTTTTTTTCCAGAATGTTATTATATAAGGGAAATCATAACATACGTGGCCTTTTTATTTTGAAATAATTGTAGATTCATATGCAATTTAAGAAATAACTCAGAGAGATCCCCCATACCCTTTACTCAGTTTTCCCCAATGGTAACATCTCACAAAACTGCAGTACAATATCACAACCAGGTTATAGATATTGATCTGGTCAAGATACAGAACATTTCCATCACCACCAGGATCCACTTCCCTTCTACTCTGCCCCCTCCTTAACCTCTGACAAACTTGAATCTTGTCTTCATTTCCATAATTTTGTCATTTCAAGAATGTTACGTAAGTGTAATCATACAGTATGTAACCTTTAGGGATTGGCTTTTTTTACTCAACATAATTCTTTGGAGATTCATCCAGGTTGTTGTGTGTGTCAATAGTTCATTCTTTTTTATTGTTGAGTTGTTGTAAAATAAGTTATTGCAAGGATTAAATGATACAAAGCTTAGCACAATGTCTGCCTAAATAAATATTGACTATTATTATTGATTCATCAATAATAATAATTAAATATTTTTCTTAGAGACTTCCCCTACCACCCTGTCTAAAAATAGTCAGCTATGTTACCCTCTTTCTCTTACCCTGCTTTATTGATTTACTTCATAAGCCTTCTCACTATCTCACACTGTGTGTGTGTGTGTGTGTGTGTGTGTTATGTGTGTGTCGGGGTGGGAGGGTGAGGTATAGTCTGTCTCCCCTACTAGAAGTAGACTTCATGAGGACAGGAACTTAATTGGTTCACCACTGGGTCTGGAATGGTGCCTGCTACCTGGTAGGCATTTAATAAATGTGTGTTGAATATACATGAGTGAATAATGATCTTCCACATATAACTTTAGGCAGAATCATACTAAAATCACTGAAATAAAGAATAATTTATTTTTAAAAAATCTACTTTAGTAAACTCCAGTTTTAACAACTTACACTGTTAATATTTTGTTATGACAACTCAAGTTCTAATTATTAAGAAATAATTTATGACACTAGGCTGGGCGCCATGGCTCACACCTGTAGTCCCAGCACTTTAGGAGGCCAAGGCAGGCAGATCGCTTGAACTCAGAAGTTTGAGACCAGCCTGGGCAACATGTTGAAACCCTGTCTCTACCAAAAATAGAAAAATTAGCTGGGTGTGGTGGCACACACCTGAATCTCAGCTACTGAGGAAGCTGAGGCAGGAGGATCGCTTCAGTCTGGAAGGCAAAGGTTGCAGTGAGCCCAGATCATGCCACTCTACTGCAACCTGGGCGACAAGAGTAAAGAGTGAGACCATGTCTCAAAAAAAAAAATTAAAAAATTAAAAAAAGGATATGGTTCTGCTATATGGCTCTCTTCTGAACGTTGTCCAGAATCTTCACAACCTTCTCTGGCTTGGAGTTCAGAATTGGAAAGGTGCTTCCAATTACTGCAAAGGGAACTGAATTACCTCACACACTCTACTCTGCTTCTCCTATTTCTATATCCAGGAATTGTGCTCATGTGTTTTACTGCACCATGTTGCTGACTCATGGTCAGCATGTGACCCACAATGACCTCATCTTCTGCATTCACCCATCCCCATCTCTCATCTCGTGAGCAAGAAGCTTGTTCTGCTACCTAAATTTCTCCCTTTTAGCTGAGCCTCATTTTGTTTGGCCACTATTACAGGCTGGATTGTGCCCCCCTGTATTTATCGGTTGACGTCCTTTCCCCCAGTACCTCAGATTGTGACGGTGATGCAGATAGGGTCTCAACAAAGGTAATTAATTAAAAATGATGTCATTAGATTGGGCCTTAATCCAATATGACTAATGACCTTATAAGAAGAGGCGATTAGAACCCAGACATCAACAGAGGGAAGACAGTGTGAAAACAGGGAGAAGATGGCCATCTTTAAGCCAAGAAGAGCCTCAGAAGAAACAAACCAAACCTAACAATACCTTGGTCTTGGACTTCCAGTTTCCAGAAGTATGAGAAAATAAATTTCTGTTGTTTAGGTCACCCAGTCTGTGATACTTTGTTGTGGCAGCCTTAGCAAACTAATATAGCCACTTTCCCTATTTGCCAAGCACACTTTCAAGTCTGATTCTGTCTCCCAAGGTGCTAGACTCTGCAATCTGCCAAGTCTGTTCTACCGCAGTTAACCTCTGTTAACAGAAGAGAAATACTGTTCTCTTTTGGGTTTCTGAAAACTAACTTTAGGAGGAAAACACCCCAAAAGGAATAGGCACAAAGTCTATTGCATGTGATAGTATCTTGGAGGGTAGATTAAACTCTAATCTTGAACTCAGTTCATGGATGACTACTCTGCAAGATGTCTGGAGAAGCAGCTTCTCCAGATGTGCTGAGCTGGAGGTCAGCATTTAAGGTGTCACCCAGATACCTGGTAATTGAGGATTTGGGTTGTAGGGAGCTCATCAAGGGAATGTGTCTGTGCTCAGTACCGAGAACTGAGCTATAGAAATCTCCAGGGCTGGTGGAGGCAAGAGTAAGAGAAGTTGGAAATGAAGCAGAAGAAGCAACTGATGAGGCCAGAAGAGAACTAGAAAAATGCGTAGGAAGCTTAACAAGGAATAGACAGAAAAAAAAGAGGACATCGCTTACCCCACCCTTCAGTCAGTCTCCCTACTCCCACTGGCGACTGATGACTTGTCTTGATAAACCCAATGGACACTTTTTTTAGATACTTTTTTTTTTTACCCACCAGCAGCAATTGACATTAATAATCATTCTCCTTCATTTTGGAAACCACTCTCTTCCTTTGTCCATGATACTCCTCTCTGCTTTTCCCTTTGTCCTTCTGTCTCCTCTCCCAATGCTTCCGCCTATCTTCTCCCTTAGTTGCCCCTCAGCTGCCAGCTGTATTTAGGAATCTGCTTGAATCCCATTTCTAAAGGAGCCCCTTTAGACTCCACACCCTCCTCCCACATCATCCATCTCTTTCATAGGTGGGGTTCTGTGAAAAAAGTGAAAGTATTTCCAAATACTTTCTCTCTTTCCAATGTTTACTTTTCCTATGACCTGTTGACAGCAAGATTCTATTGATATTAAATATTTTTTCTAATAAGCTAATTTAATTTATGCATGCATTCAATCATCTCTTAATTCCCTTAACAAATATGCATAAGGTTTTATGTGCCAGACACTATTCAGAGCACTGCACTACAATGTTAATTATCAAATGAGGCTCATTTACATTTTGCCAGAAGCCTTCAATTCCTAGGTCCAAAGAAGTAAGTCATGATCATAGAGTTAACATTTTTGTTGCAGTTTACATAATGCTTTTGTGTAATTTATGCCATATAATGCTCATAACAACTGCAAGAAGTAGATTGATCAGGTATTGTTTTAACCTCAGGAAACCAAGGCCCAGTGATTCCCACTAAAAGATCTAGCTAAAAAACGGTAGAGTCAAAACACACACAGGTCTTTTGGTTCCTAAGCTTATCTTGATTTCATTTCTACCCGTCATGTCAGAACCAGCAATAAGAGTGCTTTAAAGTCTAGAAGAAGAACAGGATCTGTGTGGTGCATTGACTTTCTGTTGCTACTATAACAAATTACCACCAACTTCATGCCTTAAAACAACAGACATTTATTCTCTTAAAGGTTTTGGATGTCAGAAGTCCAAAACAAGTGTCTCACTGGGTTGAAATCAAGGTGTCTTCAGGGCTGCACTTCCTCCAGAGCTTCCAGGGGACAATCCCTTTCACTGCATTCTCCTATATTCTGGAATCTGTCCTCGTTCCATGGCTCATGACATTGCTCTTTCTCCTGCTGCTGCCATCATCCCATTGCCTTCTTCCTCTTCTAGCAGATCTCCCTCTGTCTGCCTATAAGAACACTTGAGACTACATCACAGGACCCACTCAGATAATGCAGGAGATCACCTTACCTCAAGATCCTTAATCTATTCACATCTGAAAGTCACTTTTGCCATATAAGGTAACTTTCACAGGTTCCAGAAATTAAGACCTAGATGTCTTTGGGGCCATTATTCAACCTATCACATATGGTAGCCTTTAAACTCTATACACGGGGGACATTTAAAAATATATATATATATAAAGTCATTCCAGCTCTAGACTCCTTTTTCTGTTTCCCTGCATTTAGATCAGTTCATCAGAGCTTCATTCATTCAGCCAAAGGGATTCAGGCACCATGCTAGATACTGGGCATACAACAAGCAGATAACAGTGGTGAAGATAAAAATAAGATCTGATGCGAGTTTACATTACCTGAGTGACTCAGCAAAGGTTTCCTAGATGTAAAATTGCTTGACCTAAGCCTTGAATAGCAGTAGGAGTTTGTTAGGCAGATATCAAAAGAAAGAAGTCTAGAAAAAGGGACAGAGATGGTCCAAAGCCTAAAAGTGTAAAATCCACAGTGAATTCCATCCAGGCTGTGAGTAGTGGTTCAGTGTTGTTGACAGTGGGAGCGCGTGTGTGTGTGTGTGTGTGTGTGTGTGTGTGTGTGTGTGAGGGACCTTAGAGACTCAGATAGAACTGGTTAATTGTAGGAAATGATATACTTTTTTCCAGATTGTTCATTCATTTGTTTTAACAAGAAGCATTTGAGTTAATCTAAAAAAATTTAATTTTGCTATCTCTCCATCTAAAGCCACAGTATTTTTCTTATTTCTTTAGTTGGCAGTGAAAAGCCCTCTACTTCACTGAACACACACAAAAACCTTTGAATAGGTACAATTATGTTAAAGGCTAAGATGGTAAAACAAGCTTAATAAGCACTCTATCCCTGGATGGAAATTTTTTGCTGTTCCATGAAGAAAATACTCCAACGGATAGAAGTTTACTCTTAAATTCCACCACACAGAATAAAGAGAAAGCAACCAAAGAGGAAATGTTATGGATCAGAACTGGCAAGCAAAGGAAATCCAAGTGTATAAAGAACCATTTAAATCAGACTGGCATAAAATGAGGTCCATTCTAATCTAACTTTTGAATGCATTGCTATTGCTCTCTAAGGAAATGGGATCAGGCTCATTTTCCAAGACCACTTGACTGGAAAAATAAAATCAAATAAATATTTTAGCAGTACTCATGGCTATGACTGTGTGTGTGTACGTATGTGTATGAGAAAGAGAAAGGGAGTCAATCCTTTACTTCTCAATCATATTTTGGAAGCATTCTCATTATGTTTTTGTTCTTTAAGGCAATATACTGTAAATGTTCTCAAATGGAATAGTGGAACACTGGAGCTAAACCATTATACCTGAGTAAAATGATGAGTGGGATTAAACTTAACCATCTGAACTCAGCTACATAGTCGAGGATTCCAGTGTGGACAAACTTCCTTCATCCTAGTCCCTCCTCATCACTGTATTCCTCACAGCCTGTGCTTAAATGTTCCCATTCTAAACAAAACAACCCCTCCTAAAACCATCAAAACACCAAAGGCTTCCTTTGATCCTGTTAATCCTCTTCTTGCACTGATTAGTAATGTTTTTAAAAATTATTTATCTTCGTGGTCTCCTTGCCCTCATGATCTAATCATATCATAACACCTAAACATATGATTTCTGTCTCCAGTACGCCATTAAAATTGCCCTTTAATAACATTTCTTCTTAATCACCAAATGGCATAGCTTTGCTACAATTTTTGTCCTCTTTGACTTCCCTGGTATTTGAGGTTAAAACTTTGTCCTTCCCTTGACGTCCTGCCCTGCTTTATACTGGTTCTCTTCGTTCTCTTCACTTTCCTTCTCTGCTTCTTTGACTCCTCTGTGCGCCTAGAAATAGGTGTTACTCAAGGGGTCTCTGCTCTCCTTAAAGACGTTACTTGAGAATCTCTCACCCCCACAGTTGTGACTGTTGAAGACAAGTGGCTTCCCAATTTTCCTTCAGTCTGAGCCTCTGCTGTCCTCTCAAATTTCTTATGCCCAAACCAAACCCAACACCTTCTTCTGAAGCTAGCTGAGCCTTGAGACTTCCTTATATCTAATCAATGAGACCACTATTCTCCCAGTCCAAACTAATAACCTTGGAAGTTTCTGTGGTTTCTTCTTAACCCTGGATTAGTGAGATGCCAAGCCCCATGTTGTCTCCTTTACTCTACCCCTTGGGTCCCCTCCACTTCCATCTATATGATCACCACTTCAATTCAGCCTCTCATTGCCTTTCTCCTGGACCACAATCCTAGTTTCCTAATCATCTCCTCATCTCCTCATCTTTCATTCTTCTCTTTCTTTGATCCATCCTTAACCCACTGCCAGCTGTAAAAAACATTAATAGCCTTGTGTTGTCCAATAAATTAAATCTAAATGAAGGTGCGGGGTCCATTCCAAGATGGCCAAATAGGAACAGCTCCGGTCTGCAGCTCTCAGTGTGACTGATGCAGAAGACAGGTGATTTCTCCATTTCCAACTGAGGTACCTGGTTCATCTCATTGGGACTGGTCAGAAAGTGGGTGCAGCCCACAGAGGGCAAGCTGAAGCAGGACGGGATATTGCCTCACCCAGGAAGCACAAGGGGCCTGGAAATTTCCCTTTCCTAGCCAAGGGAAGCCATGACAGACTGTACTGGGAAAATTGGGACTCTGCCACCTAGACACTGCACTTTTCCAACAGTCTTAGCAAATGGCACACCAGGAAATTAAATCCCATGCATGGCTCAGCAGGTCCCATGCCCACAGAGCCTTGCTCACTGCTAGTCCAAGATAGAACTGCAAGGTGGCAAGCCTGGCTGGGGAAGGGGCGTCCGCCATTGCTGAGGCTTGAGTAGGTAAACAAAGTAGCCAGAAAGCTTGAACTCGGTGGGGCCCACTGCAGCTCAACTAGGCCCACCTGCCTTTGTAAACTCCACCTCTGGGGGCTGGGCATAGCTGAAAAAAAGGCAACAGAAACTTCTGCAGACTTAAACATCCCTGTCTGACAGCTCTGAAGAGAGCAGTGGTTCTCCCAGCATGGTGTTTGAGCTCTAAGAACAGACAGACTGCTTCTTCAAGTTGGTCCCTGACCCCCGTGTAGCCTAACTTGGAGACACCTCCCAGTAGGGGCTGACTGACACCTCATATAGCCAGGTGCCCCTCTGAGACGAAGCTTCCAGAGGAAGGATCAGGCAGCAATATTTTCTGTTCTACAATATTTGCTATTCTGCAGCCTCCGCTGGTGATACCCAGGCAAACAGGGTCTGGAGTGGAGCTTCAGCAAACCCCAACAGACCTGCAGCTGAGGGACCTGACTGTTAGAAGGAAAACTAACAAACAGGAAGGAATAGCATCAACATCAACAAAAAGGACATCCACACCAAAACCTCATCTGTAGGTCACCAACATCAAAGACCAAAGGTAGATAAAACCACAAAGAAGAGGAGAAACCAGAGCAGAAAAGCTGAAAATTCTAAAAACCAGAGCACCTCTTCTCTAAAGGATTGCAGCTCCTCACGAGCAATGGAACAAAGCTGGACGGAGAATGACTTTGACAAGTTGACAGAAGTAGGCTTCAGAAGGTCAGTATTAACAAACTTCTCCTAGCTAAAGGAGGATGTTCGAACCCATCGCAAAGAAGCTAAAAACCTTGAAAAAAGATTGGATGAATGGCTAACTAGAATAAACAGTATAGAGAAGCACTTAAATGACCTGATGGAGCTGAAAACCACGGCACGAGAACTATGCGATGCATGCACAAGCTTCAGTAGCCGATTCAATCAAGTGGAAGAAAGGGTATCAGTGATTGAAGATCAAATGAATAAAATGAAATGAGAATAGAAGTTTAGAGAAAAAATACTAAAAAGAAATGAACAAAGCCTCCAAGAAATATGGGACTATGTGAAAAGACCAAATCTACGTTTGATTGGTGTACCTGAAAGTGACATGGAGAATGGAACCAAGCTGGAAAACACTCTTCAGGATATCATCCAGGAGAACTTCCCCAACCAAACAAGGCAGGGCAACATTCAAATTCAGGAAATACAGAGAATGCCACAAACATACTCCTCAAGAAGAGCAACCCCAAGACACATAATTGTTAGATTCACCAAGGTTGAAATGAAGGAAAAAATGCTAAGGGCAGCCAGAGAAAGGTCGGGTTTCTTTCCCATCAGCCTAACAGCAGATCTCTCAGCAGAACCCCTACAAGCCACAAGAGAGTGGGGGCCAATATTCAACATTCTTAAAGAAAATAATTTTCAACCCAGAATTTCATATCCAGCCAAACTAAGCTTCATAAGTGAAGGAGAAATGAAATCCTTTACAGACAAGCAAATGCGGAGAGATTTTGTCACCACCAGGCCTGCCTTACAAGAGCTCCTGAAGGGAGCACTAAACATGGAAAAGAACAACCAGTACCAGTCACTGCAAAAACATGCCAAATTGTAAAGACCATCGATGCTAGGAAGAAGCTGCATAAAGTAACCGGCAAAATAACCAGCTAACATCATAATGACAGGTTCACATTCACAGATCACAATATTAACCTTAAATGTAAATGGGCTAAATGCCCCAATTAAAAGACACAGACTGGCAAATTGGATTAAGAGTCAAGATCCATCAGTGTGCTATATTCAGGAGACCCATCTCACGTGCAGAGACACACATAGGCTCAAAATAAAGGGATGGAGGAAGATCTACCAAGCAAATGGAAAGCAAAAAACCAGGGGTTGCAATCCTAGTCTCTGACAAAACAGACTTTAAACCAACAAAGATCAAAAGAGACAAAGAAGGCCATTACATAATGGTAAAGGGATCAATTCAACAAGAAGAGCTAACTATCCTAAATATATATGCACCCAATACAGGAGCACCCAGATTCATAAAGCAAGTCCTGAGAGACCTACAAAGAGACTTAGACTCCCACACAATAATAATGGGAGACTTTAACACCTCACTGACAATATTAGACAGATCAACAAGACAGAAAGTTAACAAGGATATCCAGGACCTGAACTCAGCTCTGCACCAAGTGGACCTAATAGACATCTACAGAACTCTCCACCCCCAATCAACAGAATATACATTCTTCTCAGCACCAAATCACACTTTTTCCAAAATTGACCACATAGTTGGAAGTAAAGCACTCTTCAGCCAATGTAAAAGAACAGAAATCACAATAAACTGTCTCTCAGACCACAGTGCAATCAAATTAGAATTCAGGATTAAGAAACTCACTCAAAACCGCTCAACTACATGGAAACTGAACAATCTGCTCCTGAATGACTACTGGGTACATAAAGAAATGAAGGCAGAAATAAAGATGTTCTTTGAAACCAATGAGAACAAGGACACAATGAACCAGAATCTCTGGAACACATTTAAAGCAGTGTGTAGAGGGAAATTTATAGCACTAAAAGCCCACAAGAGAAAGCAGGAAAGATCTAAAATTGACACCCTAACATCACAATTAAAAGAACTAGAGAAGCAAGAGCAAACAAATTCAAAAGCTAGCAGAAGACAGGAAATAACTAAGATCAGAGCAGAACTGAAGGAGATAGAGACACAAAAAAACCCTTCAAAAAATCAATGAATCCAGGAGCTGGTTTTTTGAAAAGATCAACAAAGTTGATAGACTGCTAGCAAGACTAATAAAGAAGAAAAGAGAGAAGAATCAAACAGATGCAATAAAAAACGATAAAGAGGATATCGCCACCAATCCCACATAAATACAAACTACCATCAGAGAATACTATAAACACCTCTACGCAAATAAACTAGAAAATCTAGAAGAAATGGATAAATTCCTGGAAACATACACCCTCCCAAGACTAAACCAGCAAGAAGTGGAATCTCTGAATAGACCAATAACAGGCTCCGAAATTGAGGCAATAATTAATAGCCTACCAACCAAAAAAAGTCCAGGACCAGACAGATTCACAGCCGAATTCTACCAGAGGTACAAAGAGGAGCTGATACCGTTCCTTCTGAAACTATTCCAATCAATAGGAAAAGAAGGAATCCTCCCTAACTCATTTTATGAGGCCAGCATCATCCTGATACCAAAGCCTGGCAGAGACACAACAAAAAAAGAGAATTTTAGACCAATACCCTTGATGAACATTGATGCAAAAATCCTCAATAAAATACTGGCAAACCAAATCCAGCAGCACATGAAAAAGCTTATCCACCATGATCAAGTGGGCTTCATTCCTGGGATGCAAGGCTGGTTCAACATATGCAAATCAATAAACGTAATCCAGCATATAAACAGAACCAAAGACAAAAACCACATGATTATCTCAATAGATGCAGAAAAGGCCTGTGACAAAATTCAACAACCCTTCATGCTAAAAACTCTCAATAAATTAGGTATTGATGGGATGTATCTCAAAATAATAAGTGCTATCTATGACAAACCCACAGCCAATATCATACTGAATGGACAAAAACTGGAAGCATTCCCTTTGAAAACTGGCACAAGACAGGGATGCCCTCTCTCACCACTCCTATTCAACAGTGTTGGAAGTTCTGGCCAGGGCAATCAGGCAGGAGAAGGAAATAAAGGGCATTCAATTAGGAAAAGAGCAAGTCAAATTGTCCCTGTTTGCAGATGACATGATTGTATATCTAGAAAACCCCATCGTCTCAGCCCAAAATCTCCTTAAGCTGATAAGCAACTTCAGCAAAGTCTCAGGATACAAAATCAATGTGAAAAAATCAGAAGCATTCTTATACACCAATAACAGACAAACAGAGAGCCAAATCATGAATGAACTCCCATTCACAACTGCTTCAAAGAGAATAAAATACCTAGGAATCCAACTTACAAGGGATGTGAAGGACCTCTTGAAGGAGAACTACAAACCACTGCTCAATGAAATAAAAGAGGATACAAACAAATGGAAGAACATTCCATGCTCATGGATAGAAGAATCAATATTGTGAAAATGGCCATACTGCCCAAGGTAATTTATAGATTCAATGCCATCCCCATCAAGCTACCAATGACTTTCTTCATAGAATTGGAAAAAACTACTTTAAAGTTCATATGGAACCAAAAAAGAGCCCACATTTGCCTAAGCCAAAAGAACAAAGCTGGAGGCATCACACTACCTGACTTCAAACTATACTACAAGGCTATAGTAACCAAAACAGAATGGTACTGGTACCAAAACAGAGATATAGACCAATGGAACAGAACAGAGCTCTCAGAAATAATGCCACATATCTACAACTATCTGATCTTTGACAAACCTGACACAAACAAGCAATGGGGAAAGGATTCCCTATTTAATAAATGGTGCTGGGAAAACTGGCTGGCCATATGTAGAAAGCTGAAACTGGATCCCTTCCTTACACCTTATACAAAAATTAATTCAAGATAGATTAAAGACTTACATGTTAGACCTAAAACCATAAAAACCCTAGAAGAAAACCTAGGCAATACCATTCAGGACATAGGCATGGGCAAGGACTTCATGTTTAAAACACCGAAAGCAATGGCAACAAAAGCCAAAATTGACAAATGGGATCTAATTAAACTAGAGCTTCTGCACAGCAAAAGAAACCAACATCAGAGTGAACAGGCAACCTACAACATGGGAGAAAATTTTTGCAACCTACTCATCTGACAAAGGGCTAATATCCAGAATCTACAATGAACTCAAACAAATTTACAAGAAAAAAACAACCCCATCAAAAAGTGGGTGAAGGATATGAACAGACACTTCTCAAAAGAAGACATTTATGCAGCCAAAAAACACATGAAAAAATGCTCATCATCACTGGCCATCAGAGAAATGCAAATCAAAACCACAATGAGATACCATCTCACACCAGTTAGAATGGCAATCATTAAGAAGTCAGGAAACAACAGGTGCTGGAGAGGATGTGGAGAAATAGGAACACTTTTACACTGTTGGTGGGACTGTAAACTAGTTCAACCATTGTGGAAGTCAGTGTGGTGATTCCTCAGGGATCTGGAACTAGAAATACCATTTGACCCAGTCATCCCATTACTGGGTATATACGCAAAGGATTATAAATCATACCTCTATAAAGACACATGCACACATATGTTTATTGCAGCGCTGTTCACAATAGCAAAGACTTGGAACCAACCCAATGTCTACCAATGATAGTCTGGATTAAGAAAATATGGCACATATACACCATGGGATACTATGCAGCCATAAAAAATGATGAGTTCATGTCCTTTATGGGGACATGGATGAAGCTGGAAACCATCATTCTCAGCAAACTATCGCAAGGACAAAAAACCAAACACTGCATGTTCTCACTCATAGGTGGGAATTGAACAATGAGAACACATGGACACAGGAAGGGGAACATCACACACCGGGGACTGTTGTGGGGTGGGGGGAGTGGGGAGGGATAGCATTAGGAGATATACCTAATGCTAAATGACGAGTTAATGGGTGCAGCACACCAACATGGCACATGTATACATATGTAACAAACCTGCACGTTGTGCACATGTGCCCTAAAACTTAAAGTATAATGATAATAAAATTTTAAAAATAAATAAATAAAGAACCATGATTTTTAAAATGTTTAAAGCTGACTTCAATACTTGAGTAATTGTCCTTTGGAAAAGGACTTCTTTTGTCCCATGTGGCCATAAGTGGTAGAATTTAAACAAAGAAGTGAAAGCTGTAAGAAAAAGGATTTTAAGTCAATATAATGTAAAAAATAGAACTAAACAAAGTTGGGGCAGGTACTCTTAAGAGGAAGCAGATTCTCTGCCACTAGAGGTGACCATTTAAACTAGATGGCTTTGTGGGAATGTGATAGGGTTGATTCATAAATATGACTCTTTTAATCATGCAGTTCTTTTTGTTTGTTTGCTTGTTTGTTTGCATAGCTCTTTATTAGCCTGACATGTAAGACTGATCCACTTGTCAGCCTTCCCCCCCAATATTCGTATGTGTCTCTGGTATTTCTTATATCTACAATTTCCCTGACTTGCAGTTTCCCCTTTTAAAATGTCATGCCATTTTTCGGTGATCAAATCGTATGTCACTTTTTGAGAAAAATTTCCCTTCTCCCCACTTCAGATACCACCACAAATAGACAGGTTCTATTCCAAAACTGCAGACTTCATTTATGCATTTTAAGTCACTTATTATTCTGCCCTATGCTATTTGTGTATATTTATTGTCTTACATACTAGCATGTCAGCTTCGTGAGGACAGGAATCGTCTCTGTATTGTTAATCCCCTATAAGACCTAGTATAATAGAATTTCTTTATTTTTTCAACAAATATTTCTTTTTCTTTAGGATGAAAAGACTGTACTTACCTCTTAGGGGCCTTCCAACTTAAAAAAGGTGTATTAATCTGGTTCTAGAACTTATTTCCTAATTAATAATACAAGGACCTCTTTACTGACTATGTGTACAAACAGTCAGATATACCAATGTCAAATTGGTTCTGTAAGAAAGTGTTTATAATCTGACTTCAAAAGGCAGATAACTCCCATGCTGATCAGTAGTAGGATTGCACCTGTGAATAATGACTGTGCTCCGGCCTGGGCAACACAGTGAGATCCCATCTTTTAAAAAAGGTAGATAACTATTTTTCAAACATTTTGCAATATTCCTATTGAGATATTCAACACACATGTTCCTGATAGAATTTTGAATATTAAAGGAATTGTACATCTGGTTATATTCTTATGAAATTAACTGACACTAAATCAAGTGCTCCACAAAGTAAAAGATAATATAATTAAGAACATCATCAATGAGGTAAGCAATGAATCCTGGCAAGACTTAAGAGGGGGAACACCTTATTGTGATGTGTCAGAATTTTTTACCACTCACCTCTACCATTTCTTCCTGAACTTTATAGTCTTACAGAACATTTCCATTGCTGCAGGTTTCTGTTTGGCAAATTGCTGGCAATACTCCAGATGTTTTTCAGTGTGAATTTATAGAAACGTGCATTGTACAAAATTCAAAGGAAGGACTGTTAGAATAGGTTAGATAAAACAAGAAAACCAGAGCAACTAACATTGAAAAATAAGCCTGAATTCTTCGTTTGTTTCAGCTGATTTTTTTTTCCCTCTCCTCTTCCCATCTGCCTTTAGTTCTCTATTGACTGAAATTAGCAGGGACTAAAAGTCATATCACAAGTTGACATGCTTAACTGTAGCCTCCAGAAAAATCCAAATGTATTGGAGTCTAAAGGCAGTTGTATCAGATCAGGAGTAAGAGTTTTACTCTTGCTATTTCTTGGGAAGTAAACTTCTGGATCTTTTGACTGTCAGCAATTAAAAGCCCTTTAGAAAAATTCCCAGAGAAAGCTCTTTCATGTGGGTCTGAGGCAGTTGTGGACTTGCCAAGAAAAGGTAGTCCTATGACTTCCTGACCATGTCAGCACCTGGGGAATTAACAAAAAATCAATTATTTCCCTCTAGGCACATTTTGGGCTTTCTGCTACTTTGCCCTTTTCTCAAATGTCCCTTCCTTCTCCACCTAAACAGAAGAAAGTCAATACAATGTGGGTCAAGAACAGTCAGCAGGAAGGTTGAGGTTTTTTTTCTTTCTTTCTTTCTTTTTTCTTTGGATGCATGCCCCCTAAAGAAAGAAAAGAAAGAAAATAAAAATTTAGGATTAACAAGTGGCAACCAGAGTTATGCTGCCTAATTACAGGTCTGATTTCATGCTTTTCTGAGAGATTTATGAAGAGGCTAAAAGATACTAAATTATGGCCCAGTCAGTACCCCTTCTTTCTGGTATCATTAATTAATTAAGACAAATTTCTAAATATAAAAGAAGCATGGATAGATATAGTCAAATTTTCTGACATTATTACCTAAAACATGGTTTCTAACATTATAAAGTAGGCATTAATACTTTGGTAAAAAAGTTATAATTAACAATAATTTATTGTACATTTCAAATAGCTAGAAGGAAATATTTTTAATATTTCCAACACAAAGAAATGATAAATGTTTAAGGTGATGGATTTACCAACTACCCTGATGTAATCATTACACATACAGGTATCAAAATACCAAATGTACCCCCAAAATATGTACAACTATTGTATATTGATTAAAAAGTAAATAAATTAATAAATAAGTCAAAGAAAAGGATTAACTTATTTTGCAGCAATTGTGAAGCATAAGGTGATGGTTAGGTATTGATTTTCTTTCTTTATAAACTTGTATCTTGTGTTCCAAAAGCATTAGCTTTGTTTTAGAATGGAATCTTCTCTGGGATTAAAAAAAATTTTTATTTTAATTTTTGTGGGTACATAGTAGGTAGGTACATATATTTGTGGGGTACATGAGATGATTTGATACAGGCATGCAATGCTTCATAATCACGTCATGTAAAATGGGGTATCCATCCCCTCAAGCATTTATCCTCTGAGTTACAAATAATCCAAATATACTCTTTAAATTATTTTAAAATGTATAATGAAATTATTATTGACTATAGTCACCCCATTGTGCCTTCAAATACTAGGTCTTATTCATTCTTTCTAACTATTTTTTTGTTCACCCATTAACCATCTCTACCTCTCCCAACCTCCACCATCCCACTACCCTTCCCAGCCTCTGGTAACTGTCCTTCTACTCTCTAACTTCCTGAGATCAACTGTTTTGATTTTTAGATCTCACAAATAAGTGAGAACATGCAATATTTGTCTTTCTATGCTTGGCTTATTTCACTTAGCATAACGATCTCCAGTTCCATCCATGTTGTTGCAAATGACAGGATTTCATTCCTTTTATGGCTGAGTAGTACTCCACTATGTATAGTACCACATTTTCTTTGTCCATTCATCTGTTGGTGGATACTTAGGTTGCTTCCAAGTTTTGGCTATTGTGAACAGTGCTCCAACATACATGGGGGTGCAGATATCTCCTTGATATACTGATTTCCTTTCTTTTGGGCTTATACTCAGCAGTGGGATTGCTAGGTCATATGGTAGGTCTATTTTTGTTTTCTTGAGGAATCTCCAAACTGTTGTCCATAGTGGCTGTACTAATCTACATTCCCACCAAAAGTGTACCAGGGTTTCCTTTTCTCCACAACCTCACCAGCATTTCTTATTGCCTGTCTTTTGGATAAAAGCCATTTTAACTGAGATGAAATGGTATCTCATTGTAGTTTTGATTTTCATTCCTCTGATGAGCAATGATGTTGAGCACCTTTTCATATGCCTGTTTGCCATTTGTATGTCTTCTTTTGAGAAATGTCTATTCAAATCTTTTGCCCATTTTTGATCAGATTATTAGATTTTTTCCTATAGAGTTGTTTGAGCTCCTTATATATTCTGGTTATTCATCTCTTGTCAGATGGGTAGTTTGCAAATATTATCTCCCATTCTGTGAGCTGTCTCTTCACTTTGTTGATTGTTTCCTTTACTGTGCAGAAGCTTTTTAACTTGATTTGATCCTCTTTGTCCATTTCTGCTTTTGTTGGCTGTGCTTCTGGGATATTACTCAAGAAATTTTTGCCCAGACCAATGTCCTGGAGAATTTCCTCAACGTTTTCTTGTAGTACTTTCACATTTTGAGATTATAGATTTAAGTCCGTAATTCATTTTGATTGTGGTTTTGTATGTGGTGAGAGATAGGGATATAGTTTCATTCTTCTGCATAGGAATATCCAGTTTTCCCAGCACAATTTATTGAAGAGACTGTCTTTTCCCCAGTGTATGTTCTTGGCACCTTTTTCAAAAATGAGTTCGCTGTAGGTGTGTGGATTTGTTTTTCAGCTCTCTATCCTATTTCATTCATCTATGTGTCTGTTTTTATGCCAGTACCATGCTGTTTTGGTTACTATAGCTCTGTAGTATAATTTGAAGTCAGGTAACATGATTCCTCCAGTTTTGTTCTTTTTACTTTGCATAATTTTGGTATTCAGGGTCTTTTGTGGTTCCATATAAATTTTAGGATTGTTTTTTCTATTTCTGTGTAGAATGTCATTGGTATTTTGACAGGGATTACACTGAATCAGTAAATGGCTTTGGGTAGTATGGACATTTTAACTATATTTATTCTCCCAATCCATGAACATGGAATATGTTTTCACTTTTTGGTGTCCACTTCTATTTCTTTCGTCAGCGTTTCATAGTTTTTATTTATTATAGCACTCTCACTTCTTTGGTTAATGTCTAGGTATTTAATCTTGATTTCTGGCTATTATAAATGGGATTATTTTTAAATTTCATTTTCGGATTGTTCACTGTTGGCATATGAAAATGTTACTGATTTTTGTATATTAATTTTGTATCCTACAACTTTATTGAATTTGTTTAGCAGTTCTAATAGTTTTTTGGTAGAGTCTTTAGGTTTTTCCAAATTTAAGATTATATCATCTGCAAACCAGGATAATTTGACTTCTTCCTTTCAAATTTGGATACCCTTCATTTCTTTCTCTTATCTGATTGCTCTAGTTAGGACTTCCAGTACTATGTTAAATAACAGTGGTGAAATGCTTGTCGTGTTCCAGATCTTAGAGGAAGGGCTTTTTGATTTTCCCCATTCAGAATGATAGCAGCTGTGGGTCTGTCATATTTGGCTTTTATTACGTTTAGGTATGTCCCTTCTGTACTCAGCTTTTTTAGGGTTTTTTTCATGAAGGGATGTTGAATTTTATGAAATTTTTCTTGAGCATCATTGAAATGATCATTTTTTTCCTTCATTCTGTTGATATGATGTATCACATTGATTGATATATAAATATTGAACCATCCTTGTATCCTAGGGATAAATCCCACTTGGTTATGATGAATGATCTTTTAAATGTATTGTTGAAGTTTGTTTGCTGGCATTTTGTTGAGGACTTTCGCATAAATATTCATCAGAGATATTGGCCTGTAGTTTTCAATAATACTGGCCTCGTAGAATAAGTTTGGAAGTTTTCCCTCCTCCATTTTTCAGAATAGTTTGAATAGGATTGGTCTTAGTTCTTCTTTAAATTTTTGATAGAATTCGTCAATGAAGCCATTGTGTTCTGGGCTTTTCTTTACTGGGAGACATTTTTTTTATGGCTTCAATTTTGTTACTTGTTATTGGTCTGTTCAGGTTTTGGATTTCTTTCTGGTTCAATCCTGGAAGGTTACATGTGTCCAGTAACGTGTCCATTTCTTCTACATATTTCAATTTATTGGCATATAGTTGCTCATAGTAGTTACTCATGATTTTTTTTTTATTTCTGCAGTATCAATTGTAATGTCTCCTTTTTCATCTCTGACTTAATTTATTTGGATCTTCTCTTTTTTTCTTAGTCTGGTTAAAAGCGTGTCAATTTTGTTTAACTTTTCAAGAAAACAACTTTTTGTTTTATTGATCTTCTGTATTGTTTTCATTTCAATTTTATTTGTTTCTGCTCTGATCTTTATTATTTCTTTTCTTGTACTAATTTTGGGTTTGGTTTGCTCTTACTTTTCTAGTTCTTTAAGATGCATCATTGGACTAGTTATTTGAAATTTTTCTTCTTTTTTTGATGTAGGCATTTATAGCTAAAAAGGTCCCTCTTAGTACTGCTTTTGCTATATTCCATAGGTTTTGGTATATGTGTTTCCATTATTTGTTTCAAGAAATTTTTCAATTTTCTTTTTAATTTCTTTATTGACCCACTGGTCATTCAGGAGCATATTGTTTAATTTATATGTTGTATTATTCTGTTCTCATGCTGCTAACAAAGACATACCCAACACTGGGTAATTTATAAAGGAAAGATGTTTCATGGCCTCACATTTCCATATGGCTGGGGAGGCCTCACAATCATAGCAGAAGACGAAGGAATGGCAATGGGTTGTCTTACATGGTGGCAGGCAAGAGAGCATGTGCAGGGGAACTCCCTTTATAAAAACATCAGATCTCATGAGACTTATTCACTATGACAAGAACAGCATGGGAAAAACCCACCTCCATGATTCAATTACTTCCCACTGAGCTCCTCCCACAACAAGTGGGGATTATTACAATTCAAGGTGAGACTTGGGTGGGGACACACAGCCAAACCATATCACATGTATTTGTATAATTTCCAAAATTTCTCTTATTAATGTATAGTTTTATTCCATTGTGATCAGAGAAGATGCTGGACATTGTTTCAATTTTTTTGAAAGTTTTAAGATTTGTCTTGTGACTTAACATATGATTTATCCGTGAGAATGATCCATGTGCTGAAGAAAATAATGTGTATTCTGCAGCCATTGGGTGAAAAGTTCTGTAAATATTTATTAGATCCTTTTGGCCTATAGTGTATATCAAGTCTGATGTTTCTTTGTTGATTTCATGTCTGGAAGGTCTGTCCAGTGTTGAAAGTGGGGTGAAATCTCCAGCTATTATTGTATTGGAGTCTATCTCTCTCTTTAATAATATTTGCTTTGTATATCTGGGTGCTTCAGTTTTGAGTGAATATATATTTTAAATTGTTATAACCACTTGCTGAATTGACAGCTTTATCATTATATAGTGACCTTCTTTGTCTCTTCTTATAGATTTTGTCTTGCAATCTATTTTTTCTGATATAAATATAGCTCTGCCTGCTCTTCTCTTGGTTTCCATTGGCATGGAATGTCTTTTACCATCCCTTCATTTTTAGTCTATGTGTGTTTTTATACATGAAGTGTGTTTCAGCCACTCTATGTCTTTCGATTGGAGAGTTTAGTCCATTTACATTCAATATTATTATTTATAACTAAGAACTGACTTCTGCATTTTATGTGGGGTTTTTTTGTGGTCTTTTTGTTCTTTTCTGTCTTCCTTTTAGTGAAGATTATTTTCTCTGGTGATATGATTTAGTTTCTTGCTTTTTATTTTTCGTGTATCCATTATCTGTTTTTTGTTTTGAGAGTATCATGAGGCCTGCAAATACTATCTTATAACCTATTATTTTAAGCTGATAACAACTTAACGCTGTTGAATAAACAACCTAACAAGCAAAAAGAAAACTAATAGACTCTGTGCCTTAACTATGTCCCCAATTTTTCCACATTTTGTTGTTTCTATTTACATTTATTGTACTATGTCTTGAAAAGTTGTAGTTATTATTTTGAATTGGTTCGTCCTTTAGTCCTTCTATGTAAGAGTAGCTTAAACACCACTGTTACGGTGTTATAATGTTCTGTGTTTTTCTGTATATTTGCTATTACCAATGAGTTTTTTTATCTTCAGATGATTTCTTTTTGATCATCAAAATCCTTTTTCTTTCTATTGAAGTACTCCCTTTAGCATTTCTTGTAGGACAGATCTGGTGTTGAAATCCCTCAGCCTTTGATTGTCTGGAACAGTGTTTATTTCTCCTTCATGTTTGAAGATTATTTTTGCTGGATATGCTATTCTACTGTAAACGTGGCATAAAGGAATGCTGGCTTTTGTTGAATGCTTTTACTGGGTCTATTGAGATGATCATGTAATTTTTGTTTTTAATTCTGTTTATGTGGTGTATCATATTTATTGATTTGCAAATGTTAAATCATCCCTGTATCCCTGGTATGAAACCCCTCTTGATCATGGTGGATTATCTTTTTGATATGTTGTTGGATTTGGTTAGCTAGTATTCTGTTAAGGATTTTAGCACCTATATTCATCAGAGATATTGACCTGTAGTTTTCTTTTTTGGTTATATCCTTTCCTGGTTCTGTTATTAGGGTGATACTGCTTCATAGAATGATTTAGGGAGGATTCCCTCTTTTTCTATCTTCTGGAATAGTGTCAACAGGATTGGTACCAATTCTTCTTTGAGTGCTGTGAATCCATCTGGTCCAGGATCTTTTTTTGTGGGTAATTTTTAAATTACCATTTCAATCTTACTGCTTGTTATTGGTCTGTTCAGGGTATCTAATTCTTCCAGATTGAAGCTAGGAGGGTTTTATATGTCCAGGAAATTATCCATCTCCCCTAGGTTTTCTAGGTTTATGCATGTAAAGATATTCATAGTAGCCTTGAATGATCTTTTGTATTTCTGTGGTGTCATTTATAATATCTCCCATTTCCTCTCTAATTGAGCTTATTTGGATTTTCTCTCTTCTTTTCTTGGTTAATCTTGCTAATGATCTATCAATTTTTGTTTTTCTTTTCAAAAAACCAGCTTTTTGTTTCATTTATCTTTTGTAATTTTTTGTTGCTGTTGCTGTTTCACTTTCATTTAGTTCTGCTGTGATGTTGGTTATTTCCTTTCTTCTGCTAGGTTTGGGTTTGGCTTGTTCTTGTTTCTCTAGTTCCTTGAGGTGTGACCTTAGATTGTCTGTTTGTGCTCTTTCAGACCTTTGATGTAGGCATTTAAGGCTATGAACTTTCCTCCTAGCACTGCCTTTGCTGTATCCCAGAGATTTTGATAGGTTGTATCACAATTGTCATTCAGTTCAAAGAATTTTTTAATTTCCATCTTTATTTCATTTTTGACCCAATGATCATTAAGGAACAGATTATTTAATTTCCATGTGTTTGCATGGTTTTGAAGGTTCCATTTGGAGTTGATTTCCAGTTGTATTCCACTGTGGTCTGAGAGAGTGCTTGATATAATTTTAATTTTCTTAAATTTGTTGAGGCTCATTTTGTGGCCTATTATATAGTCTATCTTGGAGAAAGTTTCATGTGCTGTTGAATAGAATGTATATTCTGTGGTTGTTGGGTAAAATATTCTCTATACATCTGTTAAGTTCATTTGTTTCAGGGTATAGTTTAAATCAATTGTTTCTTTGTTGACTTTCTGTTTTGATGTCTAGTGCTGTCAGTGGAGTATTGAAGTCCCCCACTATTATTGTGTTGCCATCTATCTCATTTCTTAGGTCTCTTAGTAATTGTTTTATAAGTTTGGGAGCTCCAGTTTTAGATGCATATATATATTTAGGATTGTGATATTTTCCTGTTGGACAAGGCCTTTTATCATTATATAATGTCCCTATTTATCTTTTTTAACTGCTGTTGCTTTAAAGTTTGTTTTGTCTGATATAAGAATAGTACACCTGCTGGCTTTTGGTGTCTATTTGCATGGAATGTCTTTTTCTACCTTTTTACCTTGAGTTTATGTGCATCCTTATGTGTTAGGTGAGTCTCTTGAAGGCAGCAGATAGTTGTTTGGTGAATTTTTATCCATTCTGCAATTCTGAGTCTTTTAAGTGGAGCGTTTAGGCCATTTACATTCAAAGTTAGTATTGAGATGTGAGGTGCCATTCCATTCACCATGCTATTTGTTGCCTGTATGCCTTGGGTTTTTTTTTTTTTTTTTTT
This sequence comes from Homo sapiens, assembly GCF_000001405.40. NCBI lineage: Eukaryota > Metazoa > Chordata > Mammalia > Primates > Hominidae > Homo > Homo sapiens. The sequence continues at coordinate 25,594,657 of NC_000012.12, read as the reverse complement.
TTTTTTGTATTTCTGTTTTATAGGTCCTGTGAGATTTATGCTTTAAAGATGTGCTGTTTGGATGTGTTCCCAGGATTTGTTTCAAGATTTAGAGATTTTTTTAAGTCAGTTCTTGTAGTTTCAGCTTGGTAGTGGCGAATTCTGTCAACATTTGGTTGTCTGAAAAAGACTATGTTTCCTTCATATAAGATCCTTACTTACACTGGATACAAAATTCTTGGCTGATAATTGTTTTGTTTGAGGAGGCTGAAGATAGGGCCCCAATCCCTTCTAGCTCATAGGGTTTCTGCTGAGAAATCTACTGTTAATTGGATGGGTTGTCCTTTATAGGATACCTGGTGGTTTTGCCTCACAGCTCTTAAGATTCTTTCCTTTATCTTAACTTTAGATAACCTGATGACAATGTGCCTAGGCAATTATCTTTTTGCAATGATTTTCCCAGGTGTTCTTTGAGCTTCTTGTATTTGGATGTCTAGGTCCTAGCAAGGCTGGGGAAATTTTCCTTGATTATTCCCCAAGTATGTTTTCCAAACTTTTAGATTTCTCTTCTTCCTCAGAAACACCAATTATTGTTAGGTTTGGTCGTTTAATCCCAGACTTCTTGGAGGCTTTGTTCATATTTTCTTATTCTTTTTTCTTTGTCTTTGTTAGATTGGGTTAATTCAAAGACCTTGTCTTCGAGCTCTGAAGTTCTTTCTTTGGCTTGTTCAATGATATTTCAGAGACTTGCCACAGCATTTTGCGTTTCTATAAGTGTGTCCATTGTTTCCTGAAGTTTTGAATGTTTTTTGTTTATGCTATTTATTTAATCAAATATTTCTCCCTTCACTTCTTGTATCTTTCTTTTTTTTTTTTTTAATTTCCTTAGATTGGGCTTTGACTTTCTCTGGTGCCTCCCTGATTAACTTAATAATTAACCTTCTGAATTCTTTTCCAGGTAAATCAGGGATTTCTTCTTGGTTTGGACCCATTGCTGGTGAGCTAGAGTAATTTTTAGGTGGTGTTAAAGAACCTCATTTTGTCGTATTACCAGAGTTGGTTTTCTGGTTCCTTCTCATTTGGGTAGGCTGTGTCTTTGGGAAGGCCTAGGGCTCAAGGCTGTTCAGATTTTTTTGTCCCATGGGATGGTCCCTTAATATAGTACTCTCCCCTTTTCTTAGGGATATGGCTTCCTGAGAGCTGATCTGTAGTGACTGTTATCTCTCTTCTGGATCTAGCCACCCAGCAAATCTACAAGGCTCCAGGCTGGTACTGGGGGTTGTCTGCAGAGAGTCCTGTGATGTAAACCATCTGTGGATCTCTCAGCCATGGATGCCAGCACCTGTTCTGGTGGAGGTGGCAGGGGAGGAAAATGTGCTCTGTAAGGGTCCTTGGCTTTGGTTGCTTAATGCACTATTTTTGTGATGGTTGGCCTCTTGCCAGGATTGGAGCTTTCAGTAGAGCATTAGCTATGGTAGTATGGTGGTGAGTGGGGCCCTAGAACTCCCAGGAGTATATGTCCTTTGTCTTCAGTTACCAGGGTGGGTAGGGAAGGACCATTAGGTGGGGGCAGGGTGAGGCATGTCTGAGCTCAGACTCTTCTTGGGCGGGTCTTACTGCAGCTGCTGTGGGGGGTGGGGGGTGAGATTCTCCGGTTAATGGAGTTGTGTTCCTAGGCGGATTATGACTGCCTTTACTATGTCATGCAGGTTGTCATGGAAGTGGGGAAAAGCTGGCAGTCACAGGCCTCACTAAGCTCCCACACAACCCAAAGGGCTGGTTTCACTCCCACTGTGGCCCACCCCCTACAACAGCACCAAGTCTGTTTTCAGGCAGTGGGCGAACAGGGCTGAGAACTTGCCCCAGGCTACCCACTTACCAGCTGCAAAACCAAGTAGGACGTTTGTTCTTCCCAGGCCTGTGGAGTCTGCACACTGAATTCATATCTTTCTCCAAGTCCTGGCCAGGAGACTTCTCAATCAGTTCAAACTGTTACAAAGTTCAGCTAGAGGTTTCCTGCTCCCTGTGGCCTTTTTCCAGTGCCTCTGACTGCCCCCCGCCCCAAGGACCCTGTGAGGCAGGGCAGAAATGGCTTGCCAGGGGACCCAGTGAGTCCACAGGGCTTTTCCCGCTGCTTCCTCTACCCTGTATTTTGTTTGGCTCTCTAAATTGATTCAACTCCAGGTAAGGTCAGAATTTTCTGCCATAATCTAGACCTTCAGGTTCCCTAGTGGGGGTGTTCCAGGGCAAATGATCTCCCTTTCCCACTTCCAAAGTTTGGGCACTCACAGTATTTGGGGTGTCTCCTGACTCCTGCAGGAGCAATCTGCTTCCTTCAGAGGGTCTGTGGGTTCTCTTGGCTTTCCTAATGTATGCCTGCAGTCATTCTGGAGCAATAGTTCACGATGCAAGCCTCCACGTGCTGCTCTGTCCATTCAACTGGGAGCTGCAATCTAGTTCTGCCTCCTGTCCACCATGATCCTCTCCTTCTGATACCATGTTTTTCTGCATGATGTTGATCCTTGTAGATATTCTTCAGTGTCTGGGCACTCAAGACTTAGGTGTTCCTTGGAATCCTCTCACTCTGGGCTTGTTTGTACCTGTCCTTCTTGGGAAGGCTTTCTAGATATTCAAGAGAACTTAGGCGTTATAATTTAAGTTGTATCTGCTTTAGAAGGCACCACAAACCCAATAACTCTGTGGTTCTTGCAGACTCATAGAGGTACTACTTTAATGGCCTTGGACAAGATCTGGAAGAATTATCTGGGTTACCAGGCAGATTATTGTTCTCTTCCCTCACTTTCTCCCAAATAAATAGAGTCTCTCTCTCTCTCTCTCTCTCTCTCTCTCTCTCTCTCTCTCTCTCTGTTCTGAGCTATTAGGAGCTGGAGGTTGTGTGACAGAAGCACCCCTGTGGCCACCACCACTACAAGTGTGCTGGGTCAGACCTGAAGCCAGTACACAGCTGAGTCTTGCCTAAGGCTTGCTGTTACCACTCCCTGGCTATGCCCTATGTTTGCTAAAGGCCCCAGAGCTTTATAAAAGCAGGTGGTAAGGCCAGCCAGGCCTGTGTCCTTCCCTTCAGGGTGACAAGTTCCCCCAGGCCCTGGGCATGTCCAGGGGTGCCGTCCAGGAGCCAGGGACTAGAATCAAAAATCTTAGAAGTCTATCCAGTGTTTTGTTATATTGTTCTGCAGCTGAGATGGCACTCAAACCACAAGACACAGTCCTTCCCCCTCTTCCATCCCCTTTCCAAAGGCAGAGGAGCCTCACCCTGTGGCCACCACCACCACAGGCCCACATGGAGTACTGCTGCTAAAGCCCAAGGGCTCTTCAGCCACCTTGTGGTGAATGCTGCCTGCCAGTGCAGTGCTAGTGGTGGTAGCCACAGGGGTACTTGTGTTATACCACTCCCAGGTGGCTCAGAACAGAGTGAGAGACTCCATTCATTTGGGAAAAGTAAGGGAAGAAAACAAGGATCTTTGCCTGGTAACCCACTCTGGCCTAGGGCAGGTCCAGAAATGCCATCCAAGAGCCATGTCCTGAAATCTGGGACCCCAAGAGCCTGCTTTGTGCTGTACCCTGCTGTGGCCAAGCTAGTACCTAAGGTACAAGACAAAGTCTCCTTTGCTTTTCCCTTCACTTTTCTCAAGTAAAGGAGTCTCACTCTGTAGCCAATGCAGCATGTGCTAAGCCTTAACTGTAGCCAGCCAGTGTTAGAGTCTTACTCAAGGCCCTCAACATAGTACCTGGGTATTGCTGCTGGTTATTCAGGACCCAAGGGCTCTTCAGTTAGCAAATGATGAATTTTTCCAGGATTAGGTCCCTCCCTTCAATACAGCAGATTCCCTTCTCGTCCAGGGTCCTCCCTTTCCTGGAGCTAAGTCCTGGAAAGGGGGCCTCACAACTCTTACTGGTGCTCTATCCTGTTGTGGGCTGAGCTGCCTATCACAGCTCTATCCTGCTGTGGCTGACGTTCAAGATGCCAGACAAAGTCCTCCATACTCTTCCCTCTCCTCTCCTCAAGCTGAGGCAAGGGGTCTGTTTTTAAGCCACAAGCTATGCAGCCTGGGGCTAAGGAAGGGTTGATGCTAGCACCCCCTTAGACACCTCGCTGGTTTCTCAGTAGGTCACATGACCCCCTAGTCCACTGGCTCTGGGACCAGTCCAGCACTAGGACTCACCTAGGAGTTGCAGTCCTTGTGGCCTAGACTGTCTTTCAAGTTTATTAAGGGCCCCAGAGCACTTTAGCCTGCAGTGGCAAGGCTTTGGGAAACTCAAGTTCGGACTGCTGAGATGGGAAATTCCTCTCTGGCTAGGCTACTTTAATTGCTCTCTCCATGGTGGGCATCAATAGAGATGGTCCTTTTTTTTCTGTTATAATAAGGCAGCAGTGAGTTCAGTGCCTCACAATTGCTGTGATCTCCTTCTCCCACGCACACTGAAACACTCTCCTCACCACACTGCTGCTGCCAGGAAGTGGGGGACGGTTGGTGTCAGTGACTAAAGACTGTTTATCCTACCTTTTCAGTGGCTCTTTTGGCAATATGAAGTTAGAACCAAGTATTGTGTGTACTCAGCTGATTTTTGGTTCTTATAGAGGTGCTTCTTTTGTGTATAGCATGTAGATAGTTGTTAAACTGGTGTCTTTGTAGGGGGCATGATTGGTGGAAACTTCTCTTCCACTGTCTTGCTCTGCCCCTTCTCTGGGTTTGTAATTCCCACAAATGTGCCAACTCCCTGTACCTAGTAAACTGGGTGAGACAGGTGGTGGCTACTTCAAGCTCAGCCTTGGTGGATAATTCTTTTTCTGCGAATGCAGATACTCACAGAGTAACTGGTTCTAAGAGATCTACACAATGAATAATTAAGTTTTACCATCTACACTCTCTTCAGCCTAGTTTATAGACAAGAAAGCATTTTTATAGTTATTCTGTGGAGAATATTTGTGCCATGAAGATTTTAAATCTCATCATCCCTTCCTGGAAATTTGGCTGGTCTGGAGCATCAAAACAATAATCAAATTCCTAATTTTTAATGTAAAAAGTATAAAATGAAATAGATAACATATTGAGAAAAGTATACATAAAGTATATGTAATTTAAAAATAAGTAAAATGAACAAACTCATGCCTACCACCCAGCTTAAGAAACAAAACAAATACAGCATTAACTATGTCTTGAAGTCACCTGTGTCTCCCTCCATCCCCAATCCCAGCCCCTATAAAAGGCAATCTCAGCCATTATCCTGAATTTTCTATTTATCAATTCCTTGCTTTCCTTTGCAGTTTTACCACTGTTGTATGTATCCCTAACGTGCATATATGTGTGTGCCTATAATTTTGTAAGTTTTTAACTTTATGTAAAATACATCATATTTTTCCCAATAATTTGTTTTCTTTAACATGTTTATGAGATTCATTCATGTAGGTGTGTGTGGCTCTAATTGATTTCTGACTGTTATATACATAGACATTTTATTCTTTTTCCAACTGATGAACATTTGGGTTGTTTCCAGAACTTTGCTATAATAAATGATGTTGCTATGAACGTCATTGTACATGTACCTTGGACAGTAATGGCTGGGTTATGGGTACCTATGTCTCCAGCTCTGTTAGATAATCCCTAGTTGTTTTCTAATTCGGTTTCTAGCAATGTAAGAATTTCTGTTCCTCTATACCCTTACTAAGACTTAATGTTGTCTTATTGTGACTTTTAAAACATATTTTATGAGTATTAAATAGTATCTCATTGTGATTTTAATTTGAATTTCCCTGGCTACTAATAATGTTGAGCATATTTCTTATATTTAATGAACATTGAGTTCTGATTTTTTTCCCATTTTCTTCTGAGTATTTGACTTTTACTTATTGATATATAGGCTTTCCTCCCTTTTTAATTGTGAAATAATTTGCAAAAATACATAAAACATCTATGTACAGTTTAATAAATAATTTAAAGGAAATAGCTGTGTAAGGACAACCTAAGACAAGAAATAAATATTTCCAGGACCTCAGAAACCCCACGTTTTGCTAATTCAATCCCATCTTTTGCTCTAGAAGGAATCATTACCTTGATTTTTTTTTGACAATCAATTCTTTGCTTTTTTGATAGTTTTACTATGTATGCATCCCTGAACAATATAGTTTAATGTGGTCTATTTTGAACTGTATGTTATTTTTATACTTTTGGCTTTTACTTCTTTACATCAATATTATACTTGTGAAAGCATGATTTCATAGCTCATCTTGAAGTGTCCAGAATTTGTGGTCTATCTTATTTTAGCCCTACAGCTTGGCCTATAACTCAGATTTACATGGGATTATCTGAGTTGAAATTTAAATAAACTTAAAACAAACTAGTACTCATCGAATTCCACTTACGTCTCCCATTTTACCCAAATTTACAAATCTCTCCATGTTAATTCCAGATGAGTCAGGAGATTTGATTAAATTTCTAGTTAGTTGCTATAGTAGCAGATTTATTTTTGTTTTATTGGTACCTTATTCCTGAACATTTTCCATTTAGTATAATCAGTAATTAACTTTTATACACCCACACTTCACATTTACTATCTCTGAGACATGGCCAGTTCTTTTATTTTCTTTTTTCCTTAATACCAGTAGCCTAACTACGTACCTTAGAAGAACTTCTGATTCTTAGTATGAAACAGCTTGACAAGTTATAACTAAACAAATTTGCTGCCCAAGACCATGGTGCCTGGTAAATATTAATAATTAGGGCCCAAGGATGTTGCCAATTATACATAAGTGAGTTAATTTTTTTAAAAAATGTACTGATATTCACCTAGCTTTTTTGTTTCTGATCTTCTTTCCTAAAATACCCTCTGAATTTAATTCATATTACTTCAGTTCAACAAACAATTATTGAGGGCCTAGGCAATATGCCCTCCCTTAACCATTAAAAAGGAAGAAAGAAGAAAAAAATAGTGATTTCTTCTTCAATGGATTCGTAGTTGATATAGTTGGATGCCCTCTCCAAATCTCTTTTTGGGATGTAATCCCCAGTGTTGAAGGCAGGGCCCATTGGGAGGTGATTGGATCATGGGGGGCAGATTTCTCATGAATGGTTTAGCACCATCCGGTTGGTGCTGTCCTCACAAGAGTGAGTCCTCACAAGATTGAGTGAGTCCTCACAAGAGTGAGTGAGTTCTCACAAGATCTGGTTGCTTAAAAGTGTGTAGCACCCTCCCACCTCTCTCTTGCTTCTGCTCTCGCCATATGACGTGCCTGCTCCTGCTTCCCTTTCTGCTGTGAGCAAAAGCTCCCTGAGGCCTCCCTGGAAGCAGAGCAGATACTGGCACCATGCTTCCTGCACAGCTTGCAGAACAGTGAGCCAATTAGACCTCTTTTCCTTATAAATTACCCAGCCTCCAGTATTTCTTTATAGCAATAATAGAACGAACTGACACAGAAAATAATCCAGGAAAGAAGACATAGGTACAGACAACATAGAGTACAGGGGCAATAATAGAAGCAAGAACAGGTGAAAATCACATAGAGGAGAGATAAATTCACTCTATTAGAGTTCAGTGTGTTAAGAAATGACATCACAGAAGAAGGAGCCATCCAAGATGGTTTTAAGAGGTTGAATAGAAACTTTCCAGCTGAGAGAAACAGGATGGGCAAAAGCCAGAGCTTACAATGGGTTAAGTGAACTACATGTGGTTCAGTGCTGCTGGATCTTTAATCACAAGGGGAAGCCTGAAGAGAGATGAAGCTACAGAGAAGTCTTAAGTCAGGTCACAAAGGGCATGCTATGTGGTTTGTCAAGGAGTTTGTGTTTTAGAAATATAACCTCCAAGATGTTGTGGAATTTAGGTCATCAGCTATACACTAAGTGTTAGGATTGGCTTGACTGACAGTAACTCACCACTTAAAAAGCTAGTCCAGAGATCCAGTTCACCATCGTATCAGAGACTCAGCCCCTTCCTATATTGTTGGTTGTCATGTCAGCCCCAATCTAATGTCTAGGAGGGCATCCACAGTCCATGCAGCAAGCTTAAGCAAGGACAAAGCAAATGAGGGCAAACTGTGCCTGCCAATGGTCTTTCTGAGAAGATCCTCAGAAAGTGCCGCATGACTTTTCAACCTACCTCCCGTTGGTCAGCACTTAGTCACATGGTCACACCCAAACCCAAGGTAAACTGGGAGGAGAAAAAATGAAAGTGGAGGACAACTGGCAGTTTTTGCTACTAAGAAATAAGACATTGGAAGTGAGGAAGACCAATAAAAAGATTACTGCAGTATTTCAGTGGGAGATAACAAGGGCTGCATGAAGGTAGTGTTGGTGAGAATGGAAAGGGAAGCAGGACCTGAGAGCTATTTAGGCAGCAGAGTGGTTAAGAGTTGGTGATCTAGTGGATGGGGTGATGGCTTTTGGTTTTTGGCTTGAGTAGCTGAGTAGGTAGAGGTATCATCATGGGGAATTTTCAACATAAAACAAACGGAAGGGGAAAAAAAAACAAATATTAAAACAAGAAAAAAAATCAAATAGTACTTTTACTGTATAAAATCTACTTGCCTTTGACACTACCCTTCCCCTAGTGCTTCCTCCAAAGGTTTAGATAATCCTTACCAGCAGAAGGGAAGACACCAACATCCAAATGACATAGAACACTGGGCCTTTTCCTTCTACTCAAGACAGTGAGATGGGAAAACTGAATTCCAGACCTAACTGTCACCAACGGGACCAATGACCGAGGGCAAGTGAGTTCATCCTTTGCGACTTAGTTTCTTCATCTGTAAAATATGAAAGTTGAACTAGCTAATGTTTGTGATCTCATTCAGCTATAGAATTCTTGGATTCACTAATCATAGCAATCACCCACGCTAATCAACATCACAAAAAAATGAACAACCTTGTGTCACCCCAGCCATGCATAACTCACCAATGAGAAAAGATAATTGAGGCAAAAACTTAAAGGTCAGGTAAAACACAATTTCCTAATTAGACATCACATCTCTTCAGTTGGCTGTTGGAAACCTAGTTTCGTGTGGTCTGTTGGTATTAAACTTTGGCACATTTACAAAGTATTTTATTAAAGTGAAGAGGGTTTTGCCAATTGCATTTCAAAATTACTTTAAAAGATTTTACCTGGGGGGAAAAGGATTACTTTTCCTATTATGTGCATAAGCCTACATGTGGTTGCTGAAAATATCTCCCTTGAGTTAAGAAGTTTTTTCCTTTTGGTTGGTTAAGTACATAATGTTCCACCTACTACAAAGGATTAAAATGACCTGTTTCATCACAGAGTAAGGTAATCGCAGCAGCATGTGATTTTTGGCAGAAAGAACACTTTGTAATTGCTAATTTCCTACATCTAAATTCAGCTGAAGGTTGCAGCCCAAGTCCATAGTATTTCACAAGTCTTAACAAGCAGAACCCAAGGATGCTGCCAGGTTTTTAGACTGCCAATGAAACTGGAAGAGCAGAGAGTTTGCTGAGGGTGAGCCTTTATGAAGGAATGTTCAAATCCAAGACCCTGAATGTCTTACAGACACATGAAAGAGTCCATGGGACACAACTGTCAGACTCGGGTGTTTATTTTGGCCCCAGACTCTCTTCTCATCTCCTCTGTGCTTTCTGCCAACTGGCAGCTGTCCTCAAGGTCAGACCCTTTATTAAAAAATCAGCAACTTAAATAAAAACCAGTAATGCTTTCAGCAAGTATAATCCGTTTTACTTGAGAAGTGTTTCAACTAGTATTTCTTTTGATGCAAAGAAAGTTTGAAAATATGATATAAATAAAATATTTTAGAACTCACATCTACGACCTCTAGGACCAAATTTGTATTTTTCAGCCATGGAAAAACACTCCTTACTGAATAAGTATTAGACCCCAGTCTATGATGAAAATTTTCCACGTGGCCAAAAGAAAACAAATGCAAATAATACCATCATGATATAATCGACTTTGAAGCTATGATTTTATGTTCCTTAAGTCTCCAAATAAGTTTTAACCCTGTTAGTTGTATTTTAAAAGGAATCATTCTTTGCAGATGTCAAACCAGATGTTAAAATGCGTTTCTTTACTATTTGTCAAAGCATTACATGTAGTCACATTTGCAAGATGGGAGACCTGGAGTTCTGGAGTTCTGGACTAGAGCTGGCAACCTGGATTCTGCATACCTGATTAGGTCTATAAAATGTCCTCAGGCATATAAAATCCGTGCATTAGAAGTCAATTCTCGAAAGTCAAAACATCATATAGGACTTTTGCTGACCAAAAACTAAAGGTATGTGTAGGAGCTGATGTGCCATAGCTTAAAGAGTACAGGTTCAGTGGTTACACTGAGCAGTGCTCAAGGCCAAGCTTGTCCCTTCTTAGCAAGACAACCTTGGGTCAACCACTTAGCCTACCTCAAAGTTAATTTTTGATTGTTTCAATTGTGCTTTAAGTGAGAAAAATCATAAATATATTGTATACATCATATATATTCATCACATATATTATTGATATATATAAATTGGCAGCTCAATTCCTCTCATTGCTCAGGTCTAAATCCCTGGAGTCATCTTGTCTTCTCTTTTCCTCTTACACTTCCTATCTAATCTGCCAGCAAATTCTGCCAGCTTTGCTTTCAAACTATATCCAGAGTCCGAACACATCTCATCACCTCCATTGCCACCATTCTGGAGGTTGGTGCCATAGGCTCTCCCTGGATGATGGAAGCAGTCTCATCTTCTCTGGTCTCTCTGCTTCTTATTCTCTTAATTTCAACACAGAAGCCAAAGTAGTCCTTTAAAGACACAAGCCAGATCATGACACTCATTGGCTCAAGGTTCCCTGGCTTGTGATTTTCCTTCTCTCTCAGAGGAAAGCCAAAGTCCTCCCCCTGTACTGATAAGACCCTGAGGCTCTGGCCTCTCCTTCGCCTCTCACTCATTTCTTATCACTGTCTAAGCCCATCCCCATCACTCTCTGCTCCCTCTCCCAGCCTTACTAGGCTCTTTGCCAGGTCCTATCTCAGATCTCTGCACTTGTGGCTCCCTCTACCAGCGGAGGCTGGTGCATTAACCCAGGTACAAGATTACAAGGACAAAATATTAGAATTGAATCACTGAGATTCAAAAAGATACGGGGAAATCCAAGGCACATTTAAGAATGAGATATGATATCTCAAATAGGAGCAAGGGGATTAAAAAGGGTAAAAATAAAATCTGTGTTCCTATATTGTCTAAAGATATTTTTGGCCAGGTGTGGTTGCCTGGTAATCCCAGCACTATGGGAGGCAGAAGGAATGAGGATTGCTTGAGCTCAGCAGTTCAAGACCAGCCTGGGCAACATAGTGAGACCTCGGCTCTACTAAAATTTTTTAAAAACATTACCGGCCGGGCACGGTGGCTCACGCCTGTAATCCCAACACTTTGGGAGGCCGAGGCGGGTGGATCACGAGGTCAGGAGATGGAGACCATCCTGGCTAACACGGTGAAACCCCGTCTCTACTAAAAATACAAAAAAAAAAAATTAGCCAGGCGCAGTGGCGGGCACCTGTAGTCCCAGCTACTCGGGAGGCTGAGGTAGGAGAATGGTGTGAACCCGGGAGGTAGAGCTTGCAGTGAGCCAAGATACCGAGATAGCACCACTGCACTCCAGCCTGGGCGAAAGATCGAGACTCCGTCTCAAAAAAAAAAAAAAAAATTATCCAGGCATGGTGTCACGAACCTGTAGTCTCAGCTACTCAGAAGGCTGAGGCAGGAGGATCATTTGAGCCCTGGAGGTCAAGGTTGCAGTGAGCCATGATCGTGCTACTGCACTCCAGCCTGGACAACAGAGTGAGACCTACTCTCAAATAAATAAATAAACTGCTTAAATAACTTATTATATATTAGGTGACAAAAGTTTTCAGGTATAGGTTTGGTGTGCATTTCGTAGTTAGCATTGCAAACTATCTCCTAACTCTAAAATTCTATAATTAGCAGATACTATAAAAATGATTATGAAAATCAAATACAGATGATTTCTCACATAACTCTGCTTATAGAGTATTGACACAGTCTTATTTAAATATCAAATTTAGGTTGTCATATTTTAAAAAGTTTTTTCCAGATGTATGGTTTCATGAGAAGCCATCTGCAACTTCCAAAAATTTATTCGGAGCCCATGAAGTTTTAATGTTTCCGCACTTTGAGGTCTCCTATTGAATATTCCACTTTTCTCATGATCTAAGTGTTTTGTTTGATTCTTTATAGGCTTCTGAGCAAGATCACCATTTGGAGACAGACTTATCTAAAGTGAGTTATAAATTTGTATGCAATTTACCGATTAACAGGTATGAAAAATAACAGCTGATTTAATTTAATTATTACATCATAGGATGATAAGCTTGGAAGTGAGCTTTGCATAATATTCCCTGTCATGACCGTCCTCTGTTGACACAGATACATAGACAGGGTTATTTGTGGCTGTAGAAAATGTGAAGCAGACAGTACTTGGAAGTGAAGGGAAGAAACCACAGCAAGATCTTGCCTGTAATTCTTCTTTTGGTCACTCTGGCATCCTAGTTAGATCCTGAAAATCCATATGGAGCTACCATATAATCTTCCTCTCCCTCAGTGAAGAAACATTTCAGACCTGTTGGCTGTGGGACCCATGATACCAGGCTTTTGCCCCTTCACATGGATGAGGATGAGATAAAAGTCGAGGAATAAAGGAAGTCAGGTGTAAATAAAAGTAAATACAGCCAAGTCCTGCATAAAGATCTTTCGATCAATGATGGACTTCAAATATGACAGTGGTCTCATAACATTTTATTGCATTTTTACTGTAGTCTTTCTATGTTTAGATACACAAATACTTAGATTGTGTTACAATTGCCTGCAGTATTCAGTACAGTAACATGCTATACAGGTTTGTAGCCTAGGGGCAATAGGCTATCCCATATAACCTAGGTGTGTAGTAGGCCATACCATCTAGGTTTGCATAAGTACACTTTGTGATGTTTGCACAACCAAAATCACCTAATGATGCATCTCTCAGAACTAGAACATATACCCATCATTAAGCAACACACAACTGTATATTTTCTAAACTAGATTTAACTCTTTATAATATCAATTATTTTTGTCAGTTTTTATGTCAGAATTTGATACCTATGATGATAAAGTTTAATCAAAAGAGTAATATATTTGAAAAATAATGGCTTCATTATTAAATTCTGTGATTTAGAGGTGCTCAATTTCTTGTCTTAGAATCGCCTTTCCTAATCCTAATAGGTTCAAAGAGTCAGAGAAACAACATAACTATGATAACATTACCCATCTTGACAGCTGACCTGCCAACTACATTACCTTGTTGCTCCTCACATTTTATCAGCAAAAGAGATGCCTCCATTGAAAATGAATCCAGATGTTTTAAACGCAGATGCTTTGGAGATAAAACAACAGTAGTTCTGTTTGACAAATAAAGCACTGCGCGGGGCCTTTAGCTTATCCCTAGTATATAACTCTGGCCATATGACCATTTCTCAGCAGCACAGTCAGCACTGGCTCATAATAATAGGCATGCAGTCCATTGTGATGTCTTATGTACGCTGCTACAGGATGCTTCCAGGAAATATAAGCCTTATCTGCCTTTTCCTCCTCTCTTTTGATTGGAGAGATTGCTGTTCAGAATAGAAATCTTCTCTACTAACTTAAATTAGTTCCAAGTAGGCTAAAGCTTACTGTTCATGGGGGATTATATGCCATGTCCTTAAATACATGGTCTTACTTGTTCTCTTAACAACCCGGTAAGGGAGGTATCCATTTCCCCATTTTGAAAAGGAAGAAATAGATCTCAGAGAGGTTAAACAGCTTACCAAAGTCTCATAGGTTTAAGAGATTGCTCTCAATTCAATTTCCGGTTTGTCTGATTTCAAAGTCCAGGATTTTCCCACCCAGGTTCAAAGAAGGAAAAGTCATGAAATTACCCAAACTAGAGGTTACTATATCTGACCTCTGAACTTACCAAATCCATAGTGTAGCTTTGATCGTTAAACAGGTTGATGATAATTTTGGTATAGATCAGGCAAATTTCACAATTATTTAGATAAAAGTAATTCTGTTTTAGAAAGAATTACTATAAAGACTGTCTATATTTTGTTCATTTTATCAAACATATAAGGGTACAACTATATGAGGATATTATGCCAGTCCCTGGAAATAGGATGAATAAAGCACAGCCCTTGCCCTTAATCTCGTAGCATCATGGTAAAGATAGATTTGAAATAATGCCAGCAACTGGGAGTGTTATTCATAATATTTAATACTTGTGCTGAACAAGTACCCACCAATCAGAATGGAGACTGACTATATACAGCTGGTATGGATGGCCACAGTGCAAATGATTGCGTATCAGTTTTGCCTTAACAATGGAATCAATACTGAAATAGAGATACATGAAAACATCAATGGAAAGGTGGATGGAAGGAGGGGCCAGAGGGGGTCATGAAAAACTACAAAATAGAGATGATGCATGATCTGAACCTTAACAGATAAGTGGGAGTTTTCCATTGGACAAAAGAGGACATGGCATTCTAGGCAGAGGACACAACTAAACTGAACAAAGCCTGGGTGGCATAGGGAAGTGTCTAGTAGCCTACTGTGGTTAGATCACAGGGCTTGCAGAGAGTAGTTGCACATGATAATGAAATTTGTCTTAGGCCCAATCATGAAGGGCCTTAGCAAATCTAATAAGTTTTTACTTTCTTCTCTGGGTATCAGAGAACCCAAATAATTACATCTATGCTTGAGATAATTTGTGGGGTACAATAGAGAATGCACTGGCAGGGGAAAACTGCTCAGAGGCTCGCTGGGTAGTTCTGGAGAGATGCGATTGGAGTCTATACCGGTATTGTTGAAAAGAGAAGGGGATGGATGCAAGAGGCATTTGATAATATGTAGTGGTTGGTTGAGTATACTGAGAGAGGGAAAGGAGGAATCAAGAATGAGTCCAAAGCTCTTGGCTTGAGCAATTTAGTTGGTTTTTACTGAGATAGCACAGGGAGATGGAGATAACATCTCCAGGATGTTTGGAAATTGAGCAAGATAATAAGCTTGGTTTGGGGCATAGTGTGCCATACAGAACACCTAGATAGAGAAGTCAAAGAGGCAATTAGTATTATTATAGATAACTGATAGCACCTGCCCTATTTATTAGTCGATGCCTTGTATAGTCATCTTTTGGTATCCATGGGGGATTGGTTCCAGGACCTTCTGCAGATGCCAGAATCCTTAAATGCTAAAGTCCCTGATATAAAATGGTGTGATATTTGCATATAACCTACACATACCACCTGTATACTTTAAATTACCTCTAGATTACTTACAATAGCTAATACAATGTAAATGCTATATATATAGTTGTTATACTGTGTTTTTTAGGTAATAATAGTAAGAAAAAAGTCTGTACATGTTCAGTACAGATGCAACTATTCATTTTAAAAAATATATATTTTTGATCTGCTGTTGGGTGAATCCACAGAAGCAAAATGCACAGAAATAGAGGGCTGACTGTGTATATTTACACTTACTTGACAGATAACTCATAGCCTAGGAAGGAGAAACTTGAAAACTAAAATATGTAATTACTCCTCCTTTAGGAGAAGTTATGTTGAAAATAACATGGATTAGGTTAGTGCTTTTTCTGAGCGTAATGCTATCTTTTTCCACCATGTTTTCATTTGTCTAAGAACAGAATCAGGATGCTGAACAGATCTGCCTAAATTAGATCAGCTTAATTTGGTTAGATGGTTTGGGTCAATTTATAGATTGCACATCATATTTTATAAATATCAACATGTATTTTAAAACTTAATTTTGCTTATTTGGATTTCATTGTACTGTTAAGGCCAAAGTTAGATTTTGACTGCTTTACAGGTGAGTTTGATTTGCAAAGATCGCTGAGACAGGTCTTTGAAGGATGTTTTCATTATTTTGCTTTAGTGAATTTCAAGATTGCATATGCTGTGTTATAGTAACAGGCTGCACATAAAAATTCAATGCTGACTTGGCAAATGGCAACTGTGGGAATTGCCAAGTTTTGGTTCATAGTCTGAATCTGCACTAGTCTACACAGTGGTAGTGAATCTTCATATCAAGGAGCAGTATAGTATTAAACAGATCCCTCATTTACATAGTTTTGCATTAAACTGATTCACATACATATGTAATACATTGTGTGACTGTATCTCAAATCACATTGAAATCATATTTTACTTTTATTTGGTTACTTGCTCCTATGAGGATCTCCAGGAAAAAAAAGCTATGGAGTTGAGTAATTTACTTTTGGCACATTCTCACTTACTGGTGCCACTATTTTCCAACCTACAGCCCTTAAACTAGCTCTACTTACCCAGTAACCGTCATTGCAGTATTTCACCCACGTATACAGATCACCTTTGCTCCTCCTCCCTAGGTGTCATTTAAACTCATATTTAGGGTAAATGCTATATTTTAGGGATTTCAGTTTATTCACAGTAGTGTAAACATGATTGGACAATCTTCTTAAAGTGTGTGTGTGTGTGCATGTGTGCACATGTGTACCCTATAACATAGAATGTCTTCTTAGATGAATGAGCTGCTTCCTGTTGTGTTCTGCAAAATGGGAGAAAGGAGAACAAATAAGCACGTGGACAACTAGGCAGGTGAACAAGGGAAGAAGCCTGTCCATGGAGTGAAGTCAAGGTGCTAGTAGGTAGGAGGATTCAGTCCAGTGGGATTAGAGAAACCCAATCTCACCACCTGCTACCAACCCCATATATGCTCCCACCATGGGCATGATAGGACAGGGAAGTGGGATCAGCACAGACCCTGATGCCTCACACGCGCAGAATCTATTTACTGAACTTAGAAAATAGAGCTGGGCAATATCATACTGAATGGGCAAAAACTGGAAGCATTCCCTTTGAAAACTGGCACAAGACAAGGATGCCCTCTCTCACCACTCCTATTCAACATAGTGTTGGAAGTTCTGGCTAGGGCAATCAGGCAGGAGAAAGAAATAAAGTGTATTCAATTAGGAAAAGAGGAAGTCAAATTGTCCCTGTTTGCAGATGACATGATTGTATATTTAGAAAACCCCATTGTCTCAGCCCAAAATCTCCTTAAGCTGATAAGCAACTTCAGCAAAGTCTCAGGGTACAAAATCAATGTGCAAAATTCACAAGCATTCACCAATAACAGACAAACAGAGAGCCAAATCATGAGTGAATTCCCATTTACAACTGCTTCAAAGAGAATAAAATACCTAGAAATCCAACTTACAAGGGATGTGAAGGACCTCTTCAAGGAGGACTACAAACCACTGCTCAACGAATTAAAAGAGGACACAAACAAATGGAAGAACATTCCATGCTCATGGGGAAGAATCAATATTGTGAAAATGGCCATACTGCCCAAGGTAATTTATGGATTCAATGCCATCCCCATCAAGCTACCAGTGACTTTCTTCACAGAATGGGAAAAAACTACTTTAAAGTTCATATGGAACCAATAAAGAGACTGCATTGCCAAGACAATCCTAAGCCAAAAGAACAAAGCTGGCAGCATCACACTACCTGACTTCAAACTATACTACAAGGCTACAGTAACCAAAACAGCATGGTACTGGTACCAAATCAGAGATATAGACCAATGGAACAGAACAGAGCCCTCACAAATAATACTACACATCTACAGCCATCTGATCTTTGACAAACCTGGGAAAAACAAGCAATGGGGAAAGGATTCCCTATTTAATAAATGGTGCTGGGAAAACTGGCTAGCCATATGTAGAAAGCTGAAACTGGATCCCTTCCTTACACCTTATACAAAAATCAATTCAAGATGGATTAAAGACTTAAATGTTAGACCTAAAACCATAAAAACCCTAGAAAAAAACCTAGGCAATACCATTCAGGACATAGGCATGGGCAAGGACTTCATGACTAAAACACCAAAAGCATGGCAACAAAAGCCAAAATTGACAAATGGGATCTAATTGAACTAAAGAGCTTCTGCACAGCAAAAGAAACTACCATCAGAGTGAACAGGCAACTTACAGAATGGGAGAAAATTTTTACAATCTTCCCATCTGACAAAAGGCTAATATCCAGAATCTACAAAGAACTTAAACAAATTTACAAGAAAAAAATCAAACAACCCCATCAAAAAGTGGGCAAATGATATGAACAGACACTTCTCAAAAGAAGACATTTATGCAGCCAACAGACACATGAAAAAATGCTCATCATCACTGGCCATCAGAGAAATGCAAGTCAAAACCACAATGAGATACCATCTCACACCAGTTAGAATGGCGATCATTAAAAAGTCAGGAAACAACAAGTGCTGGAGAGGATGTGGAGAAATAAGAACACTTTTACACTGTTGGTGGGACTGTAAACTAGTTCAACCATTGTGGACGTCAGTGTGGTGATTCCTCAAGGATCTAGAACTAGAAATACCATTTGACCCAGCCATCCCATTACTGGACATATACCCAAAGGATTATAAATGATGCTGCTATAAAGACACATGCACACATATGTTTATTGCGGCACTATTCACAATAGCAAAGACTTGGAACCAACCCAAATGTCCGTCAATGATAGACTGGATTAAGAAAATGTGGCACATATACACCATGGAATACTATGCAGCCATAAAAAAGGATGAGTTCCTGCCCTTTGTAGGGACATGGTTGAAACTGGAAACCATCATTCTGAGCAAAGTATCGCAAGGACAGAAAACCAAACACCCCATGTTCTCACTCATAGGTAGGAATTGAACAATGAGAACACTTGGACACAGGGTGGAGAACATTACACACACTGGGGCCTGTCATGGTGTTGGGGGAGGAGGGAGGGATAGCATTAGGAGATATACCTAATGGAAGTGACGAGTTAATGGGTGCAGCACACCAACATGGCACATGTATACCTATGTAACAAACCTGCACGTTGTGCACATGTACCCTAGAACTTAAAGTATAATTATAAAAAAAAAGAAAATAGAGCTAGGGTTCTTGCCTCCCTTGTTCCTGGAAAAGAGGCAATTGGCCTGGTTAAAATGTCAAAGAAGCAGAGGTTTGTTTTTATTTTATATCTTCCCCATTGAGCTATTTGCAGACCTTTCTTTGTCTTTAATGGAAGCAACATACAGCATTAGTTCTAAGATGACATTTTTCACAATTTAACACCTCTGACATTGGGATGCATGGTACAATCAATGGCATTTTATGGCATTGCTGTTGCCCTGGAATGAATCTCTTATGGAAGCATTTATTTCCAACAGTTAACTAGGGACACTACCAGTCAGAGACCACTTCAAATTAAATTCTCTTCTAGAGGTTTTTCATCACACCAATAGTGTGTATTCAGACCTCATGCTGATGTGACTAATGGCTTGAGGTTCAAAATCTCAGAGGAGATTTTTATTTTCTCCCTCCTCTCATTGCAAAGGTTGAGAAATAAAAATCCCTTGGGGTGTGGGGTGTCCCAGCTTCATGCCAGAGTTTCCTATTAGACTCCCTATTTTGGGGCTTTTTTTCTTGGTAGCTGATAGAATAATGGTGCATCTTATAGTCAAAAGAATGGAAGAAATTCAATATAAGAAGTGAAGAAGTTCACCAGGGACAAAAAGCCTTGCCAGTTTCTTACTTCTGAGCAGCAGCAACGCCTTCTTCAGGTCTTTGCCTGTCTTTTAGAGCCTGCCAACACCTCTCAAAGAGCCAGGTAATCACCCTCCAGATGAATGATTCACTATGTAATTTGTAAGTATAATGGGATTTGTTAATTTGTAATTTCATCAAGATGTAATTTGTGAGTAGAGATTGTACCAAAGCTATAATTACCAGTGTGGTGATTTTGTTCCTTCTTTTTGCAAATACTTACAAGGTGTCTATTCTGTGCACTGGAGAAGGAATAAAGATGCTCAATAAACGATCCATGACCGCAGGGAGCTTAGGACCCGTTATGATTAGATAAGGCATACACAAAAACAACGGTAATGAAATATAGAAAGTGATGACACTGGGGGACGGAATAGCAAGTGTGCCCCCATGAATATTCAGGAGAGAGGAATTATTTCTAGTTTGGGGAGAATCAGAAAATACTTTATGAAAGAGATGAGTGATAATCATATTAACATTAATAATAACAATAATTATATTTCAAGTGCCTTACTCACATTATTTATTTAATCCTTCATGACATGGGTATTAATTTCATTTTACAGATTAGAAAACTGGCTTTGAAAACTGAATACAACTTTGGAGTCAGAAGCGGTGTGGGAAAAATGTTGTCATCTGTGAGAACAGTCAGAATAAAGGCCTGGATGGGGGAGGGCAAGGGTCACTGGCAAAGATACCACACAGATTAATTTGGTTAGAGGATGAGCTGGGTCAAGGCAAGTAACAAGAGAGATAAAAATGAATATTTTGTTTGAGCTAGGTAATGGAGGAACAGATGGGAGTTGTCATGGAGATGGAATAAAATAAGGTGGCAAAGGGTTCTAGAGTTGCAAAGAAGAAAGTTTGTCAAAGACAAATGATTTGGAGATTGGATGTCTGGGAAAAAGTGATATGAGGAGAAGAACTAGTAAACACAAGAGAATATGGGGCATTGAGTTCTGTCCTAAAGAGCTGAATTATAAATGTCCTGATACTGGCTGTGCTAGTTGAGAAAAGGCTTGAGGGGAGAGGCAAGCAAGGTCTGAGTAATAATCAACAGTGGTAGGTTTATAAAAGTTCTGAACATCAAGGATAGAGTCTCCCTAGAGGGATATCTAGGGCAGGGTGAGGCAAACTCAAGTCCAGTTAGGCAGGTCCCACGATGCTCCGAAAGTGATCCTCATAGCATGAGACAGGGAGACTCATGTGGTAGGTGAAGATTAACTCATCAGGGAAGATTTTCAGAGCCTGATGAAAAAAGTGAAAGATCAAAATCAAGCCGCGAGGAAAAGGATTGATTTAGGCTAAGAAGTCAGTTTTATCCTCCCCATTACAAGTTGCCAATTTCCTAGGGAACAAAGATACTTCCAATTCTGCTCCTAGTGAACTGGCAAAAAACAAAATAGGCATCACGGACCTGGGCAAAAGGACCAGCTGAACACCCTTCTGGGCATGATTTTGCAGTTTTTTCATCTTTCCCTGGCATGTTATGTTGTGACCATATGTGGCCAACTTAGGGCTCTGTCCGTTTTAGAGTGCTCAGACTTTAGGCATGGGGAAGTTAAAAGACTGCATTATTTCTAGATCCTCTTTGTTCATAGGCAAAGTAGCTGACATCTCCTGCCAGCCTGAATTCTCATTAATTCTAGGACTGGATTGGGCTCTGCTGCCTCTAGTGAGGTACCTAATAATTAGAGACAGCTGAGAAGGGTTGGAAAAATCTGGAACTTGTAGTAGGCAATTGGAATTGTTAGACTAGAGCTTAGGAGACACGTATAATCAGAGATTTTAGAGTCAAAAAGATGTAATGGTTGAAGATAAGAAAAGGAGTGAAGTTACTGAAATAAGAAAGGAAAACAAACAGAGAAAAGGCCAAGGACTGACCAGATGGATTCTCTGAATTTGGAGAAAGACAGGAGGTCGGGGAGTTGGACGAGAATTTAGAGGAGAAAAACAAGAAAGAGCGATATAGACAAACAGAGGAGAAAGTGCAAACAGAAGAGGGATTAATCATGTCAGTGCTGCAGAAGGAGACTGAGGATTAAAGTCATTAGATGGATCTACTAGGAGGACACTGTGACCCTGAGAGCAGGCGTGACTTACCTGCAAGGGAAGAAAGCATAGCACAATGGGAAATGCGAGTGAGCAGTAAAGAAATAAAGCAGTATAGCTGTTTTTTTCCCTAAAGTTATCTGGCAGAAGGAAGGGAGGGAGGGAGGGAGGGATGGAGGGATGGATGGATTGGGAGAGGGAGGAAGAGAGGAAGGAAATATGCTAGCACAGTAGCTCTGAGGGGTTTTTTGCTTTTTGTTTTGATTTTCAGGTCTTTGTTCTAAGTCTGCAACCTCTAATTTTCCATTGTCTTACTGCCTCTACTTCATGTCACATGGTATTTTTGTTAATATTCTCAACTCTCTCCCTTTTTCATTCCTTCCCCTCCTCCCCAGTGTAACCCTGCAGGTTTCAATGTTGTGAGTTTGGATTTTTTGTTGATTGGTATTATCTGTATATGGTCTTCATTTGACTAGTGACACTATGAAAATGATGGATTTCTGTACACACATAGGTTTCCCCAACAGGATTTTAATTTATATTGACGCTTTGGAAAGAATATAAAAACATTCTTGTATGCCATCAAATCATTTAAACAGTCTCACAAATAGATACAACTTAGCCATTTGCATCAAATAAAATTAAATCACAATACTCTGAATATAATGGAAGGGGAAATACTTTTTCTTTTTAGCACTAAAGGACCTTTCCCATAATGTTCAAATGATTAAAGTTAATAAGATGGATGATTAAATAATAGATGTAAGTTTTTGAGTACCTAATTTATGTCATATTCTTATGACAATGCTCTTTCTATCCCCATTTTACAGAAGAAGAGATTGAAACCTATGAAGTTATTTTACATAAGTTCTCATAGCAAATCAATGGAGGATCCCTGATTTGCACTGAAACGTATCTGGCTCCAAAACCTAGGGGAGGAACCTCTGGTCTCCATTCATGCCACCTCCACCTTTCCTACCTTTATAGAAATCCACTTGGTTGAGCTGGGTGTGGTGGCTTATTCCTGTCATCCCAGCACTTTGAGAGACTGAGGCAGGTGGATCAACTTGAGGCCAGGAGTTTGAGACCAGCATGGCTAACACAGTGAAACCCCTTCTCTACTAAAAATACAAAAAATTAGCTGGGCATGGTGGTGGTCACCTGTAATCCCAACTACTTGAGAAACTGAGGCACGAGAATTGCTTGAACCCGGGAGGCAGAGCTTGCAGTGAGCCATGATTGCACTACTGCACTCCAGCCTGGGCAACAGAGCAAGACTCTGTCTCTAAATAAATAAATATTTTTTGAAAAGGTTGGGAATGGTAGCTCATGCCTGTAATCCCAGCATTTTGGGAGGCCAAGGTGGGTGGATCACGAGGTCAGGAGATCGAGACCATCCTGGCTAACACAGTGAAACCCTGTCTCTACTAAAAATATAAAACATTAGCCGGGTGTGGTAGTGGGTGCCTGTAGTCCCAGCTACTCATGAGGCTAAGGCAGGAGAATGGCGTGGACCTGGGTGGCAGAGCTTGCAGTGAGCCGAGATCGCACCACTGCACTCCAGCCTGGGTGACAGAGCGAGACTCCGTCTCAAAAAATAAATAAATAAATAAATAAATAAATAAATAAATAAAAATACTTTTTTGAAAAAAGAAATCCCCATGGTGACTGAAGCTAAAAATCATTTCACATTGATACGAGAACAAAATCTTTCAGATCTTTTATTTTTCAGGAATGTCATTTACCTTAATTTCCTAAATAACTAAATTTAGTTTTCATTTGCTGAGGTAATTTGTCTCCTATCCTAAGGGGCCAATTTTAAAACTGGTCTACTCAGAACTAGTTATAGAATTTACGGGACCCCTTGTTAAAAATTACTAAGGATTTCAAGGCAGCAACAACAGATCATTAAACCAAGCATGGGGCTCTGCTGAGCACTGAGCCACCTATGACTGTACAGGTCACAGGCCCATAAAGTGGGCCCTGGGTGTACTTTTAAACATGATTTGTTAAGGCTGCTCAGCATTTACTCCATCCTATCTATTACTAATAACAGCAGAATGAATTTTACTCCTACTGAACTAACAAAGAGGACCTTTCCCATAATGTGCAAATGATTGCTTGTAGTATTAATGTACTGCAGAGCCTTTTAAAGAGATTGCCTCTAGAGCCACCAACCAAAGAATGGAGTGGGCTAGCAAAAGTTTCTTTTAGTATCCTATAATTCGTCTAATTATTGATCCACTAGGAACAAACACATGGTTACATAATGCATACTGGGAATGCATTCAACTCCTAGGCCTGGTGTTCAAGGCTCTCCACAGTCTGGTCTTCCCTGTCTCTCTGGCTCTACTTGGCACTCCCCACCCATGCCATCTCTTGCCTCAGCCAATTAGTTCATCTTTGCTGTATCTGCTTGTACTTTCATCCCTGCATTTTGATGCATGCCAGAAAAGTACATACAACACTGCCTAGCCACTGCACACACTTAATATGTGTATTTGTTGATTGATTGAATGCATGCATAAAGAAATTAGTTAACAAATGCTTTCCTTCCTGTTCTCTACCTTTCAAAGTTCTATCCAACCTTTGAGGCCCACTCATGTCACCTCTTCTATAAAGTCTTTCTAACTACAACAGTCAAAGTAATTGCTTCCCTTATTTGAGCCTTTGAAAAAACTATTCCTTTGGTTCTTATCACATTCTGTCATGCACTATATTTATTTTTTATTCGCAGCTACTATAGTTTCATCTAAATAATAAATTCCAGAAGACCAAGGAGCATGCCTGAAACATGTTTATATATTATAGAGTATCTATTCAATTGCCTTGTAAACGATGGCGCTCAGTATTTTGCAGGGAATGGTATAATATAATGATTGAGAATGCAGCCTCTGAAGTCAGACAAAACTGAACTCTGGTCCTGGTTCTGCTACTTTACAGCTGTGTGGCTTTGGACAATTATCTGACTGCTAAAGGCATCGATTGCCTCATTTGTGAAAGGCAGACAATAATACATCATATATTAGGCTGTTCTTGCATTGCTATAAATAAATATCAGAGACTGGGTAATTTATAAATAAAAGAGGTTGAATTGGTTCACGGTTTTGCAGGCTGCACAGAAAGCATGGTACCAGTATCTGCTTCTGGTGAGGGCCTCAGGGAACTTACAATCATGGTGGAAGGCAAAGGGGAAGCAGGCATCTCCCATGGCAAGAGTGGGAGCAAGAGAGCAAGGTGGGCAGGGGGTGCTATACACTTTTAAACAACCAGATATCATGTGAACTAACTGAATGAGAACTTATCACCAAAGAGATGGTGCTAAACCAATCATGAGTGATCTGTCTTTGTGATCCAGTCATCTTCTACCAGGCCCCACGTCTTGCACTAGGGTGGGGACAAATATCCAAACCATATCATTCTGCCCCTGAACTCCCAAATTTCATGTCCTTCTCACATTGCAAAACACAATAATCTCTTCCCAACAGTCCCCCAAAGTCTTAACTCATTCCAACATCAAGTTTAAAGTCCTAAGTCTCATCTGAGACTTGTCTCCTTCTACCTATGAGACTACAAAATCAAAACAAGTTATTTACTTCCCAGATACAATGGTGGTACAGGCATTGGGTAAACATTCCCATTCCCAAAGGGAAAAGTTGCCTAAAAGAAAGTGCCAATAGCCCCATGCAAGTCTGAAACCCAGCAGGGCAGTCATTAAATTTTAAAGCTCCAAAATAATCTCCTTTGACTCCATGTCCTCCATCCAGGGCACACTGTATAATGGGTGGACTCCTAAGGCCTTGGGCAGCTCTGCCTCCATGGCTTTGCCGGGTGCAGCCCCTGCAGCTGCCTTCATGGGTTGGAGTTGAGTGCTTGTGGCTTTTCTAGGCACAGAGGGCAAGCTGCCAGTAGCTCTACCATTCTGGGGTCTAGAGGGCATCAGCCCCCTTCCCACAGCTCCACCAGGCAGTGCTTCAGTTGGAACTCTGTGTCAGGGCTCCGACTTCATATTTCCCCTTGGTGTTGCCCTAGTAGAGGTTCTTGTGGAAGCTCCTCCCATGTGGCAGGCTTCTACCTGAGTTAGGGGTTAGGCAGAAGCCTAGGAGGCTTTCTGATACATCCTCTGAAATCTAGGTGGAATTTGCCAAGCCTCCTTTACTTTTGGATTCTGTGCACCTGCAGGCTTAACATCATGTGGAAGCTGCCAAGGAATAAATAGCTTGTGCCCTCTGGAGCAGTGGCCTAAGCTGTATCTGGGGCACTTTGAGCCATGGCTGAAGCTGGAGCTGCAGAAATGAGGGGAGAAGCACCCCCAGGTGATGCAGGGCTTTGGCATTCCAAGCCTGGCCCATTAAACCATTCTTTACTCTAGATCTCTGGGCCTCTGATAGGAAGAGCTGCCTCATAAGTCTCTGAAATGCCTTCCAGGCCTTTTCCCTATTGTCTTGGCTATCAGTACCTGGCTATCTGTCAGTCATACAAATCTCTCTAGCAAGTTGTTGTTCTGCAGTCCACTTGTGTTCTTCCCCTGAAAATGGGCTTTTCTTTTCTGCCACATGGCTAGGCTGTGAATTTTCCAAACTTCTAGGCTGTGCTTCTTTTTAAAATATATGTTCCAATTTTAAGTCATTTCTTTGCTTTCACATCTGAAAGTAGGATGTTAGAAGCAGCCAGGCAACATATTGACCGTTTTGCTACTTAGAAATTTCTTCCAACAGATACTCTAAGTCATCACTCTTAAGTTCAAACTTCCACGGATCCCTAGGACATGGACACCATGCAGTCAAGTTCTTTGCTAAGGCATAACAAAGGTGACCTTTGCTCCAGTTCCTGAAAAGTCCCTCATTTCCATCTGAGACCTTCTCAGACTGGACTTCACTGTCCATATCACTATCAGTATTTTGGTCACAACCATTTAAGTGGTCTCTAAGAAGTTCCAAACTTTCCCTAATCTTTCTATCTTCTGAGCCCTCCAAACCCCTCTAACCTCTGCCCGTTACCCAGTTCCACAGTTGCTTCTACGTTTTCAGGTATCTTTATAGAAACACCCCACTTCTCAGTACCCATTTTCTGTATTAAGCCACTCTTACATTGCTATAAAGAAATACTTAAGACTGGGTAGTTTATAAATAAAAGAGATTTAAGTTGGCTCACAATTCTGCAGCCTGTACAGGAAGCATGGTGCTGGCATCTGCTTCTGGTGAGGGCTTCAGGGAACTTACAATCATGGTGGAAGGTGATGCAGAGTCAGCATGTCACACAGTGAGAGTGGAAGCAAGATGGCAAGGGAGGAGGTGCCACACTCTTTTAAACAACCAGATGTCATGTGAACTAACCAAGCAAGAACCAACTTGTCACCAAGGGGATGCTGCTAAACCATTCACGAGGGACCAATCCCCATGATCCCATCACCTCCCACTAGGCCCCTCATCCACACTGGGGATTACAATTCAACACATTTGGAGGGGACAAATATCCAAGCCATATCACATCATTATAAGAATAAAATGAGATAATATATGTAAAGTATTTAACACATATAGGAATCATGGTAAATAATAGCTATATAGTAGTGGTGTAATAGTATTTACTCACTATTGAGTATGGCTGACTCTGAATTGTAGAAGTATTTACTCAGAAAACTAAGGGAGAAACAGAAGCAAACAGTACAACAATAAACACTAAGAATAATAGAACAGCTGAAGAAAATTTCAAGAAAATAAAGATGTCTAAGTTGTCTTTCTTCTACTGCAGACTAGTCCATATCTGACCATAGGGTTCTTAGAGTTCAGTTTCCTAACAATGCATGAATTTTCTTATTCTATCTCAGATGTCTGGTTTTTCACATCTTTCTCACACACATGGTCTCAAACAAACAACCCAGCGTCACTTCAGACACTATGTCATCCACCCTAGTACTCTCTTTTCTGTTCCTAGTGAAAGTTGGAGGTGTCCTGCACTTACAAAAGACATAACTGGAACCTCAGGGCCTTAGTATCCTTAGCATTCTCCCAATTTCTTCCATTCTCTCATTTGCACACAAGGGAGATGTTTCTATTTACCAGCCTAAATTTGTTTACACTTCAAATTGTCAAGAGAATAATTAAAACAGTTTCATTTAGTAAACAGCATCATGGAATTCTTAAGAATAATCTGCCTTTGGTGAACTGTACCCTTCATTGACGCCCGTTGCTATCATCAAACAATGATAGGATTGTTCATCAACAGTGAGCAACCCTAACAACAAATCCTAACTTCAAATTTGTTATATGCATGGTTACCAGGGAGGAAGAAAAGACAGGGTTGAGGCCTCTCCCTGCCTGTGTTTTTACACTGGTGTTCGTTGGGCTCAACACAGTCTTATATTTGCGCCTAAAGCCATTGATAGAGCTCATGCTGGTGGGAATGTAAACTAGCACAACCACTATGGAAAACAGTGTGGAGATTTCTTAAAGAACTAAAGTAGAACTACCATTTGATCCAGCAATTCCACTACTGGGTACATACCCAGAGGAAAAGAAGTCGTTATACAAACAAGATACTTGCACTTCCGTATTTATAGCACCACAATTGGCACTTGCGAAAACGTGGAGCCAACCCAAATGGCCATCAATCAATGAGTGAATAAAGAAACTGAAGCCAAGCTATTTGAAAATACACTGTCAGAAGAGACAGAAGAAAAAAAGAATAAAAAACTATGAAGCACACTTATAGGAACTAGAAAATAGACTTGAAAGGGCAATTCTAAGAGTTATTGGCCTCAAAGAGGAGGTAGAGAAAGAGAGAGGGGTAGAAAGTTTATTCAAAGGGATAATTAAAAAGGACTTCCCAAACCTAAAAAAGATAGCAATATGCAAGTATAAGAAGCTTATAGAACACCAAGCAGATTTAACCCAAAGAAGACTACGTCAAGGTATTTAATAATCAAACTCCCAAAGATCAAGGACAAAGAAAGAATTCTAAAAGCAGTAAGAGAAAAGAAATAACCTACAATGGAGCTCCAATATGCCTGGCAGCAGACTTTTCAGTGGAAACATTACAGGCCAGGATAGAGTGGCATAACATATTTAAAGTGCTGAAGAGAAAAACAACAAAAACGTTTACACTAGAATAGTATAACCAGCAAAAATATTCTTCGAACATGAAGGAGAAATAAAGACTTTTTCAGACAATCGGAAGCTGAGGGATTTCAACACCAGATCTGTCCTGTGAGAAATGCTAAAAGGAGAACTTCAATCAGAAAGAAAAAGGATGTTGATGAGCAAAAAGAAGTCATCTGAAGATACAAAATTCACTGGTAATAGTAAATATACAGAAAAACACAGAACATTATAACACTGTAACAATGGTGTTTAAGCTACTCTTACGTAGAAGGACTAAAGGATGAACCAATCCAAAATAATAACTACAACAACTTTTCATGACACAGACAGTACAATAAGATATAAATAGAAACAACAAAATGTGAAAAAGTTGGGGACAAAGTTAAGGCACAGAGTCTTTATTAGTTTTCTTTTTGCTTGTTAGGTTGTTTATACCACAATGTTAAGTTGTTATCATCTTAAAATAATAGGTTATAAGATAGTATTTGCAAGCCTCATGATAACCTCAGAATAAGAAAACAGATAATGGATACACAAAAAATAAAAAGCAAGAAACTAAATCATATCAGCAGAGAAAATAATCTTCACTAAAAGGAAGACAGAAAGAAAAGAAAGAACAAAGAGAAGACCACAAAAAAAAACATAAAATGGCAGAAGTCAGTTCTTAGTTATAAATAATAATATTGAATGCAAATGGACTAAACTCTCCAATCAAAAGACATAGAGTGGCTGAAACACACTTCATGAATAAAAACATACATAGACTAAAAATAAAGGGATGGAAAAAGATATTATATGCCAATGGAAACCAAGAGAAGAGCAGGCAGAGCTATACTTATATCAGACAAAATAGATTTCAAGAGAAAATCTATAAGAAGAGACAAAGAAGGTCACTATATAATGATAAAGGGGTCAATTCAGCAAGAGGTTATAACAGTTTAAAATATATATGTGCCCAATACTGAAAAACCCAGATATATAAAGCAAATATTATTAGAGATAAAGAGAGAGATAGACTCCAATACAATAATAGCTAGAGACTTCACCCCACTTTCAACACTGGACAGAACTTCCAGACATAAAATCAACAAATAAACATCAGACTTAATATACACTATAGACCAGAAGGATCTAATAAATATTTACAGAACATTTCACCCAATGGCTGCAGAATACACATTCTTTTCCTCAGCACATGGATCATTCTCAAGGATAGATCATATGTTGAGTCACAAAACAAATCTTAAAACATTAAAAAAATTGAAATAATGTCTAGCATCTTCTCTGATCACAACAGAATAAAACTATAAATCAAGCCGGGCATGGTGGTTCATGCCTGTAATCCCAGCACTTTGGGAGGCTGAGGTAGGTGGATCACGAGGTCAGGAGTTCTAGATCAGCCTGGCCAACAGGGTGAAACCATGTCTCTACTAAAAATACAAAAATTAGTCAGGCGTGGTGGTGGGCACCTGTAATCCCAGTTACTTGGGAGACTGAGGCAGGAGAATTTCTTGAACCTGGAAGGCAGAGGTTGCAGTCAGCCGAGATTGTGCCACTGCCCTCCAGCCTGGGTGACAGAGCAAGACTCTTTTTGAAGGAGGAGGTTCCAAGATGGCCGAATAGGAACAGCTCCAGTCTGCAGCTCCCAGCGTGAGTGATGCAGAAGATGGGTGATTTCTGCATTTCCAGCTGAGGTACCGGGTTCATCTCACTGGGGCTTGTCAGACAGTGGGTGCAGCCCATGGAGCAGGGCGGGGCATTGCCTCACCTGGGAAGCGCGAGGGGTCAGGGAATTCCCTTTCCTAGCAAAGGGAAGCCATGATGGGTGGTACCTGGAAAATTGGGACACTCCCACCCTAATACCTAATACTGCACTTTTCCAATGGCCTTAGCAAACGGCACACCAGGAGATTATATCCCACGCATGGCTTGGAGGGTCCCACGCCTACGGAGCCTCACTCACTGCTAGCACAGCAGTCTGAGATTGAACTGCAAGGTGGCAGCGAGGCTGGGGGAGGGGCGCCCACCATTGCTGAGGCTTGAGTAGGTAAACAAAGCGGCCTGAAAGCTCAAACTGGGTGGAGCCCACTGCAGCTCAAGGAGGCCTGCCTGCCTCTGTAGAGTACACCCCTGGGGGCAGGGCATAGCTGAACAAAAGGCAGCAGAAACTTCTGCAGACTTAAACATCCCTGTCTGACAGCTTTTAAGAGAGTAGTGGTTCTCCCAGCATGGAGTTTGAGATCTGAGAACGGACAGACTCCCTCCTCAAGTGGGTCCCTGACCCCTGAGTAGCGTAACTGGGAGACATCTCCCAGTAGGGGCCAATTGACACCTCATACAGCCGGGTGCCCCTCTGAGATGAAGCTTCCAGAGGAAGGATCAGGCAGCAACATCTGCCGTTCTGCAATATTTGCTGTTCTGCAGCCTCTGGTGGTGATACCCAGGCAAACAGCGTTTGGAGTGGACCTCCAGCAAACTCTAACAGACCTGCAGCTGAGAGTCCTGACTGTTAGAAGGAAAACTAACAAACAGAAAGGACATCCACACCAAAACCCTGTCTGTACGTCACCATCATCAAAGACTAACGGTAGATAAAACCACAAACATAGGGAGAAACCAGAGCAGAAAAGCTGAAAATTCTAAAAATCAGAGCGCCTCTTCTCCTCCAAAGGAACGCAGCTACTCGCCAGCAATGGAACAAAGCTGGATGGAGAATGACTTTGACAAGTTGACAGAAGAAGGCTTCAGATGATTGGTAATAACAAACTTCTCTGAGCTAAAGGAGGATGTTCGAACCCATCACAAAGAAGATAAAAACCTTGAGAAAAGATTGGACAAATGGATAACTGGAATAAACAGTGTAGAGAAGTCCTTAAATGACCTGATGGAGCTGAAAACCATGGCACGAGAACTACGTGATGCATACACAAGCTTCAGTAGCTGATTTGATCAAGTGGAAGAAAGGGTATTAGTGATTGAAGATCAAATGAATGAAATGAAGGGAGAAGAGAAGTTTAGAGAAAAAAGAGTAAAAAGAAATGAGCAAAGCCTCCAAGAAATATGGGACTATGTGAAAAGACCAAATCTACATCGGATTGGTGTACCTGAAAGTGACGGGGAGAATGGAACCAAATTAGAAAACACTCTTCAGGATATTATCCAGGAGAACTTCCTCAACCTAGCAAGGCAGGCCAACATTCAAATTCAGGAAATACAGAGAACGCCACAAAGATACTTCTCGAGAAGAGCCAACTCCAAGACACATAATTGTCAGATTCACCAAAGTTGAAATGAAGGAAAAATGTTAAGGGCAGCCAGAGAGAAAGGTCAGGTTACCCACAAAGGGAAGCCCATCAGACTAACAGCGGATGTCCCCGCAGAAACTCTCCAAGCCAGAAGAGAGTGGGGGCCAATATTCAACATTCTTAAAGGAAAGAATTTGCAACCCAGAATTTCATATCCAGCCAAACTAAGCTTCATAAGTGAAGGAGAAATAAAATCCTTTACAGACAAACAAATGCTGAGAGATTTTGTCACCACCAGGCCTCCCTTACAAGAGCTCTTGAAGGAAGCACTAAACATGGAAAGGAACAATCGTTACAAGCCACTGCAAAAACATGGCAAATTGTAAAGACCATCAATGCTAGGAAGAAACTACATCAATAATGAGCAACATAACCAGCTAACATCATAATGACAGGATCAAATTCACACATAACAATATTAACCTTAAATGTAAATGGGCTAAATGTTCCAATTAAAAGGCACAGAGTGGCAAATTACATAAAGAGTCAAGACCCATCAGTGTGCTGTATTCAGCAGACCCATCTCATGTGCAGAGACACACATAGGCTCAAAATAAAGGGATGGAGGAAGATCTACCAAGCAAACGGAAAACATAAAACAGCAGGGGTTGCAATCCTAGTCTCTGATGAAACAGACTTTAAACCAACGAAGATCAAAGAGACAAAGAAGGCCATTACATAATGGTAATGGGATCAATTCAACAAGAAGAGCTAACCTAAATATATATGCACCCAATACAGGAGCACCCAGATTCATAAAGCAAGTCCTGAGAGACCTACAAAGAGACTTAGACTCCCACAGAATAATAATGGGAGATTTTAACACCCCACTGCCAACATTAGACAGATCAACGAGACAGAAAGTTAACAAGGATATCCAGGACCTGAACTCAGCTCTGCACCAAGCAGACCTAATAGACATCTACAGAACTCTCCACCCCAAATCAACAGAGTATACATTCTTCTCAGTACCACATCACACTTATTCCAAAATTGACCACATAGTTGAAAGTAAAGCACTCCTCAGCAAATGTAAAAGAACAGAAATTATAAGGAACTATCTCTCAGACCACAGTGCAATCAAACTAGACTCAGGATTAAGAAACTCACTCAAAACTGCTCAACTACATGGAAACTGAACAACCTGCTCTTGAATGACTACTGGGTACATAACGAAATGAAGGCAGAAATAAAGATTTCTTTGAAACCAAGGAGAACAAAGACACAATGAACCAGAATCTCTGGGACACATTTAAAGCAGTGTGTAGAGGGAAATTTATAGCACTAAATGCCCACAAGAGAAAGCAGGAAAGACCTAAAATTGACACCCTAACATCACAATTAAAAGAACTAGAGAAGCAAGAGCAAACAAATTCAAAAGCTAGCAGAAGGCAAGAAATAACTAAGATCAGAGCAGAACTGAAGGAGATAGAGACACAAAAAACCCTTCAAAAAATCAATGAATCAAGGAGCTGGTGTTTTGAAAAGATCAACAAAATAGTGTTGGAAATTCTGGCCAAGGCAATCGGGCAAGAGAAAGAAAAAAAGGGTATTCAATTAGGAAAAGAGAAAGTCAAATTGTCCCTGTTTGCAGATGACATGATTGTATATTTAGAAAACCCCATCATCTCAGGCCAAAATCTCCTTAAGCTGATAAGCAACTTCAGCAAAGTCTCAGGATACAAAATCAATGTGCAGAAATCACAAGCATTCCTATACATCAATAACAGACAAACAGAGAGCCAAATCATGAGTGAACTCCCATTCACAATTGCTTCAAAGAGAATAAAATATCTAGGAATCCAACTTATAAGGGATGTGAAGGAGAAACACAAACCACTGCTCAATGAAATCAAAGAGGACACAAACAAATGGAAGAAGATTTGGTGCTCATGGATAGGAAGAATCAATATTGTGAAAATGGCTATATCCCCCAAGGTAATTTATAGATTCAATGCCATCCCCATCAAGCTACCAATGACTTTCTTCACAGAATTGGAAAAAAACTACTTTAAAGTTCATATGGAACCAAAAAAGAGCCCTCATTGCCAAGACCATCCTAAGCCAAGAAAGCAAAGCTGGAGGCATCATGCTACCTGACTTCAAACTATACTACAAGGCTAGAGTAACCAAAACAGCATGGTACTGGTACCAAAACAGAGATATAGATCAATGGAACAGAACAGAGCTCTCAGAAATAATGCCACATATCTACAACTATCTGATCTTTGACAAACCTGACACAAACAAGCAATGGGGAAAGGATTCCCTATTTAATAAACGGTGCTGGGAAAACTGGCTGGCCATATGTAGAAAGCTGAAACTGGATCCCTTCCTTACACCTTATACAAAAATTAATTCAAGATGGATTGAAGACTTAAATGTTAGACCTAAAACCATAAAATCCCTAGAAGAAAACCTAGGCAATACCATTCAGGACATAGGCATCGGCAAGGACTTCATGTCTAAAACACCAAAAGCAATGGCAACAAAAGCCAAAATTGACAAATGGGATCTAATTAAACTAAAGAGCTTCTGCACAGCAAAAGAAACTACCATCAGAGTGAACAGGCAACTTACAGAATGGGAGAAAATTTTTATAATCTACCCATCTGACAAAAGGCTAATATCCAGAATCTACAAAGAACTTAAACAAATTTGTAAGAAAAAATCAACCCCATCAAAAAGTGGGCAAAGGATATGAACAGACACTTCTCAAAAGAAGACATTTATGCAGTGAACAGACACGTGAAAAAATGTTCATCATCACTGGCCATCAGAGAAATGCAAATCAAAACCACAATGAGATACCATCTCACACCAGTTAGAATGGCGATCATTAAAAAGTCAGGAAACAACAGGTTCTGGAGAGGATGTGGAGAAATAGGAACACTTTTACACTGTTGGTTGGACTGTAAACTAGTTCAACCATTGTGGAAGACAGTGTGGTGATTCCTCAAGGATCTAGAACTAGAAATACCATTTGACCCAGCCATCCCATTACTGGACATATAACCAAAGGATTATAAATCATGCTGCTATAATGACACATGCACACACATGTTTATTGCGGCATTATTCACAATAGCAAAGAGTTGGAACCAACCCAAATGTCCATCAATGATAGACTGGATTAAGAAAATGTGTCACATATACACCATGGAATACTATGCAGCCATAACAAAGGACGAGTTCATGTCCTTTGAAGGGACGTGGATGAAGCTGGAAACCATCATTCTGAGCAAAGTATTGCAAGGACAGAAAACCAAACACCCCATGTTCTCACTCATAGGTGGGAATTGAACAATGAGAACACTCGGACACAGGGTGGGGAACATCACACACTGGGGCCTTTCATGGGGTGGGGGCAGGGGGGAGGTATAGCATTAGGAGATATACCTAATGTAAATGACGAGTTAACGGGTGCAGCATACCGACATGGCATGTGTATGCATATGTAACAAACCCACATGTTGTACACATGTACCCTAGAACTTAAAGTATAATAATAATTATAATAATTATGCAGGAAGTATAGTGATTAAATAAAATTGGGGGATTAGCATTCTAAAAAAAAAGACTGTCTCAAAAAAAAAAACTGTAAGTCAATGACAAGAGAAATTTTGGAAATTATACAAATACACGTGATATTGTTTGGCTCTGTGTCCCCACCCAAATCTCACCTTGAATTGTAGTAACCCCCACGTGTCATGGGAGGGACTCAATGGGAAGTAATTGAATCATGGAGGTGGGTTTTTCCCATGCTGTTCTTATGATAGTGACTAAGTCTTATGACATCTGATGGTTTTATAAAGGGAGTTCCCCTGCACATGCTCTCTTGCCTGCCGCCATGTGAGACAACCCTTTGCCCTTCCTTTGTCTTCCGCTATGATTGTGAGGCCTCCCCGGCCATGTGGAAATGTGAGGCCATTAAACGTCTTTTCTTTATAAATTACCCAGTGTCGGATATGTCTTTGTTAGCAGCATGAGAACAGACTAATACAACATAGAAATTAAACAATATGCTCCTAAATGACCAGTGAGTCAATGAGGAAATTAAAAAGAAAATTGAAAATTTCTTGAAACAAATAATGGAAACACATATACCAAAACCTATGGAATAT
The DNA here is from genome assembly GCF_000001405.40 of Homo sapiens. Taxonomy (NCBI): domain Eukaryota; kingdom Metazoa; phylum Chordata; class Mammalia; order Primates; family Hominidae; genus Homo; species Homo sapiens. The sequence continues at coordinate 25,558,441 of NC_000012.12, read as the reverse complement.
AGCAAAAGCAGTACTAAGAGGGAATTTTATAGCTGTAAGTGCCTACGTCAAAAAAGAAGAAAAATTTCAAATAACAGGTCTGATGATGCATCTGAAGAACTAGAAAAATAAGAGCAAACCAAACCCAAAATCAGTAGAAGAAATAATAAAGATCAGAGCAGAAACAAATGAAACTGAAATGAAAACAATACAAAAGATCAATAAAACAAAAAGTTGGTTTTTTGAAAAGTTAAACAAAATTGACAAACCTTTAGCCAGACTAAGAATAAAAGAGAAGATCCAAATAAATAAAGTCAGAGATGAAAAAGGAGACATTACAACTGATACTGATCTTTCTTACTCCTTTAATTGAGTGCTCCTCTCATAGGTTAAAATTTTTACATATTTTAAACAGGGTTCCTAGGGGGCGCTAGTGTTCCATAAACTAGAGAATCAATATTTGGCTGTTATGTTGAATAATGACTGCCTTTATCCTGTTTGCAGAGGGAATAAAAGCTAATGAATAGAATTTCTCAATTCAAATTGTTCTCCAATAATGTGTTACAGGCTTTGGCTCCAGACTACTTTTCTGCTAGAGATTGCCCATATATGATAGAAGAAAATGAAACTGCAAATTTATATCAATAGGAAACCTCAAAATTAACTATTTGCTCTTGGTTCAACCATTTGTTGGGTGTTATTTTGTTTCAAGACACATGGGCTGGTGGTTGTGATTTCATAAGATAGATTAAAAGAGTATAGGTGAAATAAATGTATTGGTTTGTATTTTTTTAAAAATTACTATACAGAATATAGTGTTCTGCAAATAAGAGCAAATGTTATGAATCTTTGTCTCCTGAACAAGTCTGAGGTGTCCTGACTTGACTTGGAAAAATAAGTGCTATATTCCTCTAAAGAGTATGAATAGAAAAGATTTGCAGACAGACTACTCCTAAAATACATGTAATGTGTAAAGTAATTAGACAGTTATTTTGAACTATTGCTAAAATTGGTATGTCTGAGGATTCAAACCAGTGTTTGAGACTCAGCCTCAGAAATGCAGATCTAAGACCTTAGTGTTGTTTTTCAACAGGATTTTGTGATTGGGAAGCTCCATGAAGATTACTTTGAACAAACTGTCTGAAACTTGAAACTTCCAATACATGTCCTCTAGCCTCTCTTGAAATACCCCTCGTAGGAGCTTAATGTGACTCTAACTTGAAGGTAAAATAATAGCATCTGTGTCTGAGGCTGTTATTACACGTGGATCTGTGTAAAAGAAATGAATTGACTGAGTACATTTTTGGACTAGCAAAAGGCTTTATAATAGGAATTTATACTATTTTTATGTGGGTGTAAATATGAAATTGAATTCCTACAATTGTATTCCAAACTCTTTGAATCTTAGATAATGGAACATGTCATAGTGTTTAAAATTGTAGTCCTGAACTGATTATTACTCAACTGCATATTACCCATGGCCTGAGAGGGGAAGAAAACTATCTTTATATATGCTGCCTTCATTCACACAAGACATTTTATTTGTATTACCAATTTAATAAAATCTCTTGCTGTGCAAATCTTCTCCACATGTGGAGGCAGAGAACTAAAATATATAAAGCCAGTTCTTTGTGTTCTTCAAATCTTTAAAAATTGTGTATATGTAATATTTTGTCTGTTTTTTAAACTTAAGAATATGGAATTTTGCCACTTTTAATTTTTTCTTAAGGTAGAAATCTCACAACATGAAACTCAGTTTTCATTACCCTAATTTGACCCACATCTACTCTTATGGGGCTTCAATTCCCCAGCAAAATTCTCGTACTTTCCCAACGCGGGGTAAAGGCAAAGAGAATTGACAGAGTGCCAAGAAGACAGAGGAGAGAGTGATTTGAGATGATTTGAGACCAGACCAGAAAAAGCAGGATGAAGCTGGTTCAGGAATGGACAAGCATTTAGGCAGATACCACAGAAAAAGGAAGATATGGAACAAGAGTAAAGCAGAAACAGCAAGTACAGTGAGGAGGTCTCTCTAATAGATGGATGAGACTAAATCTTGGCTCTGCCATTTACTGGCTGTATAAGCTTGGAAGAGGTATTTCATCTCTTGGAACTTCCACTTCCTCATTTGGAAAATGGGGAAATTCTCATCTTCTAGAGCTGTGGTGAAAGAACCGTATAAAGATTATTGCACTGGCACAATGGCTCACACCTGTAATCCCAACACTTTGGGAAGCCGAGGCAGGCAAATCACTTGAGGTCGGGAGTTCAAGACCAGCCCGGCCAACATGGCGAAACCTCGTCTCTACTAAAAATACAAAAATTGGCCGGGCGTGGTGGCACATGCCTGTAGTCCTAGCTACTTGGGAGGCTAAGGCAGTAGAATCACTTGAACCTAGGAGGCAGAGGTTGCAGTGAGCCGAGATTGCACCATTGCACTCCAGCCTGGATGACACAGCGACATCCATCTCAAAAAAAAAAAAAAAAAAAAAAAAAAGATTATTGCACCTCATGCACCTCTGCTTCTTCCTTTCAGTTCTTGCTGACCCTCTCCTTCCTGAGCAGACACAGCCATGTTGATGACACCATTAACATTTGAGTCTGTGCATCCCAAACTGAGGCTTCTATTTTAGTCTTTTTGCTATGGAGAACTTAGATATTTGCAGTCAAAAATAATCATAATCTATAATGAATCTCCATGTAACTATTACTCAGCTTTAATAATTACAAGTCATGGCCCAACTTTTTCATCTACATTCTCATCTGCTTCCTACTGTCTGTATTCATTAGAAACAGAGGACGTCATATCATTTTATCTATAAATGTTTTAGTATGTATCACTAAAAGATAAGAACCCTTTTCAAAAAACATAATCATGACACCATATCACACCTAAAATATTTACCAGTTATTCCTTAATATCATTAAGTACCATGTGCTTAAGTTTCTACTGTCTTATAAATTTCTACAGTTTGCTTGAATTAGGATATGTTATATCCACAAATTACAAAAAGTGTCTTTTAAATTTCTTAGTTGATTAGCTAATGTGCTCTTCTGTTTCCTGTATTACATGTAAAGCAGAGGATTCATCAGATTCAGGTTGATTTTGTTGCTGCTGATGGTATTATTGCTACTGTTATTCTCTGTCCAATAAGTTGTATCAACCACATGAATACTACCAAGTTGTATTGCTATTGGTGATGTAATTTTTTCCAAACTGATAACTCTTGGAAACGTCTGAACAAATCAATATAGAGTCTTTCCGGAATTTAAACAATAAATAGTTACATCCTAAAGACTTTGGTATATACTAAAACTGCAAAAATATTTTGTATTTATATGACATATAGAGCTAGGCTTTAGGTTCATATAATTCTAATCTTTTTTTTTTTTTTTTAATGACGGAGACTGGTTCTGTCACCCAAGCTGGAATGCAGTGGCACGATCTCAGCTCACTGCAACTCCACATCCCCGGTTCAAGCGATTCTCCTGCCTTAGCCTCCAGAGTAGCTGGGATTACAGGCACCCGCCACCACACCCAGCTGATTTTTGTATTTTTTTAGTAGAGACGGGGTTTCATCATGTTGGCCAGACTGGTCTTGAACTCCTGACCTCAAGTAATTCACTCCCTTTGGCCTCCCAAAGTGCTGGGATTACAGGTGGGAACCACTGTGCCTGGCCAGATAATTGTAATCTATTTTTCACCTGCATGAATGCCTAGAAAGGCACGTGTCATGTGGGAACACTATTTACTAAGTAGGATTATCTGCCACATTGTGGAAAGTCTAGCATCTCTGGGTTCTGTCTACCAAATGCCACTAATACCCGACCCGAATCTTTAATGACTACTATCAACATCCTCTTACATTTACAAAATGCTCTCTATGGTTCACTTTGGCCCCTGTTGAAAACCACTAAATTAGTTTAAGCAACAACAAAAGAGGAAATTGGTTTTCATTGCATATATACAGTAATTTAAGAAAAGGAAATAAGAAAAATGTCTACTATGGGGAATGAGTATTGAAACACTCACAACTTCAAAGCCTTCAAAAGTTTTTCTCAGCTGACAGAATTTTATTTCTCCAAAATATGTTGGAAAATATGAGCAGGCTCTCTGATAAAACCAATGAGGTCATAACGACTTTATGCTAATATATGCAGTTCAAGTAGAGAAATTTTTAACAGCTAGAAAGCCATCCAGACTGGTACAGGTAGGGAGACTGGGAGAGTGACAAGAAATGACAAGCCCATTTTTAATTCTTTACTAAGCGTAAGTAAAAATTTATAAACCTTCTGATGCTATATTTACATAATTGGCCCATAATGTTCATAAGGAATTGTGCTTCATCTCTGAGAGGGAGGAAATACGGTCAAACGTTTACTTCCTTTTAACTTACCTTATTACGTGTTACACGTCTTGACTTTTTCTTTTTGGCTTTTTAAGACAGTTACTTTATTGTCTTTAAAAATCATTTTCAAATCTATATTAGAAGATATTTTAGTATTATTTCTGAAAGCAGGTATTGTTTATTCATGGTACCTAGCCAGTTTTTAAGAAATAGTAGAATCTTATTAACTATTTTTAATAAGCTTACTCATCCAGTAATCATCATTTATATATCTTATTACTGTATATAATCATGTACTTTCATAGTTATTAATTTTATTGCCATACTATCATTATCATGAAACATTAAGTGTGAGTGTTTTACACAGAGGAGAAACTGAATTAAGTGATTTCTTCTAAATCATACTGCTGGCATAACTAGGAGAAGAATTTAGGTGTTCTGGCTTTGATTTTATGATTTCTACCAATAGACTTCTTTTTGCATTGAAGTTTTATGGTTTCTATTCTTGCTGCCTAGCTGTTTCCATGTGCTCAAAGTATTTGTCCAGAGAGAGAGAAAGAAAAAAAAGAAGAAAAGAGTTGTGATTAATTTCCCCAGTATGTACATACTGGCCTTGACTCTTAGAAATACAAAACAAGATATCAATAATTTTGGTGGCAAAGTCTAGTGGAAGATATGGCTTTCCTAAGAGCAAATTACTTTATTTAATGTCTGCAAACTGCAAAGAAGGTACAGCATCAACATAGGAATTGTTCAGAAACTGGAACTTGGTTACTATGGAGACATTACCTCATAGTTCTAAGAGGCAGTGTTGGCCAGAAGCAACAACTGTAGTCATAAAGGTCTCTTTGCCAAGTTACTGCCCTCTCAAGCTGCTTCCAGTGAATGCTACACACCTGCACCATGGTTTGTCCGACATCCTTAGCCAAGATCAGGATTGGCTATGTTGGTACTTACATATCCTCATGAGAATTGTGGTTCTGGTACTAGTTTGGTAAAGAAATTATTAAACCTAGCTGATGCTTGAAGGTAGTTGGATTAACAGGTGAGGTCACTTTGAAAAGAAAAATCTGCCTTGAACCTCAGCCATATTCGTCATCTGATGTCATGATCTGCTTTCCTAGGAAAGAAAAGAGACTTCTTTTCTAGCCAAGATGAAAGATACACAAGACATTCAGGAAGCTTCGAAGGCAATGCAGAATAAAGTCCATGAGCAGGAAGATAAGAATGAGAAACAAAAACAGTGAGCATGCATAGATGCGATGGAAGCAGAGTTAGAGCTGAGTTATAGAGGAGGAATGATGGCATGCTTGACCTCTTTTGTTTCAATACTCTTATGAACCAGTTAGAACTAGAATATATCTCACAAATTTTCTAGAAATAATGGACTGTAGCATACAACTACTTCCACAACTACTGTTTTAGAAGGTTCTAGTCCTTGAGAAGTATAAAAATCCACCTGGACAGATCTCCATAGTATAAGACCTAGCTGAGATTCCAGCCAAAGTTCCGTTTTTTTTTTTTTTTTTTTTCAGACAGAGTGCAGTGGCGCGATCTTGGCTCACTGTAAGCTCCGCCTCCCGGTTTCACGCCATTCTCTTGCCTCAGCCTCTCGGAGTAGCTAGGACTACAGGCGCCCGCCACCACGCCCGGCTAATTTTTTGTATTTTTAGTAGAGACGAGGTTTCACCGTGGTCTTGATCTCCTGACCTCGTGATCTGCCCGCGTCGGCCTCCCAAAGTGCTGGGATTACAAGCGTGAGCCACCGCGCCTGGCCTCCAAAGTTCCCATTTAATATGTTAAGTCAATTTACAGAAATAGTTTCTTTCTAGAACTATTTTACAGAACTGGGGACAAAAAAATTACCAGAATATTGGTTTTGGAAATGTCCGTAAGAATGTTATATAAAATTATAATCCCTATTTTTACATTTAATATAAATCATTCATCAACTAAAGCATTACCATTGGTTTTCCAATGTTTTCTTTAAAATTGACTTATTGAGTATACATAATTTAAAGCTATTGTTACTTTGGACCTACAAGTCCTATGTTTATTGTTCAGTCCAAGTCCATTTTTAAATATTTGTTCTTAGAGGTCCTCTGAGAAATGATTGTCGTCAATATTATCAATGCAGCGTCTCCCAAAGTAACATTGAAATGCTAGACTTGAGCTTTTGTAACTGCCCCTGTTTTAATGTTAATCAATTACGGAGGGAGTGAGATACCAAGAAGGGGCTTAGAAAATTACTTATGCTTAAGGGAAAGTTAACTAACCACTGAGAAAAATCTCTCATCTTCCAAAAGAAGACTAATAGGTAGGCAAGTGGAAGGTTCAGGTGATGGGCTGTATCACACGAGTTTGTTCCTGAAATGTCTCAGCTCTTTCAAAGATGTGTGCAGCCATTAGAAATTTCTTATTCGGCCAGGCATAGTGGCTCATGCCTGTAATTCCAGCAATTTGGGAGGCCAAGGCAAAAGAATCACTTGAGGCCAGGAGTATTAGAGACAGCCCGGGCAACATAGCAACACCACATGTCTACAAAATTTTTTTCAAAATTAGCAGGCATAGTGCCATGTGCCTGTAGTCTCAGCTACTTGGGAGGCTGAGGCGGGAGGATCACTTGAACCCAGGAGTTGGTGGTTGCAGTAAACTATGATTGTACCACTGTACTCCAGCCTGGATGACAGAGAGAGACCCTGTCTCATAAAAAAAGAAAAGAAAAGAAAAAAATTTCTTATTCACCTACCAAAATAAGAACACCCTATAGCTCCAGGACAGGTTTCTGTGATTGCAAAGATTTTGTTAAGCCTTCTTGGGAGTCTTCTGTGGAATTAAATTTATTTTAAAGTGCTATTGTTTTACTAGAGGAAAAAAATTGAGATCTTATAAAATGAACATGCTGAAAAGAATAGCCAGTCTGTTATGAAGCCCAGATGTAAGGAATGTTGAAAGAGAAAAGCATTTCTCTGCATTTCTCTGCTGTTGTAGTCAATGTCAGGGAGAAGTCGTGTCTTACAATCCTGTCTCATGTTGAACACAGATGAAATATCTGTAATCTGACAGTTTACCTCTAAAGTCTCCTTCCCACTACCTCTACGGTCATACTCAATAGTGTATCTTCATAGGTTAGAGCTTTTCTGACAAATATGAATGCTTGGAGTGTCAGCAGGATGTTAAGTGCACATGCTTCTTAAGCACTGGGCTAGTAATCATGACATTTTCAAAGCCAATGCCATTTAATTATTTTAAAAATTTGCCTGAGATGTCTGTGTCTGCTGAGAGGCACATTAAAGAGCAGTCTAGTTTTGAATACAAAACTCTCCAGGTATAAGATTTCTGATAAAGGAACTTTCACATTGTAGAACAAAATGATTGTGAATACCTCTTGGTAAACAGAGATATTGAGGGTGACAGCAGCAAGATGGCAGAGTAGGAAACTCCAGGCCCTCATTCTCCTGTAAGAACCTGAAAGAACAACAAGGAGAGGTTGGCTAACATAATCTTATAAGAGCTTTGGGAAATAGATCAAAACAGAGATAATTCATGGAGGCAAAATAATTAGTTCCTGACTTATAGTGGATAGATATGTGGACCCCCAGAAAGGGGATGGCTGAACTGGCCATTTGTCTCATTTTTCAGAGAAATAAAGGGTTTGGATTGGAGGATTTTGTTCACAATTTAAGCACTGAACACGCATGCATACACACATGCACCCACAAAAATTGCTTTGACGTCACTGGGAAGAGCCTCAGTGTGACTCATAAAATGAAACGTCCTAAGTCTTTTCAGGATTCATGTCAATGAAGTGTTGTTTAACTTGTAAAATAATTGTACTGAAGCTTATGAACCTTGTTCAAATGATTGTGCACTAGTTAACAAATGTTCCTTTAGATATAAAAAGGAAATCTTTGTTCATAGTAAGATTCACTTATAAAAATAGTACACGAAAATGATCTTTCTTCTCCCTCTATTCTGTCATTCCCTCCAATACACATACACACACACAAACATGTACAGTTTATTTGAAGGCAGACATTCACTAAACAATCTTAATTAATATAGAAAAGTTAGTTAAGCAGCAACAAGAATTAAAGGAAAAGCATATAGGAAACAATGATATATTAAACCAGAATTATAATCATGATTTTATGATAACGGAAAGGGAAAATAATGGTAAGTGATCAAAGTGGAGGTATAAATGGCTTATAAAGTCTCCACTTAGAGTAAAAAGTACATTTAAAAGCCTGGAAGGAGATGGTAAAATGTCTTGTTGGTGGCATTGTAATGATTAGTATTATCTTTTTTCTACTTACACATTTTCAGAACTATCTACAATAGAAATTTGTTAATTTTCAAATATTTTTAAAGCATACAACATATTGATAATAAAGTGTTTTATTTAGATTGTTAAAACTAGAAATACAAGATGTTATTGTGCTTGTGTTGGATGCATATTACCTTTGAAAAGCAGAATTCTGGGTAATAATAATAGCCCATGCTTCTTTTATTCACAGCCACTTTTACTTTCTTATTTATTTATTTATATTATATTTTTTGTACACAGAAGAGAAGACAAACTTGGAGTATATTCTTTAGTACATTTTTCCCCAAAGATGTTGGGTTCAGTTGCCACAACACTGCCATTGTCATCTTCAAATTCCAGTGGAATGCCTCTTGGTTACTATCTGTCTAGTCCTCAGATTAGTAGAGTAACTATATCAACAACTGGACAATTGACTTCTAAAGCTACTGTAGGTAGCTGTTCCAGAGTGGAAAACAGCTTGGGTAAGCAAAATATGGAACCCATATTTTTAGAGTACTTTTAAAGCTTATATTTCAATAGATTGCATATATGACTCTCAGTCAGAATGATGTTTTATTATTACTCCCCCAAAATGCTAACTTCCTAGCATCTTATGAAAAGTAACTTAACTATGGTCATCACTGATCCTAGAACTGGGGTATTAAATTCAGGCCACATACATGCATGTGCCAAATATATCATCCTTATAATTAAGGTATCTTGAGTTATCATGATGGTTCATGAGTTGACCGCTAACATACATTAGAATTGCTAGAGAATTAAAAATTCCAATGTATAGCATTAACTGCCCTTCCTCTGAACACTACCAGAAGGATTAAATACCAGAAGGATTGTGTATTTTGTGCCTTTACGAGATGTATGGCTTAAGTAACGAATAGACAGGTAGATGAGACAAAGAAGTAACATAAAGTAGGTATAAAATAATGGAGAGAAAATGGTAAAACAATAAAGAGAACTTGAAGGAGAGGAAAATGAAAACAGTACTATGATCAGAAAAAGTAAAGTTTTGACTATTATCAACAATGTGCTCAGCAATACCCATGCTCTAGGGTGTTTGTTTCTCACCATGTTTAGGGAACTTTGAGGGTGTGTTTCCGTGGTTTACTGAAAACACTATCATCCTTTGAAACACAGGACCTACTGTTTTTCTACAATGTTAGGCACCAGGTAGAGTACGTAACATCTCTGCATCTCATTTTCCACAAATGCAAATGGGGATTAAAATAGAAATGTCACAGGGCTATCCTAAAGATTAAATATTTATGAAAATTACCTAGCACATAATAAATACTCAATAAACATTAGTTATGAATCTGAACTTACCTGTAAGCACCTTCTTTTAAAATAGATGAGATTTGGGGTTTGTGTTTCAATTGCCAATCAACTAACAAGTTTCAAGTTTCAAAACTGGTAGCACAAATAGTCCAGTGACTATCTGATGCCTCCATTATCCTCTAACATTCTGTGCCCATTTACAGCCTGGCTGCCCCTCATCTATATTTCATTTTGTTTCTAATATATTTCATTTTGTTTCTGATATTTTAAAAAAATCTTTGACATGGGTTATATAGGGTTTTTTTTTCTCCTGCCATTATGGTCAGATTCCCTATGTTTCATTTTTTGTATGACAAGTATAAAATTTCCCAAGAAACCTCCTAAGTTTACATTGACCTTTAGGATGACCAAAACCCATATACTGAAAATGAAAATACAAATTTTAGATCTGGGAAGAAAAGATTTTCTATCATTCATCATTATATCATCATGGCATATGTTCTATATTTGGGTTAAACTTTGGCTCCTTGTAATGGGGCAAAAAAATGAAATACAGTGGCTTCCCCTTATGGTATGGGAGCTGAATTGGGATGTAGTCTTCTCCTTCCATTACTGTAGATTCCACTTCTCTAGATAGATGTATAGGTTCACTGAGATTTGTTGCACTTGGTTCATTGTTATCTTTTGTTCTAGACAAAATAACAACTGGGACCAAAGTTAATGTGTCTTCTTTTCTTTTGGAATACCAAGGCTTTTATTTCTCAAGATGAGCTGTTAAGAAAGATGCTGTATATTATCCTTCCCCAAAGGAATTTAAGGATTAAGGAAGTACTTGACTGAGAATGAACTAATGTAATTCCAAATGCTTTTTTTTTCTCAGCAAAATACTTTGAGGAATCTGCTTTAAAAACGATGATTTTATTTCTTTATATCTTTCACCTTGTTTTGGTTTTGCTAAAGATGTAAGATTTAAACTCTAGATTGTCTTAATCCTTTGAGGATTTTGGACCGAGAGTCACATTAACCAAAACTCTGTACTGTAATAATAGCTATCATTTATTAGCAGATAAATATTAAATATTATGCTAGACACTTACATGATCTCCAGCTCTCTTATCTCCTTACACAAGGTGGTGATGGTATCTTTATTTTATGTTCAGGAAAACGGAAACTTGGAAAACTTACATCACGTGGCTTAGTAAATGGCAGAACTGAAATATAATTACAAGTCTGTCTAAATGCAAGACACGTTGTTCTTTCCACTTCATCACGACGCGTCTTTGTAATGTAACTCCCCCTTTGCGGATATATTATTAGATTTGTCCAGAATGGCTCTTTATGCTTAAAATTATGAAAACTATATTGTATTTGAATCAAAGTAGTGAGGATTTAAAAGAGCAAACTTCTAATAGGACACTGGAATCTGATTAAGCATGACTTTATCTTTCTAATAAAGTATTTTAATTAAATAGAGGAAGTTTAAGTCTTTACCTGGCAAGAGTACTAACCATTGCAGGAAAGGATTCATATGAGGCTTTAACTTATGGGTAGCCATTTGGGAATTTTAGCATACATGAAGTAGAATAAGGCTATATTTATATGTAACATATCTAAATTTGACAGACTAAAATGTTTTCCCTATTTCAAAATGGATGATGCTTCTAGTACAACTAAATAATCAGTTAAATAGTCATTATTCTAATGATATAATTTATTGTTTAAGATAACTGAAATACTCTTTAGGAACTGAAGATGTCACTATAAATATCCACTTACTGATTATTTTATAGGCTTTTGTTTAAAGCTTCTAACTATTCTCATTAAGTTTGATAGTGATATTAAAATGTAAAAATATAATTTTGTAGAAGCAGAGAATAAAGATAATGGCTTTAGGTCCTTTTAATGTCATTTTATTTACTTCTTTCCTGGTTACTTCTTTCTTCTGTCTACTTGAAAGATGCCAGCCCCTTCTCAGTTCCGAAGAAACAGGATGAATCACCCATGATTGGGGATGGAGAAGATTATTTCCTTTCTTTGTTTGGTGATTCAAAGAAACTTACAGCACACTCAAACTACACTCAGAAAACTTTAAAATACTTTTCTATGATTCTTGAAGAAGTTGGCCAATTTACCTCCAGGTACATATTTTATTTGAACTACTTAGTATCTTCTGTCGGGGTAGGACCAATAAATCAGCAGAAAACAAAGTTCTAATCTGTAGTTATATGCATTATTTTATCTAAAACACTAATCAGTTCATTGAAATATAACTGTTTCATCTTCTGAGCAATTAAAATAAATTGATATAATGGTCTAAAGAACCAAACAAGAAATGTGACTTCTTCAAAGATGCCAGAGTAAACAATGCTACATAATCTTTACTAATAGGGTCAACTCAATTATTCAAGGCACTTTTTTATCGTTGTTGAATTATTTAGATGGATCTAATATATATATTTTCTTCTAGTAGCTCTTGAGTTCAAGACAGAAGGAGAAAGATAAATTTTTACTTCATTGATCCATTTTTATGACTGTTAGTATCTATGCAAAAAGAAATTGATCAGGAAGAAAGTTGATATTAAGACTAAAATAAAAGAGTTATGATCAATTCATTTATATTAATATAACCATGCCTTACTTATTACATGAACAACATACTGAATTTGAAATGCTAGTAATAAGACATGTTGATAGAAGTTGTTAGATGGCTAAAAGAAATCAGAGTTGAGGGTCAGATATGAAGGAAATTTTCTCTCCCTTTATGCCATGTTTCCTAAAATCAATCACCCATGCCCTATTACAATTTAACAGTGGAGAATACCTAAGCATTTTTCTCTACTGTCTAAAAACACCTCATCAGATCCTTCATTCAGTACCTACTATGTTAAAATGATGAGCAGTTTGGAACAAAATAAAATGTTCAAAGCTTCTGTTAAAATGCAATCCTATTAAAAATGGTGGTGTAGAAGCAAGATGTCTTCAATCCCTATCCAGCCACCCCAGAAAACAAAAACAAATATACAGTGCCAAGATTATCATTATCATCAGCAGTATCTCAGAACTCAAATATGAGGATGAGACAATTCCTGAGGCCACAGAGAAGTGAGAAACACTCGTATAATAATTAAGCTCCCCAGAGGTCAAGGACAAAGAGAAGAAGCTAAAAACTGTGAGAGAAAAGAATTTGTCTAGCAACAGACTTCTCAGTGGAAACCATGTAGGTCAGGAGGTAATGAGACAATGTTTTTAATGTGTTAAAACCCTGCTATCCAAGAATAGTGTATCCAGCCAAGCTATCTTTCAAATATGAGGAGATAAAATCTTTCCCAAACAAAAGCTAAGAGAATTCACCACCACGAGACCTATCTTATAAGAAATGCTAAGGAGAGTTCTTCAATCTGAAACAAAAAAACACTAATGTTCAAAAAGAAAACACCTGAAAGTATAAAACCTCTGGTAAAATTAAGTACATGGAAAAACCCAGAATTGTAATTGTGGTATACAATCCACTCATTACTCTAGCGTGAATCCCAAAAGACAAATCTATCAAAAACAGTAATAGCTATAGCAGTCTGCTAAGAGATAGGCAGTATAAAAATACGTAAATTGAGAAAACTAACAGTCAAAATATGGAAGGATGGAGTTCCAGTCTAGAGATTTTTTCTTTGTTTCTATTCTTTCTTTTTTTCTATTCTTTCCTTTGTGATTCAAGGTAAGTATTCATCTCTTTAAAGTAACTTGTTATAGCTGTAAGATGTTTTTTGTAAGCCTCATGTAACCACAATGCAAAAACCTATAATAGATTCACAAAAAATAAAAAGCAATGAATTAAAATATACTACCAAAGAAAATTACTTAACCACAAAAGAATATAGTAATAAAGGACAAAAGGAAGAGACAAATTATAAAACAACCCAAAAACAAGAAATAAATTCTTCTTTTCAATAATAATACTTAATGTAAATGGACTCAATACTCAATTTAAAGGCATAGAGTGGCTTAGGGATAAGGAAACAAAATCCAGCTATATGCTGCCTAGAAGAAACCCACTTCACCTACAAAGGCATACAGACTGAAAGTGAAGGGATAGAAAAACTATTCCATTCAACTGGAAACCAAAAAAGAGTAGGAGTAGCTATACTTAGATAAAATAGACTACAAATCAATGACTATAAAAAGAGACAAAGAAGGTCACTATATAATGATAAAGGGGTCAATTCAGCAAGAAGATATAATAATTATAAATATCTGTACACCCCACACCAAAGCTCCCAAGTATATAAAGCAAACGAATAGATTTAAACAGAGATATAGACTGCAGTACAGTAGTAGGGCACTTTAACATCCTATTCTCAGTAATGGACAGATGAACCAGACACAAAAATCACGAAGAAACATCAGAGTTAAGTTGCACATTAGACCAATGAGGCCTGACATGTGCAGAACATTTCACCCAATTGCTGCAGAATATACATTCTTTTCATCAGCACGTGGAACATTTTCCTGAATAGACTCTCTCTTAAGCCACAAAACAAATATCAAAAAAGTAAAAATTATGTCAAGTACTTTTGTGACCACATTGGAATAAAACCAGAAATCAATTCTTGGAACTTAGGAAAATACACAAACACATGGAAATTAAGAAACACAGTTCCAAGCAACCAATGGATCAGTGAGGAAACTGAGAAGAAAATTTAAAAATGTCTTGAAACAAATGGAAATGGAAACACAACATACCAAAATCTCTGGGACACAAAAAAAAGCAGTACTAAAAGGGAAGTTTATGGCAATAAATACCTATATCAAGAAAGAAAAGCTTCAAGTAAACAATCTAACAACGTATCTCAAGGAGAACTAGGAAAGCAAGAAAAAAAAAACAAACTGAAAATTAGTAGAAGAAAAGAAACAATAAAGATCAGAGAAAAATAAATGAAATTGAGACCAAAAAATATAGATCAACAAACAAAAAGTTGGCTTTTTTCCATGGTGTTGGATTGTATCAAATACTTTCTATGCATCTAGTGAGATGATCATATGGTTTTTCTTTTTTAATGTTAAACATCCCTTCACTTTTACCATAAATATTTGGTCATAATGTTTATGTTTTACTATACTGTTTGAATTCCATTTGTTAAAATATTGCTTCAAACTTTTGCATCAATGTTTGTAAAGATTATTGGTCTGTAGTTTTCTTTCCCTGTAATGTCCTTGTCTGTTTTGGTATCACGGTAATTCCACTGTTTATGGAATGAGATGGGATATAGTCTCTCCTTTATCCTTTTCTAGAAGAGATTGTGTAGAAGTAATTTTTTTTCATAAATGTCTTATAGAACTTATTGGTGAAGCCATCTGGGCCTGGAATTTCTTGGTGGTAAAGTTTTAAAACTATAAATTGTTTTTAAATAGATATTAGGCTATTCTAATTATTTCTTCTTGAATAAGCTTGGGTAGTTTTTGTCTTTCAAGAAATGTGTCCATTTTTATCTAAGTTGTCCAATTATTTGCATAATGTCATTTATAATATTCTCTTATCCTTTTAAGAACTGTAGAATCTTTATTGGTATCACCTTTCTCATTTCTCATATGGTCATCTGTATCTTCTCTTTTTCCTGATCATATCACTAGAGATTTAGTTTTATTGAGCTCCTCAAAGAACATGTGTTTGGTTATATTGGTTTCCCCTATTTTTTGTTTTTTATTTAATTGATTTTCATTTTGGGCTACATTCCCTTTCTTCTGTCTACTTTGGGCTTTTTTTTTCTTCTTTTTTTATTTAATTTATTTATTTTTATTATACTTTAAGTTTTAGGGTACATGTGCACATTGTGCAGGTTAGTTACATATGTATACATATGCCATGCTAGTGTGCTGCACCCACTAACTCGTCATCTAGCATTAGGTATATCTCCCAGTGCTTTCCCTTCCCCCTCCCCCCACCCCACAACAGTCCCCAGAGTGTAATGTTCCCCTTCCTGTGTCCATGTGATCTCATTGTTCAATTCCCACCTATGAGTGAGAATATGCAGTGTTTGGTTTTTTGTTCTTGCGATAGTTTACTGAGAATAATGATTTCCAATTTCATCCATGTCCCTACAAAGGACATGAACTCATCATTTTTTATGGCTGCATAGTATTCCATGGTGTATATGTGCCACACTTTCTTAATCCAGTCTATCATTGTTGGACATTTGGGTTGGTTCCAAGTCTTTGCTATTGTGAATAATGCCGCAATAAACATACACGTGCATGTGTCTTTATACCAGCATGATTTATAGTCCTTTGGGTATATACCCAGTAATGGGAGGCTGGGTCAAATGGTATTTCTAGTTCTAGATCCCTGAGGAATCGCCACACTGACTTCCACAATGGTTGAACTAGTTTACAGTCCCACCAACAGTGTAAAAGTGTTCCTATTTCTCCATATCCTCTCCAGCACCTGTTGTTTCCTGACTTTTTAATGATTGCCATTCTAACTGGTGTGAGATGGTATCTCATTGTGGTTTTGATTTGCAGGTCTCTGATGGCCAGTGATGGTGAGCATTTTTTCGTGTGTCTGTTGGCTGCATAAATGTCTTCTTTTGAGAAGTGTCTGTTCATGTCCTTCGCCCACTTTTTGATGGGGTTGTTTGTTTTTTTCTTGTAAATTTGTTTGAGTTCATTGTAGATTCTGGATATTAGCCCTTTGTCAGATGAGTAGGTTGCAAAAATTTTCTCCCATTTTGTAGGTTGCCTGTTCACTCTGATGGTAGTTTCTTTTGCTGTGCAGAAGCTCTTTAGTTTAATTAGATCCCATTTGTCAATTTTGTCTTTTGTTGCCATTGCTTTTGGTGTTTTAGACATGAAGTCCTTGCCCATGTCTATGTCCTGAATGGTAATGCCTAGGTTTTCTTCTAGGGTTTTTATGGTTTTAGGTCTAACATTTAAGTCTTTAATCCATCTTGAATTGATTTTTGTATAAGGTGTAAGGAAGGGATCCAGTTTCAGCTTTCTACATATGGCTAGCCAGTTTTCCCAGAACCATTTATTAAATAGGGAATCCTTTCCCCATTGCTTGTTTTTCTCAGGTTTGTCAAAGATCAGATAGTTGTAGATATGTGGCGTTATTTCTGAGGGCTCTGTTCTGTTCCATTGATCTATATCTCTGTTTTGGTACCAGTACCATGCTGTTTTGGTAGCCTTGTAGTATAGTTTGAAGTCAGGTAGTGTGATGCCTCCAGCTTTGTTCTTTTGGCTTAGGATTGAATTGGTGATGCGGGCTCTTTTTTGGTTCCATATGAACTTTAAAGTAGTTTTTTCCAATTCTGTGAAGAAAGGCATTGGTAGCTTGATGGGGATGGCATTGAATCTGTAAATTACCTTGGGCAGTATGGCCATTTTCACAATATTGATTCTTCCTACCCATGAGCATGGAATGTTCTTCCATTTGTTTGTATCCTCTTTTATTTCCTTGAGCAGCGGTTTGTAGTTCTCCTTGAAGAGGTCCTTCACATCCCTTGTAAGTTGGATTCCTAGGTATTTTATTCTCTTTGAAGCAATTGTGAATGGGAGTTCACTCATGGTTTGGTTCTCCGTTTGTCTGTTGTTGGTGTATAGGAATGCTTGTGATTTTTGCACATTGATTTTGTATCCTGAGACTTTGCTGAAGTTGCTTATCAGCTTAAGGAGATTTTGGGCTGAGACAATGGGGTTTTCTAGATATACAATCATGTCATCTGCAAACAGGGACAGTTTGACTTCCTCTTTTCCTAATTGAATACCCTTTATTTCCTTCTCCTGCCTAATTGCCCTGGCCAGAACTTCCAACACTATGTTGAATAGGAGCGGTGAGAGAGGGCATCCCTGTCTTGTGCCAGTTTTCAAAGGGAATGCTTCCAGTTTTTGCCCATTCAGTATGATATTGGCTGTGGGTTTGTCATAGATAGCTCTTATCATTTTGAAATATGTCCCATCAATACCTAATTTATTGAGAGTTTTTAGCATGAAGGGTTGTTGAATTTTGTCAAAGGCCTTTTCTGCATCTATTGAGATAATCATGTGGTTTTTGTCTTTGGCTCTGTTTATATGCTGGATTACATTTATTGATTTGCATATATTGAACCAGCCTTGCATCCAAGGGATGAAGCCCACTTGATCATGGTGGATAAGCCTTTTGATGTGCTGCTGGATTCGGTTTGCCAGTATTTTATTGAGGATTTTTGCATCAATGTTCATCAAGGATATTGGTCTAAAATTCTCTTTTTTGGTTGTGTCTCTGCCCGGCTTTGGTATCAGAATGATGCTGGCCTCATAAAATGAGTTAGGGAGGATTCCCTCTTTTTCTATTGATTGGAATAGTTTCAGAAGGAATGGTACCAGTTCCTCCTTGTACCTCTGGTAGAATTCGGCTGTGAATCCATCTGGTCCTGGACTCTTTTTGGTTGGTAAGCTATTGATTATTGCCACAATTTCAGATCCTGTTATTGGTCTATTCAGAGATTCAACTTCTTCCTGGTTTAGTCTTGGGAGAGTGTATGTGTCAAGGAATTTATCCATTTCTTCTAGATTTTCTAGTTTATTTGTGTAGAGGTGTTTGTAGTATTCTCTGATGGTAGTTTGTATTCCTGTGGGATCGGTGGTGATATCCCCTTTATGATTTTTTATTGCGTCTATTTGATTCTTCTCTCTTTTTTTCTTTATTAGTCTTGCTAGCGGTCTATCAATTTTGTTGATCCTTTCAAAAAACCAGCTCCTGGATTCATTAATTTTTTAAAGGGTTTTTTGTGTCTCTATTTCCTTCAGTTCTGCTCTGATTTTAGTTATTTCTTGCCTTCTGCTAGCTTTTGAATGTGTTTGCTCTTGCTTTTCTAGTTCTTTCAATTGTGATGTTAGGGTATCAATTTTGGATCTTTCCTGCTTTCTCTTGTGGGCATTTAGTGCTATAAATTTCCCTCTACACACTGCTTTGAATGCGTCCCAGAGATTCTGGCATGTTGTGTCTTTGTTCTCGTTGGTTTCAAAGAACACCTTTATTTCTGCCTTCATTTCGTTATGTACCCAGTAGTCATTCAGGAGCAGGTTGTTCAGTTTCCATGTAGTTGAGCGGTTTTGAGTGAGATTCTTAATCCTGAGTTCTAGTTTGATTGCACTGTGGTCTGAGAGATAGTTTGTCATAATGTCTGTTCTTTTACATTTCCTGAGGAGAGCTTTACTTCCAAGTATGTGGTCAATTTTGGAATAGGTGTGGTGTGGTGCTGAAAAAAATGTATATTCTGTTGATTTGGGGTGGAGAGTTCTGTAGATGTCTATTAGGTCCGCTTGGTGCAGAGCTGAGTTCAATTCCTGGGTATCCTTGTTGACTTTCTGTCTCGTTGATCTGTCTAATGTTGACAGTGGGGTGTTAAAGTCTCCCATTATTAATGTGTGGGAGTTGAAGTCTCTTTGTAGGTCACTCAGGACTTGCTTTATGAATCTGGGTGCTCCTGTATTGGGTGCACATATATTTAGGATAGTTAGCTCTTCTTGTTGAATTGATCCCATTACCATTATGTAATGGCCTTCTTTGTCTCTTTTGATCTTTGTTGGTTTAAAGTCTGTTTTATCAGAGACTAGGATTGCAACCCCTGCCTTTTTTTGTTTTCCATTTGCTTGGTAGATCTTCCTCCATCCCTTTATTTTGAGCCTATGTGTGTCTCTGCACGTGAGATGGGTTTCCTGAATACAGCACACTGATGGGTCTTGACTCTTTATCCAATTTGCCAGTCTGTGTCTTTTAATTGGGGCATTTAGTCCATTTACATTTAAAGTTAATAGTGTTATGTGTGAATTTGATCCTGTCATTATGATGTTAGCTGGTTATTTTGCTCGTTAGTTGATGTAGTTTCTTCCTAGTCTCAATGGTCTTTACATTTTGGCATGATTTTGCAGCGGCTGGTACCGGTTGTTCCTTTCCATGTTTAGCGCTTCCTTCAGGAGCTCTTTTAGGGCAGGCCTGGTGGTGACAAAATCTCTCAGCATTTGCTTGTCTATAAAGTATTTTATTTCTCCTTCACTTATGAAGCTTAGTTTGGCTGGATATGAAATTCTGGGTTGAAAATTCTTTTCTTTAAGAATGTTGAATATTGGTCCCCACTCTCTTCCAGCTTGTAGGGTTTCTGCCTAGAGATCCGCTGTTAGTCTGATGGGCTTCCCTTTGAGGGTAACCCGACCTTTCTCTCTGGTTGCCCTTAACATTTTTTCCTTCATTTCAACTTTGGTGAATCTGACGATTATGTGTCTTGGAGTTGCTCGTCTCGAGGAGTATCTTTGTGGCGTTCTCTGTATTTCCTGAATCTGAATGTTGGCCTGCCTTGCTAGATTGGGGAAATTCTCCTGGATAATATCCTGCAGAGTGTTTTCCACCTTGGTTCCATTCTCCCCATCACTTTCAGGTACACCAATCAGACGTAGATTTGGTCTTTTCACATAGTCCCATATTTCTTGGAGGCTTTGCTCGTTTCTTTTTATTCTTTTTTCTCTAAACTTTCCTTCTCACTTCATTTCATTCATTTCATCTTCCATTGCTGATACCCTTTCTTCCAGTTGATCGCATCGGCTCCTGAGGCTTCTGCATTCTTCACGTAGTTCTCGAGCCTTGGTTTTCAGCTCCATCAGCTCCTTTAAGCACTTCTCTGTATTGGTTATTCTAGTTATACATTCTTCTAAATTTCTTTCAAAGTTTTCAACTTCTTTGCCTTTGGTTTGAATGTCCTCCCATAGCTCAGAGTAATTTGATCATCTGAAGCCTTCTTCTCTCAGCTCGTCAAAGTCATTCTCCATCCAGCTTTGTTCTGTTGCTGGTGAGGAGCTGCGTTCCTTTGGAGGAGGAGAGGCGCTCTGATTTTTAGAGTTTCCAGTTTTTCTCTTCTGTTTTTTCCCCATCTTTGTGGTTTTATCTACTTTTGGTCTTTGATGATGGTGATGTACAGATGGGTTTTTGGTGTGGATGTCCTTACTGTTTGTTAGTTTTCCTTCTAACAGACAGGACCCTCAGCTGCAGGTCTGTTGGAGTACCCTGCAGTGTGAGGTGTCAGTGTGCCCCTGCTGGAGGGTGCCTCCCAGTTAGGCTGCTTGGGGGTCAGGGGTCAGGGACCCACTTAAGGAGGCAGTCTGCCCATTCCCAGATCTCCAGCTGCGTACTGGGAGAACCCCTGCTCTCTTCAAAGCTGTCAGACAGGGACATTTAAGTCTGCAGAGGTTACTGCTGTCTTTTTGTCTGTGCCTTGCCCCCAGAGGTGGAGCCTACAGAGGCATGCAGGCCTCCTTGAGCTGTGGTAGGCTCCACCCAGTTCGAGCTTCCAGGCTGCTTTGTTTACCTAAGCAAGCCTGGGCAATGGTGGGCGCCCCTCCCCCAGCCTCGCTGCTGCCTTGCAGTTTGATCTCACACTGCTGTGCTAGCAATCAGGGAGACTCCATGGGGTAGGACCCTCCGAGCCAGGTGTGGGATATAATCTCGTGGTTCGCCGTTTTTTAAGCCCGTCAGAAAAGCGCAGTATTCGGGTGGGAGTGACCCGATTTTCCAGGTGCCGTCTGTCACCCCTTTCTTTGATTAGGAAAGGGAACTCCCTGACCCCTTGTGCTTCCCGAGTGAGGCAATGCCTCGCCCTGCTTCGGCTCGCGCACGGTGCGTGCACCCACTGACCTGCGCCCACTGTCTGGCACTCCCTAGTGAGATGAACCTGGTACCTCAGATGGAAATGCAGAAATCACCCGTCTTCTGCGTCGCTCAGGCTGGGAGCTGTAGACTGGAGCTGTTCCTATTTGGCCATCTTGGCTCCTCCCCTACTTTGGGCTTTATTTGCTTTTTTTTTCTCCCCTAATTTTTTAAGGTGAAATTTGAGGTCATTGATTTGATACCTTCTTCTCTTTTGATACTACAGATATTTGGTGTTATAAACTTTCCTCTAAGTACAGCTTAGTGGCATCCCACAAATTTTAATATATTGTATTTTTATTTTCATTCAGTTCAAAATACTTTCTAATTTTCATTTTCTTTTTTATCCTTGGGTAATTGAAAAGTGTGTTATTTAGTTTCAAAGTGTTTTACAGATTTTTCAGTTCCAGTGATTTTCCAGATATCTTCTTGTTATTGATTTCTAATTAAATTCCATTGTGGTCAAAGAACATACTTTGTATGACTTGAATCCTTTTATATTGACTGAGACTTCTTTTATAGCCAGGATATTAATTATTCTGGTAAATGTTCCAAGTACACTTGAAAAGAATATGTATTCTGCTGTTGTTTAGTAGAATGTTTCATGTCAACCATGTCATGTTGGTTGATAGTGTTGTCTACTGTCTTTTTGCTGATTTTTTTGTCTACTTGTTGTATCAATTATTGAGAGAGGGGTATTAATATCTACCAAAGTTGTGGATTTGTTGATTTCTCCCTTGCAATTCAATCACTTTTGTTTCATGTATTCTAAAGCTTTGTTATTAGATGTAGAAACAGAAACATTTAGGAATGTTACATCCTTCTGATGAATTGATCCTTGTATCATTATGAAATGACTTTCTTTATCCTGGCAATATTCTTTGTTCTGAAATATATTTTGTCTGATATTAATATAGCCACAGGAGCTTTCTTTTTACTGGTGTTAGCATGGTATATATTTTTCCATACTTTAACTTTTTAACTATTTGTGTCTTTATATTTAGAGTGAATGTTTTGTAGGTAGCATATAGTTGAGACTTGCTCTTTTAGCCAATCTGAAAAATCTCTGTCTTTTCATTGGGGCATTTAAACTATTTACATTTAAGGCTATCATTAATATGATTAGGTTTAGTCTACCATCTTGTTATTTGTTTTTTCTTTGTCCCAGTTTTTCTCATTTCTTCAATATTTTCAAGATCTTGCTCTACTACTTTTGTCTAAATTGTTTCAATAAATTTTCTTTCATTTTTGTATTTGCTCCTCTGCACAAATATTCTGCTTTTAAGATGTTCTCATTATCATTATTTTTGGGAGATTTGATTATGATGTGCCTGGTGTAAATTTCTTCAAATTTCCTATGCTTGGGGTTGTTATGCTTTTTGATTAGCATATTTATATATTTTGAATTTTAAAAATTTGGGAAAATTTTTACCATTATTTCTTCAAATATTTTTTGTCCCTGCTTCCTCTCTCCTTTTAAGGGACTCCAATTTCACATATATTAGGCCACTTGAAGTTGTACCATAGTTTACTAATGCTCTGTTATTTTTTATCTTTTTATGTACTTTTTCCTCTGATTGTTTCTTTTTGGATGGTGTATATTGTTATGTCTTCATGTTCACTGATCTTTTCACCTGCAATGACTACTATTATGTTAATCCCATCCAGTGTATTTTTAAATCTCAGTCATGTCTCTACATTTTGAACATACAAATACAGTTATAAGGATTTTTCCTTTTCTACTGTTTCTAACATCTGTGTCAGTTCTGCATCATTTTTTATTGATTTTTCTCCTTGTTATGGGTTGTATTTTTCAATTTATTTGCATGCCTGGTAATTTTTTATTGTATGTCAGAAATTGTGGATTTTGCCTTGTTTGGGGGCTAGAATATTTTTGTATTTCTATGAATTTTCATTTCTTGAGTTTTGTTCTGGGACCCACTTAAGTTACTTGGAAATAGTTTGAGGCTTTAAGGACTAGCTTTTACAGTTTGTTAGGTGGAAACAAATCAATGTCTTCACTTTGTTATTAATTATTCTCCACTAGTGAGGCAAAAGTCTCCTTAGTACTGTACACAAGGCCCCATTAATTATGAGCTTTTTCAGTCTGGCTGGTGGGAACTTCCTTACCCTGTGACAGCTTCAAGTACTGTTCCTTCTAATCTTTTCAAAATAGTCTTTTTCTACAGTCTTGGGGCATTTACTCAAATACATGTGCTGATCAGTCTTCTGCTAAATACTCAAAGGGGACCATCTGAAAATCGCCAGCGCTCTTTTTGCAGCTTCCCATGTCTGATACTCTCCTTGTGACCTCCAGCCACCTTGGTCTCCCCAGACTCTCAGCTCCATCTCCTCAAGTCAGAGAGGATGCACCCTCCATGATGCAGCCTTGAAATTTTCTCGAGAAATAATCTGGGGAAATTTTAAGTCTCACTACATTTCTCTTCTGTCTCTCAAGTATCACTATTCTTTGTTGACAAGTATCAAATATCTTCAAAAATATTGTTTCATATATTTTTCCAGATTTTTAGTTGTTTCAGATGGAAGGCTAAAGTCACTTCTTGTAACTTCATCTAGGCTGGAAACAGAAGCTGATTCTCAATTTGGTTGTTTTCAATCAAAGCTGTTGTTTCTTTCCTACTACCACCCACTATCTCTAGGGATTTGTTTAATATCTGACAGCAGAAGGAAAAAAAAAGGAGTTGTAGGCAAACAGGAAACAAAGTAGAGACATTATTAGGATTTTCACTAGTTACACTATATCCAAGACCTTACCTTGGCTTCAAGTTTAGTTCTAGATGTCTCAGGTGTGATCAAACTATATTAAGAAGGCTAACTTCTCATTCATCCTCCATCTCAACCTCTAAGAAATTCTGCATCCTACAAGTCTAGAGTCAAAATGATAGTAAGCTCTGGATTCAGATGGGCCTCACTGAGATCATGATAAACACACGAATGGTTCTGGTTTAAAACAATTTTGAGGCTGCAAATATCCTCATCTTCCCAAAGGATTCTTATTCAGACTAAACCCCATTTATTCTTCCCTTGGATGATTTAGAACCTTGTCGTAGTGATGTACAAATTTACATCTCCATTACATTAAGGATCTACCATCAAAACTTTCAGGCGTGAGGGCTCTTGTAGTACCAATGAACTGAATTAAGTTCCCTGAATCTTTCTAACTTTGTCCTTTAAAAATTTAAGGACTCTTAAATGCTGTACCCTTTCATCAGCCCATATATCCCCAACTACAAACACCTATATAGGAAATGTTAGGTATATACAGGTTGGAAGAACTGGAACTTCAAAGATAATTTTAGCAAACCGCAGAATATCAAAAAACCTAAAAGCAAATAAATAGCATGGAGCTATCAAGGAGAGCCCAACAAATAGATAAATTAGTGCTTAAATAATGGAAAGTAATTTTGTTTAAAAAGTGACTTAGCCATGTTTCTCCTCAATCTCTTTACAAATAGAGACTGTGCAAAGGCTACTGATGGTGATTGCAACATCACTCTCCACTCTCAGTCAATCACAAATTATAAGTAGAGGTCTCAGGTCACTTTCCTATTAAAGATAAATGGGAAGGCTGGCAGGGAAGAGAAAAAGATAACTACTAAAGGCTGTGTGACAGCAGATTAACAGCCTGCCTCTGTGAATTTCCATGCATTGATCTTATATCAAAAAGAAGGCAAATAAAGTGCTCTGATATGGACAATGTTGTTTTTTCCTTCAGACAAGAACATTTATTCTATGTATATGCATAAAATAAAAATTTGAGGTTAATAAATAAGCACTTTGCTTGTATAATGAAGGATTTTTGAAAAGCAACTGTAAATATCCAGTTATATGTATAATAACAAAGGAATAGCTGAGCTATTCCAGGGTCTTATCTGTTTAAAAACAAAAGTCAAATTAGTGCTCATCTTCCCAGGCAGAAAAAGCAAGTCTGAAAAACAAAAGGATGTTCTGTCAAAAAATAAAAACATCCTGCAGAGAATTTAGTAACAGTAAGATGAGGATGACACAAAGGAGTTCCAGGGATGTCAAAGAGTAAAATGCTACATCCAAAATTTGGTAAGAACCATAATGATAATGCAAAAGAAAAAGAAGAAGAAAAGAAATTATGACATAAATTGTTCAAAAGTGAACCTCTGTAAAAAAGGCATTCTCATACAATGTAGGTGAGACCACTATTTTGAAGGGAATTTGATAATGTATATCACGAGATTTCATAGAAGGTTACACCCATTAATTTCATAATTCCTCTTCTGAGAGACAAAATCCAGAGTGATAGCCTGACATTTAGAGCCACTTTTCTCCTCAAAACAGCTGCCAATTTTGAAAGCCGCAACTAAGAGACTGAGAAGTTAGAGGTTTTTCTCAAGATTCGTATGACTGGGTGAATAAAAGTTGGCATTTAGGGCCTATAAAAAAAATGGAGGGTCACTTGAGGCTTTCAGTTGAAACTTCAAGGAAAGATGGAAGAGTAAGTCTATATGCAAAACAGACCAGTACAGTGTCCAATTATTTCACATTTAATTTAAAGTGATTTGTTCCCAACTTAGATGCCTACCAGAAGCAAAAGTAAATCTTGAGTGAAAAAATATACAGAACCTTAAATTATCTCTGCAGTTTTTTCTCTGTAATACTAGGCACTAAACAAAAACAAACAAACAAAAAAAACAACGTATACAAAAGATAAGAGTTGACCAAACACCAAGATTAAAAGTGGACACCAGGAACAGGTGGATAAGGTCCAGACATTGTAGTCTTCTGACCAGGATTTCAAACTAACAATGACTAAAATATTCAAGTAATTAAATGATAAGATAAAAATTTTAACATAAACCTGGGAACTAAAAGAATCATAAACAAGTTCTAGAAGTAAAAAAAATCCAGTAACGGAAATTAATATTTCAGTAGGTGGGTTTAACATTACATTTGATATAGCAGAAGAGAGAATCACTGAACTGGAATATTCTCAGAAGTAAATATCTAGACTGAATCACAGATAGCAAGGTTATAAATAAGTATAAGAGACGAATAAGGCAAGATTTTGTTTTAATCTACTTCTAATTAAAGTCACTGAAGGAGAAGAAAGATTGAGGTAGAATGGTATTGATGGAAACACAGAAGAAGATTTTCCCAGACTAATGAAAGACATCAAGCCAAATATTCAAAAAGCACTACCAACATCTAGCAGGCTAAAAGAAAACAAGCCAGCAAACAAACCAGGTACATTGTTTAAAAAAAACAAAAACAAAAACACTTTTTAAAACAGAAGACACAAAAAAAGTCTTAAAGTCAGCCAGAGAAAAAGGACATTTACCTTCAAAGAAACAACAAAAATATTGGCTGGCAGTTGGTTTATCAACAGAAAAATAGAATAACGAGACACTAGACTAAATATCCAATGAAAACATTGGGACTGAAACTGCAGGCCAACAGGGCAACATTTCTGACAAACTGACTCTAAAAATCACAAGAAATATATATTAGTGTCCTATTGCTGCCATAACAAATTACCACCAACTTAGTGACTTAAAATAACATGAATAGCACCCACTTATTAACACATAGTTCTCTAGGCCATAAATCTGGGTTGTCTCAGCTGATTTCTTAAGAGTCTTACAAGGTCAAAGTTAAGATGTTAAATAGGCTCTTATCTGGACACTGAAATAAATCTGCTTCCATGCTCTTTGAGGTTGTTGGCCAAATTCAATTCCTTGCTGTGATAGTACTTCCTTACTAACTGTCAGCATGCAGTCACCCTTAGCTTCAAAAGGCCACTCCCCAGTCCTTGCAGATGGGCCGCTACATCTCAGAACCAGCAACAGTGCATCGAATCCTTCTCGTGCTTGGATTCTCTCTGACTTCCCTCCCGCTGCAGCTCTCTTCTGCTTCCAGTTGGAGTAAATTCTCTAATTTTAAGGTTCATTTGATTAGATTAATTCCACCTGAATAACCTAGGCTACTCTCCCTGTCTTAACATTCATAACTTTAGTTATATCTGCAAAGTCCTTTTTGCCATCTAACATAACATATTCACAGGATCCAGAGATTAGAGATAGACATCTTTGGACAGCTATTTTGCTTACCACAAAGGGTTAAAGTCTAAAAAGAGTTAACACAATATTGGAAAAGAAAATGAGAGGGGACTTGTCCAACCAAAATCAAGACTTCATCTAAAACAATATAAATTAAAACCATTTGGCATACACACAGGATGAACAGCTAGATCAACGGAACAGCTAGGAAGCCTTACAATATTCAGAAACTGGCTGTTTGACTAAGGTGACATTACAAATCAGCAGGGAGATGATGGACAATCTAATTAACTAGGAAAATTAGCTCCTTATATGAAATACACTCTCACACACATATATACATACAAACAAAGCTGTTCAAAGCAAATTATTGAAACGTTTAAAAGAAAATATGACATAAGAGCAGGGAAAGATTTCTTATATAGGACACCAAAAGCAGAAACTATAAAGAAAAAGATGGATAAATTTTATCACAGTAAAAATTTTAGAAATGTAAACTATACCATAAGAAACATTATAGATGAAGTATTTTTAAAGTCTCTTCTTGCAGAAAATATGTGCATATAATTAAATACTATGCTACGAATACCATAAATAAATTATAAAAATGTAAATTCAGAAAAGTGAATGAAATGATATGAACATGCAGTTCATCAAAGAGGAAAACTGAGTAGCCAATAAGCAGCTTGTGCAACTGCACTATAATCAGGGAAAAACAAATTTAAATACAATGAGATTCCATTTTGTACCTATGATAGGAAAATAATAAGAAGGCTGAAAATTTGAAGTGTTTATAAGGACATGGGAAACAAGAAGAGGAAATAGTATGTGTGTGCATGGTGAGTGAAGCCTGCAGCAGCATGAATCATGCTCTTGCAAGGAATTCTTTATGGTTGCAGTTTCAGCATAAGGTAGGAAGTAAGGAAAAAGGGGTTAAAGAAGTTGACAGATAAGGTAGGGCTTTGTTTGAGTGCTGTGATTTTTGTGTTTTCTATAGAAGGAAATGGTAAGATATTGAAGGATTTCCACAAGGCAAGCAGAAATAGGTTTGGATTGTACAAAGATTGCTCTGGAAGCAAAGTGGAGAATGTTTAGAAGGGGGTAAGACTGAGGATAATAGTTAGGATGTTGATTCAGTGTCTCACAGAAATGATGAGAGCGTGATAAAGGCAGCAGTCAGGGATGGAGAAAAGACGTAAATAGATGCCACTAAAGAGGAAGAATCAGCAGAACCTGGTCACGAATAAGGAATGAAGGATAAGAAACTGGGACAGTATTGGAAGTTTCAGGCTTGGCCAACAGAGTAAATGGTGCAATTCACTGGAATAGTTTCCTAGTTGGGAGAGTAAATTTACAACAGGCCAAAGTGATGAGTTCAGGGGTACCTTTTGAGATCTTGTGGTCAGTTGTTTCTGTGGATCCGAAGCTCAGTAGGAAGGTCTAGGCAAAAGATTTAGTTTTAGCAGTCATGAGTGTATTAATGGTTAGTAAACACTGTTCATGGATAACATCACCTATAAGGATAAATGAGGGAAATAAAAGAGGGCTAAGAACAGAATCCCAGGGATCAACATCTGGGAGATGCGTGAAGGGGCTGGGTGAAATAAGAAAAAGGGGCTGAAAAGTAACAAAACTGATAGAGGCAAAACAGTTGACTTCAAGAAACAAAGGGAAGAGTTTCCAAAAAGAGGCCAATACTGAGGAGACATGAAGATATAGACTAACAGTTGCCACTCAATTTACCGATTGTGAAGGGCATTGGTCATCTGGGTCTCCAGCAGAGGCAGGTGGTTGTGAAGTAAATAAGAGGTGATTAATTAGTGACATAGCCTTTTCCAAAAGCTAGGTTGTGATGGCAGTAGGAATTGTAAGCTGGAGAAGGACTCTTCTCTTTTTTCTTTTTTAAGGTGGTAGCCCCTCAAGGATATGTACCTATTTGGGGGAAATAGGTAGTCCAGAGGGAGAAGTTGGTGTTAAAGGAGAAAGGAAGGACAATGAGGGTACTGAGTTGCTGAAGCATCAGGAGGAGTTGGTGACCAGAGGGCTTCACTGCAGATGGAAGAAGGGGCCTCTTCCATGGAAATGGGGTGGGCTATGGAGAAGAGGTAGGCTCAGCTGTAGGAGAGTCTGTTTCTAAGTGTGAAGCAGGGAAATACACTATTCTCTCTGATGGCCATGTTTTCTTAGTGAGATAATTTGTCAAGAGTGAGAATAGAGATATTGTTGAAGGATGGCAGAAGTTGCTGACTTGGCTCATGAAGATGACAACTTGTTGTCAATCAGCAAGGGCCCAGGTGGTTGGAGACCACTAAGTTTTTGGTAGCAGCAATCTTTGTGTGTGCGTTTTCTAGCAGAGTTCAACCACCATGGTGTGTACAGAATTTAAACAACCTGAATGGTTAGGTCAAACCTATTTGAGATTTTACTTGTTGAATGAGGCAGAAGGACAAGGGTTAACATTTATTGAGTGACCTTGGACATGGGAATTAATCTCTCTAAACCTCAGTTTTTCTATTTATAAAATGGGGCTAAAATACTACCTGTCTGAGTTGTTTTAAGAATTAAATGAGATAATACAGTGTTCCTCACATTTTTTTAGTGTGACCTTCAATAAGAAACATGTAGAAGTATTTTAATGAGAAATACGTATGTTATTGTGAGAATTATATGAGTTACTATTAGTCCACAATGCCTTCACCAAAATACTTGGGGACTTACATATTTCCAAATTCAGAATTTTGACAATTTTAGGAAAGGAAATTTTAGAACACATATCATATAACACCCTGTCAGGGATTACAAAAGTATCAAAAATCAAACATTAATCTTTTCACAGAAAAATATATAAATATTCACATAAACCATGAACAAAGACTATAAATAGCCTCACCTCAGTTTTGGACCAGGCTTTGCTTCAAATATGTTTTAAAAAAATTTTTTTGCTTTTTCAGAGCTTTTTGGATTTTGGAACTGTGGATAAGAAATTGTGGAGAACTATATACAGAGATAGGTAGACAAATAAATAGAAACATAGACATAGATATACATATATATGTATATATATGTGTGTATATGTGTGTGTGTGTGTGTGTGTGTGTGTGTGTGTGTGTGTATATATATATATATATATATATATATATATATATATATATAGTGTTATTAAGTGCCTGGCATATAAGTGGTATTGTTATTATTATTGGTACAGATATATCTTATTTCCAAGATGGGGGTCCTCACTTACCAAAGTGATTTTTGACCCACTAATAAGTTGTGACTCACAATCTGAAAAATGCTGATACATAATGATATGTAAATGATTAGCCTGGTCCCTGGATCGTACATAGAAAGCTCTCAATGCAAGTTAAAAGGTGAAAAACACCATCCTATGTTTATTTAAAGTTTTTACCTTTCAAAAATCTTTTAATCACATAGTTGCTATTTATCTTCAGTCACTTTATCAGAAATAAAGTAAATGATTTGTCTCTTGATCTACTTTTGAGAGTTTCATGTCTCAATGATTTTATCTTGAACAGTAGGAAATTTAAACTATTATAATTCTCAACTTCCTGTGGCTTTTATACCTTGACACCTAAAATACTTTTTAAGTTTTCTTTATTTTAAGTGAAATAGGTTATTTTATTGCACAGATAAAGAAATAGAACTAAAAACTCAAGCCATTTGTCTGAGGTTACAAAATATACTATTCCTATATAGAACTTGCCCAATAGAATATACAGTTTAAGAACAACTTTCAAGCAGTTTATTAATCACTTCTTAAAGTGAGTCAAAGACACTCCTATCTGAAGGCAGCTTACAATCTTTGTGTTTTATTTTCTAGTTCTCTTGGAGATGTTGAAATAGCTGAAGTGAATGTCAAGGGTTTGTTCGTGAAGCTCATTAACTCTTCCCTTGACAAAGAAATGGCAATTGGAGATCATATTCTCCAGCAAAATGTGAATGGACAAACCATTTCTTTGTACCGATTCCTTCCAAACATCGTAATGCAGGCAAATTCCACAGTAACAGTGAGTATAAGAGTATAAATACTGTACATTAGAATTGTACAGGACAAACTTGTTGACACTGACAGTCTGTGGCTCAGCACTGTCTCGTTATCACTCTATCTGGATCTGTACGTAAGATGTGATTTTGTTGTTGGTGGTTAATTACCGCACTTTGTCCATCTTCTGGATGTTAATTAATACCCACAGTTAAATTTCCACAGCTGTCTTCAATTTTGTGTACAATATCTTTTGTTTTTATAATTTAACTATTAAAATGAAATTCTTAATTTCCTGAAACCAAGTAAATATAAACCTGAAAAGACAAGCAAAGAGATTATTTGCTTAGAGAACAGATAATTAGCTCATGCAGGAGGGGTCCTCTCTTTCTCGTTTTTTCCTTTAATCCCTGTAGAGTAGCTGTTTGGTGTTGCATAGCTTGACATTGTATATGATATAGTCATTATATTTTAAAACCTCATCTGTTCAGAAAGATTATGTTGGAGTAACCCTATGACATTTACAAAATTGTGTTCAACTCCAGTGGCATTTGTCATTAACAATTTTATTACAGGTGTGGGCAGCAGCATCTGAAGCAAAGCATCAACCTCCATCAGATTTTCTTTGGAAGGAACAAGACAAGTTTAGAGCAAGTCCTGATTGTATAACAATCCTGTGCAAACCGAACGGTCAAGTTAGTTTCTGGTTCTTAACAATCGTTTTTTTTTTTTAAATATTGTGCTTATTGAGCATATCTGTATTTTTTATTCTTTTTATTTTATACAATGTGTCTAAGTGCATAAATGTCAGTAAAATTGACTTTATGCCTAAAAGATTATTTTATTGTCAGGTTCTTATAAATTTATTTATTTATTTAATTTCAGTCGTTTTGGGGGAGCATGTGGTGTTTGGTTACATGGATAACCATGTTGTCAAATGGAAGAGCACTCATTAGTTCTTAAGTGGTGGTATTCCATGGTACGTATATACCACGTTTTCTTTATCCACTTGTTGCCTGATGGGCATTTGGGCTACTTTTTCATAGAATGGATAGTTATCCTTATGTTCCCCATCCTCTTAGCTCACCCGATTTTTTTTTATCCTTAAAGCTTGGGAAGAACCATCACTAAATGCCACAACACATCAGGCAAATCAACAGCATTCTCTTCCCAATGTCAAAGGGCCCAAGAGTTACTTACAATTTGGCAAAAATAATTTTGATATCTCATATTCCTAAGAAGCCTCTTCAACTTTCGAAGTCAAGGGAAGATTTAATTTGTGATATTTAGCCTGAAGAGTGGGATAAGGAAGGTACTCCATACAGGTCTTTTCCATTTATTTTTTCATTTCTCAAATATTTATTGATACTCTTCTCTATTTTACAGCTATGCTAAGTACTGGGAATATAACAGATTAAGATCTGCACCAAGGAACTAATATTCTAATGAAAGAGCTTACAGTATTAATTTGAAATGACTATACTTTACTCCTTATAAAATTAAGGGCATTAGCAATAGCTTTGGGTAATTTGTTCGCAGTATTTGACAATTTTATATTTTCACTCAACCTTTCTCTCGGTATAATATTAGCATACATATATACCCATGGACACACCAATAAGGTTCAAAGGTATTTCTTTTTACAACAACAAAAAAGTGAATCCTTTTTCAAAATGATTTTTAGATCATTTTTACATACCTGTGATTTTTCTTACCCTCAGTCTAACTTACTATGTCATATAACTACTAACAAAATATGTTAACAAGAATCTATCTCTGAGTTTCTTTTTTGCTGCAATATAATCTATGTTGAGATGGACTTTCCCTTTAAAATAGACTTGGCTAATTTCTTAAGAGCCATTTACTGTCTTTCTGCGGGAACAGTTGTTGTTAGATGAGGAGAGCACCCATGAGATATAACTTAGCAGCCTTCACCCACTCAGCTTTAGATCTCCTTGTGGGCTCGAACTGAATTTTATAATACTTCTCTGATGGGAAAAATAAGGCTACACAATCTAAGTTATTTACTTAGATTAATTTTCATTGATGGAGAAAATGAGGATACACAATGTGAGTTATTTACTCAGCCTCATAAGAAATCATTAGCAAAACCCAGTTTAGGATTAAGACATTCTTATCTCAGAACTTTCATCATAGTTATCCACTCTGTAAACCAGTTTGTGATTTCTACTTTGTATGTGCATTGCTCCAGGCACTGAGCATTGAACCAGACAGACCAGGTCCCTGAGCTCCTGGAATGCAGATTTTAAAAAGTTTTCATTTCTTGCAACTGAATTAGGCTTTGTACTTAGACTGTTCCTTTTACCCAGTGATTTTAATGACTTTGCACATATAGAATCAGACCATTTCTGTGGGGTGATGTAAGCACAAGTAACTGTGCCTGCTAATGAAAGACTAAACCTGACTGATTGATCCATACGGAAAATATTTAAATATATTTCGTATCTGTCAGGAATGGCGCTAGGTGCTAGAAAAAAGAACATAAATATTGCACACTTCTTGTCCTCAAGAAACTCAGAGTCTGCTAGTAGAAACTGATATGTAATAATAAGTAATTGCAATACAGTGAAACAATGCTTTAATAAAATATGGGCAGCCCAGGTCAGAAATATCAACTCTGTAAAGGAGAGCATGAGAAAAAGCATTGAGAGGAAGAGCCATGTGTTGTGAATCTGTAGTGGAGAGGAGTTTGCCCACCTAACTTGAACCATGGTGATCTTGCCCATTTTCACCTTCTGGACTCTCCTCTCTCCATGCTTCTTCATGCACTCTGTTCTAGCCACACTGCCCTACTTCTCATACTACTTTTGCTTTCCAGTGCTTGACTGCTCCTTCATGCCACAGGGCCTTTGCGCATGCTCTTGCCTCTCAATAGGCTCTCTTCCCTCCCTTTTTACCTATTAAATCCTACCTGCCCTTCAGAACTCAGCTCAAGCTTTTTTTTTTTTTTTTTTTTACCTGAGTCACATCCCATTGGAAATTCTACCTTATGGTAAAGCCATATGCATTATTTAATTCGACTAGAAAGTATTTCCCTTAAATAGGTGGAAATGTGACTTTAAAATCAGCTTGAAACCCTAATGTAAGTATAGAGTTCCTTTTCTAATAAATTCATTTTCATTCTCACTTTCATAGCACTGGATATTACTATCTGCAACCGCCAGGTAAATTTTCCTTAAAAAGACAATTTACTGCCTTCTCATAGACATGCTGAAACACGAACTCAAAGTGTCATCATGACCCTGGAATTGCTTTCTATTTGTATGTAGAAAATAATCCATATCTTGTGGAAAAAGTCACAAAGCCTGTAATCTACTGTCTAAAATAATAGCCAGCTATACAGATCAGAATAGAACCTGTTTCTGGACTTGAATAATATTTTATATTTGTAAGATGGGGCAAAGAGAAGTTATATTATGGGTCATTTTTAAAAAGAAGCCTAGGCCAGCGCAGTGGCTTATGCCTGTAATCCCAGCACTTTGGGAGGCCGAGGCGGGCGGATCACAAGGTCAGGAGTTTGATACCAGCCTGGCCAACATGGTGAAACCCCATCTCTACTAAAAATACAAACATTAGCTGGGTGTGGTGGTGCCCGCCTGTAGTCCCAGCTACTAGGGAGGCTGAGACAGGAGAATTGCTTGAACCTGGGAGGCGGAGGTTGCAGTGAGCCAAGATTGCACCACTGCACTCCAGCCTGGGCGAAGAGTAAGACTCTGTCTCGAAAAAAAATAAAAATAAAAACAAATTTAAAAAATTAAAAGGAGGCTAAAATAAAGTATGTCTTAGACTACTTTTTGAGTCATCTTGTCACTAACATGGCAGTGGTTAATATTCGATACAGCTACAAATCTTATGGCTTAATATAAAAGTGGCTTTTAGTTTTGCTTTGCCATGTATTAACTACATAATTGTTATTCTACTTTCCCATCTGTAAAGTAAGAGACTGTATAATATAATCACTAAGATTCCATGAGTCTATGGACCTTTAAAGCAGGGACAGGTTTGCAGCCTCTAAATTACATGTCAAATAATTAATAAATGTCTCATGTTTATCAATGCCTGGTACTTTCCCAATACATTGTTTTGCATTAGACATCCAGATGTGGAACAGACCAGTCCTATACAATAGGAACTCATTGAAGGGCTGTTTATATATGCCTTATTACAGTTGATTCTCAGTAATGTTTCAGTATCTTGGGGAAAAAAAATGGGGCTTGGAAAGTTAAATGGCTTGCTTAAGGTCACATGATAAGTAATGTGATAGAACTAAAATAAAACCATATCTTCTAACTCTCAATAATTTTTCTATTGCACTAAAAATAGTTTGTAAGTTTCATGTGGCCGACATTCTAGAGCTGAGGCTAAATTTTATCACATTATCATCATTGTCATCGAAAATTCTCTCAAGTTCCTACAATACAGGGGAAAATAAAATATTGCCTTGTCTAGGAAAGGCACACACCTCAATAAGGGAGATCACACTAAAAAGATCATGAACATATTTTCAAAATATAATATGTTTGAGCTACTAAAAAGGGAGGATTCGTAACTAATGATCTGTAGCAAAAGTCCATTTTTTTGCCATAATCTATGAAAATAAACTTTTTAAAAAAGAATTCATCTTCTTTCTCTGCTAGAAGCTTAGCCTAGCTGAACTGACCTTGTGTTGTCTTTATGTCTATGTTATTTGTCAAGCCAAGCAGAGGGATGTTCAAAGGTTACAGTGTGAAGTCCAAACCTCTAATTTGGTAAACTAAAAACAGATCACTAGAACAAGTAGAATGTTAGGGCACGTTTTTCATGTTGAATAGAAATATAACTGTTAGTGTCTATACAGGATTTTCCTGAATAATTTTTGCACGTGTATGTTGTGCACATGTCACATATTCAGGAAATCCAAACAAACTCCAGCTTCAGTGCTTATGGGTCTCCTTAATACTCTCACCTAGGATTCTAGCCTGAAGAACGTGTTTTCTTGTCCATGTCTCTAGCTCTACTGTCCATTTTCCCATCTCAGATAAGATACACTCACACACACAGTGTCTTAAATGTTTAAAATCTTAACTTTTTCATGTTACCATTACTTTTTGCTCGGTTCTTTAGAGTTGTGAAATTCAATAGCTGGATGAATTTTACAACACTTCAATAAAGCAGTTCCCAATACCACCCTCTCAGTTTTACACATGAAGTCACAGTTCAAGTTAGAAAGTAACTTACCTACCTGAGATTATGCTGCTTGTAATTTTCAGAACAGGAAACTAAGGCCAAGATGCGTTACTCTGTATCCTCATCATGTAGTTCGCTAAGCCGCACACACAGGTAAATGGCATTATATAGTTCAGTTTTTAAATTCTGTTGTACCATATTTTACATGGTAAATAAAAAACAACTCAAAATGGCTAAAAGACCTAAACGTAAGACCTGAAACCATAATACTGCTGGGAAAGAACATAGGGGAAAAGCTCCTTGACGTGGTCCTTTGCAATGATTTCTTGGTATCACACCAAAGCTCAGGCTACAAAAACAAAAATAAATAAAAGTGGGCATGGAGTATGTCAAGCTAAAAAGCTTCTGCACAGCAAAGGAAACAATTAACAAAATAAAATAGCACCCTACCGACTGGGAAAAAAAAAAGTTTGCAAACCTCATATCTGAGAAGGAGCTAATACTCAAAATCTATGAGGAACTCTTACAACTCAATAGCAGAAAAGCAAATAACCTGATTTAGAAAACAGGCAAAAGACCTGAATAGACATTTCTCCAAAGACATTTAAAAAATGGCCAACAGATACATTAAAAGATGCTCAACATCACTAAGCATCAAATAAAAGCAAATTAAAATCGTTATGAGCTATCACTTCACACTTCATAAGGATGGTTATTCCAAAAAAGACAAGAGATATAATAACAAATGTTGGTGAGAGTATGGAGAAAAGGGAACCCCAGTACATGGTTGGCAGGAATGTAGATTGGTGCAGCCTTTATGGAAAACAATATGGAAGTCCCTAAAGAAATTAAAAGTAGAGCTACCATACAACCCAGCAATCCCTCTTCTGGGTACATACCCAAAAAAGATGAAATCACCACCTTGGAAAGGTATCTGCACAGCCATCTTCATTGCAGCATTATTCACAATAGCCAAGATATGGAAACAACCTAAGTGTCTGTCAACAGACAAATGGATAAAGAAAATGTAGCTATACACAATGGAATATTATTCAGCCTTAAGAAAGAACATGGAGGTACCTGGAGGACATTATGCTGAGTGAAATAAGTCAGACACAGAAAGAAAAATGTTGCATGATCTCACTTATATGTGGAATTTTTGAAAAGGTCAAACATACAGAGAAAGAGAATAAAACTGGTTCACAGGGATGGGAGCAGGGGAGGAAATAGGCAGATGTAGGTCAAAGGATATAAAGTAGCAGAGATTTGTAGGATGAAGTCTAGGGATCTAGTGTACAATATAAGGACTATAGTTAATGAAATTGTGTTGGGGATTTTTGTTAAGTAGATTTTAGCTGCTCTTGTCATAAAAAAGTAACTACGTGAGACAATAAATACCTTAATTTGCTCCACCATAGTAACCATTTTACTATATATATATATATATATATATATATATATGTATATCTCATAACAGCATGTTGTAAACCTCAAATATACATAGCCAACATTAATAAATCATTTTCATTAGGCCATTGCGTGGTACACCCCTATCCACTGGAAGCAAGCGTGGGAAAAATTAGATGCTGACGTTGAATTTAACAGATGTTCAGTAGTATCTCCAACATTCCGAAAGCGTGTGTTTCAGTGGACAGCATCTACAGCTACAATAACTAAAGAAAAACAAGATCAACCTAAGAAAGATATCTCAAATTATCAGGTGGAACAAGCTCAAGTTCTTCTTAAGAGGTAAGGGTTGTTTGGTTTGTTTGTTTTAATGGGTCCTTCCCACAATTAGTAACTAAGCATGTGGGAACGACTAGATGACAAATGGATGTGTGATGTATAAATTAAATCAATAGTGATTTTTGGAAACTACTATTTTGAATAGAACTCATAGGAAAAGCACGAAAACAGAATGAGCAGGTAAATACTCATAGGGCAATGAAGGCTGGCGATCTTCACTAGGTAGTATTGAGACCCCTCTGGCCATTTCACTTTTTTTTTTTTTTTTTTTTTGAGACAGAGTCTCGCTCTGTCACCCAGGCTGGAGTGCAGTGGCGCCATCTCGGCTCACTGCAGGCTCCGCCCTGCCGGTTCACGCCATTCTGCTGCCTTAGCCTCATGAGTAGCTGGGACTACAGGCGCCCACCACCACGCCCGGCTAATTTTTTTTGTATTTTTAGTAGAGACGGGGTTTCACCGTGTTAGCCAGGATGGTCTCGATCTCCTTGTGATCCGCCCGCCTTGGCCTCCCAAAGTGCTGGGATTACAGGCGTGAGCCACCGCGGCCGGCCGCCATTTCACTTTTCATGGGCACTGTTATTAGAGGCAAGGCTGCTGCAGAGAGGTGAAAAGGTGAGGTATCCCCAAGTCTTTAGCAGTGCTTAGGTGGAGGGAGAGGTGCATTATCCAGGAATTTTATCTTGGATCAAAAGCTGCCTATGGACAGAGGTGCAGAATATATTATTCATTTGTAGCAAATGCTTCTGAAGTTATAATAAAAGTTCTGCCCACAAAGTTTAAAAAGTCATATTCTCTTGGTTTTGAAATATGCTTCCCCTTTAATTGTGCCTTCAACATTAACACCACAGCATAAAATGGCTTTTGAGTTCCATTTAGGCTTTTTTCTTTTACAGAGAGAAGGAAATCCCACCAACCGTTTTCCCTAATCGCAGCCCTTGGTGCCAGAATCCCTATGTCTCTGCACATCCTTACTGTCCTCTGATTGAACCACACAATACATCCACCGCTGGAGGCAGATTGGATAGACAGCCCAGGACTCGGTCAACCAGACCTAATCGAGCCTCAGGTCAGTTAAAAGAGTGCTTGTTCCAGTGGAGAGTGCGTGTGTGTGCATGCACATGTGTTAACTAGTGGGTTAAGTGGTTAAAATGTGCTAAGTGTTAAAGATGATTCATATTCTCAAGAATAGATGGCTCTTAAAGGAAGTATTGTTAACCATTCACTTACATTTCCCCTAGCACAGTGTCTTCCACTGTGCTAGATAAACATCTGTCTTTGATAAATATCTGTTGAATGAATCAATGAATTAAAAGAACAGCGTGGCCAGCAAGAGTATGTATGATTCTTGAAGTTCAATGAAAAAACACTTTTTGTTTTTTCATCAGGCAGCAAAAACTGTTCTTACAAGTTATGCTGTGTTGAAAAAAATTCCACCTTTTCCAAACACACTCTAATGTTAATCCCCAATTCTTTCTCCTTCAGAAGTTTCTTAAGTCCTCTAAATAAAGCTTTTAGAGTTAGTATGATTAACACACACTCTGTGAATGGATTTTAGGAAATCCATGCACTTGCTACATTTTTCACAAAATTGTGTGTGTCTATATGATTTTTTCTGGGGAGAGAGTCCATGAAGTTCATCAGATGTCCACAAGTATTTAACAAGAACTGGAGTAGAAGAACATAAAGCCAAGAAGGAACCAGACTCAACTATTGGAGAAAGCCTGTTTAGTACACCAGCAATATCCTGGTGAAGTTGTAATGATTCACAAACTTTGACTTAGGAAAGAAGAGCTTGTTTTTTTAAAAATGAAATCTTAAGCGAGATCCCAATATATAAAATGCATAAAAACAGATCTACCCAAGGTGAGGAGGATGTAGCAATTTCCACTACTCATGACCCCCTTATTCTTCCATTTCTCTTTGCCTGTGATCTTTAAGACACCACGAAATCACAAGATTCTCCATGAAACAATATGACAACCATTGTGTTAATATGCTAGCACATCACTGGGAAATGGCACCCCCAAAACAGTACCTTTTAGAAGTGGAATGATGGAAATTTTGTAAATCACTGAATATATTTCTTTTTCTTTTTTCCTGCTTAGAATTCTTTTATTATTATTATTATTATTATTATTATTATTATTATTATTCTTACACTTTAAGTTTTAGGGTACATGTGCACAATGTGCAGGTTAGTTACATATGTATACATGTGCCATGCTGGTATGCTGCACCCATTAACTTGTCATTTAGCATTAGGTATATCTCCTAAAACTATCCCTCCCCCCTCCCCCCACCCCACAACAGTCCCCAGAGTGTGATGTTCCCCTTCCTGTGTCCATGTGTTCTCATTGTTCAATTCCCACCTATGAGTGAGAAGATGCGGTGTTTGGTTTTTTGTTCTTGCGATAGTTTACTGAGAATGATGATTTCCAATTTCATCCATGTCCCTACAAAGGACATGAACTCATCATTTTTTATGGCTGCATAGTATTCCATGGTGTATATGTGCCACATTTTCTTAATCCAGTCTATCATTATTGGACATTTGGGTTGATTCCAAGTCTTTGCTATTGTGAATAGTGCCGCAATAAACATATGTGTGCATGTGTCTTTATAGCAGCATGATTTATAGTCCTTTGGGTATATACCCAGTAATGGGAGGCTGGGTCAAATGGTATTTCTAGTTCTAGATCCCTGAGGAATCGCCACACTGACTTCCACAATGGTTGAACTAGTTTACAGTCCCACCAACAGTGTAAAAGTGTTCCTATTTCTCCACATCCTCTCCAGCACCTGTTGTTTCCTGACTTTTTAATGATTGCCATTCTAACTGGTGTGAGATGGTATCTCATTGTGGTTTTAATTTGCATTTCTCTGATGGCCAGTGATGGTGAGCATTTTTTCATGTGTTTTTTGGCTGCATAAATGTCTTCTTTAGAGAAGTATCTGTTCATGTCCTTCGCCCACTTTTTGATGGCATTGTTTGTTTTTTTCTTGTAAATTTGTTTGAGTTCATTGTAGATTCTGGATGTTAGCCCTTTGTCAGATGAGTAGGTTGCAAAAATTTTCTCCCATTTTGTAGGTTGCCTGTTCACTCTGATGGTAGTTTCTTTTGCTGTGCAGAAGCTCTTTAGTTTATATTTCTTTTTCATAAAATTGTGTACCATGTAGCTCTATGTCTGAGTTTCCTCATCTGTAAAGATATGGTTCTGAAATTGAAGGTCTCTTTAGCAATAAACTCTGTGCATGTGTGTGAACTTTAGATATAGATATAGATATATTAGATAGATGTAAACAACTTTAGCCCTTTATAATCTTTAGTACTTTATGACTTAAATTTGAGGCTTTCAAGAAATACATTAATTTATGTTTTTCTTTAATTAATGATCATCTTCACTAGTTTACTTATTCAGAACAACTTATTTTCCAGAGAAATTTGATTTCAAAATTTTTGAGGCACTTTTCTATAATATGATGGTGGCAACTTATCTTGATTATTCAATAACATTTGCTATTCAACACAAAGCACTTCACCGTATGTGCATATTTTGTAGTAGTAATTCAAAAATAGTTGCTTTGATACCTCTAAAGTCTTTATACATCGTTACATAACTTTTTTTTCCATTCAGTTAATTTTCAGTATGAACAGATATACATCAGAATTGTACGATTTTTTCTTTGATTTCTACCACAAAAGATGGCCACAAAGAAACAGATGTTATGAATGATTGGTTGCTGATTGATTGAATCAAGTAATCCCTGAATTACCAGTTCATCTCCTTGAAAGGATTTGTAACATGATTCTTCAAGGGAAAGTTACATGGTTTGTTAATTATCCACTATCTTTTTAATTTGCCTGCTACTGGAAAATTTGCCACCATTAGCACACACAATAGCTGGCAAAGAAAAAAAACCAGACAAAACAAAAAGTAATTATACTTGGAAGTTGTTTAATCCTGCTCCATTTACCCTAAAATAATAAATAGGCTAGTTTGCTGAGTTACAGAAGAATCTTAGATAGAAAGAAATCTATCTTCTATCTGAAAATGGTTGCCTTGTTTTAAACTGTGTCTCTCAAATATGCTACAGAGGAGCCTAGAGACTAATAAATAGGATAATTTTAAAGAAACATCTACACACTGTATTTCCAACTCATGCTGAACACATTTTGTTTTTAAAAACATGTTAAAATACAGCAAGTATAATGTTAAAAGCACCCATATATTAATCATGCAGAATGAATGCATGTTAATATTTTATTGTATTGTTTCACATTACCAAAAAGAAAAATTCATAAATTTGAAGTTCCCTTTAATTGTATTTGCAGTTCTGATCTGATATTGGAATAAATCATTCTGGTTCTCATTTTATACTTTGTTTACATGCATATGGATCCATATATATATATTTAAAATAATTTGTGTATTTTTAATTTACATAAATGGCATCATGCTAAATGTGCCAGCTCTTTTTGACTTACTGTAATTTGGGGGATTTAACTATAGTAATATAGAGAGACCTAATTCAGTCACTTTAACCATTATGTAGTATTTTATTATACAAATTTACTGTATCTTGTTTATTCCCCTATTAATGTTTTTCTCGTCAATAATATAGATGAAAAAATTTTTAAATATTTTAATTTTCTTTTTTACTTAAAAAAAAATTTACCAAGTCTTTGAATGCATCCAAGAAAATGTTATGTCTACGGCAATGATTATCCTTGTGCAAGTCTACTTGTGCATACATACAAAGGTTCCTTTGGGGTTCATACCTAAACTTTTAAAATCTTCTAAAATTCCTACATGTACTTATTCAGTTGTATGGTACCTGTATCTTCAACTTTATTAGATTTTGCTCAACTGCTCTAGGAAGAATTTTGCTAATTTATACTCCCACCAACATAGTAAAATATTTCCCATTCCCCTTATTCTCACCTAACTTTATATTGCCAGAATCTTAAATTATGTGCCAATCTGATGGACATTAACTAGTAACTCATTATCTTAATGTGAAGTTCTTCTTTAATAGTGGTGTTGTGCATATTTTCATATGTAAAAAAATAAAAAATCTTTCCCTATCTCATAATAATTCTCATAATAATAAAGTTATGTGCTTATATTTATTAATTTTTGGGGATTATCCGTTCCCTCAAGCATTTATCCTCTGAGTTACAAACAATCCAATTACACCCTTCAAGTTAGTTTAAAATGTACAATTAAGTTATTATTGACTGTAGTCACCCTATTGTACTATCAAATAGTAGGTCTTATTCATTCTTTCTTTTTTTTTTTTGTATCCATTAACCATCCTTACCTCCCTGCCCTGCAAATCCCCCACTACCCTTCCCAGCCTCTGGCAACCATCCTTCTACTCTGTATGTCCATGAGTTCAATTGTTTTACTTTTTAGATCCTACAAATAAGTGAGAACATTGTGTGTTTATATTTATTTATGATAGTTTTTCCAATTTGCTTTTTGTATATGTCTTTAATATATTTGAAGTTGTTTTTATGTATGGTATGAAATAGTGACCTCAGATTTCTTCGATATGGAAAACCATTTGTCTCAACACCAGAGAGTGTGTCCATCACGT
Organism: Homo sapiens; assembly: GCF_000001405.40. Lineage (NCBI taxonomy): Eukaryota > Metazoa > Chordata > Mammalia > Primates > Hominidae > Homo > Homo sapiens. The sequence goes on along the minus strand of NC_000012.12, from coordinate 25,514,259 downwards.
GCACACTGATTTCTAGTACCACCTCCCTCCTATGCTTGGGTCTGGGTCTGTGCTCCCTAGACTGTTCTATTGATCTATCACTGTGCCAATAACACTGTTCCTGTTGTTATTGGTACGTAATCATTCTTTTGCTCTCTTCTTGCTCTTCCCTTTCAGTGTGATTTGGCTTTTCTTAAACTTTTTACTCCTCTTTACAAGAATCATTTTTATCAAGTTTCACATAGAAAAACCATCTTGTTGGTAGTGTGATTAAAATGGTAAGAATTTTAAAGGTCATGTTGAGAGTTGATACCTTTATGATACTGAGTCATGGTATATGAAATCAATTGTCAGTTCATTCAGATTTCTTTCATGGCTTTCATTGATATTTTCTCATTTTTTTCCATAAAATTCTTGTATATCGTTTGTAGATTTCTCACCCAGGCAGGTGTATTGATTTGTTATTATTGTTGCTACTGCTTTTGAAAATGCTATCTCTTTCTATAACTTTTTTTCACTTTTTTAAAGAAGAGGAAAATTATCTTTGTATATTGCTTTTGTTTCAACAAATTTTCTGAACTTTTTAGTTTTGATAGCTTGTAGTCTCATGGGTTTGTTTGCTTGTTTGTTTGCTTGCTTGTTTTTGAAGCAGAGTCTGACTCTCTCACTGTAGCTGGAGTGCAGTAGCACGGTATCAGCTCACTGCAACTTTTGCTTCCCTAGTTCCAGTGATTCTCGTGCCTCAGCCTCCCGAGTAGCTGAAATCACAGGTGTACGCCACCACACCCAGCTAATTTTTGTATTTTTAGTACAGACAGGGCTTTGCCATGTTGGCCAGGCTGGTCTCAAATTCCTGACCTCAAGTGTTGGCCCTCCAAAGTGCTGGGATTACAGGCATGAGCCACTGTGCCTGGCCACATGGGTTGTTTTTTCCCCTCTGTATTGTGTAATTGTGTACAAATGACATCCTTTCTTTCCAATGCTTATAAATTTATATCGTGTTCTTGCATTATTGCATTGGCAATAATGCGAGATAGTTCCAATGAGCATGGCCAACTTTGTCTTATTCATATTTTTAATCGGGATGCATCTTAGTGGAAGATGTGCTGAAAGTCACCACTGAGCATTCATTTTGCTGAGAATTTGTTCCTGTGGGAATTAGCACAAATTTGGGGGAATGTTCTGAATTCTACAATGTAGGCGGTTAGGAATTTTATTCAGTATAATACAGATCAAATGCACAGGGCCTCTAGCTAAGTTTGTGGCTATGGATTATTAAAGGATTAAATACGATGTGACACTCATCCTGCCCCTCGGTGTTCACAACAAACTAAAATGCCAGAAACCACTCATGGGCAATAAATGTTTCTGATGTTTTGGGAGTCATGAGAAGAGGTTTCATTAAAGCCCCCCCCCATAAAAAAAAAATTGTGAGTAGATTCTCCTAAGAATCCTTTCAACTGGCCCCAAGAGGGATTACCCTTGGCCCCTTACCCCATGCACTACCAAAGCTCTTGCCATAATTGCCCTCTTTGTCTCTTTCAGAAGCTCTCACTCCCATAGCTTCAGGAGTCACCATACCTTCTACCAAAAGCCTGGTAAGGTATCCTCCCCCTATCCTAAGAGGAATTTGACAGCAGATGTCAAGAGGAAACATTTTCACCTCCTTATAAATTCCACTATTATTTCGACTTCACAAATAAGAATTTAGTAAGTGATGGAGCTAGAAAATTTTCCGCTTTTGAATCTTTTTTTAATGTTATAAAATACGTAAAGAACAAAAAAGACACTTCTCTACCCACTTCCCCAAATGAAAAATATTAATACATTGTCGTATTTGCATTAATTATTTTTTAAAATAAGCATTACATGTCAAACGTCTCCTAGATTTCTTTTTCTAGTCCTAGTCCTATTCCCCTCCTTTGCTCCCTAAAGCAACATCCATGAACTAGGGATATTTTTTCTTTTTGCTATTGTCTCGTTTTTTGCTGCTTAATGCAAATCTAACTTCAAATTCAAACATTTTTCCACTGTCAACTGTTGAAGCTCAAAAAACTCAGCTGTAGCTGCAAATATGTATTTCAAACCTATATAACCAAAGCAAATGTTGCAAAAGACAATACTGATTTTTCTAAGTATGACAGATTCTGATATTTCCTACTCTTTTATTTCATTTTAAAATACTTGCCATGACCTTCTAAATTTATTTCATAACCAATAGAGAGGGAAAGATTTGCTGTTTAAGAAACATTGCTTTAGAAATATTTATGAAAAGACGAGAGCAATGGAAAAGGCTCAGGGGAGATAGCATTGGAACTAAGGTATTGAAGGTCGAATAGGAGTTATTCAGGTTGAAAAGAGGGGGGGCAAAGCATTCTGAGTAGAAGAAACAGTACATATTAAAAGCACAAGGAGGCAAGAATAAACTTTGGGTTCAGTGAACAGACAGAAATTGTATCCGACTGAAATATAAGTAGAAATTGAGGTGTTAGTCCAGAAAGTTTGGTAAGGACTAGATGTTAGAGGTATTTGTACACCACCATGTTAGAGTTTCAACTGTATTATGAAAATACTGACGAGGCAACAATTGGATTTTAAATAGGTGTTATAGTTAATAGTTAATAGTTATAGTTAATAGTCTCATATAGTTAGATCTGTGTTTAAAAGAGAATTTTAAAAGCAATGTGAAAAATGAAATGGAGTAGGAAAGATTCCAAACTCTTTATCTCCAGCCCAACATTCTATTCTGAACTTCTGATTTATGAGGCTAATTACTTATAATCTCTAGTTGGATGCCCTACAAGTGTCTCATTCTCAGAATGTTCAGAACAACTCATCATTGTCTTTCCTTCAAAGTCTGTCATTCCACTGATTTTCCTTATATAAGTGAATGCCATTCAGAAACCTGAGGTATCCTAACGGTCTTTCTCTACTCCTTTTCCTTCCTCAACTCCCAAGTATAATCAATCTTGTTTAGGTATCCTAAACATTTCTTCTCTTACTTAAAAATCTTCATTTTCTCCCCATTGCCCTCATGGTGGAGTCCAAATCCATAAAATTGTTTAAGTATCTTTGAGCCAGGGCTGTCCTATCTCATCACACATTCTCCTTCTTGCATTCTATGCTTTAATCATCTTGAAGTTCTTTCAGTTCTTCAAACACACCCTGACTACCTCCAGGCCTTCACACATTCTTTCACCCCTCCTCTTTTCATGGATAATTCTTTTTCATCCTTAAAGTTTCACTTATATGTCACTATCTCCAAAGAACCCCTCTCTGGTCCCCACCAAATGAGTTTTTTGCTCCTAATATGTGTTCTCAGTAATATCTTACACTCACCAAGCAAAGCATTTATTGCACTGTATTGTAAATTCTCTTTTATCTCTGGACTATAAGTGTTAAATTGCTTTTATTTTGCTTGTCTTTTTGTCACTTGCACCAAACTCAGTACATGACACATAGGAGTTAATATGTGTATACTGAAGGACAGACTGAAAAAGAGACACCGAAGATTTTTAAATGACATCTCATAGAGTTAGACTGGTATTTTAATGAGAATTTTAGAAGGAATATAAAAAATAAAATGGAATACAAAATATCCCCAAATCTAGAAAAAAATAAGCAGTAAGGAAGCAAAGGATAAGGAAAGAAAGGAACAACAAAAAAAGATTAGAGAGAAAGACTGAGCACAAGTAAGTCTAGTAGAGTTGTAATTTGAATCCCAAAAGGAGATGATGGAGAGGTTGGGACAGAAACAATATTTAAATAAATAATGGCAAAAATTCTCAAAAACTGATACAAAGACATCAAGCCATAGAATTAAGAATAATAATAAATCCCAAGCAGCATAAATACAAAGGAAACCACATCTATGTACATCATAATAAAACTTCAGAAAACAAAATATGGAAGTCATAAGATAATGGAATGATAGCCTCAATGTGCTAGCAGAACTTCTAATCCTGAGTTCTATATTGAGGAAAAATATAACTGAAAGGGTGAAGGTAAAATAAGGACATTTTCTGACAAAAAAAAAAAACTGGAAGGATTCATTAATGGCAAATCCACACTAAGGAAATACTTCAAATAGAAAGAAAATTATCCCACATGAATGCGCAGAGCTATAGAGAGAAGTAAAAAAAAATTGGAAACAATCAAAACATGAACAAACATAAATGTTTACTACACAAAATAATACCGATGTTGTCTTACAGGGTTTTAAATTTAGATAGAATTTAAATACATGACAACTGTATAGTTTCCTAGGGAGGGCTACCTTCACAAAGCACCACAAACTTGATGTCTTAAAACAATAGAAATTTATTCTCTCACAATACTGAGGCAGAAGTCTAAAAGCAAGGTGTTGGCAAGGCCATGCTCACTTTGAAGACTTTAGAAAATTATCTTTCCTTGCATCTTCTTAGTTTCTAGTCATTGCCGGCATTCCTTGATACTCCTTGGCTTGTTGATCCATCGCTGTAATTTCTGCCTCTGTCTTCATATGGCCTTAACTTCCTGTGTGTCTGTGTCCAATTTCTCTCTTCTTTATAAGAATGTCAGTCACTGGGTTAGGGCCTATACTAATCCACCAGGACCTCATCTTAATTTTATTACATCTCCGAATACCCTATGTCCAAATAAAGTCATGTTCGCACGTTCCAAGGGTTAGGACACATCTTTTAGGGAGACACAATTCAATCCATTACAACAGAAATAGAACAAAAGTTGGGAGAGGACTAAATGGAGTTAAAGTTCTCTAAATTTTCTGTTTTTCCAATAGGTTGTAAAAATAGCAACTTATATTAGATTTTAATAAATCAAAAATACATGTTGTAATATAGGATGGAAACTAAAAGAATAGTAGAAGAATGTCGGCCTGGCACAGTGGCTCATGCCAGTAATCCCAGCACTTTGGGAGGCCGAGGCAGGCAGATCACCTGAGGTCAGGAGTTCGAGACCAGCCTGGCCAACATGGTGAAACCCCATCTCTACTAAAAATACAAAAATTAGCTGAGCATGGTGGTGTGCACCTGTAATCCCAGCTACTCTGGAGGCTGAGGCAGGAGAATCGCTTGAACCTGGGAGGCGGAGGTTGCAGTGAGCCGAGATCACGCCATTGCACTCCAGCCTGGACGACAAGAGTGAAACTCTGTCTCAAAAAACAAAAAGATATATGTCATACTTTCATTATAATTCAGTTAAACATATATAATTTCCAACGTAATATCTTCTTTGATACATGGGATATTTAGGGATAATATATCACCAAGAAATTGGGTTTATTTCAGGAATGCAAGGCTGGTTATAAAGAGGAAAATTATATAATCACCTCAATAATAAAAGCATTTGATAAAATATTCACTCCATACCCACAAGAGAACCTTAGAATATTAGGACTAGAAAGAATTTTCTTAATCTGACGAATGATATTTGCAAAACTCCTAAAGCAAACGATATCATACTTAACGGTGAAGTAGGTGCAGTGGCGAAAGATTTTTCCTTGAGGTCCTGAGCAAGACAAGAATTCTCTTTATGATGACTTCTATTCAACATTGTACTAGAAGTCTGCGTGAAATAAGGCAAGAAAAATGAATATACACATACTAATTACCCCATAAACCAGCAATTTCATTCCCAAGAACTATATATATTTAACAAATATATACATATGTGCACCAAAATATACATACAATAATGGTCTGAGTGACTGTATTTGTAGTAGCCAAGAACTAGAAGCAATCCAGGTGTTCATCAATTATTTAATGGATAAATAAATTATACTGTGTTCATACAATCCCATAGGCAATGAAAATGAATGAACTACTGCTACATGCAATAATATCAGTGAATCTCATAAGCATACTATTGAACAAGAAATGTCAGACAAAAAGGAATGTGTATTGAATGATTTTTGCGTATATAAAATTCAAAAACATACAATATTGAACCATGGTGTCAAAGGTCAGAATAATCGTTATCTTTGGGAGAAGAAAGGAGTAATATTTAGAGGTTACCAAAAATGCTTCTAGAACACTGACATGTTCCATTTCTTGATCCAAGTGGTGTTTACAAGTATGTTTTACTGGCTTCACCATGCTGTAAATTATGATTTGTGAACTTTCCTTCATGTATATTAATACTTAAATACATTTTATTTTAAAAAACTTAACAATAAAAACTGGTAAGGGAAGAAAGCATGGTTCCATTAATGAGCATGGACAGCTTATATACTGACAAGGAGGGACAAAGAAAATCTAAAAAAAAAAACACGTTGATGAACTCAAAATGAATATTAATAACATGAAGCTTATTCAGTGTAAGAGAAAAACAGTCTTAACCATTAATAAGCTTAAACCCATCATTATGTTGCAGTGTCTTGGGAATTAATTTTAATATAGTTTGTCATAGCTCAGTCATTTCCAGAAATACCTCATAGCAGAGAAAGCTAATTGCAGCCCTTAAAATATTCTTCCTTTATACACAAGATTCACAGGTCCAGGGAAATTTAGACACATGGCCATCAATAATAAGAACTGTTTTTCTCAGCCTCTGCTGCAAATAGTAGGATTATGTGTCAACATCCTATATAATGGAATGTGAACAGAACTTGTATCTACAACATCTGGATCATGCCCTGGGAGTGTGTGCTCCCCTGTGCCTTCTCTATGGCATGACCATGGGGCTAGAGCTGCCACATTTCAACTGAGAGATGAAGCCATGAGCTGAGGATGGAAGAGCCACCCAAAGTGCCCTGTACTGGCACATGTCCAGACTGTTAAATGAGAGAGAAATACTTTTGTTTATGCCATTTTTAAGTTGGATCTGTGTCTGAGCCAGATGGCCCATAGAATTAAGCTACCATTTCAAGATTTAGTTTCCCTTAATAGGCTATTGGTTAAAAAGAAAACAAAAATCACAGCCAGAACAGACATTTTTTAAGATAATTAGGTGAATTTGAATACAGAATGAATATTAGACATTGAGTCATTGTGCTTTTCTTAGGTGTGTTAATTGTGTTGTGGTTATGTTAGTTGTTCTTAGGAGATTCATACTGAAATCTTACTCTCTAATGGTCTGGTCATGTAGGCATATATAGATATAATGTGTCTGGGCACAGTAGCTCACACCTGTAATCCCAGCACTTTGGGAGGCCGAGGTGGGTGCATCACTTAAGGTCAGGAGTTTGAGACCAGCCTGGCCAACATGGTGAAACCCTGTCTCTACTAAAAATACAAAATTAGCAAGGTGTGGAGCATGCCTGTAATCCCAGCTACTCGGGAGGCCGAGGCACAAGAATTGCTTGAACCCGGGAGGTGGAGGTTGCAGTGAGCCAAGATCGCATCATTACACTCCAGCCTGGGCAACAACAGCAAAACTCCATTTCAAAAAATAAATAAATAAATAAGATAATGCAAATTTGGCAAATATTAATGATTAAATCTGGGTGATAAGTATACAAATTTGGTTATATTATTCATTAACATTTTCTGTATGTTTAAATTTTTCACAATAAAAATTTGAAATAGTAAAATAAATAAGACCAATTTTTTGATAGAATCTAGTATGTACCAGGAGCTGTTAGAGCACAAAGGCAAGGCCCTGAGTACAGCACGAAGGAGTCGTCAGAATGAAGGCTAACGGCCCTTTAACACAGCAGATAAGTTTACATTGTGTTGCCATTATTCATCCTACACCTAGAGAGAATGTGCTTTCTTCTTGCTCTGATTAGCTTGTAGATTATCGACAATTTTGCCAGCGTTCTTCTGTAATTCAAGTTAAATGACAGAAACTAGTCTGAAGATAGTATTTTGCATTGTTTCGAGTTGATATTGTGAGCATATTCAGTTTAATGTACTTTATTTGTTCATGGTTGAATGCGCTTTGCCTGTCTTCTGCAATCCATCTCATATACTGCAGTGGAATTCATCTTAATTGTGGACTCTGCACCTGCTACTGTCTTCTATGTAAATGTTATCATAGTAATAATAATGATGATGCTCCTTTGTTTCTGAGTGTGGCAAAGCCACACTGTGAAAAACTAACTGCTAGAAAATAAATAAAAGCAGAACATAGATAACCTTACGCAGGAATGAAACACTTAAAATCTCATCAATGTGAGCTCCACATTAAGATCATATCTATAGAATTTTACTTAAGCTGGACTGTGGGCTCATTATAATTTAATAGATCTGACTTATCTGTCTTAGGATCAAAGTATATTTTTCCCATAAGAAATTGCCTCCAATACAAGTTTGAGATTTTTGAGTTTTTCCTTATATATTCCTCAGATTAGTGTCTGTTCTGTTTATTGATGTTTGCATGTATTGCATGGTTTAAATTTGTCAGACTAGGAATTTGGAATAACATGACGTTTCTGTGAATAGGCAGAGTATTAGTCAATATTATATACATATAAACATATATGGCTAAATTAGTCAATGACATAACTAGAAATTATATGAGTTAATGTATAAAAAATGTTAAATGAAAAAAACTGACTATCCAGAGGGATAGAAAAAACTCATTACTGTATTGGACCACTTATCATCAGACTGAGTAGAAAACAATAATTTGAAGGAACATTGCAAAATACTAACGGGTCCTGTGCATATTCTATTATCAAATAATTTTTCCAAAAGAAACTTTTATATAAAGGAAAATTTTACTGCATCGTATATTCAAAAGTAATAATTTTTCTCTTCCCTTGCTTACTTTCAGAAAATTTAGATTAAAAAGTCACCATATTTCTGCAGGACTTTTTAAAAAAAGAATAGACAAGTAAGAACAGTTTATGTGCTGCTTCTTACAATTGAAATAAACGTTTCTTTAATGGCTGAATAATGAATTCCAAGGTATTAGTCTTAGTAACAGAATAATTAGGTAACATTATGACCAGATATTTTATTTCAAAACATTTCAATATTACAAAACAAGTGTTTTAAATTGTCCTTTAGTTATGAAAGATTGTAACCTTCTTTACAGAAATAGATGTCCATTTCTTTACACAAGTAAAAAATATGATTTCAGAAATTCAGGGGATTTAGATTAAAGTTACTAGGTGCTAAATGCTTGAGGCTCAAAAAAAAACCCAAAATTGCCATTACCCACTGACATGGAAACAGACAGACACCACCACTACTGACAGTCCTGTCATTCAATTTCAAAAACTTGTAGATGGGAATTTTCTACAGATGTTTGTAGCTCTAAAATATAGAGTACACCATTTCTTGAGGATAAACTTTCAGGGTACAATTGAAAACCTTTGTTCTTAGATTAGTCAGTCTGGAAGGACATACATAAAATATTTACAAGGTCTATTTCATGCCAACAAACTGCTCTAGAAGATTAGCCAGAGTCTTCTTATATCTAAGCCACTGCTTATAGTAAGGAAAATATCTTAGAAGCCTATTTATATTCTAGGTTCATAACTTACTATTTAGCAAGTTTATACTGTGATGTGCCAAACAGCATCCTGATTCTTTAGATTCAGAATCCTATTTGTGGCTAAGAAAATTACCGTGATAATCAGAAACACTCTTCATTTTTGTTAATCTTCCTTGTAGATCACATTTTCACTTCCAGCTTTGGATATTGTTTCTCTGTAATAAAATACCAGCAATTTAACTTGATAATTCTTCTGAGCTTGCATGGAAAAAGAAAGGCTTAGGTATGACTGAGGATATTTTCCTGTTTTATTTTGTTTTTTTCCAAAGGAGCTCATTATCGTCTACACCTAGGATATTATTTCGTTTTCTTCTCTTTTGTTTTACAGGAATAAAAATAACACTCATCTTTGGTCTAGAAGTAATTTGTACTTGGTATCATTCAATTCAACACTATTTTAGTTTGATACACTTGCTTCATATCTGGAAATTATATTTAAACAAAGTGACTTTCAATTCCTGCTTAAGTAGATGAGAGTAAGGAAGGCCACCATATCTGTCACCTCATTCATCACCAGGCTGGAGTTGACTGACATAGCAGGCGAAGCATCATCCCCTTCTGTCACATCCCTCCTGATGCAGCCAATTGCTGGACCTCCCTCCCCTAGCTACTTTGTCGTTATGGCAGTTCTACATATAGAAAGCATTTGAGGAATTTTACAGGCTGGTAAAATTATTCTGCAAACCTCCATTTTAAAAAATATATCTTCCAGATGGATATTTTGTGTCCCAAAATTTTGACTAATTATGTCCTGAAATATATGCTTCCTTTTAGAATGATTCATTGGAAACTTGAACTTCATAAGAATCAAATAATACTTTTCAGGTGGTTTTTAAACCACTTTGTTCAAGTCTCCCCTAAATACTATCCTGAAGCCACAAATTTCTTCTTCAAGTGAAAGAAAATCCTTTTGTTGTTAGCTTATTCCAGGATTTGTTTTAACATGGAAAAATCAATACTTGGAATACTGGACTGAACTCTTGCCCTTCCCTACCTAGCCTCTCTCCTTTTTTTAATTATTTTTTTTAATTTTCAGGGTCTAAGAAAAAGAAGACATCTGAGTCACAAAAGCAATAAGCAGTCAACTCAACCTTTAAAGGTAAGTAACTGTATTGCAAATTTGCTTTCTCCACAGAAAAATAATATGACTAAAGTAATGGGCAGAAATGTCTTTGAAAGTCATCAGAACATGGGTTGTCCTTATATATTCCATAGTCACTAATTTTCTGTTAAATATTTATGTTGCCTTTAGAGCCATCAGTTTTTGTCTTCATGTTGAATGATAAGCTTTCTAAGAATGGGAAATTGGAAATGTCACATCTTTACTTTTTGCCCCATATCCTCAATTTATCCTTGTTGATGGCTAAGCAATGAGCCCTTGAACTCCAGAGTCACTTCAAACACTCAAAAAACAACTCTGCAACTACACCAGTACATTTTAATTCCTATGAGCAAGAGAGTATTAATTACATCACAGAAATCACTCTGGCTAATGAGACTGCAGCTGTTCTCACTTGCTAAATGATATTGTATCATTTAATGAGTCAATTCCTATGTTGTATCATCTCTTTTTCACGATGATATCAACTAAGTAATTGAGGAATATCTCAACAAAGTTGGTTTTCTGTCTTTTAAGTGGTTGAGTTTAAATGCTTCCCTAAATAGCTAATGACAAGGTGGTGTTTTGATGAAGATTCCTTTTGGTTTGTGTCTTTCTCTAGTTCACATTCTTTGTTGCCCTCGTTCACTACTGGTCTATTTATATGTTTTCTTGTTGTTGTTGTTGTTTTCTGCCTAGGCTTCCTATTCTTTACTTGACTTAAGATGAAAACTACAGCCACGTGAACCCTAACTTGTTGGTATTCTGGACTCTCCTGGTAGAAATGACTTAATTTTACTACTCCATACAGCCTACTGGCTCTCCGGGTTTCTCCAGCTCTCCTCATGTATGCACAAGCCTATCAGGTTCTGTCTGATTGCTCAGCTGTCCAGTTTCTTTCAGCCTGTCTCTCCCTAGATTTTCCCTAATTGTCATCTTCTATTTTTCTGAAAGTCAACTGCTCTTTGTCAAGCCCACTCTCTCCATTCCTATAGCATCATATCCTTGAACTGCCAACTTCCTGAAAATGTGATAGCCACAACTTCTCTATTCAAAGCCTCCTTCACAGACATTTCTAGGACATTGGGACTGAAAAGGGACTTATCCAACCATTTTCCTTTAGGGCAAAAGAAACTGCAGTCTGAAGAGGTTATTTACCAAAATTAACCAGTAATTAACCACAAAGCCAGAACTAATCCCAAGGTATTTTAATGGCAAGAATTGTATTACTGGGAGCCAAGAATTCAGATTTGGCTCCTAGTAATATAGTCCTTGCTCCCGGAGATCCTGAGTTATGTCTACCTGGTGATCAATTTCCTTCAGTTGTCATAAGCTTTAGTAGTGTGCAATTGAAATGCAAAGAATGAGGTCTGAAATCTGCCCAGGCATTTAGCAACAGCACTTCCATAATTTGATTATGTTTCACTCCCTGTAGCCAGAGAGAATTCTACTGAATTTGCATATGAGTTGGAAAGGGGACATTTTATTGTATACAAAAAAAAAGGGGGGGAATTTTTTATGTTTTGCTTGGAAAAAAATGTTCTGAATCATCCCATTGGATATTGAATAACAATTTGGCAGAGGTTTTTAGCCTTCGTTGATCTTCCTCGGTTATTATTTTGCTTAACTACCACGGTAAAAGACTTGTTCATTGATCCTCTCTGTGGCATATTCTTTGGTAGCTTTGATTTTTTAAAAAAATCTGCCCACCCTGTTTTGAAAAGTTCTGGGCCTCCTAAGATGCCTTACTTCTGTTTTCTCAGAGCTCCCACCCCCCTCTGGTGGTATCTTCAGAGTTGATCATCAATGTGCCCTTCACTGTGCCCTTCTGAAGCCTTACTGGGAGCAAAATTTTACTTATTCAGTTTAACTGTTCATGAGTGGATGATTTATCTATTGCTATCAGCTCCTGAGTCGGACTTGTCAGTTTGTGGAAAATTGTTCAGAGATGAGGCAATTGTTTGTTTGGTTCTTACTGGTATTCATGAGCATCCTTGGCAACCTGTAATGCTGGACATTTGGATAGCATTTCATGGCTTTACATTATGTCACTTGAGCCTTTGAGGTAGGCAGGGCTGATACTATCTCCAGTTTATAGCTAAAGAACCTTCAGATCAGAGAGATTAAGTGACTTGCCCAAAGTCACTTAGATAGTAAGTAGCAAAGTTAAGACTAGAATCTCAACATGATGCCATTGCTCTTCCACACCACTCTGCTAATTAACCTTTAAGATTGTCTTTGTCTTTTTTCCCCACTCAAATTTGTCTGAAAGAAAGAAACACCACACATTTAGAAGCAGGACCAGAAGAAACATTTTCATTCACAAAAGGAGGAGTGGGCTACCACTGTTCCAAACTGCAAGAAAGATTTAGGTTCTACTTCTAAAATTGCTAATTTAACAGAATGCCAATTACAGAGACAAACAAGCAATGAAAGTTCGATCTCATGGCTGGGCACAGTGGCTCACACCTGTAAACCCAGCACTTTGGGAGGCCTAGGCAGGTGGATTACTTGAGGTCAGGAGTTCAAAGGCAGCCTGGTCAGCATGGTTGAAACCCCATCTCTACTAAAAATACAAAAATTAGCTGGGCATTGTTGCACATTCCTGTAGTCCCAGCTACTCGAGAGGCTGAGGCAAGAGAAATGCTTGAACCCGGAAGGTGGAGGCTGCAGTGAGCTGAGATTGCACCACTGCACTCCAGCCCGGGCAACAGAGTGAGCCTCTGTCTCAAAACAACAACAAAAACAAACAAACAGACAAAAACAAAGTTCAATCTCGAGTTTATTTGACCACTAATTACATTTCTGTGCAACAACTGATTAAAAGCATGCAATGTGCTCAGAGTCAGGCTCTCAAATGCTCTCCTTACTCAGTACCTTACAAAGAATGTGTGGGCATTCTGTTGTGTGACTAATGAACAGTGTCTGTGGGCGATGCCAAAGAATGCCACAGAAACAGAACTTTTCGCAAGTTAAGAGAATTCTGGAAAGGCCAGGTAATTTTCCTGTGTGGCTGCCACCTGTCGTGTGAACGTTTAGACTTGCTAGGAAATACTGAGGATTCTCAAAAAAAGTATAAAAATGGAAGAAAGAGCAGGGGAACAAATGGGTCTTGTTACAGATCACCAGAACTGTCCTCAAGAGTATGCAATTGCTTAGGACCCATAGAAAGCACCAACATTGCAAACACAGCATATAAACTCACAACCAGTAAACGCTCTTACACATAGGAGGCATTCCTAATAAAAGTGCTGGTGATGGAGTCTTTTCATGAACTGAGCTATGTTCACATATCTCTTACTGTCCTCAGTGGTCTAAACTGGACAGTCCAAACATGGGATATTCTTCTAGCCCTCCAAGGAGTGTTCCTTGGGACCTGACAAGAAGTTTTTATAACAGTTTCTCCTGGGGCCACTTTTTGTCAATGGGGAGTTGGTATTTAACCCCCAGAGAGAGGGACTAATATTTAATGCTCTTTAATGTGAAACCTGCCCTAAAGGAGTTTTGAAAGTCTAATAGTTACATTTTCTGATATCAGTGTTTTCTATCTCTACTTTGTGGCATATTCCTTCAATCTCTGCACTGATAATATGTTTCTCCTCTCAGCCCCAAGCTGATCTATCAATTTCCAAAATTTTTCAGTCAGTTGAAATTTCATGAATTTTTTTTTCCCACAACCTCCTTCTTTCAAAGAAGTACACTGTGCACTTCTTGTTAGTTACCCTGTTCTTGTTTTCCCAGCTTTACCTTTATGGTGTCATGGTCCAGTTGTATGGAAGAGTAAAAAGACCTGCAATCTAGGCTCCCTGCCATGCTGGCCAAAGACATTCCACAACTTAAAGAAAATCAAATGCCTGAGCAAACGTAGCGGGTTCCGCTTTCATAGAGGAGGCATAGAACACAAACATCTCAGGCTGTAATGCCTCCTACTAAGACTTCTACAGAAAATTCAAGCCTGCTGCACACAGGAAAACAAAGCTTGTTTTTGTTTTTTTTTTTTTCTATCACACTTTAAGTATGTTACCTGGTTTCTTTCAAGTCTGGGGCACACCTAAAATATTTAAAGGAAAAGATAATTAGGCACTACTCAAGTACCAGCAAGAAGAAAATGAAGGGTGTGAACATTTAAAAATGGGTCAGTAAACTGGCTGCCTCCAAACAATTTTGATCCCCATATTCAAAACCAGAAGTAAACAGTATCCATACCCAGATAATGAAATATAATAGCTAAGCTGCTTAGGCATAAAAGAGCCCTGAACATCATAAATCACCATTAAACTGTAAACTAAACAAGTGCACATTACAGAGTTGAGTTCACAGGGAAAAAAAAATGAATAATCCTTTCACCTTGGCAAAAGTTGAGTTCTCATAATTTCCTCCCATGGCTGGGCACTGTGGCTCATGCCTGTAATCCCAACACTTTGGGAGGCCGAGGTGGGAGTTCAAGACCAGCCTGGGAAACATAGTGAAACTCTGTCACTACAAAAAAAATTTAAAAAACAGCCGGGTGTGTTGGCACCTGGCTGTAGTCCCAGTTACTTGAGAGGCTGAGGCTAGAGGATCATTTGAGCCCAGGAGGTTAAGTCTGCAGTGAGCTAGGATCATGCCACTGCACTCCAGCCTGTGCAGCAGAGCCAGACCCTGTCTGAAAAGACAACAAAAAAGAATTTCTTTCCTGCTGTTACTGTCGTGCATCTGTGAGTATGATCAAGACCTGATGATTCTGGGTCTTAATTTAAGGTTAATATGAATGGAAAGACTCTGAACACCTTTACTTCATATTGCTATAACAACTGAAGCATTCCGGTCAGAATTACATTTCACCAGGCATTGCCATTAATTTTTTTGCTCAGGACAATAATATCCAAGTCTAGAGAAAATGAAGATGCCTAGCATGTTGCAACCAACCTTCATCACACAGGAGAGGAAGCCAGCAGCAAGCAAGCAAGAAAATAGTTTCTTTTAGATAAAAAAAATAATTCCTTAGGACTTTACTGTCACCATTTCTGAAAGAAAAAGCTAGAGTTAGTGGACAAGTTAAAGTATTTGTTTTCTAAGCAGTTGAGAAAAAAACATTGGTCAAAAGCAAAACCAGCACAGTCTTTATTTTGTTCACATGAAGTGCCCTTGTGACTTCAGTCTTTTATATCCAACCCAACTATCAAGTCTACAACTTCCACAGTTTCTACAGATGCATTTTCCAAAAGCATATGTGTCAGGAATTATGAATCTTGGAGTCTGTCTGATTCTCTACAGTTGGAATCTGTCTCCTTGAAGTATGGGGTTAATTCAGCTTCCTAATGAAAGAATGAGTTAAATTTCTACGGAGTAACCAGCTGGGAGTTTTTAAACCTGCCTACACTTATCTAAAATTTGCCAAAAAAGTCTCACCTTTCAGCTTGTGATACTTACTATGTGCAAAATCCCATGGACAGAACAGGAAATGACAAAGGAACAAAAATATTTTAATTAAATAATGTAATGGAGCTACCTTTTAAAAATGCCATCCTCAGTCCTTATTCTACAGCTATCTTATTCTATACCTATCAACAGTCTAAAAGTTTAAAAAAATGAAATATGCCAATTATTAATGTTGACCCTATTTGTAGTGAGAAAGTATGATTGCTTCAGATTCTGTGACAATATCCTGCCTATTCCTTGTAGCTCTATTTAAATTGATTCATGTATATTTATATAGCATATACAGGAAGATATGGTGCATACTTTCTTGGAGTTTGAGGGGAAGGAGAGAAGTGAGAATTTTTCCCCAATATCTTCTTTTAAAAGATTAAAAGTAAAATAACCCAAAAATTTTATCAGTGGTGACCATGAAGAGAAATTCATTGAGTTTTGTTGGTTTATTACACCCAAGCACCAAGAGCTAAAAATATATTTTTAAAAATATGCCAAGGGATTCAAACATATGCATTTTTTTTTTTTCAGATGGAGTCTCACTCTGTTGCCCAGGCTGGAGTGCAGTGGTGTGATCTCCACTAACTGCAGCCTCCGCCTCCCAGGTTCAAGTGAGTCTCCTGCGTCAGCCTCCCGAGTAGCTGGGATTACAGGCATCCGCCACCCTGCATGGCTAATTTTTGTATTTTTAGTAGCAACGAGGTTTCACCATGTTGGCCAGGCTGGTCTCGAATTCCTGACCTCAGGTGATCTGCCTGCCTTGGCCTCCCAAAGTGCTGGGATTACACGCATGAGCCACCATGCCCGGCGCAAACATATGCTTTTGTTGCAGGACCTTTCCTTAGTTTAGCTAAAGACGGGGTTCTTGTCTGTTCCACAGCCATGAAAATTTAGGCTCGCAGATGGTTAAAGGGTGAGTAAAGCAGGGTTTTATTGGGTGAAAGGGGGGTTAAATGGGAGAAACAGGGATCCTCTGCAAGGCCAGTCCCCTGCTACAGTGCTTCCCGCCGGCCGTTGAAATACCAGGTTCCACACAGGAAGAGGAGGGGCCGGTCTCATCCTCGCTGCAAAGGGCAGGAACCCAAGGCTCCACCTCAGTTGCAGGCTGATTGGAGTTTTTCCAGGGAACCCCTCCCACCTGGCTGACTCACTTTTGTACTAGTGTTCATAGACTATTATTCACAAAAGCCCAAAAATAGAAACAACACGTGTTCATCGACAGATGAATGGGTTTTTTAAAATCTGGTGTATAATACAATGAAATGTTATTCAGTTATTAAAAAAATGAAGTTCTAATACATGCTACAACGTGGATAAACTTTGAAACATTATGTTAAATGAGATAAGCCATACACAAAAGGATAAATATTATGTAATTTCACTTATCTGAATAAAAAATGTATAGAGATGGAAAGTATAACAGAGTTTACTAGGGGCTGTGCTGGAAAGGGGAGAATGGAAAGCTATTATTTAATGGGTATAGAGTCTCTGTTGGGGATGATGAGAAATATTCAGGAAATGGATAGAGATGATGGTTGCACAACATTGTGAATGTACTTAATGCCACTGAATTGTACACTAAAATGGTTAAAATGGTTTACAAAGTACTTCTAATAAAATATAGCTAGTATTTCCAAGATGGAAGAAAATCATATTCTAGTCTCAAGCCTCTGAGAAGATATCCATTGCTCAACAAAACAACTTTACGTATACTTTCTGGTTATACTGCAACATAAATATTTTCTAGTTGCTGGGCCACACCGTTGACATTATTTCCTCATTTTTGGACACTCCGGAGCAGACTTGTACATTTTCAGAAAACTGTCAATAACATTTTTTGCCACTTTGCACCATTAAGTGTTATCTTTGAATCAGGTGTTGGCCAAATCGTGTAGACTGTTCCGTTTTGTTCATGGTTACTATGGAAACTGTGCAGTCATAATGTTTTGAGGAGACTAGCAGGAAATTTAAGAGTGTACAATAAAAGTTAACTTATTTCATGGTTTAAAATTTCTTCCAGCTGTCTCCATTTGTGATGATTATCATGTTCACATTGGGAGTATAAACATACAACCAAAAGGGCTCTGGTGACTATGGCCAATAAGCCATCTCACCCCTAACAGACTTCCCTCCCAACCTCTTTTCCTCAAAGATTTGTAATAGGAACACGTGAAACAAGTGGTATGTAAGGTTCAGGTGTTTTCAATTATTTCCCTCCTATGAACAGAGGTTTCCTGGATCCAAAACATGTTTCAGCTCAAAGGGTTTTCCTTATTTTTGAAGATGGTGTTATCTCAGGAAAATTTCATCTACATATCTCTGATTCATTGATCTTCATCAATAAAGCATCTCCTTGGAGCTCTTCTACACAATTATTTCCTCCATGAGTAGCCAAAAATGTGGTATATTTAAGTATTTATTTTGTGAAGTGTGCTCTTAGAAAGTATATAACCTTTGCCCTTGCAAGAAAGAGAGAAATGAATGCTCAGCACTGGGATTTGTGGTAGATTCCTTGTCAGTTACATCACCACAGGGCATTCCAGCACAATGCCTCCACTATCTTGCTGCTCAGGAACTGTCTAGTAAGGCATAGGTGAGGGAAGATAGACTCATCTCTGATGGTATAAATAATTAACTGCCTAAATGTTGATGTTCATGCAGGACTATTCAGGCATTATAAAGAAAGAATGTGTTTTTGCAGCATTTTATTTTCCTAAGTTTCTATGAATAAAAGCTAAAAGATTGATTTTTAGGTTTCAACAGCCTTAGATAGCAATGGGCTTTATCTTATGGTGTCAGAAATTTGCCACTTCATCATCGCCCTCTGCAAGTTAGCAACAGCACTCTGTTTATAAATATCTTGCAGGAATTGTGAGTGTTACTTCATTAACATTTGAATGAGTAGCATTAATAATATTCATTTTAGGGAAACAAATTCATCTACAGATGGATGAACTAGATGAATACAATGAAAAATAAATCCAAAACTTTACCTACTGCTTTATACCCCCAAATAGATAAGCATTTTAAACTATCCTGCCTACACACACACACACACACACACACACACACACACGTACACACTTTATGATTTTGGCAGGAAATAGTAAAAGAAAATATGAAATGGTAAGCACTGGTCCTATGATAATGTTTTTGATTAATTACCAATGAGCTTTGAAGAGAAATCCAAATTCTCAGATAAGTATCAGGGCTAGAGTTCTTTTAGAGGGCAAACTTTTGCTATTCTTGGCCCTTCCTCCAGTGTCTAAGTAGAGGGGACATTAGCACTTAACCAATCTAAGTTTTACATTCGTAATAACAATACAACTTTGCAGCAATTGTTGCTCAAAGGGTACAAAGCTTCAGTTAAACAGGATGAACAAGTTCTGGAAATCTATTTTACACCCCAGTGACAGTTAATAATGATGTATTGTATACTTGAAAGTTGCTAAAAGAGTAGATCTTATATGTTTTTGCCACGAAACAAATGTTAAGTATGTGAGCATAAATGTTATTTTGATTGAATTAATCATTTCACAATATATAATTAATCATTTCACAATGTATACATACCTCAAAATACCATGTTGTACACTGTAAATATTTACTATTTTTATTTTTCAATCCTATGTTAATAAAGCTGGGGGAAAAAAATAATGTGACTTTGTGCTTAGACAATATAGATGGTTACCACTTAATTATGCTTATGAGAGTACTGACTTAAAATATATCTATATAAATTTATTCATAATCATATTCTTTGGAATACATTATGGAGACAAACCAGAGACAAGTAGAAATTTTGTTTTATTTTTGAGGTTTTGCTTTCCTAAACTTTTACTTTTCGTAGGCCAACGATAGTTTCAGTATATTCAATGCCATAAGATTATCAGCCTGTTATTTAAATTTTACAGCAATATGAAAAAATGTAAAACTTTTGGAATTGTTTGAGAATAGTATTATTCTGTCCTAAATAAGTTATGTATGTATCGGGATTATGGTCCGGAAAATGAGGGGAAAGTTTCTCTAAATAAGAAGTCAATATGATTACGAAGTGACCAAATTTTACCTTAATATCAACAGATTGCAAAGGTCAGTAATAAAACTCTTCTCTACCTTCTATCTGCATAGCACATTGTGTTTTATATTAGTCAATGAATAGAGTTCAGACAGAAGGAGGAACGTAGTCACAGGAGCATAACTACCACAAGAAATGGTTTTCAAGTTTATGTCTTATGCCTCCTACTATGCAGAAAACAAGGAGCCTCCTGGATAGGTTGGGGTGGGGAAGGAATCCACTTCCACGACTCCCCATTCACATGGTTGGCAAAGCGGTCCTGACAGCACATTCCTGTCCACAACGTCCTCTCCTTAAGGCAGCTGGGGCTTCCTCACACCTGGTCCCTAAGTTCCAAGGGTGAGTGGCCTAAGAAACAGGAAGTGGGAGCTGCCTATTTCTTAGGGTATGGATGCAGAAACCAACAGCATCCCTCAGACATGTTCTATTTGTCAAGCAGTTACAGAGCCTGGATTCAAAGGGAGGGAATATAGAACTCACCTCTCTGTAGAAGGCCTGTCAAAGGATTGTGTGCCATTTTAAACCCATTATTATTTGTAAATTGCCAACCAATTACTACTTTTCAACTTGATCTTGCCTTTCTAAATGCATTGGGAACGGGAATGTCTGCCCCAATCACTGACAATAAAATATATTCCAAGTCCACCCCAAATTCAGTTGGTGGACCCATTGAATCCTGATGTTTCAAAGAATCAGAACAAAGGAAGAGACTATGGCCTTTTATGTTTTGGGTGGGTATATTGTGAATTTAATTGAAACAAGGAGAATCTGTTTGAATACTTCTCTGAAGCAACAATTGGTTCTACAGATTATAAATTAACTCTTAATTCCTCGCACCACCTTTGTAGGACCCCTCAACATCTTTCCCTCTTCGTTTAGTCACTAAAATCCAGTGGGATTAGCTGGAGATATACTGTGAAGGGCTTGTAGTTTTGTTTAGTTTTTACCTTTCAAGCTTATTTTTCCCTGTTATGCATTGTAATCATCAGATATTTTTTGAGCATCTATTATACACTAAGCATGAAAATAATGTGTAAGAATAATACATTGTTCATACCTTTAAAGAAGTCATAGACCAGTGGGAAAGATACTTGTAATCAAATATTTAAAGAATCATAGAAGTACTACAACAAAACCAAATACAAAATCCTGAGGGTTCTTTGAAGAACAATAATTGCAGATAGGTGCCAAGGAGCTGATTTTAAGAGACAGGCTAGATGTTTCAGGCTAATGGAGAAAAGGAAGGCTGATCAGGACATGCAGCAAATACATGGAACACACTGGGCAGCTTTAAGGAATGGTCATTTATGTTGGTACGTTTAGAATATGGAATAAAAGAAGGAACAAGGAGATGAGTCCAGAAAAGTAGATTGTGAGCTTTGTATTCTGGGGCCAAGTGTTTGAACATGCTCCCATAAGTTATAGAAGAGAAAGAGTAATCCCAGCTTCTCCTTTGGAATCCAGCAGCATGTAGGATAGTGAGAGATGAAGATAGAATTTGTTCCACTATAAAATAGCGGTTATTTTTCTAAGAAACCTCAACCTTTTCAATCTTGCTTTTTATGACTTGCTTGAAAAAAGGTTTACCAAAGAAAATATGGATCATAGCATTTCTAGCTCACATGTATAGATATAAAACCTAAAAATCATTGATTGATCAAATACAGTGATGACATCTAGCTTTGGCTTCAGAGTAAATGTCTGCCTTTGTTATCAGCATAGACTTCTTAAAATTCTTCTCTCCTTTATCATCTACTATCTGAATGAACAAAGCATAAAATATTCGTGACAAGTTTTTTTCCCCTAAAAATTCAGTGTTAAGCCAATATCAATCTATACAATGCAACTCATGATCCCTAATTAATAAATTACACATTGTTCCATCTCCGCTATGAAAATATGCTATAGGGAAATTGACATGTGCAAGGAGCTGTCTCAGGAAGTAAGAAGGACATCCTTTAAGAGTATCAACCTAAATTGAAAAGTTGGCTTGAATTATTATGCTAAGCCTATGCTATAACATTTTCAGGTAAAAACTTGATGGATATTCCAGTCTTAAGACTTTTGAAAAAATGTGTTCATAAGATTGACTGATATGTTCTTCTAAACTTGTCCTGCTGGTTTTGCCAAAATGCTGCACCATTTAGTTCACATTACTGTTCAAGATCCCACAATGACTCTTACTTTCCCATAGTTTGAAATCTAAAGTAAACTCTAATGTTTGCTAAGTTTTCTGGTTGATTTCTGGACGTATATCTCTCCCTTCTGTGTTTATTTGTGCAATCACTGCCTCAATTAGCACCTTATTTTATGTAAATTATCAACTCCCTAAATGTTCCCAAGGACTCCAGCTTGCTAAAGTTACCTTATCCTTTTAAAAGGCTAACAAAAAATTGGCTTGTAACCTGCCCCCACAATGGGAAACCTATTGTCTCTCCTAATAACTCTGAGGAATGTTGATTGTTTAGGGGTTAAGCTTCCCTGGTCACTAATGACCTCCTGGTGAATTCCCCATGGTCTATCCCTGTGTTGCCTTCTGTGCATGCTGTTCTTTCCCAGCAGCACATCACCATCAGGCTGGCACCACCTCAAATCCTCCAGCACCAAACTACTTTCTACACAAGACTGTATGTGTCCAGCCCACATTGCCTTGGGGCAATAGAGAGAATTTGTTACTTGGTCTATAACCCAGCAAATAACTTAGAACTGAAAGTTTATTGTCTCTGAAGTCTTTTGGGCATTCCCATCTCTAGCAATTTCTCAAGGACTTTCTCCCCATACAGGCACGTTACGTTGCTCCATCAACCTTCCTTTCTCGTCTCTTTTCCTTAGCTTCATAGTCCAGTTCTAGCTCCTCCCCACCACCCCTCTGTAGACTTTCCTGTTACTTCTCTTATAGAAAGTTTCTCTTTCAAGCTTTTTTGGTTAAATAAGGTTAGTCTTGTTCCAAAAGAAACACATTTCAGATACAATGTCTGCTTCATACTGCATTATACCCATTGCCCCACTCTCTTGATCAACATTTGATTTTCTCCGTATAAAATGCTAAGTTTCCTTTGGTAATTATTTTATAGAAAAAAGGGGAAAAAATGATCAAGCACCTATGTGGTAATCAGCCACTGAACTAGATACTTTTAACTAGTTATCATTTCATCCTCAGGCGGCACTGGGCCCCAACACCAGTAGCCAGCTAGAGCTCATCTGTAGCTGCTCCATCTCTATCTGGCAAGAGCCATATGGTTTGCCTCAGTCAATTATTGATTTCACTTTTATAAAGGCATGCCACTTTGCCTTTTGTAACCCTGGAATTGTGTTTGTCAAAGACTAGTCCTTACAGCAGTTGCATTGCATTAGGTGGGAGTTTGTTAGAACTCCAAGATCTTAGAACCCACCCAGACCTACCAAATTAGAATCCACATTTTAACTCTCTTCCTGGGTGGTTAGTGTGCACATCAGATTTAGAGAAGCACAAATCTCCATATATTACTAGGTTCACAGTATCTTTATAGATTCTTGTTGATTAATGTCTGTATTCAATTAGGATTGCTGGCTCAGCATTAGAGGACATTGATGACCCTATATTTCCAGAAGCAGCAGCAAAATAACTGTCCAAAAATAAAGGGAAGGCTTTAGTTCTGAATTTAAACTATTTGCAAAAACTTAAAAACTGATTTTCATGTTTATAGTTCCCTTCCGCACCTCTGTAAAATGAGGTTTCCTTTTTCCATACCTTAAATGTAAGAATGTAAGGGCTTCACTTCTAACTTTTATAGAATGATCCATTCCACCTAGATAATAGATTTACTACTTTTGCTCATTGGCAACTAAAGAGTATATACCTTGTTCAGATTTGTAATTGCCAAGTGTTTTAGAAATGAGGCCCTTGAAAAAGGATATTATAGTTTAAACTTCACTTAATGTTAAAAAAAATATTATGGTCAATAGACCCTCTTTGAACTTCCCAAGTGGAGTTTTGCTAGTTCTTTTGCAACTAGCAAAAAACCCATTGTGAATATCTGTCATTTTCCATAGTTTCTTCGCTAGCTGTAGGTTTGTTTGCTTGCTTATTTCTTGCTAACTTTTTAAACAGGAGGGATTAGAGAAAAGTAAGGGATAGTGTTACAGAAGAATACATTACACATTACAGGCTTATCCAAAGCCTTCAGATACCGAACAAATTGTGGGGTGGAGAAGCAGAGAGTTAGAAAGGATATTTGCTGAACTGGTTTTTATTTACAGTCAAATAGTTTAAAAAGAAACTAAGCTTTCTGGTTTCCTTTAGATTTTTATCAGTACCGTTTTTACAGTTTCTCTTTGGCATCAAAATAAATCTTTCTGATATATTACTTCAAGTGAAACCAATAAATTTATAGCCACAACATAAAGATTTTGGAAGCTTTTTCAACATAAAGATTTTGGAAGTGCTTTCAAATATTTGAAATCAGTACATACAATCCTTATATCCTGAATCGTCATTCACCTTTTTATTTTTCAATAATATCACCAGGTTTTCTTTTGTAATTTCATTTCTTTTGCAATTTCATTACAAGCGAGTTTCTTCATAACTACTTAAAATGGCTATTGGGGACTGAGAGGGGAGGAGCCAAGATGGCCGAATAGGAACAGCTCCGGTCTACAGCTCCCAGCGTGAGCGACGCAGAAGACTGGTGATTTCTGCATTTCCATCTGAGGTACCAGGTTCATCTCACTAGGGAGTGCCAGACAGTGGGCGCAGGTCAGCGGGTGCGCGCACCGTGCGCGAGCCAAAGCAGGGCGAGGCATTGCCTCACCTGGGAAGCGCAAGGGGTCAGGGAGTTCCCTTTCCGAGTCAAATAAAGGGGTGACGGACGCACCTGGAAAATCAGGTCACTCCCACCCGAATATTGCGCTTTTCAGACCGGCTTAAAAAACGGCGCACCACCAGACTATATCCCACACCTGGCTCGGAGGGTCCTACGCCCACGGAATCTCACTGATTGCTAGCACAGCAGTCTGAGATCAAACTGCAAGGCAGCAGCGAGTCTGGGGGAGGGGCGCCCGCCATTGCCCAGGCTTGCTTAGGTAAACAAAGCAGCCGGGAAGCTCGAACTGGGTGGAGCCCACCACTGTTCAAGGAGGCCTGCCTGCCACTGTAGGCTCCACCTCTGGGAGCAGGGCACAGACAAACAAAAAGACAGCAGTAACCTCTGCAGACTTAAATGTCCCTGTCTGACAGCTTTGAAGAGAGCAGTGGTTCTCCCAGCACACAGCTGGAGATCTGAGAACGGGCACACTGCCTCCTCAAGTGGGTCCCTGACCCCTGACCCCCGAGCAGCCTAACTGGGAGGCACCCCCCAGCAGGGGCACACTGACACCTCACAAGGCAGGGTATTCCAACAGACCTGCAGCTGAGGATCCTGTCTGTTAGAAGGAAAACAAACAGAAAGGACATCCACACCGAAAACCCATCTGTACATCACCATCATCAAAGACCAAAAGTAGATAAAACCACAAAGATGGGGAAAATCAGAACAGAAAAACTGGAAACTCTAAAACGCAGAGTGCCTCTCCTCCTCCAAAGGAACGCAGTTCCTCACCAGCAACGGAACAAAGCTGGATGGAGAATGACTTTGACGAGCTGAGAGAAGAAGGCTTCAGACGATCAAATTACTCTGAGCTATGGGAGGACATTCAAACCAAAGGCAAAGAAGTTGAAAACTTTGAAAAAAATTTAGAAGAATGTATAACTAGAATAACCAATACAGAGAAGTGCTTAAAGGAGCTGACGGAGCTGAAAACCAAGGCTCGAGAACTACGTGAAGAATGCAGAAGCCTCAGGAGCCGATGCGATCAACTGGAAGAAAGGGTATCAGCAATGGAAGATGAAATGAATGAAATGAAGCGAGAAGGGAAGTTTAGAGAAAAAAGAATAAAAAGAAATGAGCAAAGCCTCCAAGAAATATGGGACTATGTGAAAAGACCAAATCTACGTCTGATTGGTGTACCTGAAAGTGATGGGGAGAATGGAACCAAGGTGGAAAACACTCTGCAGGATATTATCCAGGAGAACTTCCCCAATCTAGCAAGGCAGGCCAACGTTCAGATTCAGGAAATACAGAGAATGCCACAAAGATACTCCTCGAGAAGAGCAACTCCAAGACACACAATTGTCAGATTCACCAAAGTTGAAATGAAGGAAAAAATGTTAAGGGCAGCCAGAGAGAAAGGTCGGGTTACCCTCAAAGGGAAGCCCATCAGACTAACAGTGGATCTCTCGGCAGAAACCCCACAAGCCAGAAGAGAGTGGGGGCCAATATTCAACATTCTTAAAGAAAAGAATTTTCAACCCAGAATTTCATATCCAGCCAAACTAAGCTTCATAAGTGAAGGAGAAATAAAATACTTTACAGACAAGCAAATGCTGAGAGATTTTGTCACCACCAGGCCTGCCCTAAAAGCTCCTGAAGGAAGCGCTAAACATGGAAAGGAACAACCGGTACCAGCCGCTGCAAAATCATGCCAAAATGTAAAGACCATCGAGACTAGGAAGAAACTGCGTCAACTAACAAGCAAAATCACCAGCTAACATCATAATGACAGGATCAAATTCACACATAACAATATTAACTTTAAATGTAAATGGACTAAATTCTCCAATTAAAAGACACAGACAGGCAAATTGGATAAAGAGTCAAGACCTATCAGTGTGCTGTATTCAGGAAACCCATCTCACGTGCAGAGACACACATATGCTCAAAATAAAAGGATGGAGGAAGATCTACCAAGCAAATGGAAAACAAAAAAAGGCAGGGGTTGCAATCCTAGTCTCTGATAAAACAGACTTTAAACCAACAAAGATCAAAAGAGACAAAGAAGGCCATTACATAATGGTAAAGGGATCAATTCAACAAGAAGAGCTAACTATCCTAAATATATATGCACCCAATATAGGAGCACCCAGATTCATAAAGCAAGTCCTGAGTGACCTACAAAGAGACTTCGACTCCCACACATTAATAATGGGAGACTTTAACACCCCACTGTCAACATTAGACAGATCAACGAGACAGAAAGTCAACAAGGATACCCAGGAATTGAACTCAGCTCTGCACCAAGTGGACCTAATAGACATCTACAGAACTCTCCACCCCAAATCAACAGAATGTACATTTTTTTCAGCACCACACCACACCTATTCCAAAATTGACCACATACTTGGAAGTAAAGCTCTCCTCAGCAAATGTAAAAGAACAGAAATTATAACAAACTGTCTCTCAGACCACAGTGCAATCAAACTAGAACTCAGGATTAAGACCAATATCCTTGATGAACATTGATGCAAAAATCCTCAATAAAATACTGGCAAAATGAATCCAGCAGCACATCAAAAAGCTTATCCAACATGATCAAGTGGGCTTCATCCCTGGCATGCAAGGCTGGTTCAATATATGCAAATCAATAAATGTAATCCAGCATATAAACAGAGCCAAAGACAAAAACCACATGATTATCTCAATAGATGCAGAAAAAGCCTTTGACAAAATTCAACAACCCTTCATGCTAAAAACTCTCAATAAATTAGGTATTGATGGGACATATTTCAAAATGATAAGAGCTATCTATGACAAACCCACAGCCAATATCATACTGAATGGGCAAAAACTGGAAGCATTCCCTTTGAAAACTGGCACAAGACAGGGATGCCCTCTCTCACCACTCCTATTCAACATGGTATTGGAAGTTCTGGCCAGGGCAATTAGGCAGGAGAAGGAAATAAAGGGTATTCAATTAGGAAAAGAGGAAGTCAAATTGTCCCTGTTTGCAGACGACATGATTGTATATCTAGAAAACCCCATCGTCTCAGCCCAAAATCTCCTTAAGCTGATAAGCAACTTCAGGAGTCTCAGGATACAAAATCAATGTGCAAAAATCACAAGCATTCTTATACACCAACAACAGACAAACAGAGAGCCAAATCATGAGTGAACTCCCATTCACAATTGCTTCAAAGAGAATAAAATACCTAGGAATCCAACTTACAAGGGATGTGAAGGACCTCTTCAAGGAGAACTACAAACCACTGCTCAATGAAATAAAAGAGGATACAAACAAATGGAAGAACATTCCATGCTCATGGGTAGGAAGAATCAATATCGTGAAAATGGCCATACTGCCCAAGGTAATTTACAGATTCAATGCCATCCCCATCAAGCTACCAATGACTTTCTTCACAGAATTGGAAAAAACTACTTTAAAGTTCATATGGAACCAAAAAAGAGCCCGCATCGCCAAGTCAATCCTAAGCCAAAAGAACAAAGCTGGAGGCATCACACTACCTAACTTCAAACTATACTACAAGGCTACAGTAACCAAAACAGCATGGTACTGGTACCAAAACAGAGATATAGATCAATGGAACAGAACAGAGCCCTCAGAAATAATGCTGCATACCTACAACTATCTGATCTTTGACAAACCTGAGAAAAACAAGCAATGGGGAAAGGATTCCCTATTTAATAAATGGTGCTGGGAAAACTGGCTAGCCATATGTAGAAAGCTGAAACTGGATCCCTTCCTTACACCTTATACAAAAATCAATTCAAGATGGATTAAAGATTTAAACGTTAGACCTAAAACCATAAAAACCCTAGAAGAAAACCTAGGCATTACCATTCAGGACATAGGCATGGGAAAGGACTTCATGTCCAAAACACCAAAAGCAATGGCAACAAAAGACAAAATTGACAAATGGGATCTAATTAAACTAAAGAGCTTCTGCACAGCAAAAGAAACTACCATCAGAGTGAACAAGCAACCTACAAAATGGGAGAAAATTTTCGCAACCTACTCATCTGACAAAGGGCTAATATCCAGAATCTACAATGAACTCAAACAAATTTACAAGAAAAAAACAAACAACCCCATCAAAAAGTGGGTGAAGGATATGAACAGACACTTCTCAAAAGAAGACATTTATGCAGCCAAAAAACACATGAAAAAATGCTCACCATCACTGGCCATCAGAGAAATGCAAATCAAAACCACAATGAGATACCATCTCACACCAGTTAGAATGGCAATCATTAAAAAGTCAGGAAACAACAGGTGCTGGAGAGGATGTGGAGAAACAGGAACACTTTTACACTGTTGGTGGGACTGTAAACTAGTTCAACCATTGTGGAAGTCAGTATGGCGATTCCTCAGGGATCTAGAACTAGAAATACCATTTGACCCAGGCATCCCATTACTGGGTATATACCCAAAGGACTATAAATCATGCAGCTATAAAGACACATGCACACATATGTTTATTGCAGCATTATTCACAATAGCAAAGACTTGGAACCAACCCAAATGTCCAACAATGATAGACTGGATTAAGAAAATGTGGCACATATACACCATGGAATACTATGCAGCCATAAAAAATGATGAGTTCACATCCTTTGTAGGGACATGGATGAAATTGGAAATCATCATTCTCAGTAAACTATCGCAAGAAGAAAAAACCAAACACCGCATATTCTCACTCATAGGTGGGAATTGAACAATGAGATCACATGGACACAGGAAGGGGAATATCACACTCTGGGGACTGTGGTGGGGTGGGGGGAGGGGGGAGGGATAGCATTGGGAGATATACCTAATGCTAGATGATGAGTTAGTGGGTGCAGCGCACCAGCACGGCACATGTATACATATGTAACTAACCTGCACAATGTGCACATGTACCCTAAAACTTAAAGTATAATAAAAAAATAAATTTAAAAAGAAATGGCTATTGGGTCAATTCTCTCATAATGTACTCACCCATTCACCTAGGGGGTATTTAAATTCCTTACCAAATGTTTCTTATTACAAACAATGCTGGGCCAGGCGCAGTGGCTCACACCTGTTATCCCAGCACTTTGGAAGGCTAAGGCCAGAGGTTTGTTTGAACTCAGGAGTTCAAGACCAGCCTGGGCAACATAGAGAGACCCTGTCTCTTAAAACAACAAAAAAACGAAAAACAACAATGCTTCAAGAAGCATATTCATGCAAATTATTTTTCTACGTAAACACTTTTATTTTAAAAACAAAAATAATTTAGAAAGAAGTTGACTTTAATTGAAAGCTCTAATTGGATAAAGTATATTTTCTAAATATGTCTCTTTCATTCTCAACTCCCAACATTTTTTTTTAATTTACAAAAGAAAAACACAAAAGTTAACTATCCGGGTGACTTAAATACACTTGTTTTTTTCTCAGTCATCTGTCAAGTTTGAGGTTAATCGCTTTTTGGCTGAACTTTGTAGAAATAGACATAACCAAGAAAGGTTAGTCAGCAAGTTAAAGCTCTTGGTCCTCTGTCATATTTAGCTCTTCAGACTATTTATGTCCAAGTGTTTTAACCAAGGAGTTAAATGGTTAGATTTCTCATTCATAGATTGTTTGGGGTTATTACCCAAGGAACTTAAGCTTTAACCGTCAACTATGCATTCTTTTTTTTTTTTTTTGAGATGGAATGTCACTCTGTCGCCCTGGCTTGGAGTACAGTGGCGCAATCTTGGCTCACTGCAACTTCCGCCTCCTGAGTTCAAATGATGCTTCAACCTCAGCCTCTTGAGTAGCTGGGACTACAGGCAAGCGCCACCATGACCGGCTAATTTTTGTATTTTTAGTAGAGGCGGGGTTTCACCATGTTGGCCAGGCTGGTCTGGAACTCCTGACCTCAAATGATCCACCCACCTCGGCCTCCCAAAGTGCTAGGATTACAGGCATGAGCCACCATGCCCAGCCTAACTACTCATTCTTAAATGCCCACATTGATATTTCCTTTTTAAAATAATTGTTTAATATAAATTTTTGAGACAGGATCTCCCTTTGTCACCAAGCTGGAGTGCAGTGGCATGATCATAGCTCACTGCAGCCTCAACCCCTGAACTCAAGCAATCCTCCCTCCTCAGCCTCCCGAGTAGCTGGGACTAAAGGTGCGCACAACCACGCCTGGCTAATTTTTGTATTTTTTTAGAGACAGGGTTTTGCCATGTTGCCAAGGCTGGTCTCCAACTTCTGAGTTCAGGCAGTGCTCCCATCTCAGCCTCCCAAAGTGCTGAGATTATAGGCATGAGCCACCACGCCCAGCCCACATTAAGACTTCTTATATCCATTTTAGTCTCTGCTCTTTGTCCTTAATTTTTAAGGGTTGTGTTAAAATGCAAGGTAAACACAAATGCTGAAATAAGTGATGAGCAAGTACCCTAAAGTTAGGAGGCAGAGATTACTGAACTGTGTGGCAGTTGTTATTGTCACTGCTTTGAAAACCTTAATCTTAAAGATACTTTACCAAACTAGATGGGTCCTGTAAGTGAACACACGCTCCAAAGTGCACTGCGGCCCGACAGCATTCTTTTCCGTGAACACAGACTTTCTGGGCCTCAGAATGCTGTTGACAAATGATAATTAATTTAATTGTCAACAGCTGTTTCCTAAGCGTGTGCCTCTTCAAGTGAGAGGCAGGACATAAACACACTCACCAACTCAGCACCAGGAGGATTAGAGAAGGGTCCTGCAGACATTCTGTGCTTGCTCTGGACACACAAGAGAGGCTTCTGGAAAAACTGAAAATAAGATGGATACCACTTCCTGTTTCTTCATTTTAGGAGCAGCCACTTGTTTCTAACGCTTAAATTTTATGACTGATTGACACTTGGAAACATTTTCAAAGATATATTCAAAATTTAGCTGATTTTGTTCAAAGGAAAAGAGACATCCCCAATTCATTGTCAAAAAGCATAATGGGTCAACAGATCTGTATTAATAATCCCTTATTGTAGCACTTAGATTTGTGTTAAATCGAAGGCTTCAGTTTCTTTTTTTTCTTCATGAAAGTAGATGGACTATCTTAGAACTTTAAGATTGACTGTCTCTGACAACTATAAAAAAATATAGTTACTGGGGGATGTAAAATTAAAGCTGATGGAGATTGCTGAAGTTAATGTGGTTCTGGGATTAACATGCAGGGTTAAGTTATTTGTTCTTAACATGTTATCTTCTATTGATTCTAATCAAACACAGCCAGTTCATCACTTTACCTCATAACTTTCAAATGTGTACATGCTGATGACAGCAATTGTATAGCCTAAAGTTTAAAGCAGAATATGAGAAATTACTTCTTCATTTTTTGCATCCATTTTATCCTCATACTTATCCTGAAATGTTTTCCAAATTATTTCATTTATTTCTATAGTCAGCTATTTTCCATTACCACAAGGGAAGGAAAATACTGCTGAAGAGACTTAGGTTTCAAAGAAACATTATTGCTCAACTGAGGGTCTTTAAATACAAACCTAGAGAAATTTTTCAACCACCTTTCACTATATGTGTGTGTGTGTGTGTGTGTGTGTGTGTGTGTGTGTGTGTGAAGAGGCAATATATTACTATATGTTGATGACCTCACGTAAGTAAACTAGGTAGTTAGGTTGCGATTTGAAAGAACCTGAGTGCTCGAGAATCTCTCTACAGCCACAGCCGTCACACAAGATACCCTCTTCAGAGATTTAAAGAATTTCTATTGGGATTTAGCCTGTTGTCTATCCAGCCACAGTTTAGCAGTGATAAGTTCTATGTTTTACAGAACGATCCTGATTTCAAATCACCATTTTATTGTCTTTGAATCCTCAAAATTTTCCCAAAATATGGCAGCATTAGTGCCCAAAGTCTATGTTGAGGCTGCACAGAAATCTGGAAGTGTCTTTAAAACGTCAGACACGTGTATCAAATTTTGGTTTAGAAAATACTTTGGTGGTTGTACACACAATCTAGGAGAGTAATATATGAAGTTATTTGCAAACAACTTAAATATAGAATGACTTGCCTGCTATGTTCTCTGTGCTAGGGAGATCCTGGACTGGTGCCAAGGGCAAGAAACAGACAAAATTATCTGTCTTCATGAAGCTTGTACTTTAGTGATGGGAAACGAACAATATACAAAATAAATACTTTAAGATAGCATGTTGGAAGGTGGTGATATGCTGGAAAATAAACCGAGAAGGATGATAAGGAACTGCTGAAGGAGGTTTACTTTGATTCAAATAGGATGGACAAGGAAGGTGTCACTAAGAAGGTGACATGTCAGCCAGTACTGAAGAAGGCAAGGGAACAAGCCACGTGGGATGTGGAGTGAAGAGTTCAGCAGTAGAAATGGCAAGCCCAAAGACTCTGTGGTGGGAGGAATAAGAGGGGGGTATAACTGGGACCAGTGAGTATGGGAGGAGAGTAGATCAGAGAGGCAACCAGTAGAGCAGGTCTTGTAGAGCCTTGTGAAATAAATTACCTTGATGCCTAAAGATTCTTGACTTTACGGAATAGTATAGGCCTCAGTTATTTGGACAGCAAGCTAGACAGGCCCACCTGTGAGATAGGGTATCTTTACCTCATGGTTGACCCACATGGATCAATAGTGCCTTGTTGGCTCAACTAGCTTTGCTGTTATCTGTGGATTTCAAATTATTTAGGGACTATAAAGACATATGCATCTGAAAATATAGTAATATTAATACAAGGTAGTGCCTTGTTAGAAGCAGATAAGGTGCTGGCAAATAAACTTAGCAGAGAAAAATAATCAGGCATTCAATTCTGGAAAGGATTTTAGGATAAAGGGAGAATGGGTCTAGGTTTTTAACCATCCTTGGTATTTGGAAAGAGCAGCACAAAGTAAGATGATCTGCATTGGCCAAGACAGAAAAGCCCAGGTCTATTGAGCAGACAGAGGATTGACCTTTTTGACTACAGCATAGGATCAGGAGCCGCCTTGCATCCTTCCACCTACTACATTATTTCTGCTATCCCTCTGCACCTAGGGCTGCTGCTAGGCCACAGAACACCTTTCTGCAAGTTTGAGAAAGGCTCAAGTGTCCCTTCAAGACACTACTTTCAGCACTGGAAAGCTGTGGCATACTGATGTTGTGAGAACAAGATGCTTTACTGCCATCTGCCAGAAAATCATGATAAAATACAAATGCACCATGCCTACAATGGGAGTGCATGCCCTCAAGTTGCACACTGCACAAACCATACAACCATGTGTGGCAGCCACACATGTAGAAGAAGGTGTGAATAAGTCTGGATAGGAACTATTTAATCTGAGTGTGAAGGTATTTGTATTGTACGTGAGTGCTCACCATTGGGTGACCTCAGCAGAGGAGGATTTTAATAATCAAGTGGATAGGATGCACTCTGTGGACACCACTCAGCCTCTTTCCCCAGCCACCCCTGTCATTGCCCAATGGTCCTGTGAACAAAGTTGTCATGGTGGCAGGGATGGAGGTTATGCATGGGCTCAGCAACATGGACTTCCACTCGCCAAGGCTGACATGGCTACGGCCACTGCTGAGTGCCCAATTTGCCAGCAGGAGAGACCAACATTGAGCCCTTGATATGGCACCATTCCTCAGGGGATCAGCCAGCTACTTGGTGGTAAGTTGATTATATTGGACCTCTTCTATCATGAAAAGGGCAGCGATTTGTCTTCACTGGAATAGACACTTACTCCAGATATGAGTTTGCCTATCCTGCACATAACACTTCTGCCAAGACTACCATCTGTGGACTCATTGGAAGGCCTTATCCACCGTCATGGTATTCCACACAGCATTGCCTCTGACCAAGGCACTCACTTTACGGCTAAAGAAGTGCGGCAGTGGGCTCATGCTCATGGAATTCACTGGTCTTACCATGTTCCCCATCATCCTGAAGCAGCTGGATTGATAAAACAGTGGAATGGCCTTTTGAAGTCACAATCACAATGCCAACTACATGACAATACTTTGCAGGGCTAGGGCAAAGTTCTCCAGAAGGCTGTGTATGTTCTGAATCAGCATCTAATATATGGTACTGTTTCTCCCATAGCCAGGATTCACAGGGCTAGGAATCAAGGGGTAGAAGTAGAAGTAGTACCACTTACCATCACCCCTAGTGATCCACTAGCAAAATTTTTGATTCCTATTCCCACGACAATACGTTCTGCTAGTCTAGAGGTCTTAGTTCCAGAAGGAGGAATGCTTCCACCAGTAGACACAACAGCGATTCCATTAAACTGGAAGTTAAGATTGCCACCTGTACACTTTGGGCTCCTCCTACCTTTAAGTCAACAGGCTAAGAAGGGAGTTACAGTGTTGGCTGGGGTGATTGACTCGAGCTATCAAAATGAAATCAGTTTACTACTCCACAACAGAGGTAGGGAAGAGTACTCATGGAATACAGGAGATCCCTTAGGGCATCTCTTAGTATTACCATGCCCTGTGATTAAGGTCAATGGGAAACCACAACAGCTCAATCCAGGTAGGACTACAAATGGCCCAGACCCTTTAGGAATGAAAGTTTGGGTCATTCCACCAAGAAAAAAAAAAAATCATGACCTGCTGAGATGTTTGCTGAAGGCAAAGGGAATACAGAAGGGGTAGTAGAAGAAGGTAGTCATCAATACCAGCTTTTTTTTTCTTGAGACAGAGTTTCGCTCTTGTTGCCCAGACTGGAGTGCAATGGCACAGTCTCGGCTCACTGCAACCTCCGCCTCCCAGGTTGAAGTGATTCTCCTGCCTCAGCCTCCCAAGTAGCTGGGATTACACGGTACCCACGAACACACCGGGCTAATTTTTGTACTTTTTAGTGGGATAGAGTTTCACCATGTTGGCCAGGATGGTCTCGAACTCCTGACCTCAGGTGATTCGCCCACCTCGGCTTCCCAAAGTGCTAGGATTACTGGCATGAGCCACCTTCTTTTGTTAAAAACTTGTTTGTGCATGTATACACTTGTACTAAGAAAATATCTTCATTTTATTTCCTTTCTCTTTTATCATGTAAGATTTATTGACTTCACATCAGCACATCACATCAGCATAAAGTATTGTTAACTTTATGTAATAGTATTTGGGTTGGGGATTGGTGCATTTCCGGTTGTATGAAGGATAGTTATATTATCTTAGGTGTAATTATGACCTTATTATTGTCTTTATTTGAAGATTATGTATGATCTCAGGAGATGTGTATGGGTTCAAGTTGACAAAGGGTGGACTTGTGATGGTTAATACTGAGTGTCAACTTGATTGGATTGAAGTATTGATCCTGGGTATGTCTGTGAGGGTGTTGCCAAAGGAGATTAACATTTGAGTCAGTGGGCTGGGAAAGGCAAACCCACCCTTAATCTGGGTGGGTGGGCACAATCTAATCAGCTGCCAGTACGGCTAGAATATAAGCAGGCAGAAAAATGTGAAAAGACAGACTGGCCTAGCCTTCCAGCCTACATCTTTATCCTGCGCTGGATGCTTCCTGCCCTCAAATATCGGACTCCAAGTTCTTCAGTTTTGGAACTCAGACTGGCTTTCCTTGCTTGTCAGCCTCCAGACAGCCTATATTGTGGGACCTTGTGATCGTGTGACTTAAAACTTAATAAGTTTTAATAATAATAAGAGTCCTACCACTCTTGCTTCCAAATCCCTGCATATATATGTATATATATGGTATCCCTTACTATTACCATGCCCTGTGATAAAGGTCAATGGGAAACTACAATAGCCCAATCCAGGCAGAACTACAAATCACCCAGGCCCTTCAGGAATGAAAGTTTGGGTCACTCCACCAGGAAAAAAACAAATCTTTGTTCTTCCATCCCAGCTGGCTCCTTATGCTGGTGGCATCCCTCAAGACAGCTTTTCCAAACTTGTCTACTTTTCTCCTGACTTTAATCTCATCCCTGATCTCTTACTCTTAACCAGTAACTTACCTTTCAATTTTTCTTCCTTCCAACTATTATCCTCCATCTTCACCATCCTCTCCTTTCTCTCAGGGGAAAGAGTCACTTTCTACGGTTGCTTTCTACGACCGATTTTATCCCCACCAATCCCCACTAGAACAATGTTCTATTGACTCTTTTCCTCTTATTTCTTCACTTTCTCTCTCTCTCCCTCTCTCTGTCGCCTTTTTCCCCTGAAGTCAAAGATGTCCCCAGCTCCTTCGTATGTTAAAATAAACTTTCTGTCAGCCCCAATTTCCCTTCAAGATGTCTTTACCATCTTATTCTCTCTTCATTGACAAACTTCTTTTAAAAAATAATAATAATGTAATAGTTCTCCATAGAAAAGCTGTCAGTTTCCTCTCAGAAAAACGTTCATATAGCCTACATTCAAATGTCTCATCTGCTTTCAGGAGGTTAATGGATTCCGTGAGGCCCATGTGTTGATTCTCCAAGGGTCTGGGGATGGGCACAGAGGGAATATGGGTCACGCTGCCTCAGGAAACTCACCTTGGTGTGGTGATAATGGCCCTGGATTACCCTGGCCATGGCAGTAGCTGCACCTCGGCTATCTATTCGATTTGTCCTGGAGACCCTGGGAGATTTTAAAAAATTATTTCTGTAAATAATTCCAACAACATAAACACTGAGGACATTATTCCATTAGTCAGTTATCCAGGGCTGCTTTCAGTCAGGAGTTCTGCCCAGTGTGCTCATAGATGACTTTCCAACATGGTTTAAATATCCACATTAAAAAAACTCTAGAAGTCAAGGTCAAAACTGGGGAAAATCATAGAAATCCTTTAGTCTAGAGCTCTCAGTTCTACCAATTCAACCCAAGCATCCATGCAACCTTTGGTCAGTTTCAATCTCTTTCTTCTTTGATTTCTTTATCTGTAAAATGAAGAGAGTAAGCACATGTACCTCATAGAACTATGGTATGGATTAAATTAATTGAGACAGTAGTGTAAAGAATTTAGCATAGTCTGACACATAGAGCTCAATAACAGATCACTCTCATTTTGTATAATTACTAGTAATCTAGTCCACCCTCAACCAGCTACTAGAAAAGCAAAAGAGAACTCAAATCCCTGAGGCCTGCTCTGCAACCTCCCTGCTATTCCATGAGAGGGTGAAGACATCACATTTCTATATGGAAAAAGGATCCAAAATTTGTATTGCTGTAGAATTGGTGAATTATAGATGCTTGATGAAATCACAAGTCCTACCACTCCTGCCTTCCAAATCCCTGCAGAAAACAAGCAGATGGTTAGTATTATTCAATGGATAAAATTGCTATTTGCCTTAGATTTCTCTTTTTGTAAACAAAGTTATTTTGGGTACAGAACTCACAAAAGAAGAGCACGTGCAATTGTTTAACCATTTTACATTGACTGATAAATCTCTTTTTTCCATAACTGTGCCACATTTCATTAAATATTCAGTGGAGGTTTTGATTCCATTATGGGATCCGGATCCATGCATATTCCCAAAGCTGGAGTAAGTAATGTTGTTCCCTGATTTTTTCAGATTGTTCTCAACCTACATGCTCATTTTTACTTAAAGGGTAACACGATTTTATTATTGTTTTTGTTCTTCTTGTTGTTATAAGTACACCAAACAAATTATATAAGAAATGAATAGTACAGAATTCCCAAGCCAGTTTAGAGAAAATATTCAAAAATTGTTTTCTGGATATATATACAGTGAGAGCTATATTTCAAATAAATTTAAATGTTTTGTTTTTTTTTTAAGTTTTTACAATGTGAGAACACTATATAATACTAATAAATAATAGTCATTTGCTAAATATTTTAAAAATCCAGTAAGAGCTATTTAAACTTAGATTTCTTTTCTCCTACTAGATTTAAAAATCCATTACAATGTAATCTAGTTAATACTCCTTCCTTCAGAAAGGACCATATTTAACACCAACTTAGCCAGATATATATTTTTTAATTAATAAAAGTCCGCAGAGGTGGTTCTATTGTCTTTCTTTGCCTCACTGGCAAAAGCAAAACCAATCTACAAACAAAAACACATTGTCTCTTCATGCTCCTAATCAAAGTAAGGTATTTCTTTTCCCTTCACTTATCTTTTGTATTTTGAAAGAGCATGGCACTAAGGAAGGTGCCCCTACAGGAGTAATCTAGAGTTCCTTATGCCAGGTAAGGCCTAACACCTGGTATTTCTCAGATACAGTTATATCTCTGCAGCCTTCTGTGTCTTTCTCTGGTATCCATCACATTGCTACACAGCATTGGCCCAACACCCCTGAGCAAAATCCAGAATTTTCCTGGGGCCTTGAAAGATGTGGCAAACATTTTTAATGCCTACTTCTACCAATTTTCCCATTCCTCAATATAGCTGCAATTCATATGGGGTGGCCATATTTCCCAATAAAATTCTGGCCCGTGAGATGTAAATGGAAGTACATGTGACTTTCAGGAAATCTTTCTAGACAGAGGTGGCATGCCCTTCTTTCTTCCCTCCTGCTTCTAGCTTGTAACATGAATATGCTGTCAGCTAGATCATTAACAACCATGCCGAGCCACAAAATGGCCACAGAAATGGAAGCCATGTGCTTAAGATGACAGATAAGAAAGATAAAAGCTTGTATCTCTGATATTACCTTTAAGATATCATATTATATCCCTAGACTGCTTAAGAAACATACATTTCTGTTGTGTTTAAACCAGTTATTTTTTTGTTTGCTCCATATTGACGTTTTGTCATGTGGAGCTGAGCTTAACCCTGAGACACGGAGATCACCTGCAAGTTACAGAGAATGGGGAGAAACAGCAGTGAGTTAATACTCATTCATTATGTGCTTATAAAGACAAGACCAGAATTAGAACACACACATGGGGAAATAACAGTTTCGAATGAAACTTTAAGATATAGTTATAGGCCAGGCACGGTGGCTCACGCCTGTAATCCCAGCATTTTGGGAGGCCGAGGTGAGTGGATTGCCTGAGGTCAGGAGTTTGAGATCAGCCTGGCTAACATGGTGAAACCCCATCTCTATTAAAAATACACACAAAAAAATTTAGCTGGGCGTGGTGGTGGGTGGCTGTAATCCCAGATACTCGGGGGGCTGAGGCAGGAGAATCGCTTGAACCCGGGAGGCAGAGGTTGCACTCCAGCATGGGCAACAAGAGCGAAACTCCGTCTCAAAAAAAAAAAAAGATACAGTTATAACGTATTATGAATTGGTTTAAGAATTTCCTATCATGAAAAGATCACTGAGATTATAGACAATAAGGAAAGCAGAAAACTACATTATACATTTGTCTTCTCAACTAAAGAAGCTCCACCCATAAATGTAATTGTATTGCCACTTAATACTTTCTCAGTCCCTTAATCGTGTGTTTGTGGGTTTCTACCACTATTTCAAATGTAAAAAAGATCATGATTAATCAATAATATGTATGCTAATTATATTTTATTATTATAGAAAAAATAGTATTGCTGTAATGTGGCTCCTAGTTCTAAGAAAATATTTTGCTGTTTGTTCTACATTTTCTCCTTCAATAAAAGTAGTTGAATTCTTTTTATAATAATATAAAGGATAAAAATTATTTTAAAAATGCATAAGTTTATAGTAGCATTATCTGTGATAGAAAAAGATTGAGAATAGCTAAATGGTCTGACAACAGAATAGAGGATGTGTGGTGTGTTCATATGTTGGAACACTCTACAGTAATGAAAATGAACAGCTGCACACAAATACATAGATGAATGACAGTATAATGCTAAAGAAGATTTTTAAAGTATATACTGTCTGGATCCATTTATATAAGCTCGAAATAAGCAAAATGAATTTGTTGTGTTAGTAATTAGAATAGGAGTCTCCTTCCTGGGAAGCAGTGATCAGAAGGCAAGATGGGGCCTCTGAGGAACTGTGAATGTCCTGTCTTATCATCTTGTGCTCGCTTTGTAAAATGACAAGTTTGCTTTATCAAAATTCACCTAGCCATTCATTCATGATTTAGTACTTTCATGTATGTACAATATTCTTCAGTAAGAAGTCCACTTTGGAGCTGGATGTGGTGGTTCACACCTGTAATGCCAGCACTTTGAGAGGCTGAAGAGGGAGAATTGCTTGATACCAGGGGTTTGACGCCAGCCTGGGCAACAAGGTGAGGCTTTGCCTCAACAAAAACTAAAAAAAAGTTAGCCAAGCATGGTTAGTCTCAGCTACTCAGGAGGCTAAGGTGGGAGGGGCTTGAGCCCAGGAGGTCAAGACTGCAGTGAGCTGTGTTTGAGCCACTGCACTCCAGCCTGGGTGAAAAAGCAAGACGATGTCTCAAAAAAAAACCACCGAAGTTTACTTGGAAAAAAGAAAATTTAAAAACAAAACACCACCTGATTCTGATTTTCCTATCCTTGCTTCTTAAATCCAGTTGAGAGGTTAGAATGTTCCTCACCTGCTATAGTCCAAATGTGTCCCTCAGAATTCATGTGTTGGAAATTTAATCCCCAATACAACAGAGTTGGCAAATGGGGCCTAATGGTGGGTGTTTAGGTGATGAGGGCTCTGCGCTCATGAATTGAGTAAAAACATTATTTTAAAAAGCTTTTGAAAATGGGTTTGCTCTCTTGCACTCTCACATTTTTGCCTTCCACTATGTTCTGATGCAGCAAGAAGGCCCTGGCCAGATGCTGACACCTTAGTATTAGACTTTCCAACCTTCAGAACTATAAGCCAATAAATTTCTGTTAATTATAAATTATCTAGTCCCAGGTATTCTGTTATACCAGCACAAAACAGACTAAGACACCATCTTACCCTACAGCCAGTACCAGGATTTTGAATGACAGAATGATGACCTCATCATCCTTTGTTTTTGCTGGCCAGTTCCATATTTTGAATGAAAATCACCTGGCTCCTGTGAGTTCTTTTGTATCCTCTCTAACTTATCCTTCAGTATCAAATTTGAAGGATTGTTTTGAGGGGGTCTGAAATTCTCAGTTTTTGCTCTATCTTGTTTCTCCTTTTTCCATTTGCTCCCATTGACACACATGGAGTCTCAATTGTACTTTCATCCCAGTCAGCAGCTGCCCTA
Organism: Homo sapiens; assembly: GCF_000001405.40. Classification (NCBI taxonomy): domain Eukaryota; kingdom Metazoa; phylum Chordata; class Mammalia; order Primates; family Hominidae; genus Homo; species Homo sapiens. The sequence goes on along the minus strand of NC_000012.12, from coordinate 25,472,428 downwards.
AACAAGAAGACATGCCCCATCATTAGTGGTGCCAGGTGCTGGCTTTAGCAGAACATATTCTAAATGTAACTGATCAATGGCTTATATATTATCCTAACAGTCCATTGCACTTGGAGTTCTCACTTTAGAGTAGCTCCCCTAGAGGGGTTTAAAAAAAATTATACATACAGCTCTGTTATAACTGTGGCTTTTAAAGGTCTTTTTTAATTGTAAGTGTTCTCTGGACCCTTACTACATTTTTAATAATTGACAACAGAATTCTAAAAGCCTCCACATCCATGCTCAGGGGACCTTGTAATCAAAGGACATAATCTAATCCGTGACAGCATCTCTTAGGAGCCTCAGGAGGCCTGAAGATGCTGGCATGGTGCTAAAAAGAAGAGATCAGCAGTATCAGAGCTGATAGTGCTGATCTTCTTCAGGGAATAAGAGAGGACTTTGGCCTACAAAGGGGGTGCCCTTATCCTCACATAAATTCCTCTGCTGATAAAACAAATGACAGAGCAAAAGGTATGGTTGATAATGGTTGGTATTGTGGCATAGAGAGTGATTTGAAAACCTCTCTTGACCTTGGAATCCTTTCTGCAAGTATCCGTTAGGTAGAAGGGACTGGTCTGGTTGAATAAGAGGCAGGTAAGGAGCCTTACCATCTGAGCTTCTCGCCTCCCATCAACACCTTCTCCTCTCCTCCCATCAACATCAGATGGGATCTGCTGGGTCACTTGGACAGCACTGCACTGAATCTTTGCCCTCATACAACGATACAGTTCGTAGGCCATAGGGACGAGCCATCCCAAATCTAACCCTTCAATGGATGCCAGACTGGTGTATAATAATCACTTAGGGAGTTGGTGAACATTCGGATTGCCAGACCTGATAAAAGTCAGCTGCTGGTCCTAGGAATCTGTTTTTAATAAGATCCTCAGGTAATTCTGATGTACAGACAAGCCTGAGAACCATGGTCATGGCATGGACAAAAACCTATACTTACGTTTCTGCAAGTGAGAACCAAGGACCGTCTGCATCCGAGTCACCTGCATGTCTGAGATGTGCACATTAGGACATGGAAGGCTTCATTGAGAAGTGGAACACTGGGGGCTGCTCTGGCTGAATTGAACAAGAGTTCAGGCCTTCACCCTATTGAAGTAGGAAGATTTGGAAATATTTCCATATGCATCAAAATTCATATCCACAGCTTCTCTTACAGAATCTCTGAACTTAAAGCAGGACCAATGGCACTTCTGGGAGACTCACCAATGTCTATGCACCATTTCCTTATTGTCTTCTCTCCTCCCCCTCAACAAGAATCCTTTATCAAGACTTAAGGTTCAAAATATCAGCTCAAACTGATTCATGTTCTTCCAAATCCCTTGGCTTATTTTCTACATCTGCTCTTTTTTTCTACATCTGCTAATGTCTCCTTTTCCCAAGGCATGAAGGTGGAAAATCCTACATGCTTGAGGTGAAGAAAGGGCCTTGGGGTACAAGTAAATTCAGAGGAGATACACACCAGTGCTGGTAATGTTTTGTTTCTTAAGCCGGGTATTAGGCACACAAGTGTGTTCAGCTTACAGAAACACATTTAGTATACTTGTGATTTATGTACTTTTCTGTCTATATACGATACTTCAATAAAATGCATAATAAAAAGTTATTAATATCTCAAAATGGTATTGTGCTCATCGATCAATTGGTAGATCAATAGAGACAAAGATAAGAATACAGAAAAAAATCTGAACAAAATTTGTTAATGGGGTACGGTGGATCCCGCCTGTAATCCCAGCACTTTGGGAAGTGGAGGCAGGCAGATCGCTTGAGCCCAGGAGTTTGAGACCAGCCTGGGCAATAAGGCAAAACCCCGTCTCTACAAAAAAAAAAAAAAAAAAAAAAAAGAGAATTAGCTGGGCATGGTGGTGCGCGCCTGTAGTCCCAGCTACTCTGGAGGTGGAAGCGGGAGGATAGCTTGAGCCGGGACACCATTTTATCAAGACCATTTTAAGTCAAGAAAAACAGTTCTTAAAGTTTCTCTTCTAAACGAGGTCAATAATTTATAGCAAAAGAAATTTCCCAATCATGTTGCCTGGTGATGATCCTCCAGAGGGCTTCCAGTAGTGAATTTTGAGCATTATCTTTTGTCCTAACTTTGTGATTGTGAAGTTAATTTGCACAGGAACAGTTTCCATCTCTGGATATGTCTGTATACACTTGGTGGAGCCAAAAGAAAATTTCAAAGAACTTAGAAGGAACAGAATGCTTTTCAGAGATGCTTGCAAAGTCAGAACTCTGTAAGTATTTATATAAGAAACCACTTAATGTCTACTTGACTGATGGGTACTCAAATTGCAATAAGACAGCTGCTGAATAGAAAGTAAAGTGTTTTTAAAGATGAAAGAAACAATACTCCTCTTCTAAGGTCAGTGTTGTACAACTCACATGCCAAGAAATCACGAGGTCCTCCTGAATGCCATTTCCAAGGCTGCTTAAGAGAAATTGGAAGCCAGCGGGACTGTCTTTGGTGCTCAACCAATTTCCCTCTCAGATTTCCTCCTTCCCCATCCCCATCCTTTCTCTCACACCACCCTATCCCCAACCACAAACACCCTTTAGTTTCCCATCCTTGTTACCTTTGTTGTCCTCAGCTGGATGACATTAAATTTGATGTTTTCAGCAAATATACATAAAGCAGCTACTCTGAGGGATTAACTGAAGATAGTTAAACATGGCCCCTGTGTCCTTCCCTTTGTAACGGGGAATTCTGGAAATAGAGAGGTTTTTAGATAGGTGGTAGGATGGATATTTCTGGGCAGAAACAAGCCATCACTGACTCATCTCAGTGTTGTACTGGGAGGCATGTTACTCTAGGAAACATGATCCATCCCTTTCTCCCTTGATTTTTTTCAGTTCACCCTAAGGCCAGGTACCCACAGTTTGGGAAAGACTTTCTCTGGTATCTCCTTAGCTAATAGGCTCGGTGAGGTGGCCTCTTGAGACAGTGGCTTCTCAGCGAACGGGTAAGAAATGTGCCCGCAGACCGTCACCACCACATCTGGCCCTCTCTGCTAACAAACAAATGAATTTGCAAGGGCTTAGCATGCCCTCTGCCCTCCAAGACCAGGCTGCTGCCTCCTGATCAACGGCCCAGCATTGAGCATGTGAACACTATCGCTGAGTGAGCGCTGTACCCTGTACCCTAAACCACATTTGTATGGCCCTTCAGTGTAATGAGTCATGCTGACTGCTTGGAGTAATGGGTGCTTAACCTTTCTGTGCCTCAGTTTCCTCATCTGTAAAATAGGAAGAACAATAGTGCCTATCATACAGCATTAGTATGAAGATTAAATAAAATGGGTAAAGTGCTAACATGATGCCTTGCAAATAATACATGCTGGCTCTTTAAACACCCAAACCCATTCTTATCAAAGGCTTCTCTACATGATAATGGTGAGAACTCCGGGTCTCATGCCTTGTTAGTATTTGTATTAGGATCTACTCAAATGCTGTTCATCGAGGTGTCATAACTACCATTTATAAGTGCTCATTACATGCCAGGCACACTTTACATGCACTGTTTGCTTTCATCCTCATGACCATCCTCTGAAGTTTGTACTAGTTCTCTCCATTTTACAAAAACTGAGGCGCAGGAAGTTTAAGTAAATGCCGAAGGTTACTCAGCTACTAAACGGCCGGCAATCTGGCTCCACAGTCCTTGTCTTAGCCCCTGTGCTAGCCCAAATACTGCACTGCCTACCCTGTGCCGTGGGCCAGAAAACACAACACACCTCTGTGGTCTGAGAGATGACCTAGCTGTAACAGGTACTGATCCAAGCTTGTGCTCAAATCATGGCCCAGTGATGAAATGTGTAACATTTTGAGTGCTTTAAAAATTTCAAATATTTTTAACATCTGTGAACACTTCCCATGAATAGTCAGGAATAAAATTAGTGTAGCTTTTTTTTGCTAATGTTTTTAGCAATTAGTGTGTACTAGGAATTGGGTGACGTGCTTTACATTGATTCTGTCACTTCGTTTTCACAAGAACTTCAATGAGATGGGTACTGTGACTCCACCCATTTTATAGATGGGGCCCAGAGAAGTTAAGTAACAACCAGTGACACCGTCTGTCTTGTAGGGTTTTATGGGGACTAAATGGGTTAACACGTGGAAGCAAGTACTTAGCATAGAGCCTGGTGTATTATTTGTATGGTTCCCAGACTGTTCGATGAATATTAGTAGAATTCTCTCTCATTATCTTAGGAAAGACCATTCTTAGTCAAGGTGAAAGAAGATCTTTGCCAGCTGAGACAATTACACATCTTACCAGCTAGCAGGAAAACTATAAATTCAGCTACCTATGAAAAGTTCCCAGATTCATCTAAAATTCTCCTTTTAACTGAAAGTATTCAATCAAATGTGTCTAAAACTAGGAATTTTATGAGGAAATACACTATAGACAGAAACATCATATTTTTTAATTTAATTATATTCTTATTATTTATATATGTGGTAAAAATTATATTTTATACCCCTAAATAGATCAGTTCCAATAGGACAGATGCTGTACTGATACTTCTGTTTTTCCCTCCCTTTTCTCACCCAAAGACTCTGGCTCCGTCCCTCCTACCTACTAGCTCTTCAAGACAACCAGACCATTGCTTCTGGTTCTATTTTGGGATGTAACAGTGGATTCCAATATTCCTATTGGGAGCCTTGACCAAAGAGGTCATTAAACAAGCAAGGTTTCTTCTTCCCAATTACCGGCCACATCTCACAGCATAATTTGGATATATAATGGGGTTTAAAGACTCCTTCCCCTGATGGGTGCGAATGAAGAGAAGAATAGAGTGAAGAGGAAGAGCATCCTGTCTGCCAAACTTCAGGTTATCCTCTCCCAACATATGGCAAAGCCAGAGCAAGAGAAACCAGGTCTCACTTCTTATTCCCTCCTCCCTGATCTCTTATAGGAACCTATCTTTAAACCTCCAGAGTTTTCAAAGTATTAGCAAGCACATTTTTAAATGCCATATTTCTTCCTCCCATTCCTCCCCTTCACACTCTTTAACCTAAATTTCGTGTTCAATGGAGTGAATCTGGAGGCACTGCCTTGACATTTCACTATAAGAACTGAAAGACTGGGAGCGGCAATGCAAGTAGGAGGCATAGTGGGTTTGAATGGGTTTCTATTCATCCTATCAGTGACAGAGAGATTCCCCCTTAGGGTTAGGAAGATGGCCAAACACACGACACTAAGCATTGGACAGATGAGACCAACAGCAGTTCATTAGTCACATATACCCCAGCCTAGGGGAGGAGGACACAGCACACCATTCAGGGCCACACAGGGGTTGCAATCGGGAACAGAATGAATAACCAGGGGCTGTGAGAGGCAGGCTTTGTAGTGTCAAGAGGGTGTGGTGCCTCCTGGTTCCCACAGGAGGATGTAATTGGCTTGTTTGAAAAACTGCTTAGGAGGAAATTAAAACCCACTACTCAGGGTTAAATAGGAACTGCACCTGGTCCCCTCAAAAAGGAGGGTTGTTTGGCTGGGGGGATGTCATCTGTGAGAGGAGAGTAGGGAGGAGAACTTGCAGTTAGGCCATTCAAGGCCTTCCCAATTTTACCAGATGTCAAGACAGCACATACTATTAACTTTAGGCCTCACATTATAAAAGGTGAGTACAAAGGAGAGTGTGTGAGAAATAGTTTTTGGCACACACAACTAGATGAGAAAGAACAGGTAGAAAACTTGAGAGACAAGGTCTATCATGCAAGCTCAGATGTTCTTCTTGAAAACCAGAAATAGAGGTGGTGTTTAAGAGACCTCCATACAAGCAAAGCTCTGTTGTCAAGTCTCCAAATATTCCAATTTTAGCCAGTTATTTTTTTATTATTCTGGAAGATTCTGTGGACTTTCATTTGCTTTATGACAATGCTGATTAATTATTTGGGGGAAATAAATTGTTAGGATTATATAAGATACATATATAAAAAGCACATGAATGACAAAATCTCTGTATCAATGTATGGTTATTATTTCAGCACACCAAGAACGGCAAGAACTCCCATTTTCACTGAGAACTTACCGTGTGCTTTGCGTACACCCCCTCTCCTTTAACTTTCATGCCTACCTTACAAGGTACATGTCATTCTAGGAAGGGAAAAGATGCAGGATCAGAGAGTTGCTGTGGCAGGGCGGGAATTTTTAACCCAACCCTACATAGATCTCAGTAGAGTTTTTTGAAGCTTTAATAGTGTCTAGTCTGGTGAATAAAAAATAATACCGTATCTTCAACTTCACAGTAAAGTTAAGGACACCAGTTATTTATTTATTTTGTTATTCAACAGATAATGTTTGACTACCTACTATGTGCCAAGCGTTGACCCTAGTGATGAGAAATCCAAACCCTTAATGTTTCAAAGAATCACATGAAAGTATAGACATTCACCATGGCCATACTGCCCAAGGTAATTTATAGATTCAATGCCATCCCCATCAAGCTACCAATGACTTTCTTCACAGAATTGGAAAAAACTACTTTAAAGTTCATATGGAACCAAAAAAGAGCCCGCATTGCCAAGTCAATCCTAAGTCAAAAGAACAAAGCTGGAGGCATCACACTACCTGACTTCAGACTATACTACAAAGCTACAGTAACCAAAACAGCATGATACTGGTACCAAAACAGAGATATAGACCAATGGAACAGAACAGAGCCCTTAGAATCTACAATGAACTCAAACAAATTTGCAAGAAAAAAACAAACAGCCCCATCAAAAAGTGGGTGAAGGATATGAACAGACACTTCTCAAAAGAAGACATTTATGCAGCCAAAAGACACATGAAAACATGCTCATCATCACTGGCCATCAGAGAAATGCAAATCAAAACCGCAGTGAGATACCATCTCACACCAGTTAGAATGGTAATCATTAAAAAGTCAGGAAACAACAGATGCTGGAGAGGATGTGGAGAAATAGGAACACTTTTACACTGTTGGTGGGACCGTAAACTAGTTCAACCATTGTGGAAGTCAGTGTGGTGATTCCTCAGGGATCTAGAACTAGAAATACCATTTGACCCAGCAATCCCATTACTGGGTATATACCCAAAGGATTATAAATCATGCTGCTATAATGACACACGCACACGTATGTTTATTGCGGCACTATTCACAACAGCAAAGACTTGGAACCAACCCAAATGTCCAACAATGATACACTGGATTAAGAAAATGTGGCACATATACACCATGGAATACTATGCAGCCATAAAAAATGATGAGTTCATGTCCTTTGTTGGGACATGGGTGAAGCTGGAAACCATCATTCTCAGCAAACTATCGCAAGGACAAAAAACCAAACACCGCATGTTCTCACTCATAGGTGGGAATTGAACAATGAGAACACATGGACACAGGAAGGGGAACATCACACACCGGGCCTGTTGTGGGGTGGGGGAAGGGGGGAGGGATAGCATTAGGAGATATACCTAATGTTAAATGACAAGTTAATGGGTGCAGCACACCAACATGGCACATGTATACATATGTAACTAACCTGCACATTGCTCACGTGTACCCTAAAACTTAAAGTATAATAAAAAAAAAGAAAAAAATCGCATCACAAGCCATACTATTTTTAAAATTAAAAAAAAAAAAGAAGAAAGAAAGAAAGTATAGACATTCACTTCTGACCATGACAGAGAAACACGACTGGGTTTACCCTCCCAGCTTAAATAACAAAAAAGAAATGAACGAAATGCATGTTCATTAACATGTTCATAAAACAATGAGTTCTAGACATTGGACAACAGGTAGTAGAGAACAGTGATCCCTTAGAGAAGAGAAACAGACAAGGTGAGCCCTGGGGGTGCCTTACTCACTGTCTGGTTTCCAGTCCTCAGCATAGGGAAGGAGAACACACACAAAGCCCAGCAGTCTCCCTGATTTGAGGAGCTAGAGTTGAGCATCAGGGGAGGTCAATCCATCTAGAGGTTGGAGAAGGAGAGTACCAGACAAGAGAGAAAGAAGCTGCACAGAGAGAAATTTCTGGAGATTTCCTGAGTTCCCCTTGAGTCTTGATACCTGAGACTAAGGAAAGAACCACCTGAAACAGGTAGGACAATCCCTTGGACTTACAAAGGGCTGGGAGCAGGTTGTGTTCCCACCAGTCAAAATGGGAAAACCTCATAATACACAGGGCATAAGATGGAGAACACAGAAGAGGATTGCCTCAGTGCTGGAACCACAGTCTGCTCTAGCTGTGTCTGACAAGGCTTAAAAGCAAGACTCAAGAGGGTCAGACTATTTCCAAGTAATTTAATTGCCAACCAAAAAAAAAAAAAAAAAAAAGGCCTAAGAATATTTAAAGGAATATTCTTCCAATATGTAACAAAGTAAAATTCATCATGTCTGGCATCCAATCAAAAATTACTAGGTATGCCAAAAGGCAGGAAAATACAGCCTCTTATGAGGAGTAAAATAAATCATTCAAGAGAAACAATCACAGAAATGACACACAGTGTAGAATTGGTAGACACGGACATTAAAACAATTCTGATAAATATATTCCATATGCCCAAGAAAGTGGAGAAAATATTGAGCTTGTTAAAAAAAGACATGGATAATATTTGGTTTTTTGTTTGTTTTTGAGACAGTCTCGCTCTGTCAACCAAGCTGGAGTGCACTTGTGTGACCTTGCCTCACTGCAACCTCCACCTCTCGGGCTCAAGCAATTCTCTTGCCTCAGCCTTCCGCGTAGCTAGGATTACAGGCCCGCACCATCACGCCAGCTAATTTTTTTATTTTTAGTACAGATGGGGTTTCAGCATGTTGGCCAGGCTGGTCTCGAACTCCTGATCTCAAGTGATCTGCCTGCCTCAGCCTCCCAAAGTGCTGGGATTACAGGCCTGAGCCATCACGCCCAGCTGGATGATATTTTAAAACACTCAAATTAAACTTCTAGGCATTAAAAATTCAATGGATGGTGCTTTGGATGTCTCATAACTACCACCCACACATTTAGGACTCACTAGAAGGGCTCATAGGGCTCAGAGGCAAGATGATCCCAGCTATGGTTTATCAAGCATAAGATATACAGCCAGCCTCGCAAGGGAAAAAGACAAACCAGGTGAAGCCTGGAGGAATTTAGGCACTGGCTTCCAAAGTTCTCCCTCTGGGGCTGAAGAGAGACGGGGTGGCCACATAGAACACACTCTTTTAGCCAACAAAATGCAGTGTTTCTGATTAAGTCTCAAAGTTCAGAGTTTTCACTGGGGGCTGATTATTTTGGCAGTCTCTGCCTCCGATAAGCCACAGCTACCAAATTTAGACATCTGGTAGAAAGGCTGGCATTCACCATTAATTACATTGTTTGCACAAATAATCTAGGCAAGCTGGTATATAAGAGTTCGGTGTCTCAGGTCAGCAAATCATCCTTATCAGTGTAGGGAACATTCCAAAGCCAAGTTCCCAGATGATAGTCTAGGGCAAGCCCCCCAAGCAGATCATTCTAAAGGTAGCAACATCAAGCCTGCTATATTATGTCTTTTCTACACAGATGGAATTAACAGCAAATTAGATATTGCCAAAGAAAAGATTAGTGAACATGAAGAAATAGGAATAGAAGTAATCTAAAATGAAAGAAAACTGATATAAAGACTCAAGTTTCTGCCTTGGATAGTGGTGCTATTATGAACATAAAAAGAACAGACATTCTATTAAAACTTTTTAAAACATAATTATTGAGCAAGCAAGCACTAAATTGACCCATTGTACAGTTTTGTATGGTTACCAAAGACTAGCAAGGACTTCATTTGTATGTTAATTTCTGAAATATCTATAACTAAAACTTGATAATATTTCCATATAAACAAGAAACAAAAAACTTTTAAGCTATTAAAGATTTTAGTAAATGGATTCTATGAGAAGTAATCAAAGGAAAAACAATATGCAAGGATACAATCTGTTGGTGCATATGAGACAGTAAAGGAGAGAACATTTGTCTTTTGTATGCAAAGGACTTCATACACAATTACCTAACTTAATTTCACAACAATTTAAGAAGTAAGAATTATTTTCTCATTTTACAGATGAGAACATTGAGGGTAAGAAAGGTCAAGTAACTATCCTAGAAGAACACACAGTTAATTTGATGGAACCAGAAAAAGGAAGCCCATATGTCTATGTCTCCAAACTCTTTGTGTTTTCATTGTTCTTTGCTTTTGTATCTACCAAGGACAGACAGAATGCAACAGGCTCCTTTTAAAAACAATTGTAAAAATGGAGGTCCTGAAATGCATATGGAGTCATTTGCACTGACAGAGGTAGCACAGGCTAAAATAGCACAAACCTCTGCCCCCTCATCTCCCTCCTGCAAAAATAATAAATACATAAACCCTATTCCACCTACACTTTTTTTAATCTCTAGAGTTTTATCTTTTTGAACTTAAATAATTCTAGGGTAACTAAAATTATAGGGCAAAAATGGCAAATATACAATCACTCTCCTCTTTCAAACAAGGGAATATTATTCATATATCATGGCCCTTTTCCCCTCTAAGCTCAGATACAGCATCAGAATCATTCTGAACGTATTGTTCCAGGCAGCCATTTCCAGTGATTGAAATTAGAATTCAGAATGAAACCTCTTTGCATCTTTCTTTTAGGAGTCATCCATTAGAGCATAGTAATTAGAATTCAGATTCTGGAACTTGATTGTCTAGGCTCACATTCTAGTTCTACCACTTACTAACTGTATGAATTTAAATAAGTAAGTTAATCTCTCTGTGTTTTCAGCTCTAATTTGGGGATAGTTATGGGTATCTACTTCAGAAGGCTTTGCAAGAATTAAATGCGTTGAAATACATGTAATACTTAGACTAGAACCCGGAACATGGTAAGCATTATATGCCTAGCTGTTATTACTGTTATTACTATACAGATGAAGTTTTGACAATCATTTTTTGCAAGAAACAAAGCGATAGGAGGCTGAAGGTATTGGGCACCTAAACAGAAAGAACAAAAGAAAATGGAATTTAATGTCCTGCTTATAGACATGATTAAAGGATAGTACTGGAGGAGTAAACTAGACCATCTTTAGAAGATTTCTTTTGTCCCTCTGAATTCTACATTTCTGAAAAGAAAAAAGTAAAGGTATATAGGGACTCTTAACCAAGCATCTCAAATATCCAACAACAGTATTTGGTTAAGTATAAACTCTGACCTACCCATACCGTGAAATACTGAATATCCCCATTAAAATGCATGTCTTAGAACACCTGGTAACTTAGGAAATATCTCATAATATATTAAGTTAAACAATAAAACTTTAAATCATATATATAATATATTCAGGTTTTATAAATTACATACAAATATTAACATAGCACATGTGAAAAATATTCTACATATATGCATGGTACATATATTACCCTATTATATCCATTAATGTAAAATATATAAGTAAATCTGTAGATATGTAAAATATATCCATTCTATTCATAGAAAACATGGGCAAACATCTACCAAAATGTTAACGTGGCTGTATTTGGATGATAAGATTATAGGTGGTTGTTAATTTTCATACATTCATTTATTTATTTCATACATTCATTTATTTATCAAACTTCTAAATAAGCATATGTTACTTTTATTTGGATTTATTTTATTTTAACTATATAGTGGTCAAAATACAAAATATTTGTTCGATAAAGCTACCATTTTTTACTTGGACATAACAGATTGTTAATTCAAAAGATATAACACTATTAGTGAAGACACACAATACAATTTTTAAAAACAAGGTATTTAAACATTCACAACATCCTGCTCTGCAAAAAATCCTAAGTTAATTCTTTTCTATGTAATTTAAATAAAATTTATTTTCCAGAATAATTATGTCTAGCCTACATTTTCTTGTATCAAACAAAGAAAAATTTTTAAATTTCAACTTTTATTTTAGATACAGGGGTACATGTGCAGGTTTGTTACATGGGCATACTGCATGATGCTGAGGTTTGGGGTACAGATCCCATCACCCAGATAGGGAGCATAGTATCCTTCCCAAAGCCTATCAGTCATGTGCTTGAACTTCAAACAGTGCTTCCCAATTTTCAACCTAAAGTCTATTTATAACATCAGATATTAACGTTTCTAAAACCTGGATATCTCACTATGCCTTAACCCTGGGCCCCTAGAAGACGAAGCCTAATGAAAGTTAACCTGCTACTGCTGACTCTTGGCTCCCAGGACAGCAAGACTGAGAGCAAAATGGGAAGGGAGCAGCGAAGGAGAGAAAGCAAAGACAAGGCAGTGCATTACAGAGCAGCTGTAGCTTCACGAGAAGACCTAGTCTGCTGCCTGGTCAACGGACATCTCTGCAAAGGCTATGTGGAAGCAGTGGGCCTCAGAAGACGTGTTCGAGGGAGGATGAGAGAGAGGTTGATGCTCTGGCTCTTTTCCATTTCCTGTCAAGCCTGCGGCACAGAGCATGACCTCCCTGGTGCTTCCAGATTGTGTCCCCAGTCCCTTGGGGCCGCTGCAGGGGAAGCCAGATCGCCTGTCCCGCGGCAAGTCCTTCCTCTGAACCCAGACATGGCGGCAGGAGCCAAAGCCTTTGTGAGATGCTCCATCAGATGCGGATGACTGAGGAGGTCTTCACCCAGGACAGGCTGAGATGGCAGGTGGGGGCAGCGAGCAAGTCGCCCAGGCCTGAGGGGCAATGGGGCGAAGCGAGCCTGGGGAGAAGAATCCGTGACTATGTAATACACCACTAGGCCTAGTCCTCTGGTTTCACTGCAACTTCCTCGTTTCCTACAGTGCTTCCTGTTAAGAATGAAACTACTGCTTCTTGTATGAGGGTGTCAAGGAAACTGCTTTGAACGAAGCTGACTTTGCCTGCTTGCTCCAGGCGTGACTTGGAGAGTCATCTTCTCTGGGATTTCTCCCTGGAATTTCAGTTTATTAGTCGCCAATAAATTTTTCTTTATTAAATTCCTCTTCAAATATTCAGAGTGATGTTGCCACTGAAACCAATGAAATAATGCAAGAAAAAATAATAATAATAACACCTCCCACTGTAGTGAACTTCCATACCATAACTGATATTTACAGCCTGATCAACAGGTATATGTTTTGTAAGCAAGGAGAAAGATGTGAAAGGAAGAAGTGTAAGCTGTATAAGCCTTCTACTATTTTCTTCTTATTCACAAGGAATCACTACAAAATTACTTTACAATTTGGTTTTCTTAACTATACATCATAGACTTCTCTTCAGGCAAAAAGGTATAGCTCTGCCTCATTCAAAAATAGCTTTCAGGTTAATCCTGAGACACTGTCTTTTGGTGATGGCAATTTTTATTTTTCTATGTAAAATTATTTATCCTGTCCATTAAAATTGTCTTTAGATTCTTTTCTTAAGGAAAAAAATAGATGCCATATAGCACATTGCTTAAGTATGTAGCTTCAGATGTCAGACTGCTTGAGTACAATTCCTAACTCCACCACCAAGTAGCTGTGTGACTTAGGACAAGTTACTTTAACTCTCTGTGCTTCAGTTTTCTTATCTCTGAAGAGGATTGTAGTACTTACCTCCTGTATAATGTTGGGAGAGTTAAATGAGTTAATACACTGAAGGCACTCCAGACAGTGCCTAGTATGTAAGAAGCACTCAGTAAATGTTAACTATTACTGTTCTTATAATTGTTAGTATTTCATAATGCCCACATAAATAGAAACACATCCACTTAACAAAGAAACAAAAATGAATTGAGCCCTGTTATATGTCATTTACTAAGTACATAGGGACAACTAAGACAGGGTTTTTATTCCAGAGAATGGGAGAAAAGATCAACACAGGAACAGGTAAATTGCAATATCACTTGATAGATGGTTTAATAACATGAGAAACCAGCAGCTATGGGCTCAGTGATGGGAGTGAGTAATTGTGCCTCAGGAAATGCTTCCGGTCTGAGATGGGTCCTGAGTAACAGGAATTTGCCAATCAGAGGTGGTGGCATTAGAGTGGGTGTTCCAAGTCTAGGGAGCAGTATGTGCAAGAATGAAAATATTCCTCTAGGCAACTGACAAACATCTTCCATGAAGAGATACTAAGATATGACGATTTTCTTCCCATTTTCTAAAATGTCACATCTCGGTAGCTCAAGCTAGAGCATTTGGTCGTCTGCCAAACGCTTTGCAAAATGTTTTGATTCCTGTGACTCATCATCACCAAAAGCTAATTGACTACTATGACTCATTTTCATCCCTATTGGAATTGTATCTCTGCATCAACTCATGTTTCTGTACAAAGCATGCCATCGAGTGGATTGACTAAATACTCTTGTTAAGGACAATACCAGACAGTCACTAAGGATAATTGTCACATTTTAGATACTGTGCTCCAACATCGATTTCTGTACTGCCAGGGAAATCGTCAGGGAGTAATAAACTGGGATTGAGCATAAGCAAAAAGTATAGATAAACAAAGTCCAAATGAGGCAAAGAGCTTCATGCAGCTACTTTTTTATATAAACCCAAGAAGGTACTATAAGAGCAAATACACAATGATGCACTTTAAAAGCTGAGGGTCCACAATTAATTAGTAACACTGATAATTCCTTTCTGTCTTCATGACTTCATAGAATCAAAAGGAATGGAGTTTGAAAAAAAAAAAGCCTTTTTATCTAAACTGTCTCTTTTGTTTGATCATTTAAAAAACTATTTTCAGTTTTTAGGTAAAAGACCATGTCACTGTTAAGCAAAAGTCTTATAAGAAAAAAACAAGGGGTGAGAAGATACTTTTTAAAATATATGTATTATCTTAGCTTCCCTAAAACGTAAGTCTCAAACAGCATTGAAAACAACAGAAGCTCATTATACTGTTGTTTTAATGACAGCATAAAAATTGTAAACTACCTAAATGCCATCAATAGGGGATCACATTAATGAAATGTGGAATAGTCATCAGGAAACGCAATGAAGCAGTTGAAACAAAGCTAAATCCACTTATATTAACATGGATCCAAAATTTGATGTTGAAGGGAAAATGCAAGATAGAAAATACGTGCACATGATATTACTTTTAAAAATATAAAATATTACTACCTATTACTTATACATAAAAATGGATTGGAAGAATATAAACGAACTCATCTTAGTGATTACTCTGGGGAAGGGAGAAGGGAATGAGAGATGACAGTGTAGGGGGTGTGGTGAAGATTAAAGTAGACTTAGCTTATATTTATGGTTAGAAAAAGACAAAGCAAAATATTGAGTTATGACTTTGCTGTTCTTTTTGTATTTAAAGTAAAAATGGGATTCTTTTTTTCTGCTTCATAACTTGCTTTGTGTCTTCCCATTTTCTTTATCATCAGAGATTTAAACTGGTCTTCCCATTTCAACTTAAGACAGAGACACTCTATTAACAATTTTTTTCTTTTGTTTTGTTTAATTTCAACTTTTATTTTAGATTCAGAGCATGTGCAGGTTTATTACATGTTGCATGATGCTGAGGTTTGAGGTATGACTGATCCTATCACCCAGGTAGTGAGCATAGTACCTAACAGGTAGTTTTTCAGTCCTTGTTCTCCTCCCTTCCTCCCCACTTTTGTAGTCCCCAGTGTCTATTATTCCCATCTTTGTGTCCACGTGTACACAAGGTTTAGTTCCCACTTATAGATGAGAATATGCAGTATTTGGTTGTCTGTTCCCACGTTAGTTCACTTAGGAGAATGGCTTCCAGCTACATACATGTTGCTGCAAAGAACATGATTTCATTTTTTAGGGCTGCATAGTATTCCATGATGTATATGCACCACATTTTCTTTGTCCAATCCACCATGGATGGGCACCGAGGTTGATTTCATGTCTTTGATATTGTGAATAGTCCTGCGATGAACATATGTGTACATGTGTGTATTTGGTAGAATGATTTATTTTCCTTTGGGTTTAAACCCAGTAATGGGATTGCTGGATTGAATGATTAGTTCTGTATTAAGTTATCTGAGATATTTCCAAACGGTTCTCCACAGTGACTGAACTAATTACCTTTCCAACAGAGTATAAGCATTCCTTTTCTCCACAGCCTCACCGGCATCTACTCTTTTTTGATTTTTTAATAATAGACATTCTGAGAGGTGTAAGATGGTATTTCACTGAAGTTTCAATTTGCATTTATCTGATGATTAGTGACATTGAGCATTATTTCATGTTTGTTGGCTGCTTGTGTGTCTTCTTTTGAGAAGTGTCTGCTCATGTCATTTGCCCACTTTTTAATGGGATGGTTTTTATTTGTTGATTTGTTTAAGTTCCTTATAGATTCTGGATGTTAGCCCTTTGTTGGATGAATAGTTTGTGAATATTTTCTCCTATTCTGTAGGGTGTCTTTTTATTCTGTGATAGTTTCTTTTGCTGTGCAGAAGCTTTTTAGTTTAATTAGGTCTGACTTGTCAATTTTTGTTTTCAGCGTGATTGCTTTTAAGGTCTTAGTCATAAATTCTTTGCCAAAGCAGATGTCCAGAATGGCATTTCTTATGTTTTCTTCCAGGATTTTTATAGTTTGAGGTCTTAACATTTAAAACGTTGATTCATCATCCTGAATTAATTTTTGTGTATGGTGAAAGGTAGGGGTCTACTTTCATTCTTCTGCATATGACTAAGCCAGTTATCCCAGCATCATTTATTGAACCAGGAGTCCTTTCCTCATTGTTTAGTTTTGTCAATATTGTCAAAGATTAAATGGTTGTAGGTGTGTGGTTTTATTTCTGGGTTCTCTATTCTGTTCCATTGATCTATGTGTCTGTTTTTGTACAAGTACCATGCTGTTTTTGTTACTGTAGCCTTATGGTATAGTTTGAAATCCAGTAATCTGATACCTCCAGCTTTCTTCCATTTGCTTAAGATTGCTTTCACTATTTAGGCTCTTTTTTAGTTTCATATGAATTTTAAAATTGTTTTTCTAATTCTGTGAAAAATGTCATTTGTAGTCTGATAGGAATAGCATTGAATCTGTAGATTGCTTTGGGCAATATGACCATTTTAACAATATTGATTCTTCTAATCCACGAGCATGGAATGTTTTTCCATTTGTTTGTGTCATCTATGATTTCTTTCAGCAGTGTTTTGTAATTTCCCTTGTAGAAATCTTTCATCTCCTTGGTTCAATGTATTCCCAAGTAGTTTATTTTATTTTTGTGGCTACTGTAAATGAGATTGTGTTCTTGATTTGGCACTCAGCTTGAACATTATTGCTGTATAGAAATGCTATTGATTTTGCACATTGATTTTGTATCCTGAACTTTACTGATGGCATTTATCAGTTTTAGGCTTTTGGTGAAGTCTTTAGGGTTTTCTAGGTATAGAATCATATCATCAGTGAAAAGAGATAATTTGACCTCTTCTTTTCTAATTTTGGATGCCTTTTCTTTCTTTCTCTTGCCTGATTGCCCTGGCTAGAACTTCTAGAACAATGTTGAATAGGAGTGGTGAAAGTGGGCGTCCTTGTCTTGTTTCAGGTCTTAAGGGGAATGATTCCAGCTTTTTCCTATTCAGAATGATGTTGGCTGTGGGTTTGTCATAGATGGCTTTTATTATTTTCAGGTATGTTCCTTATATGCTGAGTTTGTTGAGGGTTTTTATTATGAAGGGATGTTGGATTTTATTGAAAACTTCTTCTGTTATCTATTGAGATAATCATATGGTTTTTGTTTTTAGTTCTGTTTATGTGGTGAATCACATTTATTGACTTAGGTATGTTGAACCAACCTTGCATCCCAGGAATAAAGCCTACTTGATCATAGTGAATTAACTTTTTGATATGCTGCTGAATTCAATTTGCTAGTATTTTTCGAGGATTTTTGCATCTATGTTCATCAAAAATATTGGCCTGGCTTGGCGTGGTGGCACATGCCTGTAATTCCAGCACTTTGGGAGGCTGCAGATCACCTGAGGTCAGGAGTTCGAGACCAGCCTGACCAATATGGTGAAACCCTGTCTCTACTAAAAACATAAAAATTAGCTGGGGCTAGTGGTAGGCACCTGTAGTCCCAGCTACTCGGGAAGCTGAGACAGGAGAATTGCTTGAAACTGGGAGGCGGAGGTTGCAGTGAGCCGAGATCGTGCCTGGGCAACAAAGTGAGACTCCATCTCAAAAAAATAAATAAATAAAATTGGCCTATAGTTTTCTTTTTTGTTGTATCTTTGCCAGATTTTAGTATCAGGGTGATAAATGGCTTTGTAGAATAAGTTAGAGAGAAGTTCCTCTTCCTCAGCTTTTTGGAAGAGTTTCAGTAGAATTGGTACCAACTCTTTGCTGTGCACACAAACTACAAAATCTAGAGGAAATGGATAAATTTCTTGACACTTGCAACCTCCCAAGATTGAACTAGGAAGAAATTGAAACCCTTAACAGACCAAAATTGAGTTCTAAAATTGAATCAGTAATAAAAAACCTACCAAAAAAAAAAAAAAAAAAAAAAAAAAGCCTGGGACCAGACAGATTCACTGATGAATTCTACCTACCAGACATACAAGGTACACCACCACCTCATCCTAGATAGACAGGAATTTGAACTGCTGCCCTATCACATCTCTGTTCCAGAGCTCATGACTCCTAGATCAGATGTACACTGTAGCCTTTTTCTGAACCACAATGTAGTTGAGAGCCTCAGGGGTTGCTTCATTTGTGACTCTCCGTGGCAGTGGTTTTGGGGCAGAACTTCATCACTCAGCCTAATTAATACAGATGGCATTGTGGCTCACCATTCTCCAATGTGATAGCACTGCATCTTCATGTAAAAGGGGTTAGGGGGCCTCCGCCTTTGGGCCTGTGCAGGTTGTGGTGATATTGGCTGGGTGGGTGGGTCCAATCTCAGGCCCTGGGAGAAATGGTCAGGTGTCAGCAGAATTGGAATGGGGTTCTCCAACTCCCCAGCCCCTAAATGGCCAGCTGGACAGCGTGTATGAGTCTTGATGGGGCTGGATCGGGTGGAGCCTGAGTTGCTGGTTGTGATAGGGAGGGCCAGGCTGGTCCCTGAGTTACCAGCTGAACTCTCACATAGGGTCAGGTGGTGGGATCTCGAGGGAAGATCACAGGCCTGTGAAGATAAGGTTTTCACGGCTGCAATGTTCATACATGGGCGATGTTGGTGCATTGGAAGTCAGAAAGCAGCAAGCCCTGTTGGGAAGGTGCAGTGGGGTCATGGCCTCTCTGCAGGGCAGCTGCTGGCTTGCTGGAGACTCCCCAAAGCACTCAGGCTTTTTGTTCCCTCCCCAGCCTGGGGGCAGCAGCAGGAGGGCACTGCAATGGCAGCCAGTGGCAGAGGGCCTGTTAGTTGTCTCTGGGAGCTCCACCACAGAGAAATGCAGAGCCCTGGCCATAGGACTGACTGCACTTCCAAGCCCAGGGGCCTTGCCTGGAAATGCGCAGAGTGGGCAGGAGCTTGCAGGAAAGACAGTCTGACCTCCTCTCTGTTGGGTGGCTGCGGTGTGCTGGAGGTGCCTGTGAAAGCAATCAGGCTCCATGTTCCTCCTCCCTAGTCTGGGGGCAACAGAAGGTACCACAGAGTGGCAGAGGGGCTGTTGGTTACCTCTGGGAGCTACACTGCAAAGAAATGCAGAGCCCTAATGGGGGACCAGAGTGCTCAGGTGGGGTGAGGTGGCTGCGTTGGGAGCCTAGGCCAGGGGGCCTTTGCTGGGGAGGAGCAGTGGAGACAGGGCCTGCAGTCTCACTCCTTATCAACACTTATCCTGGGAGCATGTGAAGGAGCCTGCCCTTCTTTTTTGGTGGAGGTAGGGCAGCTGGCTACAGGGTGCTCAAGGATCCAAGGTCTGTGGGGCTCCATGTGGGCTTCAGCAGTGGCTCTGCCCAGAATCCAGGCAGCTCTCTGTGTCAGTCTGGAGGCCCAGGGTGGGAGGTTAACAGGGGCGGGGCGAGCGCTTAGGGGGAATCTCTCATGCCCAGGATTGCAAAGGAGCATGGGGGAAGTGTGGGTCCCGGGGGAATCTTGCTCACTCACCCTTTCCCCTTGGTGGGGAGTCTCCCCAGCTCCACACCCATCCCAGGCGGTCAGCGACCCTGCTTTACTCTTCTCTGTTCTCCGTGGGTCCTGTTGCTTCCTTGATGAATCTCAGCGTGGCCTCCTGGATAATCCACTTGAAGAGCTAGGATTTACTCTCCACTCTCCTCTCTGTGAGAGCCGTGTGCATCAGCTGCTTCCAGTCAGCCATCTTGAATTCTCCCCTACAACGTTTTTAATCAGTCAGAGTTCAACCAGAAGAGTAGAAACTGCTTTCAAAACTGTATTTCAAACAGAAAACCATTAGCACCGTAAACCCCATCTCTACTAAAAATACAAAAAATTAGCCGGGCGTGGTGGCGGGTGCCTATAGTCCCAGCTACTCGGGAGGCTGAGGCAGGAGAATGGCATGAACCCGGGAGCTTGCAGTGAGCCGAGATCGCACCACTGCCCTCCAGCCTGGGCGACAGAGCAAGACTCCGTCTCAAAAAAAAAAGAAAAAAAGAAAAAAAGAAAGAAATTACTGAAAAACTAATTGGCCGCCTTTAAGGAATGTTAGAGTGTCAATTTATTATGCTGAAAACTAAAATATAAAGAGAAAAATCAAGTCTTCCTGTACAAATTGTTTTTCATGGAAACCAAATAGTTGAATAGGTAAAGTTCTTTATGAAAGAATTGCAAGTCATAAATGCCTAAAAATAACAAAATTAAAATATCACCATTTTTTAAATTTAACTTTTATTTTAAGTTCAAGGGCATATGTGCAAGTTCGTTATATAGATAAGCTTTTGTCATGGGGATTTGTCGTACAGATTATTTCATCACCCAGGTATTAAGCTTGGTACTCATTATTTATTTTTCCTGATCTTCTCCCTCCTGCAATCTCCACCCTCTGATAGGCCCCAGTGTGTGTTGTTCCCTCTATGTGTTCATATGTTCTCATCATTTAGCTCCCATATAAGTGAGAACTGCGGTATTTGGTTTCCCCTTCCCGCGTTAGTTTGCTAAGGATAACAGCCTGCAGCTCTATCCATGTCATTCTTTTTATGATGGCTGCATAGTATTCTATGGTGTATATGTACCACATTTTCTTTATCCAGTCTACCATTGGTGAGCATTTAGGTTGATTCCATGTTTTACTATTGTGAATAGTGCTGCAATGAACATATGTGAGTTTGTGTCTTTATAATAGAATGATTTATATTCCTCTGGGTATATACCCAGTAACACAATTGCTGAGTTAAATGGTATTTCTGTTTTTTAGGTCTTTGTGGAATTGCCACACTGTCTTCCACAATGGTTGAACTAATTTACACTCCCAGCAGCAGTGTATAAGTGTTTCTTTTTCTCTGCAACCTCGCCAGCATCTATTATTTTTTGACCTTTTAATAGTAGCCATTCTGACTGGTGTGAGATGATGCCTCATTATGGTTTTGATTTGCATTTCTTTAATGATCAGTCATGTTGAGCTTTTTCCATATGCTGGTTGGCCACATGTATGTCTTCTTTTGAAAAGTGTCTGATTATGTCCTTTTCCCATATGCTGGTTGGCCACATGTATGTCTTCTTTTGAAAAGTGTCTGATTATGTCCTTTTCCCACTTTTTAATGGGGGTGTTTGTTTTTTGTTTTTGTTTTTGTTTTTTTTCTTGTAAATTTAAGTTACTCATAGATGCTGGATATATTAGACCTTTTTCAGATGTGTAATGTATTAGTCCGTTTACATGCTGCTGATAAAGACATACCTGAGACTGAGAAGAAAAAGAAGTTTAATTGGACTTAAAGTTTCACATGGCTGGGGAGGCCTCAGAATCATGACGGGAGGTGAAAGGCACTTCTTACATGGCAGCAACAAGAGAAAAATGAGGAAAATGCAAAAGCAGAAACTCCTGATAAAACCATCCTATCTCATGAGACTTATTCACTACAGTGAGACCAGTATGGGGGAAACCGCCCCATGATTCAAATTATCTCCCACCAGGTCCCTCACACAATATGTGGGAATTGTGGGAGTACAATTTAAGATGAGATTTGGGTGGGGACATACAGCCAAACCATATCATTCCACCCCTGGCCCCTCCAAGTCTTATGTCTTCACATTTCAAAACAAATCATACCTTCCCAACAGTCCTCCAAAGTCTTAACTCACTTCAGCATTAACCCAAAAGTCCACAGTCCAAAGTTTCATCTGAGACAAGGCAAGTCCCTTCCACCTGTGAGTCCGTAAAAACAAAAGCAAGCTAGTTAGTTTCTAGATACAATCGGGGTGCAGGTATTAGGTAAATATAGCCATTCCAAATGGGAGAAATTGGCCAAAACAAAGGGGTTACAGGGCCCGTGCAAGTCCAAAATCCAGCAGGGCGGAAATCCTTACAGATATGTGGACATAAGCATATGTTTCCCTGCTCTGTCAGCTGAGAAGTCCTTGAAGCAGTGATATCCCAGCAGCAATGAGCATACCTAGAGGAGCCCAGATCATAGTTTCTAGTATCATTTTCCAATAAAGGACCCAGAAATGACTGATTCCAGAACTGGGTGAGAAGTAATATATAAGATGAGCCTGAATCACAGTTAAGGAAATGCTCAAAAGATGAACAAATAAACAAAAACTCCCAATGATGGCAGTATGTCAAAAGGACACAGGAATCAACTGCAGGTGCTCCTAATGGCCAAAGAAGGAACAATTTAAGCAACAGAATAAATAAGTATTTATAATCCAAGATATAAGATAACTATCCATGAGTACATACTGATATAAATAAATGATTGAATAAATAAGCAGATAAATGCAGGAGAATAGACAAATTTCTTGGCAGAAGAATTCTAAATAATTTATCTTGAGAGTTCACCTTAAAGAAGGTGGGGCTTTATTTCTCACTCTTTTAGTGTGGACTGCACATAATGATTTCCTTCCAAAGAGTACTGTATGGAAATAGGGTGGAAAGGACAGCTTTGCAGTGAAGAAACTGACAAGCGATCAAGGTTAACATCAACAGTGACAAGTCATGCTGATAGTTATGTACCATTGATATGATGTGAGGGGAATGGCACTTTACCTCTGTAATCTTCCTTTCCAAACCCCCAAGCCTCAATCTGAACATGGGAAAATATCAGAAAAGTTCCAATTAAGGGATATTTTACAAAAATACCTGACCACTGTTCCTCAAAACTGTCAAGATTATAAAAAACAGAGAAAGTCTGAAAAAACCCACAGCCAAGATGAGTTTAAGGATACATGACAACTAGATAGAATGTGGTATCCTGGATCTGTTCCCAGGACAAAACATGGATATTAGATTTTTTTAAAACTAAGGAAATCTGTATAAATCATAGACTCTAATTATAATAATGTATTAACATTAACATTCATCAATTGTGGCAAATATACCACACTAATATAAAGTGTTAATCATAGGGGAAACTGGCTGTGGGGTATATGGGAAGTCTCTATGCGCTTTTTGTAATTTTTCTGTAAACCTAAAGTGCTTCCAAAATAAAAGGTTTATTAAACAAGAAAGCGATGTATAGGTAACAAAAAGGTGGTTTTTTTTTTTTTTTTGAGACGTAGTCTGGCTCTGTCGCCCAGACTGGAGTGCAGTGCCACAATCTTGGCTCACTGCAAGCTCTGCCCTCCCAGGTTCACACCATTCTCCTGCCTCAGCCTCCCGAGTAGCTGGGACTACAGGCGCCCACCCCTACACCAGGCTAATTTTTTGTATTTTTAGTAGAGATGGGGTTTCACCATGTTAGCCAGGACGGTCTCCATCTCCTGACCTCGTGAACCGCCCACCTCAGCCTTCCAAAGTGCTGGGATTACAGGCATGAGCCACCGCTCCTGGCCAACAAAAAGTTTTTAGGGAATCATTCTGAATCCATTTCGGGTGGAAGGGCTAGGGCTGATGGAAAGTGGAAAGAGGTATGGATGAAACAAGATTGATAAAGACTTGACGAGTGATTAAACTGAGATTATGGGTATGTGAGAGATGACTATATTTTTCTAAGGTAGAAGTTGTGTTTTTATATTCCCTATAATGGGCACCATTTAACAGCATTTACAGATTTAACACAGGGGAGATAAATGTAATGAGTCTTCTTAGTCAAGGACAGTCACACGTTCCTCAGCAAACATCTGGTATTTGGGATCAGGGAGTATGTCACCATGTTATGGGACATAGCAATTGCTTGGTACATCTGTGTTCAATACACTGAACTTTACCACTAAGCAGATTATAGCCATGATGACTTCAAATCACACAAAAGACTCCTTCTGCCTCAAAGAAGATCATGGATCTTCATTTACTTTAAAATTTAGTCGAAATTCCAGTGGAGTCCAGCTTAATTGTTAGTTCATAAGAAACTTCACTCCATGAGTCTTAACCAAATGAACATATTCTAACACATTTCCTGCAAAATAAATATTTTACAGGTTTTACTTTAACCTTGATAGTCAAATCCAGGTAAAAACTTCAGGGCAAGCTAGTGATATCTAATGCATCTACCCTATGGTGAAAATATTTCTGTTTTTATGACTTCTGTATGAACAGTTATAAATTTCTCCATTCCTGACCTTCCTTGCCATTTTGATATGAAAATACTTTTAAAATAGCATTTTTACATGCAACAAAATGATTCATTACTGATATGGGTAGAGCAACTCATTTCATAATTTAGGTAAGAGAATATGTTTGAAATAAGGATGAACCTTATTATGCTAACTGTTTATTCTCTCTTACATTTACTATTTTCTTTTTTTTTTAAAGTCATGGCTTAACATATATTTATTTTAAATATTCAGTTAAATTGTGTGTTTCTTCCATAGGGAATGGTAAAATTAATAAAATTTAGCACTGAAGTTTTTGTCAAATGCCTTGGTGAATTATTATTATTAAATAATGCAGACATGACCTTTTAGAATATTATAACCAGTAGTATCTGGGAGGCAGAATAATGTAGTGTAGTGCTGCATTTTTACAAAATGTACTCCACGTAACTCTAGTTCTGTGGACTGTTAATAGGTTTTATTTGCTGAGGTTGGGGGAAGTCCTGAGGTCAAATAAGTTTAGAAAGTATTCTATTAAAGTTGTTTACCGTAGGACTTTTAACATGCTGATGGATATTGTGAATCTTAAGGAGGGGAAATAGCCTACAACATTTCTTAGATTGATTTGACCACAAAGTACCTCATATTTTCTGAATCACCTTGCAGCACCACACTTAACAATAGAAAGAGTAAAGGGGGCAGGGTGGGGAAAAGAGGTGTGTATACATTCTAGAGGCATAGAGAGTTCAACCTGCACTGAAATTCTCACTCTGTTGCTAACAAGTAGGATGTTGTTAGGCAAGTGGCCCTCGGTAAGATTAATTTTAATCTGTAAGTAAAGATGATAACCTCTAATTTGCATTGTTTTCATAAGGATTACAAATAATTTAGATGAGTTCTGTTATAGATTATGATATAAAAGAGTGTGGTAGACCATAGCTCTCACTGTAACAAGTAGTGGGGGTGAGGGGAGATGGATAAACTAAAAAAAAAAAAAAAAGAAAAAGGAAAAAGTTTAAGGATGTGAAGAAGTCTGAAAGTCTGGAAGACTTAAATTCCAGATACGGAAGAGCCTTTTCCTCTCTGGTGACATTTGCCGAGTTTGGGATGGGTAAACGAGAGGGTTTCTTCTTCCAAGACAAAGGAAAATCCAGCAGAGTTTCTAATAGCCAAATTAGCATGACTGATATATTGGAATCCAGAGGATCCCCCAAAAGCATATCCAGTCCTCCACACCAGTCAGCCTTTACCCAGAAGACTTTTGATGAATGCCGGGCTGTAGGTAAAGTTGGAGTACTCTTAGAAAGGTAGATAGAGATCTCCATAGTCTCTTAAGAATTATATCCCAAAGTCAAATAGAACAGCTGTAATGAAAAGCAAACCTATTTTATTATCAATATATTGGAAAATAGGTGAGAACTGAAACCACCTAAAACTGTAACCCACCCTCATCCCAACTCAATTTCTGATGAGACTGAAGCAGTTGGCCGTCAAACATACTGCCTGGTAGAGGGAAAAGTGTGTCCTTCCTAGAGGGAAATACATGTATTTCAGTATCTACACATCTTTTTACATAATGCGCAGCATAAAGTTAAAAAATAAAAAATAATCTATGCAAAGAAGCCAGTAAATGTGACTTGTAATCAAGAAAATTATAGAAGCAGACCTATAGATGACCCAGAGGTTGGAATTCACAGACATACTAAGATTGCTATTATAAATATGTTAAATAAAATAGAGGAAAAGATGAACAAAATGGATAAAGCTATGAAGAATTTAAGCAGATAAATGGAATTTCCCAAAAGAAGCAAATTAGCTTTCTAAAACTCTACAGTATATGAAATTAAGATATCATGGAATGAGCCAATGAATTTAAAGACAGCTCAAAGTAAACAATTTAAACTAAAGCACATAGAGAATTTTTTTAAAAAAGAAGAGAACAAGAGATGGAAGATACTGCCAAATGATCTAATATTAATATATGTGTAATTAGAGTTCTAGAAAAAGAGAAGAAAAAGAATGGGATAAAAGAAAGTCCTGGCAGAGCAATCAGGCAAATATAAATAAATAAATAAAGGGCATTCAAATTGGAAAAGAGGAAGTCAAACTATCTCTGTTTGCCAACAATATGGCCTTATATGTAAAAAACCCTAACGACTCCTTCAAAAGATTCTGAGATTTGATAAACGAATTCAGTAAAGTCTCAGGTTACAAAATCAATGAACAAAAATCAGTGTCAGTGCTATACACCAACGATGTCCAAGCTGAGAATCAAATCAAGAACTCAATCCCTTTGACAATAGCTACAAAAAAAAAATCAAGAATATATTATGCTGGTGCAAAAGTAATTGCAGTTTTTGCTATTGAATGTAATGGTGACACTTAACCTAAGGAGGTGAAAGATCTCTACAAACAGAACTATAAAACACTGCTGAAAGAAATCATAGATGACACAAACAAATGAAAATACATTCCATGTTCACAGATTAGAATAATCAATACCATGAGAACGACTATACTGACCAAAGAAATCTACAGACTCAGTGCAATTTTTTGTCAAAATACCAATGTCATTCTTCACAGAATGAGAAAAAGACAACCCTAAAATTCAGATAGAACCCAAGAAAGAGCCCAAATAGCCAAAGCAATCCTAAGAAAAAGAAACAAACCTGGAGGCATCACATTACCCAACTTTGAATATTACTACAAGGCTATAGGAACCAAAACAGTATGATACTGATATAGAAGTAGACACATAGACTAATGATACAGAATAGAGAACCCAGAAATAAAGCCAAATACTTATAACCAGCTGATCTTCAATAAAGCACACAAAAACATAAACAGGGGAAAGGACACCCTATTCAATAAATGGTGCTGGGAAAATTGGACAGCCACATGTAGAAGAATGAAACAGGATTCCTGTTTTACCATATACAGAAACTAACTTAAGATGTATTAAAGATTTCAATCTAAGAACTGAAGCCATAAAAATTCTGGAAGAAAATCTAGGAAAAACTGTTCTGGACATTGATGTACACAAAGAATTTATGATGAAGAACCCAAAAGCAAATGCAACAAAAACAAAAATAAATAAATGAGACCTAATTGAACTAAAAAGCTTCTGCACTCCAAAAGGAATAATCATCGGAGTAAACAGATAACCTACAGAATGGGAGAAAATATTTGTAAACCATGCAACCAGCAAGGAACTAATATCCAGAATCTACAAGGAACTCAAACAAATCAGCAAGAAAAAAACAAATCATCCCATTTTGAAAGTGGGCAAATGACATGAATAGACATTTCTCAAGAAAAGATATACAAAAGGCCAAAAAAAAAAGATAAAAATGCCAACATCACTAATCATCAGAAAGATGCAAATTAAAACCACAAGGAGATACCACCTTTACCCAGCCAGGATGGCCATTATTAAAAAGTCAAAAAACAATATATTTGGCATGGATGTGGTGAAAAGTGAACACTTACACACTGCTGGTGGAAATGTAAATGAGTACAACCTCTTTGGAAAACAGTACGGAGATTTCTGAAAGAACTAAAAGTAGATCTACCATTTGATCTAGTAATCCCACAACTGGATATCTACCCAAAGGAAAAAAAAATCGTTATATCAAATCATTATATCAAAAAGACATCTGCACATGTATGTTTATCACAGCACAATTCACAGTTGCAAAGATATGGAATCAACCTAAGTGCCCATCAACCAATGAATGGATAAAGAAAATGAGATATATATACCATGGAATACTTACTCAGCCATATGAAAGAATAAAATAATGTCTTTTGCAGCAACTTTTATGGAAATGGAGGCCATTATTCTAAGTGAAGTAACTCAGAAATGGAAAAGCACATACCACGTGTTCCCACATATAAGTGGGAGCTAAGCTATGGGTACACAAAGGCATGCAAAGTGATATAATGGACATTGGAGACTCAGAAGGGGGAAGGATGGGAGGGAGGTGACGGATGAAAAACTACTTATTGGGATACAATGTACCCTACCTCAGGTGACTAAAATCCCAGACTTTATCACTCTACAATTCATTCATGTAGCCAAAAACCACTTGTACCCCTAAAGCTACTGAAATTTAAAAAATTCAAAATAATAAAAAATAAAGTTCATCTTCCTTTAGTAAGGCATTGTTTCAATAAATCTTTTTTTGATAATAAAAAGGAGGAAAAAGCAATATTTGAAAAGATAATGTCTGTGAATTTTCCAAAACTGATGAAAGACATCACTCACATATTTAAGAAGCTCGGTGAACCCCAAATAGGACAATACAAGAAAAAATTCCTAAGAACATCATAGTTATCTACTTCAAACTAAAAATAAAATAAAATCTTTAAGGTGACGGGGGAAAAAAGATATACTCACAGAAATTATTATAAGAATGGTGGAAGTCAAAAGACAATTAAATGACATCTTTAAAGTGTGGAAAAAAAGATAAAACTGCCAACCTAGGACTTTTGAGCTAATGAAAATTTTTTTCATCAGAAGTGAAATAAAGACATTTTCAAACATACTGAAATTGAAGAAATTTATCACCAGCAGATATCCTCTATAAAAATTCTAAAAGAAGTTTTTTGGGCTAAAGGGAGATGTGGAATTTTAAAAAAATGAAAAGCTCCAGGAACAATAAATACATGGGCAAATTTAAAAGACTAATTCTTTTTAAACATTCCTTTTAAAACTAAAGTAATAAAAAATTTTGATTCATCCCAAAGACAGCAGGAAAGAAGAAGCAAAAATAGAAATAGATCAAAAAAAGTTTAATAAGTTTGTAGATTTATACCCAACCATATCAGTAATTGCTTTAAATGTAAACATACTAAATGCTTCAATTAGGAAGTCAGATATTATAAGACTGGATTTTTTTTTAAAAAGGCCCAATATAGACAGTCCCTCACTTACATTCCTTTGACTTACAGTTTTTTGACTTTACAATGGTGCAAAAGCAACATGCATTCTTTAGACTTACAATGGGCTTCCACTCAGATAAGCCCACTGTAAATTGACAATATTGTAAATCAAACATGTACTTTCAACTTACGATATTTTTAACTTACGTGGGTTTATCATGGTGTAACCCCATCAAGGAGATTTGTAAGTGCCATTTATAAGAGACCAAACTTTAAATATAAGGTCACAGAAATGTTGAAAGTAAAAGGATGGAATAAGTTCTGGAGATCTATTGTAACAGCATGGTGACTATAGTCAATAATAATATACTGTGTATTTGAAAATTGCCAACAGAGTAGGTCTTAAACATTCTCACTACACACAGAAAATGATAATTATGTGAGCTAATGGGTAAGTTAACTAGCTTGGTTGTGATAATCATTTCACAATTTATACATATATCAAGACATCATGTTGAACCTGTAAACACATACAATTTTTATTTATAATGTATATCAATAAAACTGATAAAAAATAAAGTATGGAGAAAATTGTAACGTGCACTATATTAGCTATAGGAGTGTGGTTCATTAATATCCAGGGAGACGATGAAGCCCTGAAGTAATAGAGGCCAGGTGGCTATACTTAACCCCCAGAAGCCAGGAGGCCACAACTAATATAAGAACTAGCAAGACCATGGGAACAGTCAAGGAGACTTTATGCTCAAGGAGTTGTGAAGATGGTTAATAGTACACACTGTCTCTGAGGGAAAACAGACGGGCGGTCAACAAGGATGTTGCTCAATATATATAATTTTTTTAAAAAAGCAAGAATGAAGGAGCAGGAATATGAGGGCAATCACCCCAATATAAGTCACAATTGTTTGCTCAGTTCCCAGAGCTGAGTCAAACTTGCATATTTAGGCCCATTGATTAAAGATGTATCCAGGTTCCTAGGAGAAAGGACCCTACAATACCATGAAAAATATATACCATAATGATTCCTCTGGCCCTTCTTCAAAGGGATATACAACCGCTTACTCAATCTCAATGGACTGTGCACTGTGGAAAGGATTATTAGACACAGGACCTGAGATGATGATGTTAATGCCTGGAGATGTCATCACAACTCCTCCCTGTTAGAATGAGGGCCTATAGGGGACAGGTAGCAAATGGAGTCCTATCTAAAATCAGATTCTCAATGGAGCCACTGAGTCTGCCCACTCACACTGCGGTCATTTCCCCACTCTACAAGTGCATAATTGGAATCGATAGATTTTCCACTTGGAAAAAGCCTCATATTGAAGAGTCATTGCTCTGTGGAGCAAGAGCTATCATAGTGGGGAAGGTAATATGGAAACCTCTGAAAATTCCCTCCATACCCCTGGCCAAGATAATGAATCAAAAATAATATTGTGTCCCAGGAGGAATGAGAGAGATTAGGATACTATTAAAGACCTAATGAATGCAAGGATAATGACCCCTTATTTCTCCACATAAGCAAGCAATCTCATTCCTTCAGAAGCCAGATAGATCCTTGAGACTGACTATAGCCTACTGTAGATTTAACCAAGAAGTACTTGAATTGTAGCTGTGGTGCTGGAAGAGGTAACATGACTGGATTAATTAAACCTCAGGTACGTGGTATGTGCTCACTGACTTGGCACATGTGCTTTTTTCCATCCCTAATAGAAAACAGGATAATAAATCTTTCACATTCACATGGGATAGAGGGTAATATTCTCCTATATTTTTGCCTTTATGTTACGTGAATTCTTCTGCCCTTGTTCACAATACAGTAGTCCCACCTTATCTGTGGTTTTGCTTTCCACAGTTTCGGTTATCCATGGTCAACCATGGTATGAACGTATTACGTGGAAAATTCAGGAAATAAACAATCCAAGCTGAGAGCTGTGACTGCCTACAGGGTTTCCAGATGGCTCACTCTTTGGATCGGGGGACTGGGTCTGGGATGGGTACTTTCCTCATCAGCAAGATGCAGGAAGAGTACCCAGACAGGATCAAGAACACGTTTAGTGTGGTGCCCTCGCCCAAAGTTTTAAACTGCATGCCATTCTGAGTAGCAGAATGAAATCTCAAGCTGTCCTGCTCTAGCCCACCCTGGACGTGAATCCTCCCTTTGTCCAGCATCTCTCCACTGTGTACACTACCCACCCATTAGTCACTTAGCAGCCATCTCTGTTATCAGATCGACTGTCACAGTATTACAGTGCTTCCTCAAATACCCCTTATTTCACTTAATAATGGCCTCAAAATGCAAGAGTAGTGATGCTGGCAATTCGATATGCCAAAGAAAAGCTGTAAATTGCTTCCTTTAAGTTGAAACTAAAAGTTCTCATATGCTGAGGTTGTTAAGACCTATGGTTAGAATGAATCTTCTATCTGTTAAATTGAGAAGGAAAAAGAAACTCATGCATAGTATGTATGGGGTTCACTACAATCCACAGTTTCACGCACACACTGAGAATCTTGGAACATATTTCCTACGGATAATAAGGAACTACTATATGGTCCTAAAAGGTCTGGACCACCTGGACATCACATAGAATATCACACTCATCTACTACATCATGACATCATATGCTTTGGACAGGTCAAGCAGGAGGTAGCTAGTATACTGGTGGCCTTGGTAAGACATTCTGTGCTGTTTTTACTTACAACACTTATGATATCAATGTGTAGGGTCTTTTCCTTAACCAAAAAAGTCTGCAACTCTCCAATCCTCTGACACCAATTGAGTGTCCTATGATTCAATCCAATTCTGGCACTAACTATGTGGGATTCGAGTTGGGCCCCACAGATTTAAGGACTCAGTCCCACAAGGATGCTCTTACTTTAGACTCCAGTTGTAAGTATTGGGTCTCCAGTGAACACATACTTCTGTCTGACGTGGCTACAAAATGGGGCTCCCACAATCCCCACCTCAGGTTTGTTAATTTGCTACAAGGCCTCACAGAACTTCGGAAAACAGTTTACTTACTGCTTTACTATAAAGGATACAATTTAGCAACAGCCAAATGGAAAAGATGCAAAGGGCAAGGTATGGGAGAAGGAATGTAGAGCTTCCATGCCCTCTCTGGGAGGACCACTATCCCAGCGCCTGGATGTGTTCGTCAATCCAGAAGCTCTCTGAATCCTATCATTTAGGGTTTATGATGGAGGTTCAACTATGTAGGCATGATTGATTAAACCATTGGTCATGATTAAACTCAATCTCTAGTTTCTTTCTCCTCCCTGGAGGTTCAGAGGTGAAGTTGAAAGTTTCAACCCACTAATTACAATGGTCGACTCCTCTGGCAAATAGCTCCCCTCCTGAAGCTATTTAGGGGCCCATCAAGAGTCACTCTGCTAGCATAAACTCAGGTATGGTTGAAAGATATTTGTTATGAATACCAAAAGATGATTCTATTACCCCTATCACTAAGGAAATTCCAAGAATTTTAGAAGACCTGTGTCAGAAACCAGGGACAAGGGGCAAATCTATATTTTTTATTATCACTGACATGTATTTCAAGAGATGAGAGATAAAACCTGTGAAGATTCATGACTAGCTACTTCAGTGAAGTTTTGGGGAGTCCAGTAGGTGAGTGGTGTGTAGGGTTAGCTCTTCCAAACTAAAGACAAATTGCTGCATCTTGCGTCTCCATCTCCTACCACAAAGAAAGGCCACCACTTGTCAGCTTCCTTGAGCTCTGGAGGTAATACATTTCATGCCTGGTAATATTTCTACAGCCCATGTATCAGGTGATATGGGAAGCTTCCAGCTTTGAGTGGGGCCTTGAGCAGGAAAAGGTGTCAAAGCAGGACCAGGCCACAGTGCAATCAGCCCTGTCACTTGGTCCATATGATTCAACAGGCCCCATGGTAAGAGGTGTCATGTGGTGGGAAAATATGTAGTAAAGAGTGTTTGGCAAGCTCAAGTGAAAGAATCACAACTCAGACCCCTGAGATTATGGAGCAAAACCATGCCATCAACATCAAATTATGTGCACTTTGAAAAACAGCTCTTATTTTTGGTGTGTTTGGGTCCTAGAAGTGATGGAACAATTGACCACGAGAGACCAAATGACCATCTGGAAATGCTTATTATGCACTGAATTCTGTAGGATCCACTAAACCATAAAGCCACATGATGCTTACTCATGCCTTCCAGTCCTGCTAGTAGCAGTCCATTGCAAGAGAGTGCTGATATATGTGGGATTAGACCTGAACAGGGCTGGAAGGCTTGAGTAAGTTTCATGAGTAGGAAACCAAGACCCCATATCACCAAGCACAGCTATACCAGTCAATGCCCCCAACTCTTGCACTTATGAACATATTTGGGTGGGAATGAGGGAGGGTGGGCCAGAGGGGTCCTGTATGACCAGATAAAAGAAAGAAAGAAGCCAAAGCTTGGTTTATGGATGGATTGGCTCAGTATATGGATGAAAACCAAAAAATAGACAGTGGCTTCATTACAACCACATTCAGGGAAAGAGAGTAAAGAGGAAATCTTCCCAATGGCAGATCTATGAGCAGTATAACTGGTCATCCACTTTGGATAGAAGGAGAAATGACCCAAGGTGAAAATATATATAAATTCCTAGGAAATGGCCAATGGCCTAGTTGTGCAGGCGGGGAACTGGAAGGAAAAGGACTGGAAGATCAGAGACAAGGAGTCTGAGGAAAAGCCATGTGGGTAGACAAATGGGTGAATGTATAAAGTGTCAAGACTTGTGTCTTACATGTGGATACCCACCAGAAAGCATCTACCATGGAAAAAGCACTGAACAACCAAGTAAAATGAGATGACTCAGCCTCTTGACATTAACTAGTCTTTGTCATTGGTCACCCAGAGCAGGCATGATGAACACATGAACAGGCTGGACATGGTGGCAGAAATGGAGGCTATGTGTGAGCCTGACAGCATGAACCTCACTTACCAATGCCTGTCTACCTACTGTTACCTCTGAACATCCGAAGAAATAAACATTGAATCTTCAATATGGCATATTCCTTGAGGGAATCAACCAGCCACTTAGTAGCAAGTTGACCACATGGAACCCTTCCATCCTGGAAAGACCAGTCAGCCGTTCATCCTCACAGGGACAGATACCTGTCCTAAGCGTGTGTTTTCCTTTCCTGCCTGCACAGCCTTAGCCAGCACCATTACCAAGGGCTTATGGAGTGCCTCATCCACAGACCTGGAAACCCACACAACAAAGCATCCAACCAAGAGACCTACTTC
Organism: Homo sapiens; assembly: GCF_000001405.40. Taxonomy (NCBI): domain Eukaryota; kingdom Metazoa; phylum Chordata; class Mammalia; order Primates; family Hominidae; genus Homo; species Homo sapiens. Next base: position 25,437,707 of record NC_000012.12, on the reverse strand, counting down.
ACCATGAAGGCAGTGTGAGAGTGGGCCTGTGACCCTGGGAACGACAGATCAAATCACATACTGCACCATCCCGAGGTGGCCAGCTTCATAGAATGCTGAAACAGCCTACTCCAGCTAGGTAACAAAAGTTATTTGTCATTTTTATCATTCAAATGGCATATTTCACCATGGGGATGCGAGAAGCAGAAAATCCTGATGTGCAGAGAGAAATGAATGAAGTAATTACATAGAAGGAAGCAGATGCAGCAGACTGAGAGAGATTGAGTACCGACAGATCTCAGGTGTCCAGTTACCCACAGCCCACAAGACACCTCTGTTTTCTTTTTCTTCTTCAAGTTCTGGGATACATGTGCAGAATGTGCAGGTTTTTTATGTAGGCATAATGTGCCATGGTGGTTTGCTGTACCCATCAACCCGTCATCTAGGTTTTAAGCCCCACATGCATTATTTGTCCTAATGCTCTCCCTCCCCTTGCCCCCCACCCCCCAAAAGGCCCCGGACACCTCTATTTTCTAATAATTAATCTACCCCCCTTTTTCATAAGCAAGCTTGATTTGGTTCCTGTTATCTGCAACTAAAAGATCTTATCTGATACAATACATTTCAAAGAGGCAAACTTCTGCCTTCACCTGATGAACTTTCCAATAAATAATACAGTTGTTCCAAAATGGAAAACGCTTCTCTTATCATTTTGAGGTTTAGACAGCCCTTCATCACTGTGTAGAAGAAATTCTGTCTATTATAAATAGTTGAACTAGATAAACTGAAGGTCCCTTGCTAGTTTGAGATCCTCTGACAAATATCAGGAAAGCCATGATATGGAAAATAGAATAGTTTCACTCTTTTGGGAAATAAAAAATAATGAGTCTCCAAGTGCTCGATAACATTCCAAGAAAGGATGTGTGAGAGTGTATTACATTGCAGGGGGAAAACTGACAGATTCTAGATTTAGCGTTTGTTGGAAAACTGGAACCAAAGTTTACAATGATTTCTCTTTTATTAAATTAATACACACAAAAAGCCTAGAAGCTCAGTATTTGGGATGCATAAAATATAAAAATAAAATATTAAATGAAGTAGCTTTTAAATGTATGTTTTTATTTACTGGCTGAAATGAAAATTGAAAAAGATTGCACAAAATTTTTTGGCAAAATGCTGTAGTATGCTTTCTCTTGATATCACTGCCAACAATGCCCTCTAGTGGTAAACCAAGTAGGCACTGACTAATGGGGGGAAAATGAAACAAGCAAGCCTGCTAAACACATTGGTAAGATTTTCATGAAAATACGAACTTTTAGTGCAGAAGGACCTGCGGCAGGCCTACTTCAGCTGCCTCCCGAGCCAGGTTTCCCTTGGTGGGTGACCGTGTCCCTTGATGAGTGACTGTGCGCTCACTCGGGCACCAAGGAGAAGCAGGACCATCGGGTAGCCTATGTGAATCCAACAGCAATGGCCAGATCAAGGGGTCCAATCCAGTCTTAAGGGCCAACAATCCAGGATTCTCTCCGTCAACCAAGGCCTATCTGGGAAGAAGTGCAAGAGCAACTAGAAAAGAAAAAGAAAAAGGCGCCAAGGCTTTGTATGAATTTGAAGAAAAAACTAGAAAAACACAGGAAGAAATTGTTAAGTGAAAGTAAGAGCTTATCCAAAAAAAGAGAAAAAAAAAGAAAAAGAATAAATCTGGTAGGTATTCATCGTCTTCATCATGCTCTGATTCTTCCAGCAGTTCTTCTGATTCTGAGGATGAGGATAAGAAACATGGAAAAGGGAGAAAGAAAAAGAACCATTCACATAAATCTTCTGAAAGCTCCATGTCAGAAACTGAATCAGACAGTAAGGATAGAAAGACAATAAGGAAGAAAGACTTCTTTTTAAAGAAAAAGAAGGACCCAACTGAGAAAGAAAAAGGCTATTAAACGACTCAGCAAAAAGAAACCCATATTCTGAAGATAAATCTTTATCACCTGAGTCCTTGTCAGAATCAGAGTATATTGAGGAGATAAGAGCAAAAAAGAAGAAAAGCAGTGAAGAATGAGAAAAAACAACACAAAAAAAGGAAAAAGGAGCATGAGAAAAACAGTAAGAAGAGAAAGAAGGCTGCTAGTTCAAGTCCTGACTCATCATAATATTAAGAAAAATCAGGATTCCCTTATAGAGAAAGTACAATGTCTAAGGAAATTTCAACTGTGAAAATTACAACATATTTACTATAATGCATGAATTTTCTTGTTTTTAGAATTATCCTTGGACTGGCCAGACGCAGTGGCTCACGCCTGTAATCCCAGCACTTTGGGAGGCCAAGGCGTGTGAATCACCTGAAGTCAAGAGTTTGAGACCAGCCTGACCAACAGGGTGAAACCCCGTCTCTACTAAAAATACAAAAATTAGCTGGGCCTGGTGGCTGGTGCCTGTAATCCCAGCTAGTTGGAAGGCTGAGGCAGGAGAATCACTTGAACCCGGGAGGCAGAGGTTGCAGTGAACTGAGATGGTGCCACTGCACTCCAGACTGGGCAAAAGAGCAAGACTCCATCTCAAAAAAAAAAAAAGAATTATCCCCAGACTACCCAGTAGCTATTCAAATGCCGCTGTGTGCAAGGGCCGTAAATGTTGCCTGCTGCTTATCTATTCTTTTCTCTTCCAGTGCTTGATAACTCTGGGAGATAATACATTGCAGTAGCACTAGTGGTTACAATATTTGGGAATAAAATTAATATTTTTGACTAGAAGTGTACAATGATAAATCAACAGAAATCCAACTTGAATACATCTTTAAGGTGGAATCAGAAACGGCCAGATGTTAAAAATTTTAAAGTAGTTAAAATTTTTGAAGTAAGGATTACATTGACATTTCAAAATCCGTACTCTGTAGATCAGTGTATTTTAATTTTTTCCCCGTGTAGACTTTTATTTACCTGGGAAAGGTGCTTTTTAGGATGCAGGGAGGAGGTGCTTTGCTGTCTCTTTAAGCTAGGAGAACAACATGCCTTTGATCCTCACACTTCCTGTATTTGAGGAAAGAGTAGCCAGGCTTTATGGAGAGGTCAGAGCTGGGTGCCAGGAGTCTTGCCTTTTACTGAGCTTAGGGACATCCTTGGATTTTGTCATACGCTTCTTTGAATGAACCAGAGAAACAGCCCTTTTGCAGCATGAGAAAGCCCCAAAACCCCTGGGATTTACCTCCACTTCAATAATACTGAATATTTTTTAGCATTAGAATATGCTGGGTCATTTGAATTAATTTTGATGACACTTTGGCTTTGGAGAGAAATGGTTTCAAATAGACACTGGTACACTGGTACTTTTTGAACTTGAAAACTAAATATTCTAAAGTGCATGTTTCATACCATAAAGTTTTAATTAGTCAGGAAAATTCCATGTAACCAGTGATAGTTCCTTTATTTTTTGTATGAAGTTTGTTTAGGCTGCAATGTTTAGCTTTTGTTAACTCCTTTCTCTTGCTGTCTTAAGTTCACTGCTGTGTTTAATGGCACACTTGCCAAGATATTGAGCATATAAAAAGCAGGGTTTTGATTTTTAAAAAAAATACAGCTTCATATTGAGGCTGAGACTTACCATAAACAAGTTGAGTAGCAAGCCTGGTATGCTGTGTCTTGTTACATAAAGCTATCGCCAGAATCTTAGTAAATATAATGTCTTAAAAGTTAAAAAAAAAAAAACAGAAAAAAGAAAATATGAACTTTTACACTTCCAGTTGGTAACTGAATGTTATATTTGGCAATAAAATGAACCTTTACAAGGTACTGCAGCATATACCTTAAAGCACAAGCATGTCAAAGCCAATTTTCCCCTGTGGTTTTCATGAACATATGCCAAACAGCACAGGAAAATAGCCATCTGTAAGGTCTCATTGGGGCATTTCTGGGTCACAACTTCCACTGGTATCTTAAAAGAAATTAAAATCTGCTTTTATGGAGGATGACATCATTCACCAAAAAAACTGCTTTTAAACCCGATTACCTTCGAGAATTATAGCCATCAGGCACCAACAATGACTCATTCCCACTTTCAAGGCTTTATCTGAATTCTGAACTCATCAACCAGGTAAAGTCTCTTTGCTTGAGAATTCTTCAAACTATAGCTCTCAACTGGTGGGGCAAGCTGGTCAAAACAAGTTACAGTTATAGGAATAAAATTTCTCTAATCCTGGCTCAGCAAAGAGCTTCCCAAAGGAACTGCAGGTGAAGTAAAAGAAAGAAGGCAACTTACACAGCTTATTCCCCTCTAATTCAAACCAGCTCTAGTACTCTTATCTAAATCTGGCTTAAAATTTCTTTGTCTTTGCAAATTGTTCTCCTTTCTCTCCACTCCAAGCCTCCTTCCTTCATACTTTCTAATCATTCTCTCTTCCCTTCAGTAGCTGACTGAATATGTGTATGGTATTAAGAGGCACTTGGAGCCTCTTATGACAACTATATTTGTATGAGAATATTTGCTCTGGATGACTTTGTGTAAAGTATTAACCTACTGGCCTGTTTCAGGAATTCTTTTATTTAAACAGAAAGAAACACATCCTCAGAGAACTATGCTGTGAGTTGACAAGGACTGTTAATATTAATTCCTTTAGGAAGACTGAATGGCCACATTCTGTGAATGCTAAATGTTTCCTAGTTTTGCATTGGTAAAAAGGAATTCACAGACTAAATAATAACTCTAGCCTGTATCAACCTTAAACAAAGGCTCATGAGGTAAACTAAGCTTCAATATCATTTTCTCCATTGCCATTTCTGCTGTACCAGAAACAGTCTTTGGAGTCACGTGGCTGGCCTAGGTGTAAATCCCACCATTGCCAGACTTGGCTGTGCTGTTGAGCAAGTCATTTACACAAGCTAATTAAGGAGCTGTTTGGAGACTCACAGAGCAATTGTCTGACAATTTTACCTGCACCTAGCACTAGGCCAAGTGAAAACACAAAGATGTGTAGATGCCAAGATGGCAGGAAATAGTACTGTGTTTCCCAAGTATGGTATATAGAATGATCCCTAACTTATTTGACCCTGGAGACCTTTTTTCTCAGAGCAGGGTAAAAAAACAACAACAGCAATAACAACAACAACAAAAACTCTTTAGGAAATGCTAATACATGATGTTCTCTGGAAGTTTTCAAATTCAAATTATATCCCTTACATTTCTTCAGTCCCACTAGCCTCATTTATTTTATCTTTTATTTCATTTTATTTTATTTTGAGACAGGATCTCATTGTGTTGCCCAGGCTGAAGTGCAGTGGCACAGTCACAGCTCACTGTAACCTCGACCTCCCAGGCTGAAGTGATCCTCCCACCTCAGCCTCCTGAGCAGCTGGGACTACAGACGCATGACACCATGCTTGGTTCATTTTTTATTATTTTTTGTAAAGACAGGGTCTTGCTATGTTGCCCAGACTGGTCTTGAACTCCTGGCCTCAAGCGATCCTCCTACCTTGGCTTCCCAAAGTGCTGAACCACCGCACTCAGATACACTAGCCTCATTTCAAATGCTCAGTAGCCACATGTGGCAATGGCTACCATATTGAACAGTGCCAAAATGAACGTCCCATCATGGCAAAGAGTTCTACTGGACAGCACTAGTCTAAAGTTTTCCTCATAACAAAGTAATTATATTCAAACTCTAGTCCTTAAGAAACTCACAAAAATAGTAACTTTAGAGTAGAAAAAACTGCAAAGCAGCAGCTTAGCCAAGTATCAAAGATAACATTTCTAGTAATGGGACAAACAGACATCATGTACCTCCTGTTATGCTATCCTAGGAAGAATACAACATCTCATGTGTGATATTTCTGCCAAAAACACATAACCTGAACCTAATCATTAGAAAACATCAAACACAGGTGGAAAGGTATTCTACAAAATAACTGACCTGTACTCTTTAAAATGTCAAGATCGCCAGGCACTGTGGCTCATGCCTGTAATCCCAGCACTTTGGGAGGCCAAGGCGGGCAGATCACCTGAGCTCAGGAGTTCGAGACCAGCCTGGCCAACATGGTGAAATCCCGTCTCTACTAAAAATACAAAAATCAGGCGGACCTGGTGGTGTGTGCCTGTAATCCCAGCTACTTTGGAGGGTGAGACAGGAGAATCGCTTGAACCCAGGAGACGGAGGTTGCAGTGAGCTGAGATGGTGCCACTGCACTCCAGCCTGGGCAACAGAGCAAGAATCCCTCTCAAAATAAATAAATAAATAAATAAATAAAAAATAAAATGTCAAGATGATAAAAGACAAAGAAAGGCTAAGAAACTGTACCAGATTAAAGGAGACTAACGAGACATGGTAACTCAATGTAATTCACGATCCTTAATTAGATCTTGACCAGGGAAAGAATAACCATAAAGGAAATCACTGGAATGATTGATCAAATGGACTGTGGGTTATATAATAGTATTATTAAAATGTTAAGTTTCTTGATTTTGATCATTGTGGTGTGGTCATGTAAGAGAAAGTCCTTCATCTTAGGAAATATACATTGAAGTATTTAAAAGTAAAGGAGCACTCATTTCTGTCTGTCCTCTCACCACTTGGTCCCTGAGGCAGACACAGTTGTGGAAAGTGTATAACAGACCAAGGAAACTAAGGCAGTGGCCATCTAGTCAGAATACCGAATACCAGGAAGATGTTACCTGGAAGCAAGAAGGATCTCCCTGGGGGAAATTATGGAAAGAAAGAAGCTCTAGAAAGTGATATGGGATCCAAGATGTATGAATCACTGGGCCCATCTTTGAGCTGTGCATTTAGGTCTGACCCTAAACAGCATGCAAAAGATATTGAGAACTGATCTACAGGGTGGACCACTGCACAAGTCCCAGAATAGCCACTGAGCGTCACGCACACACACAGGATGGATATAAGTAGCACTGCAAAGCCTTTGAAAATTGAACTGAAGTTGGAACCAGAGCCAACAGAAGGTGGGATAGGAATTTACAACCTAAACTTAAATGTGTCAATTTCCTGCTAAAACAAGCAAAATGCCCTATAGGATTTAACAAAACCCAGAGTCCCATAATATCATATTCAAAATGTCCAGAATCAAATCCATAATTATTCAACATATGAAGAACCAGGAAAATCTTCACATCTCTTAAGGAAAAAGATAATCAACAGCCATGAACACAGATGTTAAAATTAGACAAAGGCTTCCCAGCTATTAAAATCATTCTCGAATAAGTGTGAACACTCTTGAAACAAATGGAAAGACAGAAATTCTCAGAAGAGAAATAGAAAATATAAAAAAGAAGCAGAAGAAAATTTTAGAACTGAAAAAAATATAATAGCTGAAATTGAAAATTTACTGGATTGGGTGACTAAATGAACTTGAAGATAGATCAATAAAATTACCCAGTCTGCACAATAGAGATTTAAAAAAGATTTTTAAAACATGAGCAGAGCCTAATACATCTGTGTGACAATACCAAAAGGTTTAACATTTGTTTTATGGGAATTTCAAAAGATAAAGAGATTCATGCAGAAAGATACTTGAAGAAATAAAGGACTAAAATATTCCCCAATTTGGTAAAAGACATAAACTTGCAGATTAAAAAGGTTTAGTAAACCCCAAACGGAACAAATTTGAAGAAATACACACCCAAATAATATAATCAAACTACTGAAAACTAAAGACAAAAGAAAATACCTTGAAAACAGCCAGAGAAAAATGATATGGTGTTTTTGGTTTTGGTTTTGATTTCGGTTTTGTTTTTTTGAGACGGAGTCTCACTCTGTGGCCAGGCTGGAGTGCAGTGGCACAATCTTGGCTCACTGCAACCTCCGCCTCCCGGGTTCAAGCGATTCTCCTGCCTCAGCCTCCCTAGTAGCTGGGACTACAGGCATGTGCCACCACACCCAGCTAATTTTTTGTATTTTTAGTAGAGATGGGGTTTCAGCATGTTGGCCAGGATGGCCTCAATCTCTTGACCTTGTGATCTGCCCTCCTCGGCCTCTCACAGTGCTGAGATTACAGGTGTGAGCCAACGCGCCTGGGTGGCAATGATGATTTTTACATGACTTTATATTTCTCATCAGAAACCATGAAAACAAGTAAGCAGTGAAGCATTTTTTAAATGCTGAAATAAAATAGCTTTTAACCCAGAATTCTATATCCAGTTAAAATATCCTTCAGGAAAGTAGGCAAAATGAAGACATTCTCAGAAAAAGGAAGACTGAGAGAATACATCATTAGCAGATCTGCTCTTTAAAAAAATGCCAAATAAAGTTTTTCAGACAGAAAAGAAATAATAAGAGTGGAAACGCTTATGAATAAATCAAAGAAGACCTAAATAAATGGAGTGGCAAACTATGTTCATGGACTGGAAGATTCTGTATAATTACCTTGTCATTTCTCTTCAAATTTATCTGTAGATTTAATGCAATTCCAGTTAAATCCTGGAATAATTTTTTTGTAGATATAAACAAGCTGATTCTAAAATTTACATAGAAAAGCAAAGGAGCTAGAATAGTCAGAAAAATTTTTTAAGCAAGAATAAAGTTAGAGGATTCACAGTAGACAATTTTAACACTTATTATAAAGCTACAATAGTAAATGCAGTCTAGTATTGCCAAAGTGATAGACACACAGATCAATGGAAAAGCATTTTAAAATCCAAAAATAGATTCAAACAAATATGGCCAATTGATTTTGAACAAAAGTAGAACAGCAATTCAATGGAGAAAGGGTAGCTTTTTTGGCAAGTGGTTTTAAAACAATTGAACGTTCAGATGCAAAAAAAAAAAAAGTATCTCAACCTAAACCTTGCACTTTATGTAAAAATTACTCAAAACAGCTCATAGGCCCAAAGTTGAAACATAAAATTATCAAACTTTTAGAAGACAAATAAAACCTTCATGAACTTGCATAAAGCAAAGCATTCTTAAATATGACACCATAAGAACAATATATAAAAGAAAAAATCAATAAATTGGACTTCATTAATAACTTAAACTATGATACAATATTTGTAAATCACACAGCTAACAAAGGACCTCAATATTGAAAAAAAAAACCTCTTGATAATCAACAATGAGAAAATGAACAGCCCAATTTAAAAATAAGTAAAAGATTTGAATGAATGCTTTATTACATATGATAGACAGATGGTAAACAAACACATGAAAAGATGCTTAACATCACTAACCATTGAGAAAATATTAATTAAATCCACAATGTGATACCACTACACATTTATTAGAATGGCTAAAAAAAATTTTAAACTGAAAATATCAAAAAAGATAAAACCTGAAATGAAAAAGAAGACATTACAATTGATACCACAGAAATTCAAAGGAGCATTAGAGACTATTATGAGTAACTATATGCCAATAAATTGGAAAACTTACAAGGAATGGATAATTCCTAGACATATACAACCTACTAACATTGAACTATGAAGAAATCCAAATAGATCAATAACAAGCAACAAAATATAAGCCATATATCAATAACAAGCAACAAAATATAATCTAAATAGATCAATAACAAGCAACAAAATATAAGCCATAATAAAATTCTCCAATTAAAGAAAACTCCAAGACCTGATTACTTCACTGTTGAATTCAAACAATCATTTAAAGAACTAATACCGATCCTACTCAAAGCATTCCAAACAAATGAGGTGGGAATACTTGCAAAAACCAGCAATATCAAGTGCTGACAAGAATGCAGAGCACCTGGAGCTTCCATACATTGCTGGTGGTAGTGCAAAAGAGTAAAGCTGCTTTGCAAAATAGTTTGGTAGTTTCTTATAAATTTAAATACACACTTAGCATATGACCCAGCAACCCCATTCATAGGTATTTACACTAGAAAAATGCAAATTTATGTTCACATAAAAACCTGTACATGAATGTTTATAGCAACTCTATTCATAATTCCTTGAAAATTGAAATGGTAATTTGAATGTTTACCAGTGAGTGAATAAGCAAACCTATGACACATCCATATAATGCAATATTGCTCAGCAGCAATATAAACAATGAATGATTTATACACAGAACATGAATAAATCTCAAAAGCATGATACTGAGTGAAAGAAGACAATCTTAAAAGTTTACATTCTGCATGATTGTATTTCTATGATATTCTGGAAAAGACAAAACTATGGAGAAGGATAAGAGATCAGTGATGACCAGGGTTTAAGAGCAGGGGTAGGGTTTGACTATAGAAGGGCAGCATGAGGAAGGGTTTTATGGTAATGGAACTGTTTGGTATCCTGGCTGTGGTGATGGTTACATGGCTCTATCTGTGTGCTAAAAATACACCAAAAACAGACGGTCAATTTTACACTAGGTAAATTTTTTAAAATTTAATAACAATAATGCTTTAAGTAAAAGAGTAAAGGAGTGTGATGACTACAGTTTTCTCTTGAATGGTTTAGAAAAACATGTATGTAGGTAGGTAGATAGGTAGATGTAGGTAGGTAGGTAGGTAGATAGATGGATATAGTGGATAGCTAGAATGAAATAGCAAATGGAGAAAATGTATACAATTGGTGAACCTAGGTAAAGGGTGTAAAGGAATTCCTTGTACCATTGTTATAACTTTTCTGAAAGTTTGAAAGTATATCAAAACAAAAAGTTACCACAGAAGTGCATTTGTTTGTTTGTTTGACAGAGTCTCACTCTGTTGCCCAGGCTAGAGTGCCCCAGGCTAGAGTGCAATAGCGCGATCTTGGCTCACTGCAACCTCTGCCTCCTGGGTTCAAGCCATTCTCCTGTCTCAGCCTTCGGAGTAGCTAGGATTACAGGCACGTGCCACCACGCCCAGCTAATTTTTGTATTTTTAGTAGAAATGGGGTTTCACCATGTTGGTCAGGCTGGTCTCCAACTCCTAACCTCAAATGATCCACCCTCCTCAGCCTCCCAAAGTGCTGGGATTACAAGCGTGGGCCACCGGGCCCAGCCAGAAGTGCTTTTTTTTTTTTTTTTAGACGGAGTTTCGTTCTTGTTGCCCAAGCTGGAGTGCAATGGCGTGATCTCGGCTCACTGCAACCTCCGCCTCCTGGGTTCAAGTGATTCTCCTGCCTCAGCCTCCCGAGCAGCTGGGATTACAGGCATGCGCCACCATGCCCGGCTAATTTTGTATTTTTAGTAGAGACGGGGTTTCTCCATGTTGGTCATGCTGGTCTTGAACTCCCGACCTCAGGCAATCCGCCCGCCTCGGCCTCCCAAAGTGCTGGCATTACAGGCTTGAGCCACAGCGCCCATCTGGAAATGCACGTCGCCGTGGCTCAAGCCTGTAATCCCAGCACTTTGAGAGGATCTCTTGATCCTGGAAGTTCCAAACCAGCCTGGGCAACATGATAAGACCTCGTCTCTACAAAAAAATACAAAAATTAGCCGAGCGTGATGAAGCTCACCTGTAATCCCAGCTATTCAGGAGACTGAGGTGGGTGGATCACTCGGGCCCAGGAGTCGAGGCTGCAGCGAACCGTGATCGTGCCACTGCACTGCAGCCTGGGCAACAGAACAAGACCCAGTCTCTAAAAATAAAAATAAAAAAGTGGCTGGGTGCAGTGGCTCACGCCTGTAATCCCAGCACTTTGGGAGGCCGAGGTGGGCGGTTCACGAGGTCAGGAGATCGAGACCATCCTGGCTAACATGGTGAATCCCCGTCTCTACTAAAAATACAAAAAATTAGCTGGGCGTGGTGGCAGGCGCCTGTAGTCCCAGCTACTCGGGAGGCTGAGGCAGGAGAATGGCATGAACCCGGGAGGCGGAGCTTGCAGTGAGCCGAGATCGCGCCACTGCACTCCAGCCTGGGCAACAGAGCGAGACTCCGTCTCAAAGAAGTAAAAAATAAACAAGTGCATCTCCAATAAAATATGTTTAAAAAATATCTTCAAGAATATCATAACACATATGCTGTGTCAGCCTTTTTCTTATTCTTCACATCTAGTGTGATCTCTCTCCTGTGTCTGAGCTTGAGAAGTCCCACACAATAACCCTAGAATAGTAGTAGTCCTCAATGTATCCTTTGTGGGAACCAGGAGTACTGAGTTGAGGAGGACTCCCAGGCCAAGTCCAGGCTTACTGGGGAAGAGTTCTATTATTGATTAGTGATGCTTCTCATAGGTGCAGGCTAGGTTTCTGGCAGGATGTATGCCAAGAATATCCTAATGCAGCTTATATCATCCTGTTACTGTTTACCAGGTTTCTTCTTCAAATCGCTACTTAAAGCTCTAACACCCAATGAAATTTGTATTTATTGGGGACTTCTCAGTAAAGAAGTGTGGGACTTCTCAAGCTCAGAAGTAGGACAGAAATCAAACTGAGAGTGAAGAATAACAAAAAATTAACACAACATACATCTTATGATATTCTAGAAGATATTTTTAAAATAAAATATACATGTTCTTTATCTCATCAACATAGTTCTAAATATTAATAGCCTTATTAGAGATGGCTTACCTTGTTGCTTTTAGTTAAAATCTCGTATCACTAATTATTTATCTTTTCATGTTCTCCTTTCTTACTTTTTTATCCAAATATAAATGTATATTTTATTTTGCCTAAACAATTGAAATAGTCTCAGCTCTTTCCTCGCCTCATCTTTCCATACTTTCATCCTATGCATGGTGATTTTCTAAAGTACAGATTAGATCAGATTTATTGATCTGGTGCTGCTACGAACCAGAGTCTATGCTAAGCATGGGAGACAGATGCTATGATGATTCAATCCCTACTTTCACCAGTTCAGATCCAGAGGAAAAGACCAATATGCAAATATATTGTTACAATACACTGAAAAACTCCTACTACAATTTTCTTTTTGTTTTTGTTTTTGAGATGGAGTCTCACTCTGTCGCTTAGGTTGGAGTGCAGTGGCACAATCTTGGCTCACTGCAACCTCCTCCTTCCGGGTTCAAACAATTCTCCTGTCTCAGCCTCCCTAGAAGCTGGGATTACAGGTGCACACCCCACGCCCAGCTAATTTTTATATTTTTAGTAGAGATGGGGTTTCACCATGTTGGCGAGGATGGTCTTGAACTCCTGACCTCATGTGATCCGCCGCCTGCCTTGGCCTCCCAAAGTGCTGGAATTAATTACTGACGTGAGCCACTGCGCCCGGCCCTACAATTTTCTTACATGTGAAATAAGAGCAAGAATGGTACATGCTTCCCAGAGGATGCAGAGTTACAGCTTGTAAAGTGCTTGGCATATGATTTGACACATAGTAATCATACATACTCACTAGCCATTAATATAATTACACCCAAGTGCCAAGTACAGTGTTATAAATTATCATTATTCTATCTTGCAGGATAGTGGATTTAAATCATTTTTTCAAGCCACCCAATGAGTCAGGGAATTTTGAACAGAGCCAAAATTTTGAAGTCTGTTATCCCAAATCTCCCACAAGGGAATACTATTTTCCAAATAAAATAAACTGTGTCCTTTTAATGTTGTCATCTGTTTCTAATATGCTTTTGAGAATCTTTCCACGATGAATTTCAGCAGAAGATGATCCCCATCTTTTTCTCAATCATGAGGTTTACAGTCAATGACATTATCCCCACATTCTATTTAACTGTACTGTCCTCTATAATTCTCGCCAGCCCTCACAGCTCAGGTATGTTCCTCCCAACACTCATACATATTTATTGACATTAAATAAAATCTCCTCTTCAACAAAATGAATTATGAATATTATATATCAAAAAATAATAGCTACAATGAAAGGTCAGACTAGGAAATAAGACCCAAAACTTCTAGCACTCTGAGGATTTGAAAAATAAAATGACATGGTGCTTTCCTAAATCCCAAAGATAATCTCTTAAGTGTCCCAAAGAAAGCCTGGAGCACAAGGATAAGAATCAAAAACTATCGTACATTTCCAAACATGTCCAAAAAATATGTTTTCTCCCAGCTTCCAGGATAAATCCAAAACAGAGCTTTTATTTTTTTCTTATATTATGGCTTTTTAGATGTGTCCCAGAATATTTTTTAATAGGCTGCTCTTATAAACAGGAGTGTATAAGATTCTTGCAGTGCAGTGGTGCAGAAATAAGAGAATGGAAAGATCTGTGCTCTGAACTGAGCCCCACCACGTAACTGCTGGCATGATTCTGTGCCAGAAACTTAATCATTTTGGACTTTGGTTCTGAAGCTATAAACCTTAGAGATAAGAATATCTGGCTGGGCGCAGTGGCTCACGCCTATAATCTCAGCACTTTGGGAGGCCGAGGTGGGTGGATCGCCTGAGGTCAGGAGTTCAAGACCAGCCTGGCCTAAGTGGTGAAACCCTATCTCTACTGAAACTACAAACATAAGCCGGGCACAGTGGTGGACGCCTGTGATCCCAGCTACTCGGAAGGCTGAGACAGCAAAATCGCTTGAACCCGGGAGGCTGAGGTTGCAGTGAGCCGAGATCACACCACTGCACTCCAGCCTGGGCGACATATCTATTCTTATCTATCTCAATAAGTTGTTATTGAGAACAACAACTAGCATTTGTGTGGCAATGTAAAAACTAACTTTTTCCTCATAAGCAGTATTTTATTTAGTTACTATTACTGTTGAACTGAGTATTATTATTATTACAGTCATTATATTCTTCCAACAAATAAGGAAGCTGAGGCTCAAAGGATTTTAAACTAACCTGCCTAAGATCAGAGAAAGTGGTAAATTACATCTCCTAACTACAGCTTTGCTTGCCCCGCTGGGTGGCAAATGCTTTGACTACAGGGATTTCCTTTTAACGTCATAGTCTTTAGGCTGAGTATCAGCCCTGTGCATAGTAGGCACTCGGTAAATATCTGATGAGCTGGGGAGAACCAAAGTGGCAGAGTGGGAGTCTGGTTCACCAAGAGTCAACAAGAAGAGACATTAAATTTTATAGGATATGAGGAAAAGCTCTCAACAGAAAATATATATACTACTTAAATTTAAAATAAAAACCGTACTGCAGGGTTATTTATCCTTTGAACACATTTAGGCCTTATATTTTAGGGCACATTTAATTGGGTGCAAGCGATAAAAACCTACTTGGTGAGGGAAAGAGACAAATCTTCCTTACAGAAGAATTCCACATAATATCTAGAGATACTTCCTTCTTCAAGAGGTAGAGCTTAATCCTCCAGCCCCTACTTTGGCAGTGAGTGTGATGATTAATTTTATGTGTCGACTGGGCCACAGGTTGCCCAGATATTTGCTAAAACATTATTTTGGGTGTTTCTGTGAAATGTTTTTGGAGGATATTAACATTAAATCAGTTGACTGAGCAAAGCAGATTGTTTTCCCTAATGTGGGTGGGCCTCATTCAATCAGTTGAGGGCCTGAATAGAACAAAAAGGCTGACCCTCCCTTGAATAAGAGGGAACTCCTCCTGTCTGACTGCCTTTGAGCTGGGACTTTGGTGTTTTCCTGCCTTCAGACTCAAAATAAAATGTTGGCTCTTCCTGGGTCTTGAGCCTACCAGCCTTCAGATTGGAACTACACCATGGGTTCTCCAGCATCTCCTGCTTGATGACTCACTCTGCAGATATTGGGACTTGTCAGCCACCATAATTATGTGAGCCAATTACGTAAAATAAATCTCTTTTACACAGATATATATGGGTGTACTATATATATAGTACACACACACAAGTACATATACATATATGTGTATATATACACATATTTATATGTGTGCGTATATATGTATGGTTATATACAGATATACATACACCATATATATGTACACACCATATATATACACACACACACACACACACATATATATAGGGTTTGTGTATATTTACAAACCTATTGGTTTGGCTTCTCTGGAGAACTATGAATAATACATTGAACTGATGACTCACAAAGAATAGAGCAGGAAAAGAGAAAAATAGTAACACTGAATTAGAAAAATCTGGCAAACACCATTTAATCCAAGTGATGAAGGTTAACCTCACCAGTGATGTCATGTGGATATCAGGTACCCCTGACGTGCTGTAATGTAATGAGGAGGGTACTTTGCTTCTGTGGCATTCTTTTCCAAAACCCATAACCCACATCTAATCATGAGAGAACAGACAAACCTAGATTGGGGATATTCTACAAAATACTGTCAAGGTCATGAAAAACAAGAAAAGTCTGAGAGACTGTCACTGACTAAAAGAGATTAAGGAGACATAGCAACTAGACATGGTGTCTGGAGTGGTCCTGAAGCAGAAGGAAGACATTAATGGAAAAACTGGTGAAACCCAAATAAAGGCTGGAATTGTATCAATAGTAATGGCATGATGTTGGTTTCCTAGTTTTGACAAACATCCAGTGGAAATGTAATATGTTAACCATGGAAAAATTGGATGAGAAATATACAGGAATTATCTGTACTATTTTCGCCACTTTTCTGCAAAGTTAAAATTATTTCAAAATTAAAAGTTTATTTTTTTAAACCAAATCAAATGTAAGTCTCAAGTGTACTGAATAATGCATACATCCATAGGAAGGAATTACTTTCGGCTTTCACATGAGGCTTGGAGCTGGATAAACAAGCTCTGAAGCTCCTCCTCTGTTTCCCTCTCTGGACTCTCATTGATGCTCATCTCAGTTTTTTTTCTTTACCACTGCCACATTTTTCTCTCTGAAGACTGACTTCCTTTGCCAAATTATTTAGTTACATTTGCCCACAAAAGAAACCTGCAAGTGGCTCTGTCTTGTCTTGTGTCAACCCTAATCCTAGCTCTACATGACCTTGAATTTGCAGTTCCCTACACCATCTAACCATACTTCTCTGCCTTTGGGTGTAAATTATTGAGGAAGGGAACTAAGTTTGTTCAACCCAGTCAATGGCCTGGTTACCCTTGAGTTTGATGACCATTCCTGTTTTAATCAAGCGGAGTCTCTTGGTAGAAATATGACTCAATAGTCCCACCATAGTATCTGATTTTCGAAGGCTGAGAATAAGGAATAATTCTAAAAATACGGTCACCCCAGGGTATGTCTGATATATTATCTCTGCTCAACAGCATCTAAATCAGCACTGTAAATCCAAATTATTTTTAAAGACTTTCATGATTATGATAATAAATACTTGGACCTGAATGAAGGAGAGAAAAAAAATCTTTTTTTTATTATCTCTGTCAAAAGGATTGGGGAAAAAAATCCTCTTTGGGATAAATAGGTTGTTTGGAAGAAAAAAGTTTATATTATTTGAATTACAAATGACAGATGCCCTCTAAGATGAAAGAATAGAATCATAAAGGATTTTTTATTAACTTACTGAAGAATTAATATATTTTGGCCCCTGACTCTGAGTTGCTCTTATTGTCAAGAGAACATATTTTGCAAGAATATAATGAGATACTATGATTCTGTAAAATTCTAAAGATCATAAATTCTTGGGCCTACCTTCCTATCAGTGCAAGAGTACTTTCCACAGCATTCTTTACAAAGGAATCACCCCACCCGCCGCTGAAGCATTCTTAGTGAGAGAAAGCTCACTGCCTCATCTAGGAGTCTACTCTCGTCCTAATCAGTTTGCATTGTTACAATTTTCTTCATATATTCAGCCGTGATCTGTTTTCCTGATATAGAGGACTGGTGCTAGTTATACCCTCTAGATGTATTAAAAGAAAGTGTACATGATCATCCCACCTTCTCAGATACCTAAAACATGTGTACAAGAATGTATATTGTGACATTATTTGCAATAAGAAAAGATTGAAAACAGCCTAGATATTCATCAACTGTTTAAATAAAGTTTGTTTTGTCTAAAATAAAAGTTTGTATTAGAGACTGTTAGAGAGCCCCAAATAGCCCATGCCTACTCCCACTTCCAAAATCCAAATCCTTTCATGGTAAAAACATACGAAAAAAAGCAAGGAAAGAAGGAAGGAAGGAGGAAGGGAGGTAGGGAGGGAGAGAGAGAGGGAGGGAATGGAGGGAGAGAAGAAAGAAAGAAAGAACGAAAGAAAGAGAGAAAGAAAGAAGGAAAGAAAGGAAGGAAGGAAAGAAGGAAGGAAGGAAAGCACTCAACAAATCAGGACTAGTTTGGGGAAATTTTGTTAACATGATAAAGGGAATCAATGGAAAACCCACAGCTAATATCATACTTAATGTTGAAAGGTTGGAAACTTTAGCTCTAAAATGATGAACAATTAAGAAGAAAAGTATTTCTGCTCTTTCTACTTTTATTCAACATTACACTGAGGTTTTAACAAGGACAATTAGTTAGGAAAAGTAAATAAAGCACGTCCAGATTGGTAGGAAGTAAAACAATCTCTATTTGCAGATGACATAATCTTGTATACAGAAAATCCTAAGTAATGCACTAAAATGCTATGCAACCTAATAAGCAAATCCAAAAAATTTGCAGGATACAAAATTAATATACAAAAAACAATGAATTTCTGTACAATATGAATAAGCAGTCGTAATAAAATTAAAAAACCAATTCCATTTACAATCGTGTCAAAATACTTAGGAATAAATTTAACAGCGAGGCATGGTGGCTTGTGCCTGTAATCCCAGCATTTTGAGAGGCCGAGGCGGTTGGATTGCTTGAGCCCAGGAATTTGAGACCTGAGCCCAAGAGTTTGAGATAAGCCTGGCCAACATGGCAAAACCCCAAAATACAAACATTAGCCAGGTGTGGTGGTGCATGCCTGTAATCCCAGCTACTCAGGAGGCTGAGGCACAAGAATCACTTGAACCTGAGAGGCAGGGGTTGCAGTGAGCTAACACTGGGCCACTGTACTCCAGCCTGGGTGACAGAGTGAGACTGTCTCAAAATAAAATAAAATAAAATAATTAAAAGAAATACAAGACTTGTACACTGCATAGTTGACAGACATTGAAGAAGACCTAAGTAAATGCAGACATTTCATGGTCATGCATTTGAAGACTTAATATTGTTAGGATGAAAATACATCCCAAATTGATCTACAAATTCAATAGAATTATTATCAAAATTCCAGTGGGCTTTTTTGAAGCATTTAAGCAGCTGATCCTAAAATTCATATGGAAATGCAAACGACTCTGATTAACCTAACAACCTTGAAAAATAAGAGCAAAATTTAAGAATTCATACTTCCTGTTCTCAAAACTTGCTACAAAGCTACAGTAATCAAGCAAGACTGTGCGGTACTAGTATAAGAGTAGACATGTAGATCAATGAAACAGACGTTTACCGGAAGTAAACCCATACATTTATGGACAATTAATTTTTGAAACAGGTGCCAAGTCAATTCAATAGGGAAATTATAGTCTTCTCAACAAATGATCTGGGACTAGATATTCACAGTTAGAAGAATGAAGTTAGACTCCTCTTTTGCATTATATCAAAAATTCACTGAAAATGGATCAAAGACCTAAGCAATTAGTTTAGCACTTTACAAGTCCTAAAACTAAAACTCCTAGAAGAAAACATAAGTGTAAATCATGTTTGTGACCTTGGATTAGGCAATGGTTTCTTAGGTATGATACCCAAAGCACAAACAACCAAAGAAAAAATAGATAATTTGAACCTCATGAAAACTAAACACTTTTGTCCTGCAAATGATACCATCAAGAAAGTTGTTAAAACCTGCAGAATTAAAGAAAACACTTTCAAATTACATATTTCATCAGGGAGTTTATTCAGAATATATTCTTTAAACCCTTATAACTCAATAATGAAAAAATAAATAACCCAATATTGTTGGGCATTTATGCAAAAGAAATAAAAACGTATGTTCACACAACAACCTGTATATGAATGTTCATAGCAGCTTTATAAATAGTCAAAAACTAGGAACAACTCAAATATCTTTTAATGGGTGAATGTGAAAACTGTGATACATCTATCATGCTATAGAATACTACACAGAAATAAAAAGGAATAGATTATTTGTAGACACAACTTGAGTAAATCTCGAAGGAATGATGCTGAGTGAAAAAGCCAGTCTCAAAATGTTACATACTATATGATTCTACTTATTAATATATAAAATTCTCAAAATGACAAAACTCTAGAGATAGAGATTAGAGTTTGCTAGAGGACAGGAAAAAGGATAGCGTGAGGTATATGAATATAAAGTAATGAAGGAGTTCTTTTGTGATGATAGAACAGCTCTGTATCTTGATGTGGTTATACAAATTTGTACATGAGATAAAATTGCATAGAACTATACAACACACACACAAATGAATGCAGATTTTATCAAAGGTGAAACTGAATAAACTTTATTATAGTAATACTGATATAAATTTGCTGGTTTTGATACTCTACTACAACTATTTAACATGTCACCATTGGGAAGCAAGGTGACGGATTCGTAGCACTCTGTACTATTTTTGTAATTTACCGTGAACCTATAATTATTTCAAAATGAAAAGGTGTTATAAAAAATTAACAAAATAAGTGAAATAAGTCAGCCACAGAAAGATAAATACCACATGTTCTCAGTCACATGTAACAGCTAAAAAAAAATTGAGCTCATAGAAGTGGACATTAGCAGCTGGGAAGGATAGTGGGGAGGGAAAGACAGGAAGTGGTTGATTAATGGATGCAAAGTTACAGCTAGATGGGAGAAGTAAGTCCTAATGTTCTACAGCACTGTAGGGTAAATATAGTTTAAAAGGATTTCATGTATATTTTCAAAAAGCTAGAATAGAGTATTCTGAATGTTCACAACACAAAGAAATGATAAATGCCCAAGGTGATAGGTATGCTAATTATCCTGATTTGATTCTTATATATTGTATACATGTATGGAAATATCACTCTGCATCTCATAAATATGTACAATTATTATGTGTCAACTAAAAAGGAAAAAATTAACAAAGGATTTGAACAGACACTTCTCCAAATACTACATACAAATAGCAAATAAGCACCTCTCAAAATGCTCAGCATCATTAGTTATCAGGAAAATGCAAATTAAGCCACAATGCGGTATCACTATACTTGCACTAGGATGGCTAAAATTTAAAAAAATAACAATACCAGGCGTTGACAAGAATGTGGAAGCAACTTGGCTCTCTCACACGTTGCTGGAGGTACAGCCACTTTGGAAAATAATTTGGCAATTTCCCATAAAATTAAGCAAATCCACTCTTACCATGTGACTCAGCAATCCAACTCCTAAGATTTACTCAAGAAAAATAAAAACATACGTCCAATCAAAGACTTACTTGCAGGTGAGAAGTTCATTGCAGCTTTGTTCCCAAAAGCCAAAAACTAGAAATAGTTTAAAACTCCATTGGGCCAGGCAAGGTGGCTCACGCCTATAATCCCAGCACTTTGGGAGGCCCAGGCAGGTAGATCATGAAGTCAGGAGATGGAGGCCATCCTGGCTCATATGCTGAAACCCCGTCTCTACTAAAAATACAAAAAATTAGCCGGGTGTGGTGGCGGGCGCCTATTAGTCCCAGCTACTGGGGAGGCTGAGTCAGGAGAACGGTGTGAACCTGGGAGGCGGAGCTTGCAGTGAGCCAAGATCTCGCCACTGCACTCCAGCCTGGGTGACAGAGCGAGACTCCATCTCCAAAAAAAAAAAAAAAACCTCCATTAACAGTAGACTGAATTAACAAATTATGGTATATCCATACAATGGAGTAACTGCAATAAAATGGGTCAATCTCAAAAACATTATACTGAACTAAAGAATCCAGACACACAAAAAAATGCATACTCTATAGTTCCATCTATACAAGACTAAGCAAAAGCAAAATCAATCTACAGTGATAAAAGGAAGATTGGTGTTTGCCTCGAACCAGGGGTTGTGAGAGCAGCAGATAGATTGGGAAGAAGCACAGAGGAACTTCTTGGGTGATGGATATGTTCTACATCTGGATTGTGTGGATGGTTACCGGGTATGTGCATATTCACAACTCATTGTACTGTACATATGAAATGTATGCACTTTAGTTTTCTAAATTATGCTTCAATGAAGTTGAATTTTTAAAAATATAAACCTTAAGATTTTTCTGGGTTTGCAGGGATGACAGTGAGAGGTTAAGTTAAAGAATATAATGGTTTTAAGTCTACGTGGTTAGTAGAATGATACTGCCATTAACGGACATGTGTCTCTCACCAATCCCAAACTCATTACGGTCACAACTCAACTAAAGATCTCCTTTCAGCCGGGCATGTTGGCTCACCCCTGTAATCCGAGCACTTTGGGAGGCCGAGGCAGGCAGATCACCTGAGGTCAGGAGTTCAAGACCAGCCTGGCCAACATGGTGAAACCCCGTCTCTACTAAAAATACAAAAATTAGCTGGGTGTGGTAGTGGGCATCTGTAATCCCAGCTACTCAGGAGGCTGAGGCAGGGAGAATGGCTTGAACCCAGGAGGCGGAGGTTGCAGTGAGCTAAGATCATGCCATTGTACTCCAGCCTGGGCGACAAAGCAAGACTCCGTCTCAAAAAAAAGAAAAAAAAAATCTCCTTTCATCACCACCCCGAAAACTACTCTTTCTTGGGTGTTTTCTGTCTCAGTGAATGGCATCCTTAGATATGCAACCCAGAAAACTAGCAGATGTTTTTGACACCATTACTGTCATTCCTCTTCACTCGCAAATCTAATCAGGCCTGCCGATTTGTATCTCCTAAATAGATTTCAAATGTGTTGGCTTCTCTCCATTTCCATCATAACCACACTAGTTCAAGCCATCATCTCTCACCTATGCCTCTCTAATAACCTACCAAATTGTTCCCCCTGCATCTATTCTTACCCCCAGCACTGATCTGGACTTTTGGTTGCAAATGACAGAAATTCTTTTCAAACAGATTAATGTTTTTAAAATAAGGAAATATATTTATATAACCAAGAAGAAGTGAAC
This sequence comes from Homo sapiens, assembly GCF_000001405.40. Lineage (NCBI taxonomy): Eukaryota > Metazoa > Chordata > Mammalia > Primates > Hominidae > Homo > Homo sapiens. The sequence continues at coordinate 25,414,951 of NC_000012.12, read as the reverse complement.
TAGTCATGACTAGATCTATGGATTTGCCTAATTAATTCAGAGCTCAATTTTTCTGTTTATTTCATTTTAGAGACAGGGTCTCTAGGCTGGAGTGCAGTGATGTAATGTCAGCTCACTGCAACCTCCGCCTCCTGGGCTCAAACAATCCTCCCACCTCAGACTCCCGAGTAGCTGAGACTACAGGCATGCACCACTACACCTGGCTAATTTTTTTTTTATTTTTGTGTAGAGATGGGGTTTTGCCATGTCGCCCACGCTGGTCTCAAACCCCTGGACTCAAGTGATCCGCCTGCCTCAGCTTCCCAAAGTGCTGGGATTACAGAGTGAGCCACCCAGCCTTGCCTATTTTTCTCTTAACTCTTAATTATACTTCCCCCTGTGTTGGTTTTATTCTCAGATGGCTCTCTGCAAATGATGTAAAAAATTGTTGATCTTTTCCTTACTGATCTGACCCGGTCCTTACAGGTAGCAATCCAGAGGAACAAGGATTACCTCTTCCCTGAGAGTTTGAGCAAAAATTAGAGAGGGCATTGGTTAGTCTAACCCAGGTCATGTGCCCAATCCTGAACCAAACACTAAGGCCAGGAGAATAGGGAACTGTGATTGGTTAGAACTGGATTATATCCTCATTCCTGTGCTGGGCAATGAGGGAGAGTCAATTCCACCCAAGTCCTATGGAAAGGGCTCCCCACAGCAGAGGGGTTCTGTCCACCAGTACTGGGGGGAAAGGGAAACTACATGAACAAAAATTGTAACTACTAGAGTCTGTTTCCATTCTGCTCATAGAAACCAGAATTATTTTATTTCATCCTTTTGAAGTTAAATCTGATGGTATATCATTCTCCTGCTTCAAATCATTTAATGGCTTTCTATTGCTTTTAGGATAATATTCAAACTCTCTCAGATGGCTCAAAGTCCTTTATGCTCCAAGCCTTGCCTACATCCCCAAATAAATTTTGTTGCTCTCTCCTCATTCTCTATTCCAGCCACCCAGCCTTTTCCAATTTCTTTCACATGTCATGTTTCTTCACAGTTCAGGTCCTTTTCACAAGCTGTTTCCCTGAACACACTCCACAGTCCCCCGTCAGAAAATATCTAGTCGTTTTAGGGTACAGCTCAGACACTACTTCCTCAATGCAATTTTCATGTATCTCCAGGTTAGGTCACACCCCCTCACGTAAACACATTCATTGTCCATGTACATCTCTTCTATCACATTTCTCTCAATTGTAAGTATACGATCATTAAGGTAATGAAGGTTTAATATCTGATCCTACCAGTTAGAATGTAAGCTCCATAAGGGCTGGGATGATATCTGCTCCATTCACCTCTGTCCTGACGTAGCCCTGTCCCTGGTACAAATAACACATGCAGTTTTTCCCCCAATAAATTAATAAATTTGGTGAGTGACCAGGAAAAGAGGAATGATAAATTTGATTTTAGATAGGTTGAATCTAAAATAATGACAAGGCAGCATGTTAGAATATTTAAAATAGACATTTGGAAATATGGGACCATCAAGGTGAATACAGTCTAATATTCCATGGGACTATCGTCTTTCAAAACGAAGACCAAATATCAAAAATATTTTACTTCCCCAAATGACAAGTGATTTCCACTTAGGGGTTGAGAGTTGATGAAATTAGGGGCCCATTCAGGAAGTCTTTCCTGTCTGGACACCTGGTGTTTTACTAACAAACTTGACCCAAACTGGAGTGCCAACCGTGGGCCAAAAAAAAGGGGGGGGGGAGGGGAATGTTGCATACAGAAACCTGAAGTAATTTTAGTTTTATTTACACAGGTTGTTCCGCTTAGAAAGCTGAAGTCAAATTTAGAGATTCAAACAACTCGTATAATGGGTACATTTTCTACCATCCTTTTCCTTGGTAAACAGCATTTAGAGACAGTGAAAACAGCATGTCTTTCTAAGAAGAGCCCAATGTTCCATGTCTTTTGCAACATTCTCTCTACTCCACACCCACTCTCTGCTCAACATAAAGGTTTTGCTTGTTTGGGGTTATTCTGAGCTTAAGGAGCACTTCTCAAGAGAGTAGTCTAAAGGGCGTTTTTGTATTTTCCTTCCTGAGGTGTGTGCAGGAGGCAAGAAAAAAATAACGACCACAGCTATCCTATTCAAAACAGTCCATGAATCATTTTTCTTCTTAGTATTTTTCTTCTTAATATTTAACAGAACCATGAGTGGCTAAAGTCCTAGAAACTTCAGGTACTTCAGTTCTTTAATAAAAATAAATGAGACTCTTGTTTTCAAAACACAATGTTCATTGTAAAATATAGATATTTGGCTAATGTTTAAAAATATCATAGGTTCCAACTTAAAGGAAGAAATGATGGAGAGGAGGAAAAGGTTGTGCTTGAGCTTTATTCCAAAGTTCAATCAAACCCTTACTAAATCAGTAGTTTACGTTGTCAGCAGCAAAAGAAGAAACCTCAGGACAAGCAGAGAAAAGCAAGTGAGAAACACCCAGAAGAGAATAGTTGAGCTGAGAGGACAAGAAAGGGACGATGTGAGGCCTTCCTTGAAGATGAGTTTGGACTTCAACATTGTTTCATAGCTTATTCTTCAAGAATTTTTTCCATTCACAGGATACATGTGTTGCCTACTGCATTTCAAGGGTCATCAGGAGAATAAAGACTTAACCGAGTCGAGAAATAGGCGAGTTGCTCCGTCACTTGTCTACTTGCTGAAACTCCTTCTTTCTTCCCCTTTCCTGACATTTTTGCTGGGCAAGGAAAAGGAAGAGTTCCCAGGTAGCTGAAGATTGGACTATCACCCTAAATACATCATGGATATGCACAGCCTAAAGGTTTAGAAATAGAAGGAAGGTAGGAAATACCATGCTAACCAGGCCCATATAGGACAAGGGATCCTCTGCAGTCGGATGATTTTTTTTTTTTTTTTGAGACGGAATCTCGCTCTGTTGCCCACGCTGGAGTGCAATGGCGCGATCTCGGCTCACTGCAACCTCCACCTCCTGGGTTCAAGCCAGTCTCCTGCCTCAGCCTCCCAAGTAGCTGGGATTACAGGTGCCCACCACCACACTGGGCTAATTTTTTGTATTTTTAGTAGAGACAGGGTTTCACTATTTTGGCCATGCTAGTCTCGAACCCCTGACCTCGTGATCCGCCTCCCAAAGTGCTGGGATTACAGGCAGGAGCCACAGCGCCCAGCCAGTCTGATGATTTCTTTTTTCTTCTTTTTTTTTTCTTGAGACAGAGTCTCACTCTGTCACCCAGGTTGGAGTGCAGTGGAGTGATCTTGGCTCACTGCAACCTCTGCCTCCTGGATTCATGCGATTCTCTGCGTCTCAGCCACACAAGTAGCTGGGATTACAAGCGTGTGCCACAATGCCCGACTAATTTTTGTATTTTTGGTAGAGATAGGGTTTTGCCATGTTGTCCATGCTGGTCTTGAACTCCTGGCCTCAAGTGATCTGCCTGCCTTGGCCTCCCAAAGCGCTGGGATTACAAGCTGAGCCACCGCGCCAGCCTGCAGTCTGATTTTTTAGTGCATTAGGATTGGTGCTTCATTTTTCTATACACTCCCCTAGTCTGCTCATTAATGTGTAAAATTTCAGGCTTATAAAGCAAATTTTGTAAAAGAAAATGCATATTTGGCTAAATATGTAAAGTTCTATAAATGATTGTTCCTATAGTTTTTTTTTTGTTTTGTTGTTTTTTTTTTGTTTTTTTTTTTTTTTTTTTTCAGAAAATAAATTTAGCAAATTTATGAGGACGGAGGAAAAAGGAGTGAAGGGAGATTTATGAAGGGCCTAGAGAAAGAGCCTAGAAAAGTCAGTCTAGGAGCACAGAAGACCAACCCAAACTTTGACTGAAATTAGACTTAAGGCTGGCTCTGAAGTATTTGTTAAATCCTCTGTTTTTTGTCTCTGCTATTGAATCCAAAGATGGGTAGTACAAAAATGTGACTATTCTCTAAGAATAAGTCAGTGTTAACTGGTAAGCAATAATACCTTATTTACACATAACTGAGATTACAATGTCTAGCTAGGCAGTACGGTAACTACCATACGGGGAAGTGGCCTTCAATGGAACCTGCAACTCCAGCCCTAGTCCCCATAACAGATAAAATTTCTCCAGGTCTCACACATTAAAATAATGCTCAAGGGTAATTTGGGAGTATATCGTGTATCATATGCATACTCACATGTATCATATACATACAGTATGATTCGTAAATTGCACACATCCTACAGAAATTATATGAGCATGTAAAGCTATGTATATAAGAATTTTTCATTGCAGTAGTTCATAAGAGTAAAAATTCGGAACATCATTGTATTCATTTCCTGGAGCTGCTTCTGTAACAAAGTACCACAAACTGGGTGACTTTAAGCCACAGAAATGTATGGTCTCAGAGTTCTGGAAGCTAGATGTCCAAAATCAAGGTGTCTGCAGGGCCATGCTTCCTCTGAAAGCTGAAGGAGAAGCCTTCCTTGCCTCTTCCTAGTTTCTGTGGTTGCCAGCAATCAATCTTTGTGTTCCTTGGCTTGTAGATGCATCACTCCAATCTTCATAGTCTTCCCTGTGTGCATGTCTGTCTCTGTGTCTTTACAGGTCATTAGTCATATTGGATTAGGTCCCACCCTAACGATCTTATTTTAACTTGATCACTTTATAAAGTTCCTATTTCCAAACAAGATCACATTCCTTGGTAGAGGGGATTATGACTTCAACATAGCTTTTTGTGAAGGACACAATTCAACTCATAACAAACGTGGAAGCCTATCAATAGGGAAAACAAATTCTATATTTCTGCAACAGACCACTCTGTAGTCATTAAAAAAAGAGAGAGAGAGAGAGAGAAGTACTAGGTGCACTGACCTACAAAGCTGTCTTGGACATATTATTACTGCATATTATCTAATGCATAAAATATGTGCGGATATAGTCTATTTATGTGTTAATTGACTGTTCATGTTATTGGTAAGGCTTCCTGTCAATAGTAGGTGATTAGTGTTAAGTTTCGTGGTAGTCAGAAGTTATATGCAGGTTTTCAACTGTCTCCTAACCCTTGCATTATTCATGGGTCATCCACATAGAAACAGAACAGATTAGTAATTGTTAGGAGATGGTGAGAAGTGGATGTGGCTGTAAAGGGGCAGTATGAGGAATTTTTGTGGTCTTGGAAATGTTCTTGACTATATCAGTGTCAACACCCTGGTTGTGATTTTGTGCTATAATTTTGTAAGATGCTACTAGTGGAGAAACCTGGTTAAGGGTACATGGGATCTCTATGTATTATTTTTTACAACTGGATGTGAATCGACGTTTAACTCCAAATAAAATGTAATTTTTTAAAAAGTGTGTGCACCAAAATCTCAGAAATCACCACTAAAGAACTTATCTGTGTAACCAAAAACCACTTGTACCCAAAAAACTATTGCAATAAAAATAAAAATTAAAAAAAAATTAGCTCTCTTTTTTTCTCTGACATGATGGTTTGTGCTTGACTCCACTTATCACCATGTCTTCTCACAAGACTTTCAGGATTAAGCATTTCCTGGCCAAGAAACAAAAGCAAAATCGTCCCATTCCCCAGTGGATTCGGATGAAAACTGGTAATACAATCAGGTACAACTCCAAAAGGAGACAATGGAGAAGAACCAAGCTGGGGCTGTAAGGAATTGCACGTGAGATAGCGTCAAGGTCACAACCATCTTACCATATCAAGCTGAAAATGTCACCACTATCTGGACAGTTGTACATGTTTTATTGGGACTATTTTTTTTCTCTGTGTATTTGCTGCATCTGTAGTGGTAGGTTAGATTCAGTAATGAATATGTGAGACCTTTCCTTTCAAAAACAAAAAAAAAAATTTAAGTGAAATTAAAACATAAGCGGACCCGTGTGGTTCAAATCCGTGTTGTTCAAGTGTCAACTGTAATTTGTCATTTCAAGAATGTTATATAAATGGAACCATATGGTATTTAACCTTTTGAAATTTCCTTTTTTCACTCACATAATTCTCTGGAGATTCACCCACGGTGTTGCATGTGTCAGTAGTTCATTGCTTTTGATTGCTGAGTAGTATTCCATGGTATGGATATATCACAGTATATTTAACTAATCACCTGTGAAAGGGCCACCTAAGAGTTGCTTCCAGTTTTTGCTATTACAAATAAAACTACCATAAACATTCATGTGTAGGTTTTTGTGTGAACATAAGCCTTGTTCATAAGAAATGGCTAAACATAAGCAATGACTGGGTTGTATGACAGTTATTTAATTTTTAAGAAACTCCCATACAGGTTTCCAGAGTAACCATACTATTTTACATTCAAAATAGAAATATGTGAATAATCCAGTTACTCTGCATTTTCTCCAGCATTTGGTGTTGTCTATTTTAATTCTAGCCATTCTGATAATTATGTAATGGTATCACATTGTCGTTTTAATTTGCATTTAATTTGCAAATATTTCTCACACTCTGAAACTTTCCATCTTATCCTCTTATTAGGAACTTTTGCAAAACAAAAATGTTTAATTTTGATGTGATCTAATTTATCAATTTTCTTTTTATGGATCATGCTTTTGGTGTCAAGTCTAAGAACTATTTGCCTAGCTCTAGATCCCAAATATTTTCTCCTATAATTTTTTTTCTAAAAGTGTTATAGCTTTACATTTTACATTTAATTCCATGATCCATTTTGTGTTAATTTTTGCATAAGGTAGGACTTAGGCCGGCCAGGCACGGTGGCTCATGCCTGTAATCCCAGCACTTTGAGAGGCCGAGGCCGGTGGATCACAAGGTCAGGAGATCAGGACCATCCTGGCTAACACGGTGAAACCCCATCTCTACTAAAAATAAAAAATAAATAAAAAAAATAAAAAATTAGCCGGGCGTAGTGGCGGGAGCCCGTAGTCCCAGCTACTCAGGAGGCTGAGGCAGGAGAATGGCGTGAACCCGGGAGGCAGAGTTTGCAGTGAGTGGAGATCGTGCCACTGCGCTCCGGCCTGGGCGACAGAGCGAGACTCCCTCCATCTCAAAAAAAAAAAAAAAAGACTTAGGCCAAAGGTATTTTTTCTTTTTTTTTTTTATCCTTTCTTTTCGTGGTTTTTTTTTTTTTTTTCCATAGATGTCCAATTGCTCCAGCACCACTTGTTGAAAAGACTATTTTTTCTTTATTGAATTGATTTTGCACCTTTATCAAGTCAGTTGGGTGTATTTGTAAGGGGCAATTTCTGGGTTCTCTATTCTGTTCCTGAGGTCTGTCTGTTTCTCCCTTCGACAACACCATGCATTCTTGATTACTATAGCTATAAAATCAGTCTTGAAATTAAGCAGACTGATTTCTCTTTTTCGAATTCATTTTAATCCATTCTTATGTATTTGCCTCTTCATAAAAATTTTGAAATAATCTTATACATATCTGCAAAAATCCTTCTAGGAATTCTTACAGAGACTGACCTGCAGCTGGGCATGGTGGCTTGCACCTGTAATCCCAGAACTTTGGGAGGCCAAGGGGGTGGATCACTTGAGGCCAGGAGTTCGAGACCAGCCTGACCAACATGGAGAAACCCCTTCTCTACTAAAAATACAAAAATTAACCAGGTATGGTGGCACATGCCTCTAATCCCAGCTACTCAGGAGGCTGAGGCAGGAGAAGCACTTGAAGCCAGGGGGCAGAGGTTGCAGTAAACTGAGATTGTGCCATTGCACTCCAGCCTGGGTGACAAAGCAAGACTCTGTCTCAAAAAAAAAAAAAATGTTTTTTAAAAAAAGAGATTGACCTGTATATCAATTGGAGAGAACTGGCTGGGCACAGTGGCTCACACCTGTAATCCCAACACTTGGGGAGGCTGAGATGGGACAATCGCTTAAGGTCAAGAGATCAAGACCAGCCTGGTCAACACAGCAAGGCCCCATCTCTATTTAAAATGTTTATATAAAATTTAAACAAATAAAAAAGAAAGAAAAGAAAAATATTGGAAAGAATTGGTATATCCTCTATATTGAATCTTCCAATCCATGATCATGGTATGTCTCTCCATTTATGTATATCTTCTTCAGTTGCTCTCATCAGCACTGTGCAGTCTTCAGCATACAAGGCCTGTACATGTTTTCTTAGATTTACACCTAAGTATTTCATTTTTTTTAGTCATTGAAAATGGTATTGTATTTTGAATTTCAATGTCCAGGAATTCACTGCTGGTATAGAAATACAATTGATTTTTTTATGTTTATTTCACATCCTGTGACCTTGCTGAACTCACTTATTAGTTTTAGGAGATTGTTTTTGTAGATTCCCTAAGACTTTATATGTGGACAATCATATCATTTGCAAATAGGGACAATTTTATTTCTTTCTTTCCAGTTTATGTACTTACTTCCTTTTCATACCTTATTGTACTATGTTGAATAAGAGTGATAAGGTTGGACATACTTGCCTTTTTCCCCATCATAAAAGCAAAGCATTTAGTTTTTTACCCATTAAGTATAATGTTAGCTATAGGTTTCATATACATATTCCTTATAAAGTTGAGGAAGTTTCTCTCTATACCTATTTTTCTGAGAGTTTTTATCATGAATGTGTCAAATTTTGATAAATGCTTCTTCTACAATAATTGATATAATAATGTAACTTTTCTTTTTTAGTCTGTTAACATGATAGATTACACTGATTGATTTTTAAATATTGAACCAGCCTAGCATCCCTGGAATAAATATTAGCTAAATTCTATTAGCTAATATTTTGTTAAGGATGTTTGCAGCTATATTCATGAGGGATATTGGTCCACAGTTTTCGTTTTTGTGTTGTGTATTGTTATTGTCTGGTTTTGGTATTAGGATAATAGTAGTTTTATAAAATGAATTTGTAAACATCCCCTCTTCTTCTATTTTTTGGCAAAGATTATGTAGAATTGGTGTTAATTCTTCTTCAAATATTTCATAAAATTTCCCACTGAAATCATCAGGGCCTGGACATTTCTTTTTTGGGAGTTTTTAAATTATGAGTCTGATTTTCTTGAAAATGTCAGAGATATTCAAATTATCTATTTTATTTGGAGTGAGTTACAGTAGTTTGTGTTTTTTGAGGAATTGTTCTAGTTTTCCTAAGTTTTCAAACTTATGTGTGAAAACTGTTTATAGTATTTCCTCATCCTTTTGACAGGTGCAGAATCTGTAGTGATATCCCCCATTTTATTCCTGATATTGGTAATTTGTGTCTTCTCTTTTTCTTCGTTAGTCTTGCTAGAAGTTTGTCAAATTTACTGACCTTTACAAAAAACAAACAAACAAAAAAACCAGCTCTTTGTTTCATTGATTTTCTCTATTGCTTTCTGTTTTCAATTTCACAGATTTCTGCTCTTTATTATTTCCTTCCTTCTGCTTGCTTTGGGTTTATTTTGCTCTTTTTTTTTCCCCAGGCTCTTGAGGTGGGAACATAGGTTACTAATTTGAAACTTTTTCTCTTTTCTAATGTAAGCATTTCATGCTAAAATTTCTCCCCCAGCACTTCTTTAGCCGTGTCCTACAAATTTTGATAAATTGTATTTTCAAGAGTGGGGCAGCAGTGGGAGTTCCAGCTCTCCATGGTGGGGTGGTCTCATTACTACTGGGTAATGGTGAAAATCCTGACTCCAATAGGCCTGCTTTGACACCAACCCAGTGGGAAGGGGTATGTAGCCCCTTTGCTGCCTGGTGGAGGTTGATGTCCAGACTCTCCATGTGGTCTTCAGCGACACAGCAGGGGGCGTGCCTTGTTACCTACCACAGGAATAAATGTGACAGCCTCTTGAGGCAGGAAGGCTAGGCTCTGTCACGTGGCCTCCGCTGGCACAAGTGAGGGTGGGGACACAGTTTTTTCTGTGGTGTTTGGCTATAGTAGGGTAAATATTGTCTTAAAGATTTCTGTTTTGGTAGGTTGCCTCTTTCCTACTTCTTTGGCTAGAGAGAGCAGGCTTTTATTGGGATTGTTTGTTTGTTTGTTTGCTTTGTCGATGCCAGTTAATGTTTCTGGGTAGCCAGGTTTTGAAGCTCCAGGGCTGGGATATATAAGCCAAAAACAAAACCCCGGGAAACTCACCAGTATGTTGATCCTCAGGTTCCTAGGTCCCTGGCCAGTCTGCTTTCCTCTCTCCCAGCGTCAGTCTTCTCTTATGTTTGTTTTGTATATAATATTCAGGGTTTTCAGTTGTTCTTAGTGAGAAGAACAGGGAAAAGAATATCTACTCCATCTTCCTGGAAGTGGGAATTGTACTTTTACTTTTTACTTTGTATAATAAATTATTCTTTTTAAACGGTGGGAGTATGAATGGTAACTTTTAACATTTTTCTTTTGTGTTTTTTACTGCCAAATATGCTAAACAATGAATCTAAGTGGTAAAGCTATGTGGTCTTCCAGCTATAAAATGCATATTTACATGAAAAATCTCAGATAACAGGAGGCAAAGATTCTTGTTCAGATTATTTATTTCATGCAACTGAAAATGTTTCTTCTTATAGTCTCTCATAATCCACATTTAAAGTATTACATATAAGCTTTGCACAGTGGCAGTATCATAGCCAATGAGGTTTATCCGAGGCACAATTATTGCTAATTGAAAACATTTCCCAATATCCTGCCATGAAGACTTGTAATATAGTTGGCATTAGCAATTTTTGACAGTCTCTACGGAGACTGAATATAATATTGTGTATATATATATTACATATAGCCTTGTAATAATTAAAGACATAGTAAATACAGCTTCTTTAAACTTCTATTCTCTCTTCTCTCTTAATCATACTCAAATAAGAGTAAAGAGTTCAAAAAGTAAAATATTACAAGGAAAAAATGGTAGTGGAGACAGATGCATAGAAATTTTTTAATGAAAGAAAGCAATTGCATATATGGTAACTGACTTAAGAAACCTGAGGAAGAGGAAATCTAAACCAGGCAGTGAGGGAATGCCAACAAAAAGCAAACCCTAGGACCCTGGAAAAGTTCAGAACTTGGAAGTACATGGTAACTTTCATGGAGGTGAGGGTGTGACCAAGAATAGTAGAATTGGTTGAAAGTCTATAGGAAGCCACGTGACCTCCATGTCTCCTCCTGTACCCTAGACAGCCAAATGATTTCTTTGCCCTCTAAGCTGTATGATGAGAAACTTATTCTCTGGTGAAGTTGAACCAGAGAGACAGTCTCTGAATTTGAGCCTTCCACTTTCAGTTGATGCATGGTTGAGTGTTCACATATTGAATGGTGAAATTTCACAGCCATTTTCTTTTATTGGGCCCTCAAAACACTAGCAGCCTGGCATTTCACTCCCAGAGAATTCCTATTTTGGGAAACTGATCACCCCAAGGAAAATGACCTACAAGTACTGACAGGCATATGACTAAGAGTAGTCCCAGAAAGAGAAAACTAAATTTAAAAGATTATTTTTCAGAAATTGAAGACAATTTCCTACATCTAAAGAATATCTTTCCACATTAAGAGGACCTGTCAAATACCCATTTAATAGATGGGAAAATGCATAATTTCTGAAATTTCATATCACTAGGACAAAGAGAATACCCTAAAGCTTTCAGTACAGAAAACAATACAAGTCAAATATACAGCATCAGAAATTAGAATGTCACTGGTCTCTCAACAGCAGCTTTAAGGCTCAAACATAGTAAGCAGCGGCCAGGTGTGGTGGCTCACGCCTGTAATCCCAGCACTTTGGGAGGCTGAGGCAGGCAGATCACAAGGTCAGGAGATCAAGACCATCCTGGCTAACATGGTGAAACCCGTCTCTACTAAAAAATATACAAAAAAAATTAGCCGAGCGTGGTGGCGGGCACCTGTAGTCACAGCTACTTGAGAGGCTGAGGCAGGAGAATGATGTGAACCCAGGAGGCAGAGCTTGCAGTGAGCCAAGATTGCGCCACTGCACTCCAGCCTAGGCAACAGAGCCATACTCCATCTCAAAAAAAAAAAAAAAAATTGTAAGCAGCTTTCACAGTACTGAGGAAAAATTATTTCAAACCCAGCATTCTATACCTCGCCAAATTATCAAGTAAATGCAATGATAGAATAAGAAATTCTCAAACTTGTGAGGTCTCAAAAGATTTAATTATCATTTACTTTTTCCAAGAAGATACTACAGGAAGTGGTCCCGCCAATACCAGCAAGCCAATAAACTGTAAGGAAAAGCAAACAGAATACTCAGTATGAAAGTGAAGGAAGATCCCAGGATAAGAACTGTACAACAGGAAGACTGGGCGCAGTGGCTCATGCCTGTAATATCAACACTTTGGGGGGCTGAGGAGAGCAGATCACAAGGTCAGGAGTTTGAGACCAGCCTGGGCAACATGATGAAACCCCATCTCTACTAAAAATACAAAACTTACCGGATGTGGTGGCAGGCGCCTGTAATGCCAGCTACTTGGGAGGCTGAGGCAGGAGATTTGCTTGAACCCAGGAGGCAGAGGTTGTAGTGAGCCGAGATTGTGCCACTGCACTCCAGCCTGGGTGACAGAGTAAGACTCTGTCTTGAAAAAAGAAAACTATACAGCAGGCTGGTTGAGAGAGCAACCAGTCCAGATTGAAGTAAGAGAGAGCACCAGGAGTGCTGACAGAGAGAGAAAGAGAAGGAAAAAAAGAAGAAAAGAGAGAAAGAGAAAGAAAGAAAGAGAGAAAGAGAGAAAAGGAAGGAGGGAAGGAGAGGAGAAAAGAGAAGGAAATATAGCAATTGTTATATCACTTTATGGTGTGACACTTCTAGCAGAGAGGTTTAGGATTAATGATATAAAACTAAGCAAAGAGAGACAGTTATGAATTCCAAGGAAAACCAAAAGTTGCTCAATGCAGGAAATGGAATCATAATCCCCTTCTATGGCTTAATTACAAGTAACTTTCACATACTCCTAGTATTATAAACACTGAATATTATCTTACCAAGAATTATGGTAAAATCACAATAATGTGTTAGGAAAGGGGAAATGGAAGGAGGGTATGTAACTATAGGTAAGCTAAATCCTCACCTCCCATAGTAAAAAGTCAATAGCTAATATTAAACACCTTTGTTTAAAAATCAAGAAATAACAGTGTATATTAGTCCATTTTCACACTGCTAATAAAGACATACTGGAAACTGAGCAATTTATAAAAGAGGTTTATTGGACTTATACAGTTCCACGTGGCTGAGGAGGCCTCACAATCATGGAGGCAGGCAAGGAGGAGCAAGTCACATCTTACAAGGATGGCAGCAGGCAAAGACAGAGAGCTTGTGTAGGAAAACTCCCATTTTTAAAACCATCAGATCTCGTGAGACCCATTCACTATTAAGAGAACAGCATGGGAAAGACCCACCTCTATAACTCAATTACCTCCCACCAGGTTCCTCCCACAACACGTGGAAATTATGGGAGTTACAATTCAAGATGAGATTTGGGTGGGGACACAGCCAAACATATCATTCTGCCCCAGGCCCCCCACAAATCTCACGTGCTTTTTACATTTCAAAACCAATCATGCCGTCCTAATAGTCCCTCAAAGTCTCAACTCATTTCAGCATTAACTCAAAAGTCCACAATCCAAAGTCTCATCTGAGACAAGGCAAGTCCTTTTTGCCTATGAGCCTGTAAAATCAAAAGCAAGTAGTTACTTCCCAGACACAATGGGGGTATGGACATTGGGTAAATACAGCCATTCCGAATGGGAGGAACTGGCCAAAACAAAGGGTCTACAGGCCCCATACAAGTCTGAAATCCAGCAAGGCAGTCAAATCTTAAAGCTCTAAAATGATCTCCTTGTCTCACATCCAGGTCATGCTGATGCAAGAGGTGGGTTCCCCTGGTCTTGGACAGCTCCACCCCTGTGACTTTGCAGGGTACAGCCTCCCTCCAAACTGCTTTCATGGGCTGGTGTTGAGTGTCTGCAGCTTTTCCAGGAGCATGGTGCAAATTGTCAGTGGATCTACCATTCTGGGATCTGAAAGATGGTGGCCATCTTCTCACAGCTCCACTAGGCAATGCCCCAGTAGTGACTCTGTGTGGGGGCTCCAACCCCACATTTCCCTTCTGCACTGCCCTAGCAGAGGTTCTCCATGAGGGCCCTGCCCCTACAGCAAGCTTCTGCCTGGACATCCAGGTGTTTCCATACATCTTCTGAAATCCAGGCATAGGTTCCCAAACCTCAGTTCTTGACTTCTGTGCACCCACAGCCTTAACACCATGTGGAAGCTGCCAAGGCTTGGGGCTTGCACCCTGTGAAGCCATGGCCCAAGCTGTACATTGGGCTTTTTTAGTCACAACTGGAGCAGCTGGGAAACAGGGCACCAACTCCCTAGACTGCACACAGCAGAAGGATCCTGGGCCCAGCCCATGAAACCACTTTTTCCTCCTCAGCCTCTGGGTCTGTAATGGGAGGGGCTACTGCAAAGTTCTCTGACATGCCCTGGACATATTTTCCCCATATTCTTGGGGATGAACATTTGGCTCCTCGTTATTTATGCAAATTTCTGCAGCCAGCTTGAATTTTTCCTCAGAAAATGGGTTTTTCTTTTCTATCCCATTGTCAGGCTGCAAATTTTCTGAACTTTTATGCTCTGTTTCCCTTTTAAAGATGAATTTTTTTTTTTTGCACCCAAGTCACCTCTTGAAAGCTTTGCTGCTTATAAATTTCTTCCACCAGATACCCTAAATCATCTCTCTGAAGTTCAAAGCTCCACAAATCGCTAGGGCAGGGGCAAAATGCCACCAGTCTCTTTGCTAAAACATAGCAAGAGTCACCTTTGCTCCAGTTCCCATCAAGTTCCTCATCTCCATCTGAAACCAACTCAGCCTGAATTTCATTTTTCATATCACTATCAGCATTGTGTTCAAAGCCATTCAACAAGACTCCAGGAAGTTCCAAACTTTCCCACATTTTCCTGTCTTCTTCTGAGCCCTCCAAACTATTCCAACCTATGCCTGTTGCCCAGTTCCAAAGTCACTTCCACATTTTCAGGTATCTTTTCAGCAGCACCCCACTCTCCGGGTACCAATTTATTGGATTAGTCCATTTTCATGCTGCTAACAAAGAGATACCTGAGATTGTGCAATTTACAAGAGGAAGAGGTTTAATTGGAATTACAGTTCCACCTGGCTGGGGAGGCCTCACAATCATGGCAGAAGACAAGGAGGTGCAAGTCATATCTTACGTGAATGGCAGCAGGCAAAGAGAGAAAGCTTGTGCATGGAAACTCGTTTTTAAAACCATCAGATCTCTTGAGACTTATTCACTATCATGAGAACAGCACAGGAAAGACCCGCCCCCATGATTCAATTACCTCCCACTGGGTTCCTCCCAGGACACATGGGAATTGTGGAAGTTACAATTCAAGATGAGATTTGGGTGGGGACACAGCCAAACCATATCACAGTGTAAGGGCATTTGGATATATAGAAGTAAATATTATAAGAGCTAAAAAGAGCTGAAGATGTTTGCCTCTGGGGAATTGGAATCAAATATGGACAGGGTACAGAATTAAAATCTCTTTTAAAAGGATTATCACTTATTAAATCTTTAGCTTTAGTTTTTTTTAATTCTTGTTTTTATTATAAAAAATCAAAATTCAAAGACAACTTATTTTAAACTCTCTTTTTATTGGAGGCAATTATTAAGTATTCACATATCTAATGCTTGGGTCTGTTTAGCCTTCTGATCCTTAGTCATTTTGGGCAACGTTACACTATTATCTATGCCAATAAAAATGTAATTCAGATAATGTGCCATTTTCCATGCTCACTCAAATTTAACGTCTATTCAGAAGGTATTCAACAACAATTTAATTGACAAATTCTTATCCTAACTAGCTTAAAATTGTTGTCATCATTATAGTTATTCATGTTATCATTATTTATCTGTAGTAAATGATCATTGGATTGGTCCCCAAAATAATGACATAATATTTTCAAAGTATATTCCACCACCATTTTTGCCTGCACCACAGCACCCTTATTAAAAAACACTCAAATAATCTGATTGAAGGTTTAATTAACCACTTGGTTTCTTAAATGAGTTTTGGAGACATGCCATGCTCTTAAGTTGGTACTTCAGAGTGAGCTATCATTTGCTTTTAAAGACTGTTCCAGCATATTTCCAGCACTTGAAGACTTACGAAAGAAACAATCAATCTAATATTCTAGTATCAAACAAATTTAAATTTTTGATTCCTTTGTCAAAAATCATATGACTGTATTTGTAAATATTCTGAAAATCCAATAGTTCTTCAAATTAAAAAAAAGGAGGAGAGGGGGAATGTAGTTTTGCTATCTTTAAAATAGGAATAACAGGCCAGGTACAGTAGCTCATGCCTATAATACCAGCACTTTGGGAGGCCAAGGCAGAAGTATTGCTTGAGTGCAGAAGTTCAAGACCAGCCCATGCAGCATAGCAAGAGCCCCTGCCTCTACCAAAATAAACAAACAAACAAACAAACAAACAAACAAACAAATAAATAAATAAATTAGCAGAGCATGGTGGTACACGCCTATAGTCCTAGCTAGTTGGAAGGCTGAGTTAGGAGGAACGCTTGAGCCCAGGAGTTCAAGGCTACAATGAGCTATGATGGTGCAACTACACTCCAATCTGGGAAACAGGAGTAAGACTCTGTTTCTAAGACACATTAACATCATGGGTCCCCTAAAATTTTATACAGAGAAAGATACATTCCTCCAGCATATTCTTGCTAAAAACGCAGTTCTGTCTAATCTTGAGAAAACATCAGACAAATCCAAATTGAGAGGCTTTCTACAAAATAACTGATTCATCAGAGGTGTCAGGGTCACTGAAGACAAGGAAAGAATGAGGAACTGTCACAGACTGGAGAAGACTAGTGAGACACAACTAAATTCAGTGTGGGATATTGGAGCCAGAAAACAAACAAAAAAACGGACTTTACGGAGAAAACTGGTGAAATGAATAAGTTTAGTTAATAGTGTTGTAACAATGATAGCTTCCTGGTTTTGATCATTGTATTATGCTTATATAAGTTATTAACATTAGGGGAAGCCAGGTAAACAGTATGCAGGAACTCTCTATTTTAGATTTGCAACTTTTCAATAAGTCTAAAATTATTTCTAAACAAAAAGTTTAAAAAGAATCATCAAAGAGACTAGGTGTGGTGGCTCACACCTGTAATCCTAGCACTTTGGGAGGCTGACACAGGAGGATCGCTTGAGGCCAGGAATTCAAGACTAGCCTGGGCAACATAGTGAGACCATATCTCTCTTGTTTTTTAAATTAAAAAACTTAAAAAAAAAAAAAGCAGCATCAAAAAGCAAATTCTTAATTTTTTTTACAATAAAGGAGAGAATGAGAATCTATAAATCAGTGATGTACATTAAAATGCCTTTCATTAGTTTTAGTTCAAAGCTAAAATAATGTACTATTTATGTCAGTTGTTTCCCAAGGTACTGCTGTTTATTAGATGTAGTTTTGTTCCTATTAAGTAATGGAGACTTATTTGGCTCTAAATTATCACCCTTACATTTGGCCTTGCTAGATATTAGGTTATTTTTCTCAGTTTGCCCCCAGATCCGTTCTCCACCCTGCTCTGCACCTTAGCGGGGATGACCCTGGGGTGGGAGTCTCCCCACTCTCATTGTCCTCGGGCTTCTGGTTGGAGCATTTTCTCCCACTGAGGCTTCATCCAGCTGACTGTTCTGACAGTAGCTAGGTCCTTTGACAGCCATGGCTCTTGTTGGAGGCCTCCTCCAAGGTCACGACTCTCACTGGTTCGGATAATACCATTTCCTCTCCTGCCCTTCGGATGTGTAAGGTAATGGCTTCCCACTGTTACTAATCCCCGGATGCCTCAACATCCCTTGTTGGGTCTCTTAATCCCTTAATCCACCTGCAACTCTGTAAATAATCCTTTTAATAAACACATCTTTTTTAAAAATCCCAGCTGGGTGTGCTATCCCTTTCCTATCAGGACCCTGACTGATACAGACATGTGACTGAGAATCACTGGGGCTCTTTAATAGGCTGTTTGCTTTTCTTTCTTTTTTTTTTGTAAAGAGTCACTAGTATTCTTTTTTTTAAAATCTCCTACAGGAAGGATTTTATATATATATACACACACACACACATTTTATTGTTTATTTATTTATTTACTTATTTTGAGACAGGGTCTCACTGCCGTTGCCCCCCAGGCTGGAGTGCAGTAGCGTGATCTCCCTTCACTGCAGCCTTGACTTCCCAGGCTCTAGTGATTCTCCCATCTCAAAAAGTAAAGCTAATGTCCTTATTTTTCTTTCTGATTGGGAGATTACATTACCCATATGGCATGAATATGGGAGTATGTGTGTTCACTTTGGGCAAAAACATGAAGTCCAAACTTGCTAAACATGGGTCTTCTTTCTATATTGACACATGACCTGAGTTTTGTGTATGTTGTCTATTGAAGAGCTCAGAAATTCTGGTTAAAATTCAAAACAACTTTTGTTTTTATAAAAATGAAATTACAACAAAATTCAGTTAGCTTTTATTTTTTACAATTACTCCTTCAAACTTATGCTTCCTCATTCAAACATACCTTCTTTTAAGTAATTCTGTTCTATAAATCCGATAGCCTGAAGAACATTATGAGTAGAATAATTACCATTTAATGATGTTAGCACACTCAGAGACCATAGCAAGGCCTCCTGCAGTCCTTACGGTAATCTTCTAAGTAAAGTACTATTGCCATCTGCAGTTTTCAAATGAGATAATTGATCCTTAGAGAGGTTGTATAACTCACTCAAAGTTAGTTTCAGAGCTAGATTTCAAATCTAAGTCCATTCGACTCCAGGTCTAGCCCTTAAAGAACAGAGAATAATATTACAAATATATACAATTGGAATAAAAGCCATAGGCCTAAAACCAGCCACTTTATATGGGTAATCTAGAGCAATGCTTCTCAAATTACCTATCAGCAAATGTTGGCTGGGCGTGGTGCCTCACACCTGTAATCCCAGAACTTTGGGAGACTGAGGCGGCCGGATCACTTGAGGTCAGGAGTTTGAGACCAGCCTGGCCAACATGGTGAAACCCCATCTCTATTAAAAAAAAAAATACAAAAATTAGCCGGGCATGGTGGTGGGTGCCTGTAGTCCCAGTTACTCAGGAGGGCGAAGCAGAAAAATTGCTTAAACTTGGGAGGCGGAGGTTGCAGTGAGCCGAGTTCATGCCACTGCACTGCAGCCTGGGTGACAGAGGGAGACTCCATCTCAATAATAATAATAATAATAATAATAATAATAATAATAATAATAATGTTAGTTCCATCTGATATGTTTAAGTAGCATACAGAAAGTTTCCATGATCAAATAAATTTTGGAAATAGTGGGTTGAACAATATTTTTAAACTGTGGAAGTGTATAACATTAATGGGAGCCATTCATACTGGTAATCATTGCAGATTTATATAGTTATTACAACAATTTTCTAGGAGATGGCAAAAAAGTGTCTTGAGTAGGGGAATTTTCTGTTTTGCACAATGGTGACATTTGGGCTATCAATGGGGCTAGAGATGAGAGTAGATGAAAATAATATGAAACTCCTAACATACCTGAATGCTGTCCTGTTCATGAAGACTGATTGCCAACATCATCAGTTTCTAGTGTTTTCGAGTTGATAGTTGTTTGTACCAAGTAGATTTAAAAAATAGCTAATTATTTTTAGGGTTTTTCAATGCCTTGCACAATTACTTATATACCTAAAAGATATGCTTGGAAAGCTGAAAGATTTTATTACTAGTAAGAGACTTTCCAAATCTAGTATAAGGACATTGGAATAATAAAATGTAAGATTATTTTTTAAACGAACTAAGAATAGGCAGTTGATTCAAGGAAAAATAGTTGAAATGTGCATGCATGTGCAAATACATATGCATAAATAGATTAAACTTCTTGAGGGTAGAGGTTTTATTTTTGTCTCTTTATTCTTGCCAAATGCTTGGCTGCAGTAGGCATTCATGAATTTTATTTATTTATTTATTTATTTATTTATTTATTTACTGAGACAGAGTCTCCCTCTGTTGCCCAGGCTGGAGTGCGATGGTGCGATCTTGGCTTACTGCAACCTCCACCTCCTGGGTTCAAGTGATTCTCCTGCCTCAGTCTCCCAAGTAGCTGGGATTACAGGCGTGCACCACCACACCCAGCTAATTTTGTATTTTTAGTAGAGATGGGGTTTCACCATGTTGGTCAGGCTGGTCTCAAACTCCTGACCTCAGGTGATCTGCCCGCCTCGGTCTTTCAAAGTGCTGTGATTACAGGCGTGAGCCACCACGCCTGGCCTCTCATGCATTTATGTAATGTTTATTGAGTTCCTTCTATGTATCAGACATGATTCCGGTCCAGGCACTAGAGTTAAGAGTGAAAAAGTAGACTTTTGTCTTCGTGGAGCTTACATTTTACTGGGTAGAGATACAGAGTAAAGTTAAAAAAAAGGCGGTGAGGGCGGGGGCAGAAATGAAGCCATTCATTAGGTAATGGATATTGAAAAAGTTGTAGAGTCAATAAGTAGGAGTTCCAAGGGTAAATGCACTGGCGGGAGAGGAAAGGCTTGAAACAATCAATGTTTTAGAAGGTAATCTAATTATTGGTAACAGGAAGGTGAAGTCATGACTGGAAGGAGGAGGATGAAATGGAGGAAGATAAAAAGATCATTAGAAAGAAGGAGATCCGGAAACTGTGAACGTGTGATGTTGAATGGGACAGCACATGGATGTCGCAGTTGCTGAAAATGGTGACCAAAGCGGAGTGAAGAAGGAGACAGTGAGCCACGTGCTGCAATCTTCAACGAAGGACATGAAGTAATTTAAGAGATCATAGATGACAGCACATAAAACGGTAGGCTCCCATAAAGCTGGATAGAATAACTTCGTAGGAGCTGGAGTTTTTGAGGGCTGAAAAAGAAGAAATGGTTTGCAAATGGCACTTTATATAAGTTCAGGTCAAAGGAAAAAGGAAGTGAGAAGACAGCCAGCGAAGTGTGTCCTCAGGAATAACTTTCTATGAGGCCAAAAATGTGATGGAAACACCTTTTTTTACTGAATGAATGAATGTTGAATCCTCACTTAGAGTCATTTAGAATAATTTCAAACTTAATTAGCCTTTTGAATTAAGTTTAAAGTAATGCATTCCAATTTCTTTTGTTCACACACTTTCATATTTATTTTAATATACTCATAAGGATAAAAGTTGGAAGTAGAGAGATTTCTGAGTTTAAAAGTATGTGTTGCAAGGGCAACCATCATCTTTTACTTTAGACGCCTCAGTATTTTTGAGTTTATTACAAGTACATACTCCTTTGATAATAAAGGGGAAAGAAAGTATGTATCTTTACCAAAAATACCTGAAAATCAAGCCACTGAAAAATTAAAATGGGCATCCTGAACAGCTTCCCTTTTATTCCTGGACTATGGTAACTTCAGAAAAGGAAAGAAAGCAATATGTTTTTTGTTTTGTTTTGAGACAGAGTCTGGCTCTGTCACCCAGGCTGGAGTGCAGTGGCATGATCTCGGCTCACTGCAACCTCTGCCACAAGGGTTGAAGCAATTCTCCTGCCTCAGCCTCCTGAGTGGCTGGGATTACAGGCACCTGCCACCACACTCGGCTAATTTTTGTATTTTTAGTAGACCACCATGTTGGTCAGGCTGGTCTCGAACTCCTGCCTTGTGATCCGCCCACCTAGGCCTCCCAAAGTGTTGGGATTACAGGCCTGAGCCACCACGCCCGGCCAGCAATACCTTTTTTTTAGATTGTTCTGCCATCTCCATCCCGTCCACACAGGAGTTGGGGTTAGATTTTATCCTAACTACTGAGCAGTGGCCTCTTTCTCTGTGGAGCAAGAGGCTGTGAGGACTTCCCAGGTCACACCCAGGCTCTAGCGGATAAATATCCACTAGATAGCCCTTCCAAGGGTTATCTTCCAAGGGTTATCCTTCCAAGGAAAACCCTTTCATAGAAGGGTTCTGAGGAAAAAACCTAGTTTTCCCTTTTTTCCATTTTCCAAGTAATTGACTCACTTATACGTAATGTCAATGGGCTCTACTAAATCTTTGGGCAAACAATTCAATAATACTTTAGGCTAAGTAGTGCTTCCTCTTGGGTCATACCTTATATAGATTAAAATAGAGCTATTTAATAAAAATAAAATCAACAAAAATGAGCACTCACTCTGTGTAAGACACTGTGTTCAGAGCTAAACTTAGAATATCTTATTTAATCCTCTTAACACCTGTTTGAGATAGACGTTATTCTAATCTAATTTACAGTTGAGGAAACCAAGACACAGAGAGAATAAATATGCTGAGATCATGCAACTATTGTGTCCAGGAACTGAGATAGGAACCCAAGTCTGCCACACCTCAGGGCATGTGCTGTTGTGTCTGGAATTGGTGGGTTCTTGGTCTCACTGACTTCAAGAATGAAGCCGCGGACCCTCGCGGTGAGTGTTACAGCTCTTAAGGTGGCGCGTCCGGAGTTTGTTCCTTCTGATGTTCGGATGTGTTCAAAGTTTCTTCCTTCTGGTGGGTTTCTGGTCTCGCTGGCTCAGGAGTGAAGCTGCACACCTTCACGGTGAGCGTTACAGCTCATAAAGGCAGTGTGGACCCAAAGAGTGAGCAGTAGCAAGATTTATTGCAAAGAGTGAAAGAACAAAGCTTCCACAGTGTGGAAGGGGACCCGAGTGGGTTCCCACTGCTGGCTCCGGCAGCCTGCTTTTATTCTCTTATCTGGCCCCACCCACGTCCTGCTGATTGGTAGAGCCCAGTGGTCTGTTTTGACAGAGGGCTGATTGGTGCGTTTACAATCCCTGAGCTAGACACAAAGGTTCTCCACGTCCCCACCAGATTAGTTAGATACAGAGTATGGACACAAAGGTTCTCCAAGGCCCCACCAGAGTAGCTAGATACAGAGTGTCCATTGGTGCATTCACAAACCCTGAGCTAGACACAGGGTGCTGATTGGTGTGTTTACAAACCTTGAGCTAGATAGAGTGCCAATTGGTGTATTTACAATCCCTGAGCTAGACATAAAGGTTCTCCACGTCCCCACCAGACTCAGGAGCCCAGCTGGAGCCCAGCTGGCTTCACCCAGTGAATCCTGCACCAGGGCTGCAGATGGAGCTGCCTACCAGTCCTGTGGCATGCGCTCGCACTCCTCAGCCCTTGGGTGGTCAATGGGACTGGGCGCTGTGGAGCAGGGGGTGGCACTCGTCACGGAGGCTCGGGCCGCATAGGAGCCCATGGAGGGGGTGGGAGGCTCAGGCATAGTGGGCTGCAGGTCCCGAGCCCTGCCCTGCGGGAAGGCAGCTAAGGCCCTGTGAGAAATCAAGCGCAGCGCCGGCGGGCTGGCACTGCTGGGGGACCCAGTACACCCTCCGCAGCCGCTGGCTCGGGTGCTAAGCCCCTCATTGCCTGGGGCCGGCAGGGCTGGCCAGCTACTCGGAGTGCGGGGCCCCCCAAGCCCACGGCCACCCGGAACTCCAGCTGGCCCGCAAGCACCGCGCGCAGCCCCGGTTCCCGCTCGTGCCTCTCCCTCCACACCTCCCTGCAAGCTGAGGGAGTGGGCTCCTGCCTTGGCCAGCCCAGAAAGGGGCTCCCACAGTGCAGCGGCGGGCTGAAGGGCTCCTCAAGTGACGCCAAAGTGGGAGCCCAAGCAGAGGAGGCGCCGAGAGTGAGCGAGGGCTGTGAGGACTGCCAGCACGCTGTCACCTCTCACTGTGAACCATAGATTATACTGCCTCTCTGTTTCGGTGATTCAGGAGATGTTTTCATTTTTGCTGTGTCTTGGGGCTGATTGCCACCCGTACTGGATATTTATTCTTTTGTGTTTTTTTGTTTGTTTGTTTGAGACTGAGTCTCGCTTTGTCGCCCAGGCTGGAGTGCAGTGGCACCATCTTGACTCACTGCAAGCTCTGCCTCCCAGGTTCAAGCAATTCTCCTACCTCAGCCTCCTGAGTTGCTGGGACTACAGGCACCTGCCACCACACCTGGCTAATTTTTTGTATTTTTAGTGGAGACGGGGTTTCACCGTGTGAGCCAAGATGGTCTTGATCTCCTGACCTCGTGATCCACCCGCCTTGGCCTCCCAAAGTGCTGGGATTACAGGCATGAGCCACCGCGCCCGGCTGGTACTGGATATTTGGATATTTATTCTATAGGGCTTTAGGGAAATGTCTTCAGGATAAGAGAAGCTTCAAAGTCCCATAAAGATCATCTCAAAATCATTATATGGTTATAAAATAAACTATATTGCTTTAGAGTAGGGCAAGCTTGTCCAACTTGCAGCCCAGGACGACTTTGAATGTGGCCCAACACAAATTCGTAAACTTTCTTAAGACATTATGAGTTTTTTTGGCCAATTTTTTTTGAAGTTCTTCGTTAGTGTCAGTGTATTTTATGTGTGGCCCAAGATAAGTCTTCTTCTTCCAGTGTGGCCCAGGGAAGCCAAAAGACTGGACACACCTGGAGTAGAGTAAGTGCAATTAATGATGTTATTTTATACCATCTGAATCCAGAAGTGTTAAGAATACTTGTGACACTTAGCTGAGTGCAATGGCTCATGCCTGTAATCCTAGCACTTTGGGAGGCTGAGGTAGGAGGATTGCTTGAGCCCAGAAGTTAGAGACCAGCCTGGGCAACATGGCAAAACCCTGTTTCTACTAAAAATACAAAAAAAAAAAATGTAGCCAAGTGTGGTGGTGTACACCTGTAGTCCCAGCTATTTGGGAGGCTGAACTTTTCTTATAGTTTCTTACAGTTCAGAGGCTATCCCTCAGCTGGTAGATCTGAGAAGCCAGCATTGCAGTCTACTACAGATTAATTAACTGTCTAATCATTCCCTGACCTCAGGTACTTGCAGCCCTAACTTCATGGAAGCTGGGCCAATTCATAAGGCTTTTGTCACACAGCCAATCTACCCCCAAGCCTTGAAATATTTTTATCTACTGTGCATGCACAATAGAAATGTGAACTTCTATAGATACGACAACTTTTTTAATTACCACTAAAAAGGCAAACATGTTGCCAGGCATATTCTGATGGCACCAACATCCAATATCCATTTTCTAACCTTAGAACTGGCTTGAGGTGTGGTGAACTCATGACTACACATATGAAAAAGATGTGGTTCCTGGACTATTAACTGGGAAAATGGGCCTGTGTTAGTTTGTTAGAGCTGCCATAACAAAGCACCACAGACTCAGTGGCTTAAACCACAGAAATTGATCTTTTCATAGTTCTGGAGGCTAGAAGTCCAAGATCAGGGTGTCAGCAGGTTTACTTTCTTTTGAGGCCTCTCTTTTTGGCTTGCAGGTGCCTTCCTTTTCTCTGTGTCTGCACATGGTCTTTCCTCTATGCAAGCACCTGTCTCTATCCCAAGCTCTTCATTTTTAAAAAATTATTTATTTATTTATTTATTTGAGACGAAGTCTTGCTCTGTTGCCCAGGCTGGAATGTGGTGGCACGATCTCGGCTCACTGCAACCTCCGCCTCCCGGGTGCAAGCGATTCTCCTGCCTCAGCTTCCTGAGTAGTTGGGATTACAGGCGCGTGCCACCACGCCTGGCTAATTTTTGTATTTTTAGTAGAGATGGGGTTTCACCATGTTGGCCAGGCTGGTCTGGAACTCCTGACCTCAGGGAATCCACCTGCCTCAGTCTCCCAAATTTCTGGGATTACAGATGTGAGCCACCGCGCCCAGCTAAGCTCTTCTTCTTCTTCTTTCTTTTTTTTTGTTTTTTTGGAGATGGAGTCTCACTCTGTCACCCAGTGGCACAATCTTAGCTCACTGCAACCTCTGCCTCCCGGGTTCAAGCAATTCTCCTTCCTCAGCCTCCCAAGTAGCTGGGATTACAGGTGCACGCCGCCATGCCTGGCTAATTTTTTGTATTTTTTAGTAGAGATGGGGTTTCACTGTGTTGCTCAGGCTGGTCTCAAACTGCTGAGCTCAGGCAATCTACCCGCCTCAGCCTCCCAAAGTTCTGGGATTACAAGCGTGAGCCACCGTGCCCTACCCAAGCTCTTCTTCTTATGAGGACACCAGCCATACTGAATTAGGGCCTACACGAATGCCCTCATTTAACCTTAATTATCTCTTTAAAGACCGTGTCTCCAAATATAGTCTCTGGGAATTAGAACTTCAACAGACAAATTTGGGGGACTGGGGAGTTAGGATTTCAACATACCAATTTGGGGGGACACAATTCAGCCCATAACAGGACCCAGTTCATAGAGCAGCAGGAGTACTTCTCACTTCTATGAGAGTGCTGGCCTGTTTACCCCTGGCTAACAAAAGAACAGAGTCTCTTCCCAGCCCTGTAGAATACCAAAGCGTTTTCTAAATACATGTTCCTGCATAAAGACCAACTCTTATTTCCATTGCTGCCTCTGCAACTGAGAGAGCACGGAGAACCACAGAATAATTGGTGATCATTATCTGAATGCTTCTATAAAGTGTGGTAAAGTGCTTATTGTGAAAAATGCAGCTGAATTGCCCACATTAGCATTTATGGTAGAGACACACCTCCTTTATCGCTTCATTCGTGGTTTACCAGTTATCCTCTTACCTCCTAGTGACTCAAAGCTGTACCAGCAGCCGACCTCTGAAGGTAGCTGTTTCCTCCTCAAGATGAACAGTTCTGAAAACCAATGGAAGCTAACAGCCAAGATGTGCAGTTTTCAACTTACACAGTTACTTGGGACTTTTTAAAAATATGTTTTCATCTTGGCATATTAATAAGGACGACAAAGAAACAAATTAGTAAAAAGGAATGTCACATTTAAAACACTTAAGGAAAAAGAAAAATAAGACTATTACCAAGAAGGCAGTGGTTATAAGCGTACTTATTCTTGGTCTGGAATACTAGAAACAGTAATGAAGGCACAGGGAAACAAGCTGAGAAGGGAAAGACTGGTGTAAGACTGGTGTAAGTAGTGTGCATTCACATCAGTTCATCTTGATGATTCAACCTGTACAGTACTAAAATTGTTGGGAAAACTATTTTGATGACTAAAACTTTTTTTGTTACATTGGTGTATATTAACGCAGAGAATAATGACTGTGAAACAAATCCATGTTTTACTTTAATATCATCAAGATTGGTTTTAAACCGGTTTCGATTGCTATGGATATGAGAAAGATATTTCAGGTAGTATTCCCTACTGAATGATCACACTTGCTTGTCAATAAATGATTAAAAGTAACTTTAAGAGATGAGTCTCAGTGAAAACTATCTTGAAGGTCAGCTTTCCAGCTTTGCAGTGGGCCCATGCCAGGTGTTCTAGACGTTCCAGGCGCGTTGCCCATAAACCATTTGACAGCAGGGGGAGCTCTTCTGTTAAAATCCGCAGTTCTTTTTAAAAAGCTGTTAGGACAGCATATTCGCTACACATCCAACCTTCAGCAGTAGTTGAAAGTATTGTCTTCAAATAACAAGAGTCCGTCTGAGCTTTAAGTTTTATTCGGGGCGGTGGGGGGGATGTCAAAGTAGAACAATTATGAAATATAATTTAATAAGGTCTTTGTTATTAGTACATGCTTAGTTAACTCTTCTGAATAAATGTTTATGTCTGATTCATTCCACTAATATTTGCTGAGGACCCACTGTGTAAGACACCAACATATATACTTAAGCAGTCATCCCCGTATCGCTACAGGAAGGCTTAGAACTTTAGAATATGACACGAGCATTTTAAGGGAAGAACATTGTAAAGCAAAGCGAAGGCATTAAAAGTCACTGTATTTAATCCCACTCAAAAGTAAAGAGTTCACTATAATATAGCGGTGTTTGGAGCAAATAGCAGAAACAGCTACTATTCTCAGTTTGCATCCTGAAGACACAGACGATTTTGTAACAACCTAATATTAATATATAATAGTATCTACGTATTTATACAGGGCAATCACTGGCACCCCCTGCAACAGAATCCTCGGTGCCTCTACACCCACAACACTGGGTTGCTTCCCTAATTCCAAAGCGTGGTCTTTTTTCCCCTCTCTCTGACCTTCGCCACCCACCCGCTCCCTGGAGAGAATCCACTCGGGTCTGGATCAAGGAGCTGAACATTTTCCATTGCTACAAGAGATTCTCTACCCCCAGAGCCGCAATGGGGGAAAGTCTCCATGTCGCTGTTTCATATTGGCTCATTGGTGCATTTTTTAAAAACTAGGTTTAAACCACAAGGCATTACACATCTTGCGTTTTCGAACCCTCCCTGTTTCGTTTTCAAGATAACGAGGTCTTATTAGAGATCATGCGAAAAGCCCTTTTTGAACACCCCAAGTCGCAAGTCATTGGACAGGACTCTCGCCGCGGCCAGGTCTCACGTGGTTTAAACTCAGCCTCTGCGAGCCACCCAGAGCGTTTGCTGGGGTGTCACTCTGAAAACTATCCTTTTCTGTAGAAATAAAAAAGACCCAGTTTAAACGGTAAGCCCTTGGCTGGCCAAAACTGAGCCTTCTGAGAGGCACTGGCGTCCCGGAGGACCGCCGCCTGACTCAGGACTTGAAAGGTTCCCGAGTTCAAGGGACTCTGGACGCCGCAATCGCCACCCCGCTGTCCCGCCCGCGGCCCCGCGTGCCCGCAGAAGTGGGGAAGGCGTGGCACGAGCACCGGGCTGAGGTCGCCGCCCGGTTGTGCAATCGGCCTATGCAAATAAGCGAGGTTACGCCGCCCAATCGGGAGCCGGATGTGTCGTGACGCACGCGCCGAGCGCCTGTAGTATTTATAGCTCGTATTTAAAGAGCCCTTGGGAGTCTCCCCGGGCTCGGCAGGGCGGCGGCGACGGCGGTGGCTGCGGAGCTGCAGTTAGCGCTGCGCGCGTGAGGTGGCGGGGCGGCAGCCGCGCATCCCGGCCCTGTGGCGTGTTGGGCGTGGGGGAGCGTCCTTACACGTTCCAGGGTGGCTTTTCCCCCACGTCCTCGCTCGGTTTCTGGAAAGGGGGAGGAAACGCTGCAGCTTCTACAGTACTTTTGCTTAAGACAAAGCCAGGGATCAGGAATCTCAAAAGAGCGGGGGGCAGAAGGTTTGAGCCGACCCCACCCCGGCTCTCCATCGGAGCCCCGAGCGGCGCCGTTTCCTGATGCTGGCTGTGCGTAGAGGCGGCCTTCCTGGGGGGAGGGGAGAACAATGCTTCCTGAAAAGCCAAAAGTCGTGGAATTTGGGGGCGGGGCTCGGGCCAATTAAAGTGTATTCGTGGAAAATAAATCGCAAGATAGTGGCAGTGATGATCTTGGCGTTCAATCGATTGATCTGACTTCCCAGCAGCGAACTGCACACTGCAGCGCGAAAGCAGGAAACTGGCATTACGTCAGAAGACAGAAGAGACCCAAATTGCAACGGTTGCATCTGCAGGGCTGGCTGGCTGGCTTCCTCTCCTAAACCTAAACCTTTCCCTCTCCCCACCCCCTTTTGTGTGTGTGTGTGTGTGTGTGTGTGTGTGTGTGTGTGTGTGTGTGTGTGTTTCCAGGGAGCAGCTTCGCTGGGCCGCAGGCTCTGGCACTGGGTGCTTTGTCAGCGAGGCATCGCAGGATTTTAGGCAAAGGCCAAAGGGGCGAGCACTGGCGTGACTCGGGAACTCTTGGCCTCAGTGCCCTGGGCCCCCGTCCCGTGTCACTCTACGCTCTCCTCGGCAAGCTAGTTAGGAGCCACAACTCATTCCTTTTAAAGATAGCGCCGAGCTTGGATAGCTTTCCAAAATTCCTGGAGGGCGTAGGGAACCGCGCTGAATGCTCGGCTGGTGTCCTTAGTTTAGCGCGAGCTCACGTCCACCCCAGGAATACAAGTGGTGAGTGGTTAGAGATCCTAGCAGCATGCAGGACTGGACGATTTCTTAACACGTTGTGAAGGGTCTCATTTCTCGGTATTTAAGGATGTGATCACAAGATTGTTCCCTATCAGGGACCCTTCTCTTGAGGTTTTGTCGCTGCTGTTAAAAATCCCTTAGGGACAAACGTGAAACAGAATGTTGTGATTTAGTACCAATGACCTCTTGGAACACGTTCAAGAGTTTGACACTAGCTTCACCTGCTCCGTCGTTCCCTCACTCCTACATTCAGGGTCATTAGAAGGTAACCTTAGTAACCAGTTCTAGGGTCCTGCCCCACTCCACCCCTAGGCAAAGCTTAACACACACGAAGGTGACGATAATAGCTAATGATTATGGACTGTTACGCTCTAGGCAGCATGCTGCCTGCTTTGTCAGTCATTATCACATTTAATTCTCATAGTAGCTGGTTGAAGCCAGTACTGTTACCCCACTTTACAGATAAGCAAACAGACTCTGAGGATCCGTGTGTCCACCAGCTGAGAGAAGGTGAGCCCAGGCAGTCTGACTCCAAAGCCTCTTAACTTCTCGCATTATCACAGTGGGGAGAGGTCTGGGTGGGGACCTTCCAGGCTCACCTCATACCAGGAAGGCAAAGACTTTCATTCAATCCTGCTATCCTGTCAACTTCGATAAACCTAGTCCCGGTTAAACACGGAAGGTGTCAGGTGACATGTTTTTTTGTGTGTCCTCATGTAAGAGATACTTTTTAGGAAAACCCAAGATACTTAAGCTCATTTTCTCATTGCCTCGTGTTTGCAACAGTATCCTATAATAAAGTCGCTTAATGATTAATCTTTGTATAAGCACTTTACTCCTAGTTCAGGCCATTGGGTAATGGCAGATTCTTTTCTCCTCATTAAACCTACAGGGAAACTAAAGAACTGAGTGATTTGGCCGGGTGTGGTGGCTCACGCCTGTAATCCCAGAGCTTTGGGAGGCCAACGCGGGTGGATCATCTTAGCCCAGGAATTCCAGACCAGCGCGGGAAACCTAACAAAACTACGTCTCTATAAAAAATACAAAAATGAGCCAGGTGTGGTGGTGCGTGCCTGTAGTCCCAGCTCCTTGGGGGGCTTAGGAGGGAGAATCACTTCAGCCCTGGAGGTTGAGGCTACAGTAAGCCAAGATGGCACCCCTGCACTCCAGTCGGGACAACAAAGTGAGACCTTGTCTCAAACTAAATAAATGAAAATAAGAACTGAGTGATTTATCATGTAAATTAGGAGTGAGGTTATGTTCAGAATTAGCTGATAACCTAAATCAAGGCCAGATAAATCTCTTTGCTTTCCCCTTTGGTTGCCTTATCCTCTGATCATTAGCATCTAGACAAGAAAGAGCCAGGGAAGGGAAACTGCCAGTGGTTTGGAAGTATTGCCTGTGAGTAATGTCCGGGAAGGGAAATTCAAATGAGGAAACGTTTAAGGGGAGGGGGCTGTACCTGTTTGTGCAACGACAATTGTCTATAATAAAAATGATTGATTTGGAAGCTAAGTACCTGATACTAGCTCTGCCCCATCCCAGCTGGATGGCCTTAGATAAGCTATGGAGTCTGAGACCCAGTTCCTCCTCTGTAAGGTGGAAGTTAACCTGCCACCCATCTGCTGTTAGCCTTACTCCTGACATTTTCCTCTGCTGCCTTGTGGCCCAGGCTGGAGTGCAGCGGTGCAATCATGGCTTACTGCAGCCTTGATCTCCCAAGCTCAGGCAATCCTCCCAACTCAGCCTCCCAAATAGCTGATGCTACAGATGCACACCCCTATGCCTGGATAATTTTTGTATTTTTTGTGAAAATGGGGACTTGCTATGTTGCCCAAGCTGGTCACTCAAGTGATCCTCCTTTCTCAGCCTCCCAAAGTGCTGGGATTACAGGAGTGAGCCACTGTGCCTGGCCTCCTCTAGTCCCTTAAATGCTAGTGTTTCTCAGTGTTCCCCCCTAAATCCAGTCTCTTATCACTCAACACACTCTCCTTGAGTGATTTTGCCCGTTCATGCCCCTGTAACCACTTGCAGCTTCTCTTTCTTGCTCACGCCTCTTTCCTGAGCTCTAGACCTCTGTATCTGACTGTATATAGAACATTCCCTCTTGGATACCTCAAACTTAAATGTTTCAAGCTGAAATGCTCATTATCTGTCTCCCAGCTATCTCTGATAAGAATCTACCCCACCTATTTATGTCCCCACCCAGCTGTTCAAGTAAAAGCCTGGCTATCACTCCTCTTTGCCTTACCCAGCCCATGAAATTAACGGCCAACTGCTAAACACGGGTTGGGCCGTCAGCTGCCTTCTGTCTACTAAAATCCCAGCAGCTGTATCTCCTCTATCTTTCCCCTTCAGTGGCTCTCATTGCCCTCAGAATGAAGCTTGGCATGGGTTACAAAGCTCCTCAAAATTGGGCCATACCTGAGTCTCCCACTGCTCATCTTGCTTGCATGCCACGCTTCAGCCTCTCTTAATGCTTTCAGTTCTCTAAAGATGCCAAATCCTGCTGTTGTTTCTCTGAGCTTTAGCATAGGCTAGTCCTACAATGAATGCTGTCATCCCATCTCATCCCGTCCTCATGCCCCTTCTTCTCTGACTAAACAGCTGCAACTACTCTTTCATTTCTTACTCTATGTCACTTCCTCCAGAAAGCTGTCCCTGACCCCACCCAGCTCCACTGGAGGTGCTCCTACAGCTTGGTCAAAACACTTCCCGTCACAGCACCTGTGCACTGTGTTCTAAGCGTCTTTTAACTTTTCTGAATCTGTGTCCTTATTCCTATGGAAGGGGGATACAGCAGAGTCATTGGGGATACTTTGTCAATCTGCACCCAAAACCTCATCCACTCCTCCCCATTCCCAGTCTGCCATGAGTGTGTACTGAGCACAGGGTGCCCCTGGTTCTCATCCTGTGCTGCACCCCTCCAGTGTGTCACGGTGGGAGAAAGGCTGAGAGCCACTGCCCTAGACTGGCAGCTCCACAGGAAAGACATTGCAGCTGTCCTGTCACCACCATTTCCCCCATGCCTGGCACAGGGCAAGGTGTATGGTTGTAGGCACTCAGGAAGAACCTGTTTGATTGATTGGGGTTGAGAGAATTAGAAAAAAATGTGCACATTGAGTTCTCAGGACGTAAAAGACATTGGGTAAATCTGGATTGTCTTTCCCACCACTTGCTAAAATGGAGCTTAGGAGTTACCATTTGATGCTTTGTGCCTGTCATCCTTGTCACCCTTCATCCTCCAAGTGAAAGGGAAAGATGTTTAGAGTGGGTTCCTAGACATGCCGCATCATTATCGCTTATTGTTTTAAGACATCTTATGAAACCTAGGCCTAAGTTTTTATTGCCACTCTGTTGTTAGTAAGCAAACTGCCTCCATTTATTTTCTCTGTTGATCTGCTTATTGGTTGTGTTTTGTTTGTTTTTGTTTTTTGTTGTTTTTTGTTTTTGAGACAGGGTCTCACTCTGTCACCCAGGCTGGAGTGCAGTGCTGCTATCTTGGCTCACTGCAACCTCCGCCTCCCGGACTCAGGTGATCCTCCCACCTCAGCCTCCCGAATAGCTGGGACCGTAGGCATACACCACCATGCCCTGCTGATTTTTTGGCGGGGCTCTTTTGTAGAGACAGGATTTCGCCACATTGCCCAGGCTGGTCACAAACACCTGGACTCAAGTGATCCATCTGCCTCAGCCTCCCAAAGTGCTGGGATTACAGCTGTGAGCCACTGCACCCAGCCTGGTTGTTTTTTAAGGAGGAACATGGCTCCCAAAATTCTTTTTTGAGGGAAGCTACCTTCAGAAAAGAAACTTTATTCATAATGTCTTTGAAGAAGTAGGACTGAAACTCGGGAGAGTCAAGGCTGGGGATATAAAGGTGTATATTGGGACCTAATGAGACCCATGGCACTTCTGAGTCTTGGCAGGGCTCCACTGGTAAGTGGGTGACTGCAAGGCAGGCATTCGTGGCCTAGGATAGTCCTGCCCAAAAGAAAACAAGATACAGCCAGATTTGGAGTCAGGGCTAGATTTGAGTTTAGCAGTGTGGCCTCGACCAATAGCACAGCCTCTCTGGGTCCTTCCTTGGCTTCATTCTTGGTAAACTGGAATTTGTTTTGTCCTACCTACCTACAATATACCCCATGGATTATCACAATAAAAACAGTTTGTAAGATATAAAGTAGTGTATAAATATTGAGTATTATTAATATGCAATGTAACTGTAAAGTGGTCAGTTATGTACTGAAAGTCAACACACATTTATTGAGCATCATATGGTTAGGTGATAGGACACAAAAGATGAATGAAGATGAAAAGAAATGTATATTTATTGATCCTGCCGACTTGTGTTCCAAGTGCTTTACAGTCTTTATCTCTTTTAATGTTGCCCAGACTGCCTTCAAGAGGCTGATGCTCAGAAGGATGACACAGGTACCTATTAAAATTCATATAAAGCCAACTATGATAAATGCCAAAATTGTCAAGGCTTAACGAGTCCTTAATAAGTCCTGATTATTTTACCTCGGAAATTTCTCTGATTTGACCCTTCTCTCTTACCCTGTAGCCACTGCCCTAATCTTCTGTGTTTTTAAGCTTTCTTCGACCATGAGGCATGGTAAGAAATACATTTTACATTGTGACACAAGAAATGCATTTTGCAGTTCAAATTTTAATAAAGTCACTTTTATATGCGATGTGAACAATTCGCAAAATGCAACTAAGAGAGGGAATCTACTCAAGATTTAAATACAACAATTAACTCTCCATTTTTTTTTGTCATTTATTTTCCAGGTAATAAACCCTACATTGCACTTTATGGTTTCAACCCTGTCGTACTTTGTGTCCAACATGATGGTACCTATGTTGAATGAGGGAGCAATTAATCTGCGAGACTCTCAGAGGTGAGGGTGAAGGTGGAGAAGGTATAAAGAAATAATGCCATTGATACTTGGCTATGGAAGAATAAAGTAGGATTAACAGACCTATCCGGAGGGGAAGGGCATGTCAAGTGGAGGGAACAGCAGTGGTGAAAAGATGGAGATAGGAGAGTTAGCAAGTGGGGGGAAAGTTCATGGAAGTGAGGTGTAGTGGAGAGTGAGGGCACTGGGTAGAGATAAGGGTGAAATATTACAGTGGGGCTGGTTGTGGAGGACCCTAGATATCATGCTATGAAATATGGATTTTGGCCAGGCGTGATGGCTCACACATGTAATCCCAGCACTTTGGGAGGCCGAGGCGGGTGGATCACTTGAGGTCAAGAGTTGAAGACCAGCCTAGCCAACATGGCGAAACCCCATCTCTACTAAAAATACAAAAAATTAGTCGGGTATGGTGGCACATGCCTGTAGTCCCAGCTACTTAGGAGGCTGTGGCAGGAGAATCACTTGAACCTGGGACGTGGAGTTTGCAGTGAGCCGAGATTGCACTACTGAACTCCAGCCTGGGCAACAGAGTGAGACTCTGTCTCAAAAAAAAAAAAAAAAAAAAAGAAAAGAAAAGAAAAAAGAAAGAAAG
Source organism: Homo sapiens (assembly GCF_000001405.40). Classification (NCBI taxonomy): domain Eukaryota; kingdom Metazoa; phylum Chordata; class Mammalia; order Primates; family Hominidae; genus Homo; species Homo sapiens. The sequence goes on along the minus strand of NC_000012.12, from coordinate 25,379,645 downwards.
AAAAGAAATATGGATTTTACTTTACAGGTAATAATGAGTCAGGCTCCAAGGACATTTTTTTTTTCTAAGAAAAAAGTGACAGGGTTAGAGCTGTCTTTTTTCAGAAAGGTAGCTGCACAGAAGCCAGACTGGAGACAAAGAGACAAGATGGGAAGTAACTGTAACTTAGACAAGTGATCACGAGAGCCTAGAACAGGGGTTTTTCAAACTGTGGTTCACAACCCGTTAGTGAATCCTGAAATGATTTTAGTGGGTCACAACCAAAAAATGTTGTTTCATCCATCTCCCATTTTATGTATTCATAATTACAGGTTATGCATAAACTTTCTGGGCAGTTTAAATTTTTAATAAACTCTCCTCTATGATAGATTTAACTATTTAAAATGAAGAAAGTGAGCTTACTTAAAATTTAGCATGTTTAACTACAGAAACGTTAACTTTCAACATAGACACTGTCATTTTGGATAAAAAGTATGACAAGATTGAAACCATGAAGTATAATGTTAAAATGAGGAAAACATGGATAGTTAATTGTTGGATTTAAATCTTGAGTAGATTCCCTCTTGGCTACATTTTACAAAATTGTGTTTTATATAAAAGTGACTTTATTAAAAATCTGAACTTCAGAATTATGAACCCCGAAAATTTGAGACAGGTCTCAAATAATTTAGAAAGTTTATTTTGGCAAGGTTGAAGACGCACCCATGACACAGCCTCAGGAGGTCCTGACAACATGTACCCAAGGTGGTCAGGGCACAGCTTGGTTTGATGCATTTTAGGAAGACATGAGACATCAATCAATGTATGTAAGAAGTACATTGGGTCAGTCTGGAAAGGCAGGACAACTTGAAGCAAAGGCAGGAGGACTGGAAGTGGGGAGAGAGCTTCCAGGTCACAGATAGGTGATACACAAACAGTTACATTCTTTTGAGGTTCTGATTAGCCTTCCCAAAGGAGGCAATTAGATATGCATCTATCTCAGTGAGCAAAGGGGTGACTTTGAATAGAATGAGAGGCAGGTTTGCCCTAAGTAGTTTCCAGCTTGAGTTCTCCATAGTGATTTTGGAGGCCTAAGATATTTTGCTTTCACAGAATCCTCCCCTCCCCTCCTACCCTACCCTACACTTCCCTTCCCTTCCCTTCTCTCTTTTTTGTCTCGCTCTGTTGCCCAGGCTGGGAGTGCAGTGGCGCCATCTCGGCTTACTACTACCTCTGCCTCCCGGGTTCAAGCAATTCTCGTGCCTCAGCCTCCCAAGTACCTGGGATTACAGGTGCCAGCCACCACGCCTGTCTAATTTTTGTATTTTTAGTAGAGACTGGGTTTTGCCATGTTGGCCAGGCTGGTCTTGGACTACTGACCTCAAGTGATCCGCCCGCCTCGCCTCCCAACGTGCTGGAATTAGAGGCGTGAGCCACCACATCCAGCCCAGAATGCATTTCTTGTGTCACAATGCAAAATGTATTTCTTACCGTGGGTCATGGTTGAAGAAAGCTTAAAAACACAGACTTAGAAGATTAGGGTAGTGGCTATGGAGTGAGAGAGAAAGGGTCAAGATATCAGAGAAATTTCTGAGGTAAAATAGTGAGGACTTATTGACAATTGGATGTGGGGGTAAAGGAGAAGGAAATTAAGGATGACTCACTGGTTTCTAATTTGGGCTGCCAGGGCACATGGGGATATGGCTCAGTTCATTTCCACCAGTATCTCTTGATAGAAAGTATGGAAGCATAGACAAATGAGGAGGGCATTTTTGGAGCTCTTGAGGCACTCCACATAAGTGAAAAAGACTTGTAAACAGGGTATCTTAATAAAACATGGTAACTGCAGTCATAGAAGTATGCATGAGCCCAGAGGCAGCCCAGCGTGGGTGTTCAGAGAAGCTTTCCAGAGAAGACATTCTTTCTGAGATGCGTTTTGAAGGAGAGTTAAAGTCAGCCAGAAGTAGATAGGTAAGAAGGAAACTGACAAGACCAGCGAGAAGGAAGAGCAGGATGTTTATATGAGTCGCTGTGTGTATGCACATAATGTGAGTGGGTGTGTGAGCCAGTGTTGTAAGCAATGTGCTGTTACTAGAACCTTGAGAAGCAAGAGAGGAAGCTGGCTAGGGTAGAGATGGGTTGTAAAAAGCCTTGTCCTTCATGCTAAGGAGCTTAGCTCTTGTGTAAGATATAAAGAGTTACGGGGGTGAGGGGGTGCAGGGAAGGGGAGGGTTATTTGGGGGGGGTTTTGTGGGGTTTGCTTTTTTTGGTTTTTTTTTTTGAGACAGAGTCTTGTTCTGTCGCCCAGGCTGGAGTGCAGTGGTGTGATCTCAGCTCACTGCAACCTCTTTCTCCTAAGCTCAAGCAATCCTCCCATCTCAGCCTCCCAGCTAGCTGGGACTACATGTGCACACCACCCCGCCTGGCTAATTTTTGTATTTTTTGTAGAGACAGGTTTTTGCCATGTTGCTCAGGCTGGTCTCCAACTCCTGGGCTCAAGCAGTTTGCCCGCCTAGTCCTCCCACAGTACTGAGATTACAGGCGTGAGCAACCACACCAAGCCTGGAGGGGTTTTCAATGAGGTTAATAGTGACAAGGGCAAAATAAGGTGACTATTTTTCTTTTTTTCATGTTATAGTCCTCTTTTAAAAAATTATTATTTTAGATTCAGATGGTACATGTGCAGGTTTGTTACATGGGTATATTGTGTGATGCTGAAGTTTGGGCTTCTAATTATCCCATCACCCAAGTAGTGAACATAGTATCCGATAGGTAGTTTTTCAATCCTTGCCCCTTTCCCTCCCTTCCCTCTTTGGAATCTCCAATGTTTATTGCTCCCATCTTTGTGTCCATGTGTACCCAATGTTTAGCTCCCACTTATAAGTGAGAACATGCAGTGTTTGGTTTTCTGTTCCTGTGTCAATTCATTTAGGATAATGGTGACCAGCTGCATCCGTGTTGCTGCAAAGGACATGATTTCCTTTTTTTTTTTTTTTTTTTTTTTTTGTGGTTGCATGGAGTAAGTCTTTAAGGGGAATTAGACTGAAGGTCAAAAGATTGGAAATGGAGAAGTTAGTCTAGGTATGAGTTGCTGGACTGTACTAGGGCAGCAAAAAAAGGTGAAGAGAAATATAGAGAGCTACAGATTGACAAGGCTTGGTTACTAACTGAATATGGAGAACTCTTATCAGTCAGTGTCTGCTCAGGAAAACAGAACCCATGCCAGCAAGTTTAATAGTAAAAAGTTAATTATGGAGAACTTGTTTGAAAAGACATTAGAAAAACTGAAAAGGCGGATAGAAAACAGGAAACTTATAAGGAATAAGGCAGAGCAGGGCTACTACCCCAAAGCTGGAGGGACCAAAGGGACAGGTGGTATTACCGGAGTCCAGGAGCTATGGCTGCCTGGAGGCAGCTGGACCAGAAAAGAGAGGCAGTCACTATGGGAGAAGCACCCTGAAACAAAGAAAGGGAAGATACAGGCTGGTTTTCCTCCTCCTGCTGTCCCGTTATCTTCAGTTGCCCAAATCTAACTAGAAGCCAGTTGGGAAGGGAGCCTGGGAAATGTGACTTTTTGCAAAAAGAGCAAAGCAAGGGAAGGTGAGAAAATAGAAATGAGCATAAATAGGCAAATAAATACGGAATGAGGATAAAGAGGTAGATTAATTCCTCCCTGAAATTTGCTTAGATCAAGGTTGGAGGATAGTGTCAGAACCTGGGATTAGGAAATCAGGAAGAGGATGGGAAGACAGATAAGAAAAACATATAATCTGAATTACTGACTTTTTAAAGTCCCCCTTATTGTAGCATTGTTACGTATATACTTAAGATTATAGGTAGGCCGGGCGCAGATGCTCACGCCTGTAATCCTACCACTTTGGAAGCCTGAGCGGGTGGATTACCTGAGGTCAGGAGTTTAGACCAGCCTGGCCAACATGATGAAACCCTGTCTCTACTAAAAATACAAAAATTAGCTGGAAATCACTTGAACCCAGGACACGGAGGTTGTTGTAGTGAGTCAAGCTCGTGCCACTGCACTCCAGCCTGGGCAACAGAGCAAGACTCCATCTCAAAAAAAAAAAAATTTTTTTTTAAATTTTAAAAGAATAATTTTAATAAATATTTAGAATGGTTTTGTAGAGTCTGTTAACATGGTGGGAGAGGAAATTCAATGTTTTGAAATGCACAGTTCTTCCCCTGCAAAATTTATCCTCCCCCTAGGACTTGTTTGTAACGTTCATGTTTGCAATCTGTAGAAAAACTGGAGGAATTTGCAGGGCGTGGTGGCTCATGCCTGTAATCCCAGCTCTCAGGGAGGCAAGAGGCGGGAGGATAGCTTGAGCCCAGGAGTTCGAGACCTGCCTGGGCAATATAGCGAGACCCCGTTCTCCAGAAAAAGGAAAAAAAAAAAACAAAAACAAGAAAAACAGGAGGAATTTATTGAATCTTTACTAAGTGCCACCCACTGTATCATTAAACAGCCTTTGTAACAACAGATGACACACACTATCTCATTTAATCCATATAATAGTTTTATGAGGTAGGGACTATTTCCCGTTACTATGTTACAGATGAGGAAACTGATACCTAGTGAGGTTTAGTGTCCCTCTTCCCCTTCCCACCTAAACCTTACAGCAGTTAAATGTTGGCTAGTGCCAGAGCATTCGGCTGTCTGATTCAATGCCCAGGCCCTTCTCCCCTGTACTGTAAATGTCTTACAAACTCCAAAGTGTGTCAATCCAAATAATTAAAACGGTGATACTGTAATTGTACCTATATACATCAGTTTCCTATGAACTAGTGAATGTTTTAGTGAATGTTCTCACTTCTTGTTCACCGTAGAGTTTAATAATTGTGCTTTTGTTTCCCAATCTGCAAAATGGGAGTGCAGCAGTCAAGAACTCCTATGGTGGCAAGGGACCAGAAAGCTAAGTCAACATGGCTTATGCATCAAAAGAAGCTTATTGCTGGGCGCAGTGACTCAGGCCTGTAATCCCAACACTTTGGGAGGACGAGGTGGGAGGATTGCTTTGAGCTCAGGAGTTCCAGACCAGCTTGGGCAATATGGCCAGGTATTGTATTTTTTTCTCTACAAATAATACAAAAAAAATTACCCGGGCGTGGTGGCACACACCTGTAATCCCAGATATTCAGGTGGCTGAGGTATGAGAATTGCTTGAACCTGGGAGGCAGAGGTTGCAGTGAGCCAAGATTGCGCCACTGCACTCCAGCCAGGGTGACAGAGTGAGACACTGTCTCAAAACAAACAAACAAACAACGACAACAACAACAAAACCCAGCAGCTTATTGACTCACTTAAGCTAAAAACTCCAAGTGTTGGTTAGTCTTTCACCATTGTTAGATATGGCTCAAGTGACACTATCGGGATTATTTTTCACTCTCCGTGTATTAGCTCTGCTCTGCCTCGGCCTCATTCTCTTGCAGGCTCTCTCCTGGTGGCCAAAAAATAAAGATAAAAGGTGGCCTTCCAAGTTTACATGTCCTTGTTATCTGGTGGCCTCAGAAAGAGAGATGCCATCTATTTCCCAGCATCCCTGTCAACCTCCAAGGTCCAGTTTGGTTGCATGGCCCCCTCCAGACTAACCACTGTGTCGAGGAAATGGGACTCTCTTGATGTTCAGGCCTGTACTGGGGAAGGCAGAGCTGTTTGGTTGACAGTTCTATTAGAACCCCATGATGCTGGGGAGGGAAGCAGTTGCCCAGAGCAAGGCTTAAAGGGCAGTAACCAAGTCACAGATTTCCACACTACAGGGAATATCTGAAACTCATTCTTCTGCTTATCCAAACAGAATTCTGGAAGTGTTCAAGACCACTGCATAATTGTGCATTCTACTCTTCATTTGACTAAGAAGACATTTCCTTGCACTTCTTTTTTTAATAGCGCTTCTACTTGGAATTCTATGCCTCTTTCTTCAGGAGGCAAAGTTAAAGCATCAGAGTAACATATACTTTCGGAAAACATTCAGAGCCTCTCTAGCAACACCACATTTGTACTCCCTCCTGTCTTCCCTCCAAACTCCTCCCACACCTTCCCTCAAGAAATCTGAATTGTGATTCTGTAGAAAACCACTGGGTCTCATTTCTGATATATGTGGTCAGCAGGGTGTCCCAAGATCTAAGGTGTTGTTCTGACAATCAGTCATTCTATTTTTTTTTCTTTTGGCAACTGAAGACCCTCATTTAATTATTGAAATATTTTAGGAGGTTTTCAAAAGAATCAGTGAGTGCCATTTGAAAACTGCCTTCTGCTCTTTTGCCCTCTCTAATCCCATGCTAGCCTGGTTTATTTTAGAAGCCAGCCTGATGACCAAGATTATTCTTTAAAACACTGAGACTGGCAAGGCAGATGCTTCACAGAAAGTGGACAAGGACTCAGCCGGGGCCAGTTGTTTGTTTGTTTCCCGTTGGCATGCAGTCCAGCTTTAAAGAGTGTTACTACTGGAGTTTTAAATCTGCCAGTACATGTTAAGTATATCCTATACAATTTTTCATGAAACTTGCTTCAACTTGCCAGTACAGCTAGCTGGATGCCTATGCAAATGACCTATTCTGCTTCTGAAAATGTCTGCAATTAGTACAGCATGCTGGTCTTCCATGAATTGTTTTCTGTGTTATTAATAATAAGGGGACTATTCCTTCCTATATTGAAATATGTTAATATTTGTTCAGCAATCCACAAATACAATGTTTCTATCATTCAGCTGGAGTCCTATTTTTCTGGTGTTTTCACATTGTGGAGATTCTCTCTGCTGGTCTGGCTAGCTATTTTGGAAACAAAAGGTAGATCCAATTCTTACTTAAGTGTTGTTACAAGCCTTATGCTCCTATTTATTTAATTCTGTGCTGTTACTGTCTGGGTGGTTAGGACTTCTACGTGTAATTTTTTTTTTTTTTTTTTTTTTGAGACAGAGTCTTGCTCTGTCACCCAGGCTGGAGTGCAATGGCGCCATCTCAGCTCACTGCAACCTCCACCTCCCAGGTTCAAACTGTTGTCCTGCCTCAGCCTCCCAAGTACCTGGAACTACAGGTGTGCACCACCATGCCCAGATAATTTTTGTATTTTTAGTAGAGACGAGGTTTTGCCATGTTGGCCAGGCTGGTCTCGAACTCGTGACCTCAGTTGATCCACTTGCCTTGGCCTCCCAAAGTGCTAGGATTACAAGCCTGAGGCACCGTGCCTGGCCTTCTAAGTGTAATTTGCCTATTTTATTTTTATAGCCAAGAACACTGTTACATATTAAAACCATTTAGCTTAGCCTTCTTAGGGCTAAGTAAAACTAGTTCCCATACCCATTTCATGCCCAGTGTTCTTTCATCATTCTTTGTGCTATGTTCTGTATCCTTTCTAGTTTCTCCACATTCTTTTAAAAATATGAAACCTCAGACTGGATGTGAGTTTCTAATATGGGCTTGACCAACCTTACATATACTGGGAAAATTACTTCATGGTTTTTGTGTGTCATATTTCAGTTAATATACTGGAGCACCATGTCAGCTCTTTTTAAATAGCAGTTCTACATTGCTGACACATTCATGATGACTTAAGCTGGGCACCTAGATGATACTATAAAGCTGGCTTTCAACTATTTTAAGTTAAAGCATTATGAAAGTTGTTATGGTGGCTATAACTACCATTCCAGGAAAATCTCCTTCAAATAGATCATTGTCCTCATATTTTACATTTTGGTTATTTTTTTCCTTCTGAAAGTTCAAAGTCCTTAGCAGTAAGTTGTCTAGCCCCAATTAATTATATGGTTTCAAAATAAAATTTTACACTTATATCCTGTAATTTTAGACTGCCAAGCAAAACTTCTCAGGGAGGGCTCTCCTTTTAATCCAGTATTCTCAAACACTTTTCCCACTTCTTTTAGGGGCTCCTGCTTTTTAATTCTTGGACACCTAAGAACAAGCACCGCAGGCTTTACTTAAGACTTCTCATAACTAAATAAAATTAGTAGGTTTTCATATAATTAGCATATCTTAAAGTTTCTATTCAAAAATGCTATTTTTCATGTGTTTAATCACGTATTTCCTTCCCTCCCACTTCTATTTAATCATACCTAATATTATATAGTTTTAAAATGTTTTTGAGATGGGGTCTGGTTCTGTTGCCCAGGCTGGAGTTCAGTGGCACAGTCTTGGCTCACTGCAACCTCCGCCTCAGGGACTCAAGGGATTCTCCCACCTCAGCCTCCTGAGTAGCTGGGACTACAGGTGCCCACCACCATACCGGACTAATATTTTTTTAGTTTTCATAGAGATGGGATTTCACCATGTTTCTCAGGCTAGCCTCGAACTCCTGAGCTCAAGTGATCCGCCTGCCTCAGCCTCCCAAAGTGCTGGGATTACAGGTGTGAGCCACTGCACCCAGCCTAATATCTTTTTTTTTTTTTTTTTGAGACGGAGTCTTGCTCTGTCACCCAGGCTGAAGTGCAGTGGCATGATCTTAATTTACTGAAACCTCTGCCTCCCAGATTCAAGCAATTCTCCTGCCTCAGTCTCTTGAGTAGCCGAGATTACAGGCGCCCTCCACCACCCCTGGCTGATTCTTCTATTTTTAGTAGAGACGGGTTTTACCATATTGGCCAGGCTGGTCTTGAACTCCTGACCTCAAGTGATCCACCTGCCTTGGCCTCCCAAAGTGCTGGGATTACAGGTGTGAGCCACCATGCCCAGCCCTATCATATTTAAATAGTACTATTTAATCGGCTGGGCACAGTGGCTCACGCCTCTAATTCCAGAATTTTGGAAGGCCAAGGCGGGCGGATCACAAGGTCAGGAGTTCGAGACCAGTCTGGCCAACATAGTGGAACCCTGTTTCTACTAAAAATACAAAAATTAGCCGGGTGTGATGGTATGCGCCTGTAATCCCAGCTACTCAGGAGGCTGTGGCAGGAGAATCACGTGAACCCAGGAGGCGGAGTTTGTAGTGAGCCAAGATCATGCCATTGTACTCTAGCCTGGGTGACAACGCGAGACTCCGTCTCAAAAAAAAAAAAAAAAAAAAAAGTACTATTTAATTATACCTCCTATCACTTTTATTTATTTATTTGGTAAACACAGAGTTTCCACAGCTCACTATATTGCCCAGGCTGGTCACAAACTCCTGGTCTCAAGTGATCCTCCTGTGTCCGGAATTGGTGGGTTCTTGGTCTCACTGACTTCAAGAATGAAGCCACGGACCCTTGCGGTGAGTGTTACAGTTCTTAAAGGTGGCGTGTCCGGAGTTTGTTCCTTCTGATGTTCGGATGTGTTCGGAGTTTCTTCTGGTGGGTTCGTGGTCTTGCCGGCTCAGGAGTGAACCTGCAGACCTTTGCGGTGAGTGTTACAGCTCATAAAGGCAGTGTGGACCCATAGAGTGAACAGCAGCAAGATTTATTGCGATGAGCGAAAGAACAAAGCTTCCACAGTCTGGAAGGGGACCAGAGCGGGTTGCTACTGCTGGCTGGGGCAGCCTGCTTTTATTCTCTTATCTGGCCCCACCCACATCCTGCTGATTGGTAGAGCCCAGAGGTCTGTTTTGACAGGGTGCTGATTGGTGTGTTTACAATCCCTGAGCCAGACACAAAGGTTCTCCACGTCCCCACCAGATTAGCTAGATACAGAGTGTCAACACAAAGGTTCTCCAAGGCCCCACCAGAGTAGCTAGATACAGAGTGTCAATTGGTGCATTCACAAACCCTGAGCTAGACCACAGGGTGCTGATTGGTGTGTTTACAAACCTTGAGCTAGATACAGAGTGCCGATTGGTGTATTTACAATCCCTGAGCTAGACATAAAGGTTCTCCACCTCCCCACCAGACTCAGGAGCCCAGCTGGAGCCCAGCTGGCTTCACCCAGTGGATCCCGCACAGGGGCTGCAGGTGGAGCTGCCTGCCAGTCTTGTGCCGTGCGCCCACACTCCTCAGGCGTTGTGTGGTCGATGGGACTGGGCGCCGTGGAGCAGGGGGCGGCGCTCATCGCGTAGGCTCAGACCGCACAGTAGCCCACGGAGGGGGTGGGAGGCTCAGGCATGGTGGGCTGCAGGTCCCAAGCCCTGCCCTGCAGGAAGGCAGCTAAGGCCCAGAGAGAAATGAGTGCAGTGCCGGTAGGCTGGCACTGCTGGGGGACCCAGTACACCCCCCGCAGCCGCTGGCCCGGGTGCTAAGCCCCTCATTGCCCGGGGCCAGCAGGGCCGGCCGCCTGCTCCGAGTGCGGGGCCCGCCAAGCCCACGCCAACCCGGAACTCCAGCTGGCCCGCAAGCGCCGCGTGCAGCTCCGGTTCCTGCTCTCCGTTCACACTTCCCTGCAAGCTGAGGGAGCCGGCTCCGGCCTTGGCCAGCCCAGAAAGGGGCTCCCACAGTGCAGCGGTGGGCTGAAGGGCTCCTCAAGTGCCGCCAAAGTGGGAGCCCAGGCAGAGGAGGCACCGAGAGCGAGCGAGGGCTGTGAGGACTGCCAGCACGCTGTCACCTCTACTCCTACCTCAGCCTTCCAAAGCACTGGGATTGTAAGCATGAGCCGCTATGCCCAGCCATACCGCACATTACTATTAAATAATAGTGCTAAATTTATGAAGATATCATAAATTTATAAGTCCTGGTCAATATGGTAATATTCTATCTGCATGTAGTATTTGACCTTCTCTTTGGAGTTCATTAGATTACAAATAGACAGAGAGTGTCCATCTAAATTTACAATGTAAATCCATTTTTTTTAGCTAGGCTCATGAGTCATTTTGATTACTGTATTGATTGACAGTATTGTGCCTCCATCCATTTAATTTTTCTTTAGAGAGGCCTGTAATCCATTTCATTTCTGAAATGGTCAGGGTTCATTTGCAAAGAATAAAATCTACTGAAGCTAGTTTAAGCAGGAAAGGATTTATTATGGGGTATTAACTGGCTTAAGAACCATTGAAATACTGAGGAAACAGACTGGAGGTGGAGCTTTAAGGACAACTCACAAAGCTATGCCACAGAACTGGACCACCAAGGTAGCTATTGCCTCTTCTCCAGTCAGGAAGCTGCAGGTTCTAGAATTACATTACCACTGCCACCATACCTACTGCCATACCTACTGGCTTCAGAACTGCTTCATACTTATCATAATCCATACCAGCAAAACCCATGCCCTACCTCTTGCCGTTTTTAACCATGAAGCTAATGACTAGACAGTGAGGGTGCTCTACTAATGCTGTCACAGAAAGCCCAACACCTCCACAACTGTGCTTGACAGACAAGGTAACAGAAGCAAGGTTTGCTCTCACATGAATGTTTCACACTGGCTGAATCCAAATAAATTTTGAGACCCAGCTGCAAGGAGTCTGGGAGACCTTCCAGTTTCTGCAGAATAGGCAGGCACATTGGAAAGATGATGGAAAGGGTATTAAACACCAGTCTACAAAAATCATCACAACCACAATCAAATGTTATCTTAAATTCATTGGAATTTAAATGAGTATGCCTCCAAGCCTTGTAGTGATAAATGGAAATACTTTTACTTTTGTCATCTTTGTTTCATTTTTTTAAAAATAAAATTACTATCTCTTTCAATGGCAAGTTATAAATCAATTTTGTTATTAATTAGGGTTGAATCCCTTCCTTACAACTCTTAATGCAAATATACCTCCAATGATATTTTTATATAGGATTAAATATTACAACAGCTCTCTGTGATGAGCATTAATGAATCAATTATGTTCTCATATAATAATATATGAGCATCTGCTACACATATTACATCTAAGTAGACACAGTAGAGATTGAAAAAAATAGACACATAGCACATTGCTATTTTCCTCAAGCAACTCACATTAAAATGGGAAACAAATACACATGGAAAGATGTGCCTTCTAATTCAAAAAAATCTGGGTTCAAATCTCTCCTACTTTATCTATGAGGTGTGTAACATTGCCATATATATGTGTATATGCCAGATATGCACATATATCAGTATAGATATAGAGAAAAAACTTGGTAGCTAGAATAGCGAGAACTTAGTAGGCCTTGAATAAACTATAGCTACTATGGAGTTATAATGATAAAAGCAATACAGAAATTACAAGAGGATACAGTAAATGATTGTCATCAAGTGAGTGATGAAAGTAAGTATCTTATAAAGCATTCAATCATTTGTATTGCAGAAGCTAATTTTAGCATGAAGTGTTAACATTTTTATCTAGACTGATCCATGGAAGTTTGCTGGTCAGCGTGAGCTCTGTTAGGGTCATTGCAGTTTTTTCTTGGCTTTTGCCCTCTTGCACTCTACCAGTGGCTTATTTCCCTGCCTTGTAATCCAGGTTCTTTCTCACCAGATTCCCCCATCAAATGGACAGTCCAATGAGGGACAGATGGGGTTGTGCAAGAACAGGCTGTTGGGCCAGTATGGGGCAGGTTGGGGGTGTCTTTGGCAAGACCGAAGCCCAACAGATGTCAGAAACAACAGAAACTGATTTGCCTGCCTTTAAGGCGGGGACTACTATATGTCTTCTCTGGATAGGTGTTCAATATTTTGACAATAAAAACAAGGCCACCTTGCCCATGTGTGTTTGTTTACCATGGCATTGTCCCCACTGCATATGATTTTTAAAATGTATTTGAGTCCCGTTTCCTTGATGCAGATGCCTCTTTATTGTTTGTTGAGGTAGCAGACCACCCACATTATAATTTTCCCTAATGTAAAAACTGATAATAGCTAATATTTATCCAATGCTTACTATGTGTCAGTCACTTTTACATACTTTGTTTACTTTATCTCATTTCATTTTAATTCAATGAAGTGAATGAATCTTGATTTTTACACATGAGGAAATAGATGATGAAAAAGCCCATCTTGGAAAAATATTTATTGAAATGAGCTGTTTCACTCATGCATATATGTATGTATGTGTGTGTGTGTATCTGTTTTATGTGTGTGTGTGCAAAAAAATCTTCGCAAAAACCACATAAGAATTATACACACGGGTGACATATAAAAAAACAAAGATGCACTCAAAAACAACCCAAAAATGTTTTATCTGGGTAGTGAGATTTTTGTTTTAGAACCTTTTTCTCCTCAAGTTTTCTACAACAAAGATTTTAAAAACTTTTGGTAGCTATAAAACTTTCAATAAATGCAGACAATTTTTGCTTGATGGCACAGTATACTTTCAGCATCATATAGTTAACTCAAACAGCATACTCTTTGACTAGTTAAATCTAGTATTCATAATTATATATTTACATCAGATTTTGAAGCATAATTTATTTACATTAAAATTCATCCCCTTCTAATGTACAGTTCAATGAGCTTTGACACATGTCCAAAATCATATAGTGACAACCACAATCAAGATAAAGAACATCTCCATTCCCCAGAAAGTTCCCGCGCCTTTATAGGCAGCCCTTGGCAAGCACTGATCTGTTTTCTGTCCCTGGAGTTTTGCCTTTTCCAGAATATGATATAAACGGAATCATGCAGTCTTTTGTTTCTGGCTTCTTTCATTATAAATATAATATTTGATTACCTTTCATTACAATATGAAGCTGGGATATTTAATAATAATAGGTTTCTTTTATTCATTTGAACTGTATAAAGTTGTAATTGGGGTGCCTTTAATTATCTTTAGTCTTTTACTTAAAAACGTACCTTTTTTTCCCCAAAAAAACTTTTATATTACAGACAGCCAATACATTCTAGCTCATAGATTCAGGTTTATTTGCTAGATTGCCAGAAGTGAAAAACTGAACAAAACAAAATGAAACTTATATCAACTGTTGTACATTTAAGGTAATCTATAGGAAAACAATTTATTTGTAATCCTTTGAAAGAATTAAAATGCAAAATGTCTGATCTACTTCACTGTGGTTACAGAAATGTCTAAGAAAAGCATGTCTTTCCACTTGTAAGAATTTCAGTTTTCCATTGTAGATTTGTCTTGATAGGAACTGCAAATGACTGTTATTAGCCGTTCAGTTCTGACAGCAAGTTCAAAATCTATCAAATTTATTGTCTGAGCACATGGTGAAGCAAACCTTCAAGCTCAAAAAAAGCCTCTTAGTTGTATATCTTGTTAGAGAGTTTTTTAAACATACCGTTGGGGTGTCTTAAAATTTGATGTGAACTTTAGCTCTGCACATGTAACTGCTTCGATGTGGGAGGAAAGCATTTGAAACAGAACCATTCTTTTGGTGACTTTGCACATTGCTAATCCTTTAGCTGAATATTTTCAAGGTCATCAATTACAATTTTTAAAAACAGCTTCATTGAGATGTAATTAAATTATCACAGATTTTATCCATTTAAAATGTACAAGTCAACAGTTTTTAGCATATTTACAGAACAGTGCAGCCATTATCATAATCCAGTTTTAGAACATTTTCATCATCCCAAAAGGAAACTTTCAACCCATTAACAGTCATTCTCCTCCCTCCCACCCCCAGCCCCAGGCAACCACTAATCTACTTTCTAGATGACAATGGTTTTTAACTTGAAGTGTTTTGGTTTCTGTTGCTGTTTTTTTTTTTAAGCCCTGTAGCTAAAGGGAGGGCGTATTTCCATATTTACTTGATGTTAATTTTTTTTTTTTAATTTTAGACACTAAGGGCAATTCATCGTTACCTTTGCAAGAATGCCTAGATGAAGTTAAATTTTTCTAAAAATGGTTCTTTTTAAAAATAGATCTTTCCCTTTCTTCCCCCTTTACAATTTTTAACACTCTTTTCTTTTCAATCCTTTGAACGTGTAGCTAACGGACAGTTGGTGCTCAGGAAAGCAAATATTAGCATGAGTGGTTCCAAAAACCCCTTCCTTTAGCAATTAACAGAGAGTTTACATTGCTAAAAATATTTCAATAACACACATTTTCTCAACAAGTTACTTAGCACAAATAAACCACAAAAGTTTTTAAATATATGAACAGCAGCACTTTTGTTGCATGTGTTTTTTTTAAGGTCTTGGTCTGTTTAGCATTTAAAGGAAAACTCAGTTGGGTGCGGGTGGAGAGGTACTGCTCCTCTGCTACTTTGTATTATTTTGCTAGTGACCTCAGCTCTTGCCTGAGTTTGTACTACTGGTGAAGAAAAAGTGTTTCTAGTCCTCCCTGCAACAAAGATCTCACTGGCTGAAGGCAAATGCCTGCAATCCCAGCACTTTGGGAGGCTGAGGCGGGCGGATCACGAGATCAGGAGATGGAGACCATCCTGGCTAACACGGTGAAACCCCCTCTCTGCTAAAAAATACAAAAAATTAGCCGGGCATGGTGGCGGGCGCCTGCAGTCCCAGCTACGCGGGAGGCTGAGGCAGGAGAATGGCGTGAACCCAGGAGGCGGAGCTTGCAGCTTGCAGTGAGCCGAGATCGCGCCACTGCACTCCAGCCTGGGCGACAGAGCGAGACTCCGTCTCAAAAAAAAAAAAAAAAAAAAAAAGGAAAAAGAAATAGAGTGCCTTAGAGATGCGTACTTCTTAAAATAGCAGACTCAATAGGAAAAAGGAACCAGAAAATATATTCCATTTGTAGTAATGTGGTCTAATTTGGCTTCTTAAGGTTGACTTCGCATTTCAGAAGAAAAGGTTGCTGTTAAGTTTACTCAGAAATATTTGTTAGATTTATTTTTCTTGTTAGTTTATATGTTAGTTCTGTATTTCTGTGTAACAAATAATCCCAGAATTTAGTGACTTAAAATAATGGCATGTATTATTTCTCACTGTAACAATGGGCCAGAAGAATTAGGGAATGGCTTGGCTGGACAGTTCAGGCTTGGTCTTATCATGAGGTTTGCTCAAATGTCTACTGAGATTGACATGTAAAAGCTTTATCCAGGTACAGATGGCCCACTCACATGGTTGGAAAGTTGGTGGTGACTATAGGTAGGAACTTAGTTTCTCTCCACGTATGCCACTCTGTAGATTTATTTCAATATCCATAACATGGCATCTGACTTCATTTAGAGTAAATAATACAAGAGGACAAGGTACAGCTGCAAAGTCACCTAGCTTCAGAAACCATCTGTTTGTTTTACTGGTCCCACACAGCAGCACTGGCTTCATGTGGGAAAAGACTTTACAAGGGCACGAACACCAAGGGAGGTGAGAATCGGGGCCAGGGGGTGGGGGCGGCCCTCAGAGGCTGGCTACCATAGCTTACACTATAAAACCTTATAGATAATTCTTATTTTATTTTTTAATAAAGATGGAGTCTCACTGTGTTGCCAAAGCTGGTATCAAACTCTTGGGTGTAAACAATCCTCCTGCCTCCCCAGCAGCTAGGATTACAAGTGTGTACCACCACACCCAGCAGCTAATTTTTTTTTTTTTGACAGAGTTTCGCTCTTGTTGCCCAGGCTGGAGTGCAGTGGTGTGATTTCGGCTCACTGCAAACTCCGCCTCCTGGGTTCAAGTGATTCTCCTGCCTCAGCCACCAAGTAGCTGGGACTACAGGCATGTGCCACCATGCCCAACTAATTTTGTATTTTTAATTGAGACGGGGTTTCACCACGTTGGTCAGGCTGGTCTTGAACTCCTGACCTCAGATGATCCTCCCACCTCGGCCTCCCAAAGCACTGGGATTACAGGTGTGAGCCACTGCGACCAGCCCAAATTTTTAAACATTAGCAAAATGCAAAGGTATTAATTTCTTTTCAAATATAAAAATCTTTTTAGGTATATATTTTTATTTTTAAAATATAAAAATCCCTAGTGAACAGCAAAAACCTAATGAAAACGCGTACCTATTTCAGATTCCAAGGCAAATAATCATCTATTCATTGAGAATATGCTGTATCCTCAGAACTGCTGGGAACATATCTTATGGGATGTGACAGAGGCATCTCGGAATTTTATCTGAAGGAAATCTTTGTAACATCTTTTCAGAATCACGTTCTCTGCCAAAAGTTAGGCATGGAATTCAACCCTAATCCCCCAGGATATACCTGTACCTCCAGCTTTCTTTGGTGAATTGGTTTTCTCTTGGTCCTAAAAGAAAGTAGAATGCCACCTATTAGAGAAGGGCCAGGCATAGTGGTTCATGCCTGTAATCCTAACACTTTGGGAGGCCGAGGCGAGAGGATCGCTTGAGCCCAGGAGTTCAGGATCAACCTGGGCAACATAGGGAGACCCTGTCTCTATGAAAAAAAAATTAGCCAGGCATAGTGGTACACATTTATAGTCCAAGCTACTTGGGAGGCTGAGGTGGGAGAATCACTTGAGCCCATGAGGTTGA
The DNA here is from genome assembly GCF_000001405.40 of Homo sapiens. Classification (NCBI taxonomy): domain Eukaryota; kingdom Metazoa; phylum Chordata; class Mammalia; order Primates; family Hominidae; genus Homo; species Homo sapiens. Next base: position 25,362,469 of record NC_000012.12, on the reverse strand, counting down.
GGCTGCAAGTGAGCTGTAATCATACCACTGCACTCCAGCCTGGGTGACAGCGTGAGACCCTGTCTCAAAAAAAAAAAAAAAAAAAAAAAAGAGAGAAGTCTGGATTCTAGCCATGCTTTTTTTTTTTTTTTTGAGACACAGTCTCCCAAGTAACTGGGATTAGAGGTGTGCATCACCACGCCTGGCTAATTTTTTTTTTTTTTTTTTTTTTTTTTTTTTTTTTTTTAGTAGAGACAGGGTTTCACCATGTTGGCCAGGCTGGTCTCAAACTCCTGACCTCAAGTGATCTGCCTGCCTCAGCCTCCCAAAGTGCTAGGATTACATGCATGAGCCACTACGCCCGGCCCCATGCTTTGTTTTGATTATTGGTATACATCCAGCATTCACTGGGATTTTCTTACATTTCTAAGTTTGCTCACAATTGAAAAAAAAAAAGTCTGGAAGGAAATGCACCAAACTATTAACAAAGGGAATTGTGAACATTTATTGGTATTTGTTTCACACCTTTCTCTCGGACAGCAGCCCTCTGTATCTGAAAAACTGTTCCTCTTTCTACTCTTGTCAATTGGTCCAAATGGGGATGGCCATCTTTCTTTCAATTCTATTCCTCTGGCTGCAGCAGTCAGCCAATTGTGCCACCCGAGAACTCCTGGTCATAGTGATTAGTCTAGAGATTAGCGTGTGACCCAAGCCAGACTAATCAGAGTGCTTTCTGAGGGTTCTGCCAATTTACTTCCTCTAAGGAGAGCAAGATTTCTTCCCTCTATAGTCACCAAGATGATTCTTGAGCTGCTGGTGGCCCTTCTCATTCCCAGTGGAAGAGAACCAGTCTGAGATAACAAAGCTAACATGCAGAGATAAGTGGAGATGAGACAGAGCCAGTCATGAGGCCCTGCTTCCCAGGGAACCAGGTCCCACTCTTACCTCTCTGAAGTCTTGGTTATGTAAGCAAATAATTTTCCCTATTTGTTCAAGATGGATCAGACTAGGCTCTTGTTACTAGTATCCTTAAACTCTGATTAGTACATTTTGAGAAGTGGTTGGGAAAATTTCACTTTCAACTTTAGACATTAATTGTACTAATCAGAAATTTTTGGCTACAAATGAAAGGAATGCTATTTGAGCTAGCAAAAGCAAGTGGGAATTTATTAGGTCATGTACCCAAATGTAGGAAGGGCATAGGTGAAGCTGTCCTGAGGCATCTCTAAAACCAAGGATCTAAATGCCATCAAGACTCACTGCTATTTTTCTTTCTAGCTTTCAGCTTTATTCCTCCTTAACTGTGGACTTGCTTTCTTCACCCAGTGGAGACATGGCCACTGCTGGCAGGTTCTAGGCTCACATCTTAACAGCATTTGAGAAGAAAATTCTTCCTCCCCATGTTGAGTCAGTAAAAATCTCAGGAAAGGATTGTGATTGACCTGGCTTGGGCCACAGGTCCATTTCTGCCCCCAATTACCGTGACCAAGAATGTAAGTACTCTCATTGCCCAGATTGATTCGCATGCCCTCTCCTTGATCTTTCCCTGTGGCTGGGGATGTGGGGTCATGTAAAAACAGGGCGGTTCCGACCTAGAAGCAAAATTGAAAGGGAAATAAATGGTTCTTCAGAAAAGGGAGCAAGAAACTGGCTCTGACATGGTCACCGAGAAAAATCTGTATGAAGTAGAGCATCTACCCTAATTTTTGTGTTCACCACATTTTATATTGTTCATATATTTTATAACAAATAGGTAGCATTTGATAAGATATTAAAACTGGGCCGGGCATAGTGGCTCACGCCTGTAATCCCAGCACTTTGGGAGGCCAAGGAGGGCAGATCACGAGGTCAGGAGATTGAGACCATCCTGGCTAACACGGTGAAAACCCCTCTCTACTAAACCCCTGGGCAAAAAGTTAGCTGGGCATGGTGGCGGGCACCTGTAGTCCCAGCTACTCGGGAGGCTGAGGCAGGAGAATGGTGTGAACATGGGAGGCGGAGCTTGCAGTGAGCCGAGATTGTGCCACTGCACTCCAGCCTGGCAACAGAGCGAGACTCTGTCTCAAAAAAAAAAAAAGATATTAAAACTGAGTAAATCTATATTATATATTACCAAATAAATCTTTGTTATATATTTAATATATGTTATATACTACATAATATAGATATAATTACATATATATCATGTATTGTATTATATAGTACTAAACGCTTTCCCCCTGAAGTTATGTCAAGTTTATAAGAAACCTCAGAAATCATGTGGTTTGCAGCCTGGCTAACATGGTGAAATCCTGTCTCTACTAAAAACACAAAAATAAGCTGGGCGTGGTGGTGGGCGCCTGTAATCCCAGCTACCCAGGAGGCTGAGACAGGAGAATTGCTTGAACTCAGGAGGCAAATGTTGCAGCGAGTGGAGATCACGCCACTGCACTTGGGCCTGGGCAACAGAGCGAGACTCCATCTCAAAAAGAAAAAAAGAGAAAGAAATCATGTGGTTTGGCAACTACTAATGCAAAATACCCTCTCATGTCCTGGATCAGGAACGTGAATACCTTCCTATCTTCAGTGATGATGTGAAGAATGATGAACATAGATTTCTCTGGGAAACAAAGAGTTGAGAAATAACAGCAGAGCTGACTAAACCAAGAGCTGTTAATTGATCTGTAATCTTCATATCACCTTGGAAAAATTGCTCTCTCTCTGATTTCCTTTTCTTATTAAAAAATTAGAGTAGGCCAGGTGCGATGGCTCACATCTATAATCCTAGCACTTTGGGAGGCTGAGGCAGGAGGATCTCTTAGTTCAGGAGTTCAAGACCAACCTGGGCAACATAGTAAGATCTCATCTCTACATTTTTTTTTTTTTAATTAGCCAAACATGGTGGCACACACATAGTTTCAGGTACTCGGGTGGCTGAACTGGGAGGATTGCTTGAGCCCAGCAGGTCGAGGCTACAGTGAGCAGTGATCACACTACTGCACTCTAACCTGGGTGACAGAGTAAGACCTGGTCTAAAAAATAAAAAGAGAGAATAATAATAGTAATACTACTGATATTTTAAATATACCACTGGAAGTGGGGTTGGTGGGGGAGTAAGGCTGCAATATCTTACAAACACAATCTATAAGTGGCAGCTTTAATCATTTTCTTTGTATTGTTATTGAGATGAAATCCGACTGGGCACAGTGGCTAACACCTGTGTTAGGTGGGCAGATCACTTGAGGCCAGGAGTTCCAGAACAACCTAAGCAACATGGTGAAACCCCGTCTCTACAAAAAATTAGTTGGTGTGGTGGCGCACACCTGTAGTCCCAGCTCCTCAGGAGGTTGAGGTGAGAGAATTACCTGGGCCGGAGAGGTCGAGGCTGCAGTGAGCCAAGATTGTGCCACTGCACTCCAGCCCGGGTGACAGACTGAGACGCTGTCTCAGAAAAATAATAATAATTTTAAAATAAAATATAATTCATTCAGCTAAGCTATAAAATTAGCCTAAAATGCTGAATGGTAATTTAAGTTCAATTGGTGTATTATTTAGTGTTTATTAAACACCAGCTTCTTCCAGAACCTTTACAGGTTACAAAGTGTGGTCTGTGTTCTCCAGGACTTCTGAGTTTTTCAGCAAGAGTTATGTTTGGTATTCTGGGACACTGCAGTCTTTTGTCAGTGAAGCGCTTTCCCCTAAAGTAAACTGAAATGTTAAAAATGTGAGTGGTATTTTGAATTGTGAGCATTTGAAAGGATATAGATCGACTATATTTGTCATAAGTGTTTAGAATAATATGACATAAAGTATAAAAGTACTAAAAAGGTAAAAATCAATAAGAAAGTAAAACTCACAGCAATTTATGCAAAATTGTGTTTTTCCTGCTTAGTAAGGCAAATGATCATGATGATAATGATAATGATGATGCTAATAATAAATGCCCATCTCTGTGGGTAAGAACCGTTTCATTCCTGCATTTCCAGAGAGACACACCCTTAGGTGTGTCTTAGAAAATGGCCTGGGTCTGAGGTAACAGGGGCACTAGTTGGCTAGGTATTTACCTGAGTGTGCTCTTCTATCATGGTAGAGTGGTAAAGAACATTGAAAACATAAATTCCAGTCCTGGTCTTCCACCTATATGCTGTGTGACTATTGACCTGTGTTATTTCACTTTCGTAGACCTTAGTTTTCTCTTATAAATTTAAATATAGCCAGATGCGGTGGCTCACGCCTGTAATCCCAACATTTTGGAAGGCCAAGACGGGAGGATCATTTGAGCCTCAGGAGTTTGAGACCAGCCTGGGCAACAAAAAGGAGATCCTGTCTCTATTTAAAATAAATAAATAAAATGAATTTAAGTATATATTTATGATATTAAATATATATATATATTTTGTAACAACAACAACTAACCCATCTGCAGACTTGTGCAGATTACAGGAGATGATTAAGTGACATATAGTGCCTGGAATGTCGTGGATGTTCAGCAGGTATTGGTTGAATTGTATGTGTATTATTTTGTCACAAGACAGCCTCACAATTGAGTGATAGTATGGTTTAAAGAGCAAACCATGGGGTTGTGAAGATGGTGAGACAGGGAAAACTGATGGTTAGTGGAACATTCCTGGAGGAAGGCTCTCAGGCAGTGGTGGTAGATATTCCTCCCCTTGGGTGGAGAAAAGTGAGAGTTTAGACTCCCTTTGGTCTGTTTGCCTGGGGCATTCTATGTTGCCTAGTGATCTCTGACATTTCTAAAGTCTTTTGGTCTGCAATGTGGAAAACCAGTGCTTCATCTGAATGGAGTCTGTCCTCAGCGCCCCCACCCCTCACCCCAGACCTTTAGGTCTCCGTCTAGCTTTAGCCCTATCCAGCCAGCTTTGACAAGGGAGGGGGCAGAGGCATTAGGAGATACTGCTTAGCACATTGTTGATGTGATGCTTTAGTTGCTACTGGTTTGTATTTTGAAATAACATTAAAACCAATAGGATGTGAAACTTGGGTTGTAAAATTAATTATGGCTGATGAGCAGAAGGATGCATTTTATAATTATTATAATCTGAGGGTTACAAGAGAGAACTCTCATTTAGGGATGGTTTGTGGGGTACAGCTCCTTTAATCTAGCAACACCTTGTTATAAGATTTCTATGTTAAACAGAGCGATAAATTCTTCATTTAAAGTGAGAAATGTAGCTGACAAATGGAGCAGAATCTCTAATTCATTTGCTCGGTGCATCCTCTCCCTTTGAGCAGCCAGTTGCAGAAGTGAGGACAAGAAACCCAGCAAAGAAGGAAGTCAGTCTTGAGGGAAGCTTCCATCCAGGCCCAGGTGAGGCCGATGAAACACACCTGTCCCTCATAGAAGCACCAAGTCTTTCGTAACTAAGGTGCCGTGTTATTGCTCTTCAGACACCTCTTTCCAAGTCCCCACCTGCTTTTGTGAAAAAGTCTTTATTCACTGTATATACACAGTTGTCCATTTTGTCTTTCATAATTATAATCACATCCATTCATAGGCTTCTTAAATAATACTGTAAACACCCTGACGGGTAGGTTTGTGCATTTTTCCCCCAATACTCCTTTTTTTTTTTGAGATGGAGTCTTGCTCCCAGGCTGGAGTGAAGTGGCGCGATCTTGGCTCACTGCAACCCCCGCCTCCCAGGTTCAAGCAATTCTCCTGCCTCAGCCTATCCCGAGTAGCAGGGATTACAGGTGTTTCACCACCACGCCCAGCTAATTTTTGTATTTTTAGTAGAGACAGGGTTTCACCATGTTGGCCAGGCTGGTCTCGAACTCCTGACCTCAGGATCTGCCTTCCTTAGCCTCCCAAAGTTCTGGGATTACAGGCACGAGCTACCGCGCTCAGCCCCTTCCCGCAAAACTCTTTATTCAGTAATGTCAGCACTCTCTTAGCTCTCTTGGATTCCTTTTTTTTTTTTTTTTTTTTGAGACAGAGTCTTGCTCTGTCACCCAGGCTGGAGTGCAGCGGCACGATCTAGGCTCACTGCAACCTCCACCTCCTGGGTTCAAGCGATTCTCCTGCCTCAGCCTCCCAAGTAGCTGGGACTACAGGCGCGTACCACCACGCCCGACTAATTTTTTTGTATTTTTAGCAGAGATGGGTTTTCACCGTGTTAGCCAGGATGGTCTCAATCTCCTGACCTCATGATCCGCCCACCTCAGCTCCCAAAATGGGATTACAGGCATAAGCCACCGTGCCTGGCCCTTTTTTTTTTTTTTTTTTAAATACAGGGTCTCTGTTGCCCAGGCTCAAGTGTAGTGGCACAATTATAGCTCGCTGCAGTCTGGAATGCCTGAGCTCAAGCCACTCTCCCACCTCAGTCTCCCAAGTAGTTGGAACTACAGGCAGATGCCACTATGCCTGGCTAATTTTTAAAATTCTTTTTAGAAACGGGGTCTCACTATGTTGCCAAGGTTGGTGTCAAACTCCTGGTTTTAAGTGATCCTCCCATGTAGCTGGGATTTCAGGCATGAGCCACCGTGCTCTGCTCTCTCTTGGGTTACTCTTATTCATCACTAATATCATCCATTCTTTAGAGTAATAAATCTTATTTTTCTAGTTTCTAAGTTTTTAGAGGAACACCTTACTTTCCTCAATCTATCAACATTAGTAATAAGCCATGTTAATGCTTGTTCAATCTTCAAGGCTCTAAAAGCCATATTTTCCTATTTCTAGGTCTATAAATTAGTGTGAAATCAAAGTTTGCCTTACGGATTCACGTTTTACCTTATAGATTTGCCGTGTAACAGCAGGATTACCATTCAGGTGGCTAGAGTCACTGTTGTAAGCAAACTTCCAGACAATTTTAAAAATGCATTTTAATGACTTAGTACCAGAGGCTTTCACCACTTGTGACTATATAAAGAGGAAGATTTTTAAATTCTATCGATGATGATTACAATCACATAAAATTGTCTTCAAACTATAGATCCAGTGACCTCAGTATCAAAACGACCTCAATTCCAGGGGCGGTTCTTAGGTGCTCAGCTGAAATTACCCTCTTACCAAAATATCTATATTTTTAAAAATAATTTTATCAAAACTAGGAATTTTTAAACGTTAGATTAGCAACTAAGAAAGAAACTCTTGTAGTCAGGTGTGGTGACTCACACCTATAATCCCAGCACTTTGGGAGGCCAAGGCGGGTGGATCACCTGAGGTCAGGAGTTCAAAACCAGCCTGGCCAACATGGTAAAACCCCGTCTCTACTAAAACTACAAAATTAGCCGGACGTGGTGGCTGGCGCCTGTAATCCCAGTTACTCCATAGGCTGAGGCAGGAGAATCGCTGGAACCCAGGAGGCGGAGGTTGCAGTGAGCTGAGAACATGCCATTGTTACTCCAGCCTGGACAACAGAGTGAGACTCCATCTCAAAAGAAAAAAAGAAAGAAATAAACTTGCTTTACAAATTGTGATAAACTTTAGGAACTAATATAATATGTGCCCTATAGTAAAGTAAGCCAACGTCTAGAGGTAACATTGTTGTGACATAACAATGCAATAAGTATGCATTCTACTGCTGCTATTTATTATTCCTCATTTCCCAATCTTGCTTTTGTCCTTTTTTTATACGAATACATCATTTTGCCTAATTACATAAATAAATATCTTCATTTGTAAAATTGGAGATCTAATAAAATCCCACAGATCTCTTCCAGGTCTAACATCCTGTGGTTTCTTAGTCTTTTCCTCAGATCACTCAGTATCTCTTCTTCACAGCAAGATACCCAGCTTGAATTCAGAGAATCTTTAAGTGGTACAGGATACTATGCAAATGCAAAAAAGTCACTGTTTGACAGAGGAGAAATGAAATGCTAATAATAAGTGGGCATAATTCATGACAACCATTATGATTCTAATGAGCGAATCATGATGGCAAAACCAACAACTTAAACCTATATGGGAACTATGTTTGTGTTCTAGTTTTGATAGACGATAGAGCCACATTCTGTTTTTTGGAACACAGTCTGTATAAATCAGTGATACCAAGTGATAAACTCAGTAGCTCTTTGAGGCACCTTTACTTTTAAAAAAATTGTATCTAACTTTTTAATATGTAACTTTGATTTTTAAATAATTTTAAATTCACAGAAAGGTAGCAAGAATAAAACAAGGGAACTCATATATGCTTTACAGATTCACCAACTTTTAAAAATTTGCTATGTATTATTCTTTAACCATTTGAGAGTAGGTGGCGTGCATCTTCTCCATTTATCCCTTTATACTTCAATGTGTATTTTTTTTTTTTTTTTGAGACAGAGTCTCACTCTGTCGCCTAGGCTGGAGTGCAGTGGCACGATCTCGGGTTCAACCTCTGCCTTCCAGGTTCAAGCAATTCTCTGTCTCAGCCTCCCGAGTAGCTGGGATTACAGGCGCCCTTCACCACGCCCGGCTAATTTTTGTATTTTTAGTAGAGACGGGGCTTCACCATCTTGGCCAGGCTGGTCTTGAACTCCTGACCTCAGGTGATCCACCTGCCTCGGTCTCCCAAAGTGCTGGGATTACAGGCGTGAGACACTGCACCCGGACCAATGTGTATGTTTTAAGAACAAGGATATTCTTTATGTAGTCACAGTACAGTTAACAAGTTGAGAAAATTCAATAGTGCCAGAATATTTCTACTGGAGAGTGTGTGTTCCAATTTTGTCCATTTATTTAACAATGAAATTTATAGCATTTTCCTTCTTCAGTATAGAATTCATTCTAGGTTCATGTATTGCATTTAGTTGCCATTACGGCTAATTCTCCTTTAATCTGAAACAGTCCCTCAGTCTTTGTTTTTCCTGATCTTGACATTTTTCTTACAGATGGTTGCTACATGGAATATCCCTCCACGTGGGCTTGTTTGATGGTTCCTCATGATTAGATTCAGGCTACGCATCACCATATAATGATGTTATCTCCTTCTCAAGGTGTTTCTTCTATAAGCACATGATGTTAATCATCTCACTGGCAATTTCTTTTTTCTTTTTTTCTTTTCTAATTTTTATTTTTATTTATTTTTAATTTTTTAACTTTTATTGTAGGTTTGGGGGTACATATACAGGTTTGTTACATGGGTAAATTGCATGTTGCTGAGGTTTAGTGCACAAATGATTTCATCACCCACGTAGTGAGCACAGTACCCAATAGGTAGCTTATAGACGTTCATCCTCCTCCCACCCTCTACCCTCGAGTAGACCTGAGTCTATTTTTCTCCTCTTTGTGTCCATGTGTACTCAATGTTCAGCTCCCACTTGTAAGTGATAACACATGGCATTTGGTTTTCTGTTCCTACATCAATTTACTTAGAATAATGGCCTCCAGCTGCATCCATGTTGCAGCAAAGACATTATTTTGTTCTTTTTTATGGCTGTGTAGTATTCCATGGTGCATATGTACCACATTTTCTTTCTCCAGTCCACCATTGATGGGCATCTAGGTTGATTCCATGTCTTTGCTATTGTGAATAGTGCTGCAACGAACATAAGAGTGTGTGTGTCTGTGATGGTTAATATTGTCAACTTGGTTGGATTGAAGGATGCAAAGTATTGTTTCTGGGTGTCTGTGAGGGTGTTGCCAAAGGAGATTAACATTTGAGTCAGTGGACTGGAAGAGGCAGACCCACCCTCAGTCAGGGTGGGCAGCATCTAATCAGCTGCCAGCACGGTTAGAATAAAGCAGGCAGTAGGTGGAAAGAGATTTGCTGAGTCTCCCAGCCTTCATCTTTCTCCCGTGCTGGGTGCTTCCTGCCCTCGAACATTGGACTCCAAATTCTTCAGCTTTTGGACTCTTGGACCTACACTAGTGGTTTGCCAGGGGTTCTTAGACCTTTGGCCACAGACTGAAGGCTGCACTGTCAGCTTCCCTACTTTTGAAGTTTTGGGACTTGGACTGGCTTCCTTACTCCTCAGCTTGCAGATGGCCTGTTGTGGGACTTCACCTTGTGATGGTGTGAGTCAATACTAGTTAATAAACTCCCCTTCAGATATAATTCTATCCTATTAGTTCTGTCCTTCTAGAGAACCCTGACTAATACAGTGTCTTTTTGGTAGAATAATTTATATTCCTTTGGGTGCATACCCAGTAATGGGATTGCTGTGTCAAATGGTAGCTGTGTTTTTTGAGAAATCTCCAAACTGCTCTCCACAGTGGCTGAACATTCCCACCAGCACTGTATAAGCATTCCCTTTGCTTTACCACCTCACTAGAATGTTATTTTTGACTTTTTAATAATAGCCGTTCTGACTGGTATGAGATAGTATCTCCTTGTGGTTTTGATTTGCATTTCTCTAATGATAAGTGAGGTTGAGCATTTTTTTTTTATGCTTGTTGGCTGCAAGTATGTCTTTTGAGGAGTGTCTGTTCATATACTTTGCCTATTTTTTAATGGAGTTTGTTTTTGCTTGTTGATTTGTTTAGGTTCCTTATAGATTCTGGATATTAGACCTTTGTTGGATGCATAGTTTGCAAACATTTTCTCCCGTTCTGTAGGTTGTCTATTTACTCTGTTGATAGTTTCTTTTGCTATGCAGAGGCTCTTTAGTTTAATTAAGTCCCACTTTTCTTTTCTTTCTTTTTTTTTTTTTTTTTGAGATGGAGTTATGGGTCTGTCTCCCAGGCTGGAGTTCAGAGGCATGATCTCAGCTCACTGCAACCTCTGCCTCCCAAGGCCAAGCGATTCTCGTGCCTCAGCCTCCCGAGTAGCTGGGACTACAGGCGCCCGCCATCACGCCCAGCTAATTTTTATATTTTTAGTAGAGACAGGGTTTTGCCATGTTGGCCAGGCTGGTCTCGAACTCCTGACCTCAGGTGATCTGCCCACCTCAGCCTCCCAAAGTGCTGGGATTACAGGTGTGAGCCACCGGGCCCAGCCTGAGCCACTGTGCCTGGCTGAGTCCCACTTTTCTGTTTTTGGTTTTGTTGCAATTACTTTTGGAGACTTCATCATGCAATATTTGCCAAGGCCTATGTCCATAATGGTATTTTCTAGATTTTCTTCTAAGGATTTTATAGTTTTAGGTCTTACACTTAAATCTTTATTCCATCTTGGATTGATTTTTATATATGGTGCAAGGAAGGGGTCCAGTTTCAATCTTCTCCATATGGCTAGCTAGTTATTCCTGCACCATTTATTGAATAGGGAATCCTTTCCCCATTGCTTGTTTTTGTTGGCTTTGTCAAAGATCAGGTGGTTGTAGGTATGCAGCTTTATTTCTGGGTTCTCTATTCTGTTCTATTGGTCTATGTGTCTGTTTTTGTGCCAGTACCATGCTGTTTTGATTACTGTAGCCTTGTAATATGGGTTGATGTAGGGTAGGGTGATGCATCCAGCTTTGTTCTTTCTGCTTAGGATTGCTTTGGCTATTAAGTCTCTTTTTTGGTTTCATATTAGTTTGAAAACAGTTTTTTCCAGTTTGATAGGAATAGCATTGAATCTGTAGATTGCTTTGGGCAGTATGGCCATTTTAACAATATTGATTCTTCCAGTCCATAAGGATGGAATGTTTTTCTTTTTGTTTGTGTCATCTCTGATTTCTTTGAGCATTGTTTTGTAGTTCTCCTTGTAGAGATCTTTCACTTCCATGGTTAGCTGTATTCCTAGGTATTTTATTCTTTTTGTGGCTATTGTGAATGGGATTGCATTGTTAATTTGGCTCTCAGCTTGGATATTATTGGTGTATAGAAATGCTACTGATTTTTGTGCCTTGACTTTGTATCCTGAAGCTTTACTGAAGTTATTTATCACTGTGAGTCTTTCGGCAGAGCCTGTGGGATTTTCTAGATGTAGACTCATATCTGTGAAGAGAGATAGTTTGGCTTGCTCTCTTCCTGTTTGGATGCCTTTTATTTCTTTCTCTTGCCTACTTGCTCTGGCTAGAACTTCCCTCACTGGCGATTTCTTTCTGGTCACCTGGTTATGGTGTGGTCTTGTTTCTTTTACTGTTTACCCATTTATGACTAATAAGCCATTTATGGGGTCACATCTATTTCTTATACTAGCGTTTGCCCCAAATTTGTAAAATTAGAAGTCTAATAAAATGGCAGGATCATCATCATAGATTTTTTTATTTTTGAGACAGTCTCACTCTGTCGCCCAGGCTGGAGTGCAGTGGCACGATCTCAGCTCACTGCAACCTCCACTTCTTAGGTTCAAGCAATTCTCCTGCCTCAGCCTCCCGAGTGGCACCCGCCGCCACACCCAGCTAATTTTTGTATTTTAGTAGAGACCGGGTTTCACAATGTTGGCCAGGCTGATCTCAAACTCCTGACCTCGTGATCCACCTGCCTTAGCCTCCTAAAGTGCTGGGATTACAGGCGTGAGCCACCGCGCCTGGCCAATAAAAAAAAAAATTTTTTTTAAATGTCTCTGTCACCCAGGCTGGAGCGCAGTGGCACAATGTCAGCTCATTGCAACCTCCACCTCCCAGGTTCAAGCGATTCTCCTGCTTCAGCCTCCCGAGTGGCACCTGCCACCATGCCCGGCTAATTTTTGTATTTTGAGTAGAAGTGGAGTTCCACCATGTTGTCCAGGCTGGTCTCGAACTCCTGACCTCAAGTGATCTGCCTACCTCAGTCTCCCAAAGTGCTAGGATTACAGTCATGAGCCACCACACCCGGCCAGAATTCTTTTAAAAAATATTTTCTAAGTATGTGATTGAGACTATAAACTCTAAAGTCAAATGCCTTAGGTTTAAATCCAATTCCACCACTTTTTGCTGGAAAACACGATAAGTGACCTTACTTCCCTTTGCTTCAATTCCGTCATCTATAAAAATTTAGGAGATGAAAATAATGCCCCAGTTCATGGTGTTGTTACAGAATTAAATGAGTTTATAATACATATCTGGCACATAAAACACACAATAAATCTTGGATTTTATATGTAATATATTTATATTTTATACATAATATATACTTTTTAGGGCACTCTTAACAATATAGGATAGTAAATAAAAATCCAAATAATGAAGTAATTATTTTTTTTATTGTCCCCCAAATTTTATTAATATAAACAATGTGTAAGTGGACATATTTGAGCCAAATCATTCAAATATAATGATCATTTAAATATGAATCACAACCTATGATTAATTCCACAGGGTAAACACCAAGAAGTTAAAAAAATGGGTTAAAATATATGTATACATTTAAGATTCTCAAAGCGTACTACAAACCCCCAATTTTTTTGTATACTTTCCTCAGCAACAAACACAATTATCAGTCTCTTGATACTTATTTCAATTTTAGATATTATCTTTTTTACATATGTGTTTTAAATTTTTTTCCATAGGTTATTAAGGTACAGGTGGCATTTGATTACATGAGTAAGTTCTTCAGTGGTGCTTTGTGGGATTTTGGTGCACACATCACCTGAGCAGTACACACTGCACCCTATTTGTAGTCTTTTATTCCTCGCCCTCCTCCCACCCTGAAGTAATTATTTTAGACGCAGCTGTTATTCTTCTACCACTAGATCTAAAACATAAATTTAGACAGATCTATTTTTATAAATTACTTGCAAGTGTTTTGATGTTTTTTGTCATTCATTTCTTGAACAAATTTGCACCAAGCTCTTATAATGTGCCAGGCACGGATGTAGGCACTGGGTATACAGTGGTGAACTAGATGGCTCATGTGGAGATTTTATTCTACTGGAGAATATAGTTAAGAAGTAAATATATAAGTTAGATAATTCCAGGTAGTACCAATTGTTCTGAAAAAAAAAAAAAAAAAAAAAAAAAAAAAAAAAACAGGGCGATGTGATAGACAGAGCCTGGGGTGTCAATATCAGATGACTCAGTCAGGGAAAACATTTTGGTGACCTACATATTTAATGTCTCTTCACTGCTTATCTAACAAAATTTTTCATAGAATTATGATTTGAATTGAAACAACATGGAACAAATCCTTCCTAGTACATTAAGCTATATAAATAAGATATTATCACAGTTGTGTAATGTTTTTACTATTGCAGAACATGTATCAGTTAAACTGATCTTTCATAGTGCTGCTCTTAATTGAAAATCTGCCCCCCTTTATCATCATCCCTTCCTAATTAAGCTGCTGATGTCATTGATTGCATACTTCCATTTGAAAACTAGCTGCATGAATACTTCTTCCTTCCCTCTGCTGTATTTTCTATCCTAGCTGTTCTGGATGTAAGATGTCCTTTCAAATATGTTTCATTGTATAAAAACCACATTGAAACTTACCTCATAGCCTCATCATTCCTTAATTTTTCCATAGTCTCATTTGCCCAACCCAGTGCTGCATTGGCCTCAGAGATGGTGTAACACTCAAGGATTATCTTTTGTGTCTTTTGAGATCTTACTCAAGGTTTCTTGTGTAACCCTCCTTGGACTTGAGGTATTTGGGGCTTGAAAGTCAAACAGACTTTCCTTTGAAGTTTTCATTTGCCATTTAGCAGCTGTGTGACTTTGGGAGGGTTGCTTAACCTCCCTAGTCTCGTCTCTAACGTGTAGAGTAATTGTGAGGTTTAGATAAGGTGAAGTGAAATTATATACATGAAAGGCTAGCATAGCATCTTGCCTGGGGCTCAAGCTGATCATCAACTATGGTGTACTCTTCCTCCACTCTTACCCCTGGTGAACTCGGTGGAGCTAATGGAGCTAAGGAATCTCTCCAAGGAGTTCCTGAAACTGGCCAACTCCCTTCAAGGCAGAATTTCGTATCCTCAGAGGACAACAAATACCTAGATGATGAGGTAGTTTCCAAAACTACCTCAACAGGCTAGTCCAGGATTTCTTAACCTGGGAACCATAGACCCTAAAGCAGAGGAACTTGGGGTGTGCCAAGAGACAGCCAGGAGATGGAAAGGCCTTAAAAGCAAGCTTTGCGCATTCTGATTTGTGTGATTTGTGTCCCCAGTGACCAGAACAGACATACTTGCCTTTCTAGTTCTGCTCCATAGGAGTTCTGCTCTAGTTCTTGATCAAGTATTTATATAGCATTGCCATTTCATTTCTAATAAATTAGAATGTAATGGCTTCTCATAGTCCAGAACAGTATTTCTCAAAAATGTGATGTGCTTCAGAATCTGCTGGTTGCTTGTTAACTATGCAGCTTTATGAACCCTCCAAAAGTACTAAATCAAAATCCCTGAGGGTGGAACCCAGAATCTACATTTAATAAATGTCACAAGTGACTCTTAAGGCAAATGGAAGTTATATACCTGGACTTTTACCATATATTTAACATGTATCTTAACCTTCTACTACTAATTTTTTTTCATTCAAATACAGAAAAGCATATGAGATTCTGAAAATGTCTGATTTGTAAAATGATTTGTAAATTTCTGTAAAACAATTTTGCAAGTTTCTCATGAATTAATGCTTTGCCCAGATAATCTTTCTACAATAGGGTGAGTATAAAGTATAAGAAAAATACTGATCAGCCCTGTGCAATGGCTCACGCCTGTAATCCCAAAACTTTGGGTGGCCAAGGCAGGCAGACCACTTGAGCTCAGGAGTTCCAGACCAGCCTGGGCAACATAGAGAAACTCCATTGCTACAAAAAATACAAAAATTGGCCAGGTGTAGTGGTGAGCACCTGTGGCCCCAGCTACTTGGGAGGCTGAGGTGGACAATTGTTTAAGCCCAGGAGGTTGAGGCTGCAGTGAGCTGTGATTGTGCCACTGCACTCCAGCCTGGAAGCCTGGGTGACAGAGTGAGACCCTGTAAAAAAAAAAAGGTAGGGAGTGGGAGGTGAGAGGAGGGGAGGGGAACGGAGGGAGGGGAAGGGAAGGGTAAAGGGAAGGCTGATCAATTTGGAAATTAGGTATCAATTTCTGTAAATTCACGAGTGAACCCTGCCTCCATCTACTCAGGAAAACAGTGATCTGAAAGGGATGCTCAGTGAGATTGCTTGTCTTAGCTCTTTTGCTTGGCTTTAGTTTCCATATACAAGGTGTACGGCTAACGTGCACATATGCAGTCCTCATATTTGGGAAGCTGGGGCAGACTTGATGCTCTCCACCCCAGCCTGAGGTATATGATTTCTACAACCACAGACCCCCTAGTGTTGCTTTTGGGTCCTATGGCTTTAAAAGAGGGGTGGCAACCAGGTGGAGATTCTGCACATACACAGTAGCCAGGATTATACCTATAGGTATTTCTTTGTCTCTGTGGATTTTGAAGACACCATGTATTATACAAGTATGATCAGGATTCTTCTGACCAGAAATGGTTGGCTAAGTCTGAAGTTTTTATTTTTTTTTTAATCTTCTAAACAGAGTTGCATAAAGGTAAGAAATTTAAAAATGGGCTCTGGGGTCCAAAAAATCTGACTTCAATTCTGACCCTACCATCGCAAACTACGTGACCTTAGGTCTCAGTGAGGATTAAATGTCTTAATATATATAAAGTATATGGCATGTAGTAGTCTTAACAAAAGGCTGTTATCAGGAATATTCTTTCATGTAAAATGTAAACACCTATTCAAATACAAACCTGAGAAGGGAGGAAGGATGGGATGTACCTAACACTGACAAGGTGGTTTTGCTTTTGGAAGGAGACTGGGAGTCAGTGTGAAGGTGCTTGTCTTTTGGTTAGATTTGGGAGGCCACACCTAGGTCCAGGCTCTGCAGCAGCTAAGGAAAGACTTCCCCGAACTTTCTAGACTTTACCAAAGGATACTTAATGGTGGAAGAGATGGAGGGAGAGGAAATATGTGAGGATCTAGGGAAGAGCCCTAAGCAATTGTGCCAAACATAAAATTTCACTCTCTGCAACATATACACATTTACTTTTGTATAAAAATGATGCTTTGCCCCTGCCCCCCACAAATCGTTATGGTAAATTGATAGTCTAGAAAGTTGCACTCTGTGTATCCTAAAACCTAAAATGCCCATGGGTGAGTACATACGCAGCAGTTTGAGAAACAGGCATTGAAAGTCGAAAGGATAAGCCCACATCCCTTCATAGGGCCCTTCACAGTCTGAGTGCCAGTTACCTACTCTGCTCTCTGTCCCTTCCAAATGCCTCCCCACTTCCCAGACACAGAAGGCCCTTTAGCTGCCTGAGGCCTTTATTTCGGTGCTTCCAGCCTGCCTGAAGTGAAGGGCCTTCCTTCCAACTCTCCTTTAGGAATTTGGGCTGCTATAATGACATACTACAGACTTAGTGGCTTATTAACAACCACCATTTATTTCTTGCAGTTCTGGAAGCTGGGCAGTTCAAAGTCAAGGTGCCGGCAGATCCAGTGTCTGGTGAGGGCCAGTGGTCTCCCGGTCTCTGATGGTGCCTTCTTGCTGCATCCTCACCGGGAGGAAAGGCTGAGGTAGCTCCCTGGGCCTTTCACAAGGGCACGAATCCCATTCATGAGGGCTCTACCCTCGCGACCTAATCACCTCCCAAAAGCCCCGTCTCTTAATACTATCACTTTGGGGGTTAGGATTTCAACATATGAATTTGCAGGGGACACAAACATTCAGGCCACAGCATCCTTCTTCCCTACTTCCCCCCCACAATCTAATTCCCCCTCCCAGATCCAGCTGAAAAACACTTTGGTGAAGCCTCCCCAGCTTCTCTAGGCAGGCAACAAGGCTCCCTCAGCACCCTTCTGGTACATTCCAGTAATTCCTCTCCTGTTCACTATGGAGATGAACCTAGTCTTATTCACCTTCATATCCCCTAGTGCAGGGGATATTTAGCAAGCATTCAATAAATTAGTATAGACAACTAATTAATGAAAGAAAGGTAACTGGAAATAGAGCTGTTTTAAAAAGATTTTTCCTTACACCCAAGATTGTCCTTTGGGCATGGAGGATAAGATGAGTCCAGCATTTTAAAGAGAAACATCCTGAATGATGTTAGCCCATATGCATTAATGTGGATCTGGTATATGCAAAAGGGCTTTGCATTAAGTATATGACTTTATTATACTTCCTCTTCACGTTATATATTTCTACGGAAAGATGATTTTTAAGTGAAAATTTTTAAATTTTGCAGATGGATTTGTTTGGAAAGTGAGGTAAGAGATGGTTTACCAAGACTGGTTCATTTTTTATTTCATATTTTTAGTTCGTCAGAGCAGGCTAAATTCAGTCCTCCTGTGATTTTTCTCAGAAGTTTTCCCCTTTAAATAGATAAGTAATTATGTGAAAAACACACACACACAACACATACACACACACACTCACACACAGACACACAGCCGTTAAGAGGAAATCAATTATGCCATTATAGGAATCCAGTATTCTGGGAACCTTGCTATATTTGGCTTTAGATACACAATAAGCACTGAAAATTGTTAGATGCAGCAGTTCGGTTTATTGAATTGCAGATACTAGAAATAACAACAACTAAGAAAAGATCCAAAAAAAATTTACTTATGAAATATGCTGCTGCCCTGGAGGCCTGCATTAACTTCTACCTATTAGTATGTTAGTAATCCCACATACAATAGTGCTAGGGCATATCAATATCTTAAAGAAATATAGGATCAGGGTTATAAGTTTATTTTTAATCTTCATTTCTACTCTTATTTATCCATACTATAATTGCCTGTAGGGCCTGTTTGAGAGTCAGTTCAAGAATTATTTATTACGCTTCCACTATCTGTCAGGTCTACACATACTTAATGCTTTGACTGTAACAATGAATAGGACATGGTCCCTGATCGTCAGGAACTCATAATCAAAGAGAGATGTAAAGAAATACATACAATACAGCTCTTTTATTAAGCCCAGGGACCTAATGTCTCCCTTCATGAATTGACCTAATTAGCATATGCTTTACCTTATTAACAAAATTGTAAGCATACATCCTTCTCTGGAAATCTCGAATTCACTTCAAAATGTGTATCAGTTTAAGCAGTCATGAGCAGCCACACACCAGCATGTGTGCTGAAGACACTGATAACTACAAAGGCAACAAGAGCATGCAAATTTGAATGCTAAAGTTGTATTTTTTTAACTGGGAAATAAAAATGATGAATTATTACTTGCACTATAAGCTTAGCTTTAAAATAAATACTGCTTTATTTTAGGCAAATACAGTAAGAATTCTTTCCTGTTTAAATGGAAATTATATTTCTAACTTTACTTTTTAAAAAACATTAATATTGGGCCAGGCACAGTGGCTCATGCCTATATATTTCCTGCACTTTGGGAGGCCGAGGCAGGAAGATGGCTTGAGCTTAAGACCAGCCTGGGCAACATGGCAAAACTTCATCTCCATAAAAAAATACAAAAATGAGCCAGGTGCGGTGGCATGTGCCTATGTTTACAGCTACTTGGGGGCTGAGACTGGAGGATCACTTGAGCCCAGGAGGAAGAGGCTGCAGAGAGCCACTGCACACTAGCCTGGGTGACAAAGTGAGACTCTGTCTCAAAAAACAAACAAAAAGAGTATCCTTCTGCAAATTTTGCCCCTAATTCAACCTTATTAAATTAATTAATGTCTTCCAAACTGTAAACTGTCAGCCTTTTCTGGGATGTTTTCTGAGGTTACTCCTTAATGAATAACCAAGGAATTTTGAAGACAATTGCTTCCAACTAAGTATTGCTCATTTCTAAGTGGTTCCAACTGAATTTTAATTACGTGTTTTCTTTAGATGTAGCATCAGTTGGTAAACCTCCAAGAACAAAGATCACAGAGATGTCTATGGTTGAAAATGGATCAAAGAGAATTCACAATGTCCAGAAAGAGAGGAGTGAGGCAACAAGGTGATCATTATCAAGTTCCTCACCTCCGAGAACCCAGGTATGTAAACACTCAATAAATGTTGAGGGAAGCTGGTGATCTACCTGGAAACTTAAGAGAAAATTAACCACCGTGAAATGGTTTCACAGGTTATCACACACAGGAACCATTGTGTCCGGAATTGGTTCCTTCCGGTGGGTTCTTGGTCTTGCTGACTTCAAGAATGAAGCCTCAGACCCTCGTGGTGAGTTGTTACAGTTCTTAAAGATGGTGTGTCTGGAGTTTGTTCCTTCCGATGTGTCCAGAGTTTCTTCCTTCTGGTGGGTTCGTGGTCTTCCTGACTTTAGGAGTGAAGCCGCAGACCTTCACAGTGAGTGTTACAGCTTTTAAAGGCGACATGTCCAGAGTTTTTGTTCCTCCCGGTGGGTTCGTGGTCTTGCTGACTTCAGGAATAAAGCTGCAGACCTTCATGGTGAGTGTTACAGCTCCTAAAGTTAGTACACACCCAAAGAGTGAGAAGCAGCAAGATTTATCGTGAAGAGCAAAAGAACAAAGCTCCAACAGCATGGAAAAGGACCCAAGCGGGTTGCTGCTGCTGGCTCGGGTGGCCAGCTTTTATTCCCTTATTTGGCCCCACCCACATCCTGCTGATTGGTCCATTTTACAGAGAGCTGATTGGTCCATTTTACAGAGAGCTGATTGGTCCATTTTACAGGGTGCTGATTGGTGCGTTTACAATATGTTAGCTAGACACAGAGCACTGATTGGTGCATTTTTACAGAGTGTTGATTGGTGTGTTTACAATCCTTTAACTAGACACAGAGTGCTGATTGGTGTGTTTTTACAGAGTGCTGATTGGTGCGTTTACAATCCTCTAGCTAGACACAGAGCGCTGATTGGTGTGTTTTTACAGAGTGCTGATTGGTGTGTTTACAATCCTCTAGCTAGACAGAAAAGTTCTCCAAGTCCCCACTTGACCCAGGAAGTCCAGCTGGCTTCACCTCTCACTATGTCTGGTTGGAGATTTTGCTTCCAGGAGCCATTGAATATAAATACTCCAGGAAGAAAATAAAAATGCTTTTACCCCATTGATATGATTTGGCTGTGTCCCCAGCCATATCTCATCTTGAATTCCCACATGTTGTGGGAGGGACCTGGTGGGAGGTAATTGAATCATGGGGGCAGGTCTCTCCCGTGCTGTTCTCATGATAGTGAGTAGGTCTTCAGCAGCATGAAAACCGACTAATACAGTAAATTGGTACCAGTAGAGTGGGGTGTTGCTGAATAGATACCCGAAAATGTGGAAGCAACTTTGGAACTGGGTAACAGGCAGAGGTTGGAACAGTTTGGAGGGCTCAGAAGAAGACAAGAAAGTGTGAGAAAGTTTGGAACTTCCTAGAAACTTGTTG
The DNA here is from genome assembly GCF_000001405.40 of Homo sapiens. Taxonomy (NCBI): domain Eukaryota; kingdom Metazoa; phylum Chordata; class Mammalia; order Primates; family Hominidae; genus Homo; species Homo sapiens. Next base: position 25,341,434 of record NC_000012.12, on the reverse strand, counting down.
AATGGCTTTGACAGAAATGCTGATAGTGATATAAACAATAAAGTCCAGGCTGAGGTGGTCTCAGATGTAGATGAGAAACTTGTTGGGAACTGGAGCAAAGGTGACTCTTGTTCTGTTTTAGCAAAGAGACTGGTGGCATTTTCTCCCTGCCCTAGAGATTTGTGGAACTTTGAATTTGAAAGAGATGATTTGGGGTATCTGGCAGAAGAAATGTCTAAGCAGCAAAACATTCAAGAGGTGACTTGGGTGCTGTTAAAGGCATTCTGTTTTATAAGGGAAGCAGAGCATAAAAGTTCAGAAAATTTGCAGCCTGACCACGTGATAGAAAAGAAAAACCCATTTTATGAGGAGAAATTCAAGCTGGCTGCAAAAATTTGCATAAGTAACAGGGAGTCGAATGTTAATCCCCAAGATAATGGGGAAAATGTTTCCAGGGCATGTCAGAGGTCTTTACAGCAGCCTCTCCCATCACAGGCCCGGAGGTCTAGGAGAAAATGGTTTTGTGGGCTAGGCCCAGGGTCCCTCTACTGTGTGCAGTCTAGGGACTTGGTGCCCTGCATCCTAGCCACTTCAGCCATGACTAAAAGAGGACAAGGTACAGCTTGGCTGTTGCTTCAGAGGGTGGAAACCCCAAGCCTTGGCAGCTTCCATGTGGTGTTGAGCTTGCAGGTGCACAGAAGTCAAGAATTGAGGTTTGAGAACCTCCATCTAGATTTCAGAAGATGTATGGAAACACCTGGATGCCCAGGCAAAAGTTTGCTGTGGGGCGTTTGGGGGGGCCTTTGTGTGGGGGGCCCTCATGGAGAACTTCTGCTAGAGCAGTGCAGAAGGGAAATGTGGGGTCAGAGGCCCCACATAGAGTTCCTGCTGGGGCACTGCCTAGTGGAGCTGTGAGAAGAGGGCCACTGTCCTCCAGACCCCAGAATGGTAGATCCACTGATAGATTGCACCGTGTGCCTGGAAAAGCTGCAGACACTTAACTCCAGCCTGTGAAAGCAGCCTGGAAAGGGGCTATACCCTGCAAAGCCACAGGGGCAGAGCTGTCCAAGACTGTGAGAACCCACCTCTTGCATCAGTGTGTCCTGGATGTGAGATATGGAGTCAAAAGGGATCATTTTAGAGCTTTAAGATTTGACTGCCCTGCTGGATTTCAGACTTGCATGGGGCCTGTAGCCCCTTTGTTTTGGCCAATGTCTCCCATTTGGAATGACTGTATTTATCCAACGCCTGTACCCCTGTTGTATCTAGGAAGTAACTAACTTGCTTTTGATTTTACAGGCTCATAGGTGGAAGGGACTTGCCTTGTCTGGGATATGACTTTGGACTGTGGACTTTTTATTTAATGCTGAAATGAAATAAGACTTTGGGGGACTGTTGGGAAGGCATGATTGGCTTCGAAATATGAGGACATGAGATTTGGAAGGGGCCAGGGGTGAATGATATGGTTTGGCTGTGTCCCCACCCAAATCTCTTCTTGAATTCCCTTGTGTTGTGGGGGGGACCCGGTGGGAGGTAATTGAATCATGGGGACAGGTCTTTCCCATGCTATTCTCGTGATAGTGAGTAGGTCCCATGAGATCTGATGGTTATGATAAGGGGTAGTTTTTCTGCACAAGCTCTCTTTGATTGCTGCTATTCATGTAATAAGTGACTTGTTCCTCCTTGCCTTCACCATGATTGTGAGGCTTCCCTCACAATCCACATGGAACTGTAAGTCCAATTAAACCTCTTTCTTTTGTAAATTGCCCAGTCTTGGGTATCTTTACCCAAATGTCTTTATCAGCAGCCTGAAAACGGACTAATACATTCATTTGATTTCCCTGGAGGAAAATAAGGCTGGTGTTCTATTTTTTTTTTTTTTTTTTAAACGGAGTCTCACACTATTACCAGGCTTGAGTGCAGTGGCACGATCTTGGCTCACTGCAACCTGCACCTCCTGAGTTCAAGCGATTTTCCTGCCTCAGCCTCCTCAGTAGCTGGGACGATAGGCATGCGCTACCACACCCAGCTAATTTTTTGTATTATTAGTAGAGACGGGATTTCAGCATATTGGGCAGGACGGTCTCCATTTCTTGACCTCGTGATCCTCCTGCCTCGGCCTCCCAAAGTGCTGGGATTACAGACGTGAGTCACCACATCCGGCCAGTTGGCTGGTGTTCTTAAGCAGAACATGTATACTCTCACACCTTTACAAAAAGATCTATTGAGAGATAATTTACTCATTGACACTGTGATTCAGGCTTGACTGACAAAATGACTGTAATACCTGTTCTTATTGTAGCCGGCCATGCTTGGGTTAGGATCAGGCATTCATATTCACACTTCCGACTGTAGAAAGGAAAAATTCTGACTATAGAAAGGAGAAAGGAAACTGTAATGATACGAATGAAGTATTTGATTTCAAAGGTATGTTTGAAATCATCTGCCACTCACAGAGTGGAATTGTAACATCAGAATCTAGACCCCCATCCAAAATTAAATTGCCAGTAAGTTATGGCACATTTTAGGAAAACTCGTGGTGCTCTCGTTCTCACGTAGTGCTCAACTTAGTCCTCTCGACAAATTTGCCATATTTCACTCTATTCTTCAGTCTCGCTATACATTATCTTTTTGAGGGCACAGATGGTGTCTTACTCACCAGCAGATTTCCAGTAGCTAGTACACTACTGGGTACACGTTAAATCCTTTAAAAACAGTTGTTAAAGAAGTACAAGGACATCCATTAAAACGCCTAGATTTTTATTACCAATCTGCAAAATTAACATAAATGGCTAATCATATTATTGATATAACTGAGGCTATGTATAAGACCTGTTGCAATGATGCAAAGCAGCACAGGAGTTCCTTATACATTACCAAGGAGGAGATTTTGCATTTAAATCTTTTCATATGATTCCAAGATAATCTTGAAAATCTTTGAACATACTTTCTTTTATAACTGCAGGCGCCATTGGCTAATTTTCTGGAACACACCTTTATACTCTGGTCCAACGGATTTTTTAAGATGTCTTCAAGACCATATCTGGAAAAAGAAATAAGCAAATGAACATTTATGGATGTTACACTATGCCCCCACATGCTGCACTAAATGCTTTCTTTATTTCCTTTGAAATGGTCATCACAGTTATCTTGTGACGTAGCCATTAAACTCTCATTTTATGAGTAAGGAAATCAGTGTCTTTATTTGTAACCTCTGAAGGAATGGAAAATAGATGGAATAGAAGCCATCCAGAGAAAAACTGTGCTCAGTCCTAAGATATGCCAGTACTGGAAGATATCCAGAGCAGATGAAATAGACAAAACACTGCTCCTCAAGGAATAACCACATGTCACAGCATCCTCTGTAATAAACACACAGTGTTGTTGAGTATATTCCCACGGGGCCTTTTAAAGTAATTGGATGAATCTAGAATTTAGCCTTGTGCATACAGTTGCTAGTGAATGGGTAAGTCAGTTGTCTTTGAGGCCAAGTTGGCCTATGTGGGTCACAATAAAATGCTGGAGTCCTCCCTCGGGCTCTGTCCTTAGAATTATTTATGTACACCACAACCATGTCCATAATTTGGCTATATAGAGCCTAGATGTACATCTCCAACTTGGACCTCTGTTGAATTTCAGCCTCAGATAAACTGACTCCCAGACATCTCTAAAACGTGTCTTATGTTGGGCCCTTGATATTTTCTCATCAAATCAGCTTCTTCTCCATCAATGACAAATCAATTGTTAACGCTCTTCATGATCCGGCACTTCCTTACCTCCCTGACTTCATCTCCTACTGCTCTCCTCTTTGCTCACTCTACCACAGGCACGTGGCCTTCATTGCTGCTTTCTAAGCATACTTGGCAAGCACCTGCCTCAGGACCTCTGCACTTGCAGTTCTCTTCTTGGGATACCTTTCCCCTAGATATTCACATGGCTTCCTCCTTCACCACCCTCAGGTCGTGCACAAACGGCACCTTCTCAATGAGGCCTTCCCATCTAAAATTATAACTCCCTTCCCACCCGCCCCTCCAAGTCACAAGCACTTTCTATCCCCTTCCCCCTCTTGCTTTACTTTTCTTAAAATTAATTTATTCTCACTCATTTTGGCAGTGAAAGTTGCTTTATTTTTCTCTTTTGCACTTAACACTATCTAACCATCTACTTATTTTTCTTATTATCAGTAAGAAACACTTGATGAAATCTTAGATGTCTTTGATAATAAGATGCAACATTATTTTTGTATCACAAGAAAAGAAAAACAGCTGCCAATTACAAATGTAAGATGGTACTAAGTCAGATTACAATTTCAGAGATTTTGAAGTGTGAAAAATTGTCCATCTTACATTTGATGAAATAAAGTATTTTCTTTATTGTTTTTCTCTCTCACTAAAATGCAAATTTCCATATGGATGTGGATTTTTTTTTTTTTGAAATGGGGTCTCGCTGTGTTGGCCGGGGTGGTCTCAAACCCCTGGTGTCAAGCAATCCTCCCGCCTTGACCTCCCAAAATGTTGGGGTTACAGGTGTGAACCACTGCACCCAGCCTAGATATGGATTTTTATGTTTGGTTCACTGCTGTATTATCTGGCGCGTGGTAGATGTTTAATAAATATTTGTTGAATAAATGTTCAAGAACTAATAAAAAAAGAATAAATAATAGACTCCTATATGAGCAGAGTATATCTGTTCTAATTGCCTTAGAAGATTGAAATCTAAGAAGAAAAAGATCATAGAGGATGTCAAAGCTTGATCTGAATTTCCTAGAGTTTTCTGAAACCTCTAGAGAAGATGAGAGACCAATATTAATTCCATAAGTGCTACTGATGTTCTCAGGTTGAATGCATGCAAAGGCCATCCAACCTCAGTTAAAGATTTTCCTAGAATATTCTCTGCCTCCAAAGCTTAACCTAACAAGCTCCATCTTACTCAGATTCTCAGCTCAAGCATCACCTTCTCAGAAAGGAGTTCCGAGACTGCACGATCTAGAAAAAGTAGCCACCAGCACCACCTATCCCAGCTCTACCCATTCATCTCTATCTCATCACCTTGTTGTCTTTTATTCGTAGTACTTTTCACTATATGAAGTTATAGCATGTGCTTAGAACTGTGTCTGAAACAGAAAGTGCTTAATAATTAGCTGTTGAACCAATGTACATGGAGTGTTTGGATCCCTCAAAACTCTTCTCCCTCCCATCCTGACCTAAAAAAGTTCTAGAGAGTTCTATTGTTAAAGTCATTCCTTTTAGTAAAGTTATAAATATTCAAGAAATCTGATTATAAAGCAAATGTGATATTTGGACAAAGATAACATTAGCCGAGGGGTACCCATTAACACCTTGATAAATGCCACTTTTCCTGATGAGCGATTTTTATCTAATTAGAAAAAACAAAGCCCTGAGTGATGGGGAGAAGTTGGCTAGATGGCTTAGAGTAAGACTGGTGGAGTTCAGAGCAGCGACTGTGAAAGTGAGAATCCCAAGAAGCTAGTTTCCTGGACCTGAATGTGAGAAGGGGCAGGGGCATTAAATGGCTGAGTTTGACCTCTCTAACCTTTTGTCTAGGATTTGACCAAGCCCAGTGGCTACTTATCCTCCCTTCTCTTCCCTGTGCCTTCACCCTGTGATTTTCTCATCACCTTTTACATTCATCTACTAAGAAAGAATGCTTTCTATGCATTTTAGTTTCTTTTTCCTTCCAAAAAGGATCATCCAGTATATTATTTGTATAATGCAATCTTAGATCTACAAATTTTTCTAATGTCGACCTACAATTTTCTTGCTGTAGCTCATTCTGCCTTTGCACTATCTGTAAAGGAAAGAAAATGTCTGTTTAGTATATACTTCATAGAATATCTCTTCCTATATTTAAAGATCCTTAAATTCTACACTTCATAGGTCAGCTGAAGAATTTTTAAAATAAGCTTTATTTGCTTTATAAGGGGGCCAGTTATTGGAAGAACTTCAACCAGTATTTAAAAGCCAACTTTAGTCAAACCACTTTGTCTAGACACTTCACCTCAGTTTTCTGCAGTTTAAATATCCCACATCTTTAAGCCTTTCCCTATGGGGCCTCTTTCACAGAACTTTAATTAGTTTTGTGGTTCTTTCATAAAGTCATCTCAATTCTTTTTTCCCCCTCTGGTAATGAAAGCTTTTTTCCTCTAATATAAAAGCTTTCCAACCAATGGATTTCGTTTGAATCTCTGGATATCCAAAGCATGCATTTATATCCTCACTGAAGAAAATTATATAACTTTCTATTTTTCTTCTATGTACCTTTAAGTGATTTATTTTTTCGCCTATAATTTTATTATGCTAATCAGCTCATAAACATGGTCAGAGTGTGTGCCCTAGACCTAGACTATTCAAAATTCAGTAAGAAGAGAAAAGAGAGAGAGAGAGACAGAGACAGAGAGATTAGAAAGAAATATTTAAAATGTGTTGTTAGGATAACTTTGTGATTACTCAGGGATAGAGAATTTAAAATTTCAAATATAGACAGCCTAATAGGTACTAAAAGCCTAGAATTGTGCATTTATATTAATTCTAAGTGAGTATTTTTTTTGGCGTCTTTGAAAGAGAATTTTCTGTGTAAAAATGATTATTTTGAACTTTTAAATTAAAATGACAAGTTCTAAACAGTAGCTCTTCATTAAGGTGTTAAATTCAAAGAATTATTCAAAAGTCCAGTAATTAATAACAATTATATTTAGGGGCCATCAATTATGTTTAATCTCATTTAAAGATAAAGGGGCTCCTTCGAATACCTTAAACTCTATAGATTTAAACATTCATTTTCTTTTCAACACTGTAATTGTCTGTTCTAACAAACAAACTTTCCTGGTACCAAATAAACCATGACTCTAATAAGCTTATAAATACAATGAGCTTTAGGATCTTTTCACTATTTTAATACATAGATCAGCTCAATAAAATTTCAACTTAAATCAAAAGTCTAAATCCATTACGTATAACATACATGTTTAAAATAGAAACTAAGAACTGATCTGTTAACTGTAATAGGCTAAATTATAAACATTGAAAGTACACATGGTGAAACCCTGTCTCTACTAAAAAATACAAAAATTAGCTGGGCATGGTGGTGGACTCTTGTAATCCCAGCCACTCGGGAAGCTGAGGCATGAGAATCACTTGAACCTGGGAGGTGGAGACTGCAGTGAGCTGAGATTGTGCCACTGCACTCCAGCCTGGGCGACAGAGTGAGACTGTCTCAAAAAAAAAAAAAAAAAGGAAGAAAAAGAAAGAACCAAAAATACTAAGCATACATAGATTTCCTAACACAAAATATGTTAATACCATGAAAAACTTTCTAAATCTTCGTAGAGTTGGAAGAGGCTTAGTCATCAAGGAAGTGATGATGTCATCCTTCACAGTTTGGAGGATTACCTCCCTGTGTAATTTATGGATTGACTTGCTGAAGCTTTGTGGGTGCCAGGTGATACAGGCTGAGACGACACTCGATCGGTGTTTATGACACTGAAAGGGCATACTGGCGTATTGAGCCCTATTTATAGCCTGAAACAGAGATTTCATCATTTGAAACAAAAGTCCTTAGATGTGAGTCATCTTATTACCTAATTTTCAAATCATATTGGGATCTGTAACACTCACTTTTGAAGCTTTCTCATTTGAGTGGATTGGATTTTATATTTCTTTGGCTTCTGAGATGTTCAAATGGCTTTTTTTTTTTTTTTTTTTTTTTTGAGACTGAGTTTTGTTCTTGTTGCCCAGGCTGAAGTGCAATGGCATGATCTTGGCTCACTGCAGCCTCCACCTCCCAGGTTCAAGTGATCTCCTGCCTCAGCCTCCCAAGTAGCTGGGATTACAGGAATGTGCCATCATGCCTGGCTAATTTTGTATTTTTAGTAGAGATGGGGCTTCACCATGTTGGCCAGGCCAGGCTTGAACTCCTAACCTCAGGTGATCTGCCCACCTTGGCCTCCCAAAGTGTTGGGATTACAGGCGTGAGCCACAGCACCCAGCCATTTAAATGTCTTTTTAGTCAAACTCCTGAATTCTTTACATGTACTTTTAAGTTTTAGAACAACGCAACTACTATAGATAATAAATTAATAATCCATTAAATTCTGGCTATGTCTTCTGATTTGTCTGATTATTTTACAAGTTCTAAGATCATCAAGCTGACACCTTGCACATCTCCTTCTAAAAATAAATCCTAAGGAAATATTCAGAGATGTGCAAAAGAATTCAACCACAGGGATTTCATCACAGTATTATTTTTAGTAGAAAATGACCTAAATGTCAAGCAAAATCTTTTGTTATTTTAAAATTCCATAAAGCTGGGAACCACAGTTTGTTCATTTTTGTTTCTTGTTTTGTCTAGGATTTACCTTATGGCATTGCACATAGAAGGTGCTCAATAAATGCTTATTAACGGAATAGGTAACTAAATAGTCTTGTGGACACCCCTCTGTAGCAACTGAGGCACTAGGAGTGTAGCTTGGGAGGGTTTTGTCTTTCAAAATCTCTCTGTGAGCCCTTCTTCAAAACGAATAGTTGATGTTTTTCAGGTCTTATGTCACATGCTTTACAAACTCACAGCTTTAATCCTCTCTTTGTAACAAGACATGACTTCTAAGCCCCTCTATGTAGAATTCTAGATCTGACACACCTCTGTAAGATGCAGTCTTGAAAAGAGGGAAGGAAAAGAAACTTCTTGATACCCTTTGTCACATTTGTTCTCTCACAGGAGAAAATGATGTGGAAAGGAGAATGGACCCCAAGCCAGCTAAGAGATAAATGCCTCTGCTCTGTTAACAATCATGTCAAATTCTTACATTTTCCAAAGTTTGTGCAATAGACATGTATTCCTTTTGGAATAAAGAAACATAGTGCTTTAAAAACTATGCTTAACTAATTCTATAATCTGCTTTCAATTTTTACTTATTCAATTTATTTATTTTCTGCCAGTGATCTAAAAGCTTTCGTTGTGCATTGTTCAATGGACACCTTAATACAGTTGCACACCTGGGCAGAGTGCTGAAACTCACTGTCATTGCAAACTTGACTTATACCATACTAAGAGTGAAACTGCTAACTCAAGAGTAAAAGACAGAAAATAGTCCAGAAGACAGCCCAAAGCTTCAATGACAGGGCTGGTCTGATTCTTGCAGGCTCTGCTCCCGTCCTCAGAGTGGAAAAATTCACAGGTTTGCAAATTCAAGGTCTTTCCCAAGGCTTCTAGTAAACAATTACAAAGTTCTTTTTTTTTTTTTTTTTTTTTTGAGATGGAGTCTGGTTCTCTCGCCCAGGCTGGAGTGCAGTGGCATGATCTTGGCTGACTGCAACCTCTGCCTCCTGGGTTCAAGTGATTTTCCTGCCTCAGCCTCCCAAGCAGTTGGGACTACAGGTCCATGCCACCACCCCTAGCTAATTTTTTTGTATTTTTAGTAGAGATGGGGTTTCACCATGCTGGCCAGGCTGGTCTCAAACACCTGATCTCAGGTAATCTGCCCACCTCGGCTTCACAAAGTGCTGGGATTACAGGCGTGAGCCACCATACCCTGCCTAATTAGGAGGTTCTGATTTCCAAAGTGAGGCAGATAACCAGATAACACTGGACTATAAAGGGGGTGTAGAGAATGTTGTTAACATTGAATTCAAGGAAAGGGTTTACTGTGAATAAAAAGAAAGGTGAGTAGATGCACAGAGTGACAGGTGAGAGTGAATCCCAGGAGGTTACTACTGTCCACCCTTGGGGGCTGCTGGGAGTAGTGACAGACACCCTTACCTGCAGTCCTGGAAGGCTTGCTGGAGAAGATGGTTTTCAGTAGCTGCTTTCTCAGACACACGTATCAAAGACATTGGTGTCACATCAAGTTATGCTAAAAAAGAATTGGGACATCTAGCAAGTAAAAGAGAAAACAGGAAATAGGGTTTCAGCGTTTCTGGGGTCTCACTGGGAGCCCCAAGGTGGTAAATTAATAGTCCTTGGACAATTATCTTAGAGTTTGGTTGCCTGATGGTCTGTGGTCTCCTCCCTGCCCAGTCCCCATTGCAATCCCATGGTTTATGTGCCATATATACCCCCATCTCCATCGCAAGAGCACCTGTCTCACTCCACACTTCTATCCCCTCACCCTCAATGCTCTCTCTCTCAGTTACCTACGAAATTTACGAATAGCAGCAGAAAACCACTGTGATATGTGATATGCAGGAGCTGTGTAACATGGTGTAGTTACAGGCGAATAAAACCCAGGCTCTGATGCTGGCCCTACTGGGCTCTTTAAGCCTTGTTCCTCATACTTACAATGAGGATAGAATGCACACTTTCCAACTATGCTGTCAGGGTGGAATGAGATAATGTCTGTGAAAACACCAAGTCTAATGCTCAACTTTCTGTGTGCTTGGAAGATAAACCAGTGTATTTTTCAAAATATGAAAATATGGCCAATAACAGATGAGTTTTGATACAGTCTGATTATTTTCCTTCTTTAGTCTTGCAATAGGTCTCCTCTTACCTAAATAAATTTCAGTAATAATAACTATATCCAACTTAAAATTTGCATAAGAATATGCCACACTATTGAGTATGAACATGCAGGTTTTGGATTTATAATCCTGCCATGTGGCTTTAGCATCTAGGGGCTTCAGTTCCTAAGTAAGGTCAAAGAAAGGCCCTCTTCTAAGCCAAGCTTTGGCTGGTAATAGTTACTCTTCCCTTTGGCTCGCATCAATTGTCTGTAATCTACTCTCACTCAGGTCTCACCTCCGCAAGGACAAGACCCTTCCAGCTACTCTAAACAACCCAAATTTTCCCTTGTTGGGTATTACTACTAGTACTTAATGGCTGTGAAGCTCCAATGGAGATTTAGTCATGAAAATAATATTCATTACATATAGTCCCCATTTATAGAACACATTGTATTTATCTAATTTTTACAACAACCCTGCAAGGTAGCTATAATTATCCCTATTTTGCAAATGAAGGCATTAAAGCTAAAAAAGTCTAGGTAACAATCAATAGTAGCACTTAGATTCAAAGCATGAGGTTTTCACTCCACTAATCTACCTTCCAAATCTGTTTATTATTCATTCATTTTGGTTTTTTAAATTTGTAGGCTAATTAACTTGTGTCTGTTCCGTAAGCTACTAATCATGGTATCTCTGAGCAAAAGACTTACATTACACTGCTGATTACTTTTGTTTCATCTGCATTTCTAAGTTACAATCACCTGTTAGACAAAGATAATGCCCTCCAATTCTTAGGTGTTGTCATTGTATATTTTCAATACAAGGCTAAGAATGCTAAACACTCTCTATACATACTTTTTAAACTAACTGAATTAATGAAAAAGAGAGATCATAATGAGAACTCCAGATCTCCAGATCATTACTACCCATCAAAATTTGAGCCCAAGATCACCTGAGGTCACGACTTTGAGACCAGCATGGCCAACATGGTGAAAACCCATTTCTACTACAAATACAAAAATTAGCCGGGCGTGGTGGTGCACACCTCTATTCCCAGCTACTCGGGAGGCTGAGGTGGGATAATCGCTTGAACTCAGGAGGCGGAGGCTGCAGTGAACCGAGATTGCACCACTGCACTCCAGCTTGGGGGACAGAGCAAGACTCCGTCTCAAAAACCAAACCAAACAAACAAACAAAAATTGAGCCCAAAAACGAAAGTCAGTATGTATTGACTTATGTCAACACTACAGAGGCAACGGAAATACCTAGTATGCAAAGATGTCAGATCCTCAGAAAGTCTAGCTCAGTGTCACCAGTTTTCCAAATGAAGGATTTGAGTTCTTTGTTTTTCATGACGAGGGGAGCCAATGCAGAGCTAACCCAAATCCTTGCCTCTCAAATGTTTTTTAAAAAATAAATTTTAAAGCTGATATTTACTTATAGCAAAACACATTCAAAAAGTGGCAATAACAACCAATGTTTTTGTCACCCAGTTTTTTAAAATAGCTTACCTATGTGTTACTCTTTTAGACATTCAGATATTACTAAATATATTCTCTTACTGAAATGTTAACTGCCAAGATTCAACCCACAGGCATATTTTTATAGGCAAGTTACATATCCCTGAGAAATTATAGAAATACACAATAACGCCTACATCCCCAGGGCCAAAATCCACAAGCAGCTTCTACAGACCTCGTGCTACAGGAGGCAGCAGTTTTTCCCAACTAAAAAGGACTCATAAAAATCTCAAAGGAGGTGAAAATACCTTTTTAAAATATGAAGCATCAAACCATCCAGTCCCATAAAAAGGGAAAGGCACTAGCTAAAAATATATCCCATGTTCTTTTCAATCTTGTTTATTGTATTCATAAATAAAAATGTCCTACCATATATTTTATTCATGCATATACCATGAATATTTATTCAACAACAACAAGGCTAGAGGTTCCCAACAGTACTCTGGCTTTATCATTTGTGTCCATTTGCTTCAGTCTCCAAGGACGTGGTTATTATGAACAAAAATCATGCCTGTGAATTACAATTAGGGCTTGGATAAATTGCATCATCAGTCAAATATTAAACATTTGGTGAGTGTTTATGACATGTAAGACAATGCACTAGGCATTGTGCATATTCAAACTAAAAATACAATTCCTCTTTTTAAGATGAGAGTTAAATTGAATACAGATATTACTATGTGTGCTTAATATCGTACAAACAGACATCCGATTTCTGTAGACCTTTGAAGACTGAGCTGTGGAAAAAAAGAAAAACAAATTTTAGAAAATCTGAGCTGAAAGCAATTTGCCAGTCAACATTTTGAGATGATTTGTCTCTGAAGTTATGTGGTTCTCTCTAGATGTATTGATTCTAGTACCTAGTGTATTGTTGTTTACATTGGCATTCGCCAAAATACATTCTAGTTTGAACTGAGCAAAACAAAGTTAACTGGAATTTCTCAAAGCCTTTAATATGGTAATGGGTTTCCTGGACATATTCAACAATGGAAGTTTTTAAATTTTGTTTTGTTTACAGCACGTCTACTAATATCTAAGAGAACCTATGTTTGTTTCCATGTTTGTCTTCTCAGGAGTACAGAAGTCCAAAGATAATTGTTTTTTAATTTTGTGCATTTTTATTGTTGTTGTTTTTAATCTAAAACAATTAAGATAAGCATGCTGTGAATCATCAGAATAACTATCTTATAGCTGAGTAGTGTCACGTGGTTTTGGTGTCCTCGTTTGCATTTCTGCTTCTGAGCAGGTTAATAGCAAGCCAAATGACATCATGCTTTGTTGCACAAGCAAGCAAAGGTTCCCAGCGATTTGAATAGAGGAAAGTGGTAGGAAAATGGAATCATTACATTGAGCATGATTTACTGGCTTGTTGAACTCAAGAGAAAATGTGCTGTAGTGGACAACTCTATGCTAGAGCAGGAGTCTGGAGTGTACATATTATGTTTTATACAGTCCCTCTCATGGCAGTTCATTAACATTAGCATAGTTACAATTTTAAAACTTTAAAAAACTATTCTCTTTTTCTTTAATACATTTATTTATTTATTTATTTATTTATTTATTTATTTATTTATTTGGAGACAGGGTCTCACTCTGTCACCGAGGCTGGAGTGCAGTGGCACGATCTTGGCTCACTGCAACCTCTGCTTCCTGGGATCAAACGATCCTCCCACCTCAGTCTCCCGAGTAGCTGGGACTACAGGTGCGAGCCACCACACCTGGCTAATTTTTGTATTTTTTTGTAGAGATGAGGTTTCACCATGTTCCCCAGGCTGGTCTTGAACTCCTGAGCTTAAGCAATCCACCCACCTAGGCCTCTCAAAATGCTAAGATTACAGGTGTGAGGCTCTGTGCCTGGCCAAAAAACTATTCTCATGTACTCTATTTTGCAGGAAACTATTAAAATTGTTGGCAGAACAAGATAATAAATGATAAACATTAAAAAGAATTTCAAATGCCCAGACAATGGCAGTGAGTCAAGGGATTCCTCGTGTGAGAAAGCAAAGGAATCATGTAGACAAAAACACAAACACATTGTTCTACTATTTAATTCGACGTTGACAGCTTAGTTTCCGCAGAACATCAGTCATCAGATTAATGTTGTAGAGGTATATTGTAATTTGGTTCTGATTTGTTAATTTTCTTTGATTTTATTGTCATATGAAAGCCACAATAATTAAGGAGTTTTCCCTCACCTAATATTTGTATGTGATTTTAAATAATATAATAAAATAATTTAAGTCAATATTTAGAGTCTTCATGGCTCTCTCCCTCTTTACTCAATTTTGAAAAACACTTGATACAGTGAAAATAACCTTCAAATTGAAGTTAAAAAAAGGCTTGAGTTCTAAGTTAACATTTAAATCTGAGTCTCAATTTACTCATCTGTACAACTGGAATAACACCAAAACCACTTTTTCACTGTTGTTGAAGGTACCTTGATCAATGTGTGACGCCTAATAGGTGTTCAATAAATAGTAGTTAATTTTCATTAGTAACATACTGTCAAAATCTGTAACTGTACAGTTTTGTAGCCCAAATCTGAAAATTAGACGTTTTCCACTGGACTACTTAAGACAGTTGTTGGGCAGCAAGATAACCAACCTAAGAACAGAGGAATGGTTTAGCCAGTAAGTGCATCATGATTCTGTATATAAAATAAAGATAAATATATATAAATTGCCGTATATGTAGTACCAAATATACATTTTGGCCAAGTGGCCATGTGTTAAAATCAATATTCAGCAAAGCTGAATGTTATTATCACCATTAGAGAGTCAACTTCTGGGATACAAAAATAAATCAGAAGTGTTATTTTTTAAAACTGTATTATGATTACAATTATATTATTAAAAATTAGACAAATTTTCAGTTTGATATGACAGTTCAGGAACAGTCATTTCTTAGCAAAGTTGGCTAAGATGGTTTTAGCGCCTGCATTTGTGTTACTGGAGAGACGCCCCCTTTCAAGTGGCACATATAATAGCAACACTCACCTTTTCTGTGCAAAGCAGAAAATAATTTTCAGTAACATGTTTTCTGGAAGAAATGTTGTACCTAGGACTCACAGCTTGGGTAAGTCTAAAATATCCTTTATCTTTACATGGTTACAATCTGTAACAATCATTTTAACAAGCTTTTAAAATATTTTTTGAATCCATAGATTCAAAATCCTAAGAAAGTATCTTAAAGCACTCTTATAAAGGCTATTGCTTTGGAGTTTTGAGTAGTGAGTACAAGGTATGTTTTGAGTGACTTCTCTTTCTCTAAGATTCTGTTCTTTCCATCATGTGCTTTATCTTTTTTTTTCTTTTTAGTTTTTCTTTGGCTATCATATGCTTTATCTTTATCATGAGTGTTATTATACATAATTTTAGAGCTTTTCATTTTTGTGAAATTTATAGATGGTAACACTGAATTATTTTAGTTCATTCTGCAAGGTTTAAAGTAATCCCAAATAGGGTCTTTTTTTTCCTGAAAAATGGTCTATGTGGAATTAAATGACTACAGTTAAATGCAATCCTAAAAGTTTATTTTTGTTTAATGTTAAAAATTTCACATCACAAAACAACTCTTAAGATTGGCATTATGATGTAATTTTAACAGTATCTCGATATTTCTGTCTTATGTTATTATTTTTATGCTTATGAACATTTATTTATAAATAATTTGTTATTTTTCCTAACGTTGTCTAGGAATGCCTCCCTTAAAATGTCCACAATCCTTTATGTCCAATTTAAACATCCAAAGCTCTGAGAAATGGAAATATTTTCATAACTCATTTGGCCACAGAATCTGTGTGATCTGATGTGAGGCTTAGTGGGAATGGTCACACATTTTACCACATAGTAATGTGCTACATCGACTTGTTTCCTAACCCCCCGACCCCTGGAAAGGTTGATAAATATAGTACATGCAATCTACTACCTCCCTAAAATCTGAATAGTTCTTCATTTCAAAGGACATATGATCCCAAGGAATTCAGATAAGGGATTATAAATCTATTTTCATAGTAACTGTCAATCCTGTTCTACTTAACTATTTGAAAGCTGTTAATAATTGAGGAACTTTTTTGGTAGATAAAATTAGTAACTTTATAATCATTAATTATTATAGCATTTTACTCTCAGAATAGTAAAAATGCATTTATACTTCAACTGTCAAAACTGGAACAAAGCGCACAAGTGAATTTTTACTCAAAGTACTATCTGGAATACTTACATGATGAGCATTATAATAGAAATCTTATGTATTCATATTATACTATATATAATATTATAATCACTTATATTTGAAAGTGAATATTCAGATATTAATGTTAATCAGAATAACAAACCTTGTTTGTGTTCCTGACATTATATTATAGAGTAGGCATTCAACCATTCTGCCTTTCGAAAGTCAAGGTCAAGTCTGAAACTGAAACCAAACAGTAAATTTTGTCTGAATTCGGAGGCTGAAGCCAGACTTCAGTGTATCCTAAATTATGTATGTATGTGTATTTTCCAATTTTGCTCAAAGACCATTATTACATTTTTAAAAGTGGTTTAGAGTCTCATAAAAATTTAACAGAGTGAACATTGGTAACATTGGAACTTACCTTTCAGAAGTCAAATCTTAGAGCTCTCTTCTTCAGGACTTTTTAAGCCTAAAATTTAGAATTATTATTATTATTGTTTTTTGAGATGGAGTCTCACTCTGTCACCTAGGCTGGAGTGCAGTGGCACAATTTCAGCTCACTGCAACCTCCGCCTCCTGGGTTCAAGTGATTCTCCTGCCTCAGCCTCCCAAGTAGCTGGGATTATAGGTGCACACCACCATGCCCTGCTAATTTTTGTATTTTTAGTAGAAACGGGGTTTCACTATGTTGGCCAGGCTGGTCACGAACTCCTGACCTCAAGTGATCCTCCCACCTCGGCCTCCCAAAATGCTGGGATTACAGGCTTCAGCCACCCTGCCCTGGAATTATTATTATTTTTTTAATCAAGAGAAAAAATAAGACTATCTCTGGGTGGAGGGCTATAGTATATGTGTGGGTAGGGGTAGGGGAAGTCCATGGATAAGCTTCCTTTGGTGGAGCATGGGCTTTGTATCCACACAATCTGTATTCAAATTTCAGTTTCTCTGTTTTCTAGCTGAATGGTCTTGGGAAATTGGCTTATTTTCTAGACAGTTGGTGTCTCCACTTCCAAAACTGAGGCAACAAAATATACCTTTCAGGGTTGTTGATAATATTAAATGGGTTAATTTATGTAACTGTCTAACATAGAGTTACACTATGCATATTACAGAATTTACTGTCACCTAGTAAACAGTAAAACAGTGCATGGCTCTTCCTCAAGGGAAAAAGTTTTGAAGAGGGAAAATGCAAGTGTGTGATTAAACCTCTGCCTTTACTAAACAAACTAAATACATCACTGAGTGCCTCTTCCGTCTTTTCTTTAATCTTGTGCTAGTTACTATGCCCATCCACATATAGAATTATCTGGAGGCCAAAAATATCTGAGCTCCTCAAGATGAAAAGTGTTGTTCTAACCAGTTCTTTCAGCCACATCAAAAATGGGCCACACATGAAAGTTTGATCTCACCATCCCCCTCTCACTTTTTCCCCTTAGCTTTCAGCTAAGACAGCTGCTGGATTCAGCCCTTTTCTGTGTCCCTCAGAGAGCTATGAGAACTGAACCAGAGCAGCTACACACCAGCCATTTCTCCATGACCAGGAAAATCCCTGAGCATGCCCACGACACTAAGCATATCTCTGGAAAATAGATGAGTAGGGAAGCATTTTGCAGTGGGTGGGCTGGAATTCATCCCATTCTGCATGAATTTCAGAGTCTTTCCTTTGAAGTTCAGTCCCTGACCTACAATTTGGAAGAACTGGGAATGTTTCTATTACCGTTATCATCAGTAGTGGTTTTATTGTTACTCACATTATGAAAGATATTTCTTCTTATCTTGAAATAGGGCAAATGAAGTATGAGGAACAATGCTTGAAAGTAAAAATATGCTTCTCATTTTTCTGGGATAATGCTTAGAAAATGTGATGGCCATCTAAGACAAAGCTTACTTAAGTGATTTAACTATCATTTTAAGGAATTCATTTTTTAAAAATCTCATTTATGGTTCATCACTTCAGTATTTTTATGCTGAGTTGCCATATCTTATTTAATTAACTTGCTTATTGTTTTGTGACAATCGTATCCTCTTTTGGTATTCTCACTTTTTACATGAAATAGTAAATATATTTCCTAAGTTCCAGGAAAAAATGAGAACACTTTAAAGAGCTGGAAGTATACTATATCTCACGCTTGATGCCAGTAAAAACAACCCACAAGCCAATAAAGGGAAGACAAAGGAAATGCAGTGTCTGCAATGAGTCATTTAACAATATGGTAGTAAAAGGTAAAAAAGAAAGCCCTGGATTGTTTACACTCTTCTTCTGCCCCTCAAATACCCCATCGAAGCCCTTCAACTTTAGCAGATCATTATTTGCATCTACTTTTTTAAGGAAAGAGAGAGCAGGCAACATGTCCTTTACTGCCTCTACCCTGAATTTCTTCAGATGGCTAAAGAGGAAGAGACTAACCCCCTCTCCAGGGAAAACTCCTCATCTATGCCCTGTTCTCATTCTCTCCAGCCTTCTCCACGGCCTTGCCCTCCATCAGTCATCCTTCTACAAAGTGTCAATCACTCTTGATTCTTCTTGATTTCTCCTTGACCTATTAATGGAAACATGCTGGGTGTTTCCCATCCCCATTTTAATGTCCCCTCTGCTTTTCTACCTTCATTACAAAATGGTCACTTTAAATCTAGGTCTCCCACTCTACAAAAATGGTTCTCCTAAATGTCCCCAGTGGCCTCCCTAAACACAAATTCATTGGACTTTTCTCTATTCTTACCCTCTCTGATCTCGGCAGCATCTGACACTGCTGACACCTACTTCCTGTTGAATTCTCTTCCTTGAAGTCTTAGACTCCCCTCTCTGAACCTTTAACCTCACTGTACCTCACAGATTTTCCTTCACTTCTACTCATTAAATGAAATACTACAAAGAGTCTTTCTTGACCCTCTTTTTATCTTACTCTCTTTGGTGATCTTTTTTGGAAAGCTTATTTACTCAACTTTTTCAACTTTCTGCAAATGACTCCAAAATACGTGTTTCCAGTCCTGACTTCTCTCCTAATTCAGCATCTGAATTTCCAGTTGCCTGCTAAACTGCCATATCTCCAAAACAATTAAAATTTTAAATTTCAAAGCCAAATGAAGCATCTCATCTTTGAAATGTTCTCATCTAAACTAATACATTTTCAGCCTCCAAGAGCATTTGGGAGCACATTCAGCCTCTCCCTTTCTCTCATACCCTACATGAATTTAAACGGTGAAAAAAAAGATGAAACTTTGAAACCAGACTGACTTGGGTTGAATCCCTGTTGTGCCACTTTCCAGAACTGTGACCTCAGGTTAATTGCGTGATCTCCCTGAGTTTCTTCATCTGAATTAATCAGGTACCCATATTTACTCAGCCCAGGTATTGCACCAGTTAAATGAAACAATGTTCACAAAGCACCTTCTATGTGCCTGACGTATCACAGCCAGGCAAATAATTTTTATACATTTTTAGTTTTGCTTACAAATAGTCTCTTTTATTGTAACATTTTCTCTTTTGATATTACTGACATTGTCACCACCTTAGTTTTGCGTCTCATTACCACTTGCCTGATGATTGCAACTTTTCTAAAAATATTTTCTTGCTTATCTCCCAGCCTCCTGTCCATCCTCGTTACTACTGCTAGAACTCCTTCTAGAGCACTATTATCTTGCAATGCTACATGGCTTACAGAATAGATGACAAGCTCCCCATCTTAGTATTTAAGTTTCTCCACAACCTGTTCCTTGTCAACCTTTTAAAATCACGGCTGCATATGCAGTCCCCTGAGCCCAGTGCTTTAGCCAGACTGGACCCTTAATTCGACATTCTTTACTTTCCTAGCTCCTTACTTTTGATCACTCATGCTCTTTGCCAACTGGTGGTGTCTGGTTAGGCCATGTGGCCATGGGGCCAATTGTCTGCATTTATTAAAATGGTACCAAGAGGAAACCACAGGAAATAGCCTTTACTTGACATAAAAACTATGTGCCAGAAACATTTCTAAGTGCTTTGGAGATATTAACTCATTTAATCCTTATAACAACCTTATGAGTTAAGCACTATTAGGATCGTAATTCAGAAGATTAAGAAACTGAAGCATACACAAAAAGTTATGCCAGGTTTCCAAAATCATTATAAATAGCACAGCCAAGCTTCAAATACATATAGCGCAGATAGTTGAAATCGTCAAGAGTCTGTGCTTCACTTATCACTATGCTGACTTTCCTAAAAGTTTGTCCGGAGCAGCACCAACGTAAGTAGTTTTAACTGAGGTTGCCAGTCTCCGTGAAGCTAGACACCAACGATTAGGACCAAAAAGGTCAGGAATGAGATGCATTGATGTGTGAGGAAGTTCAAGGTTGACAGTTGCAAGATGAGCAGATGGGAATTTCCTGAGCCCAAGTTCAGGGGCTCATGACACCTTTAAACACAGTACCCATGACCTCTGTGATGGCCAAGTTGGGAGAGCTAAGGGATCTGACACAAGCAAGTCTGTCTGGTTAACAGTCATCTGTCTCACCCTGTCCCCATGAGGTGAGAGCTTCCTGGGAGGAGGAATTATGCATTCCTAACCTTTGTGGCCTCCTAGTATCTGACATAGCACTCTTATTTAGTCAATACACATCAGGTGCCTATGTGTGTTAGGAACGGTATGGGGTTTGGGACATTTCATGGTTTCTTCCCCCAGAGTTGCTACGGTACTTTTTCTCTGATTTGATCTGTAAATTGTATTTGTACAAGACATGTGATTGCCAAGAGCTTTCTCCACAGTCTTTGCAGAAGCAATATAAATCACCTTAAAACCACAGGGCTTTCTGGAAATGAATTAGGGCTGAGACTTAAAGAACCGACTCTGGGGAATTTTAATTAGAACTGCAAATTCATCACACAGATTCTTTGCCATTTGGTGAATCAAACCTATCCCAATAAAACTGCTGTGCTTGGCTCAATTACAAGTGCTATGCCGTCTCCTCTGTATTCCTTCTGGTATCCTGCATAGTGTCTAAATATAGTAGGTTTGCTATACATGCTAGATGAATGCATGTCTGATGATAAGAAATGCTAGTGAAACTTTCACATCTGAGCACTTCTCGTTTTTGTCTCTGAAGTTTAAAGTTGTTTTCCTCAGGGGGAAAGTTGGCTGGTACAATGGAGAAGTGTCTGGGCTATTGATCACAAGTCTCTAACTCTAGAATTTAGCAAACAACAAAAAAAGTTTGAGATAAATGTCTCTATTTTAAAAGCTTACACAAAGTAAAGTTCATTCTGTACACTATTGACCACCAACCTAGACATTCAATGTTTTCTTCCACTTGGGATAAAAAAAGAGGTTTTCACTGCATTTTCTCCTAAATCATATAATTATAGGGGTTTTGAAATTACTGGACCTAGTCTTTGCCCTTCAGGCAGAAAGTATGTTTAAAATTTTCCCTAAGTAAAAATCATTACAGTTGTGTCTTGAATTTTGTATGTAGCATTAGTTCATAAAGACATAGAGGGAATAGGTACTGGCTTGCTTTATTTGCAGTGTCATGAAGAAGTCAGATGTAGCTAAACCTTTTCTTTTGTGTAGTCCTTGAAGTGGTATAAAAAAGGAATTGATGTGGTTTCATCAGTCCTAAACCAGAATCTGTCCCCAACACTGACCTACTAAGAAAATAAGAAATAAGTCAGCTTGGTTGCTTCTTGTCCATTTATAACCTGAACACTTTTTTAACGGTTAGGGACAACTTTTGATGAAGTAAAGACAAATTTCAGTATCAGCAGAGACTATATTAACACATGCTTTATAGTAATTAAAATAAATTAATGGCAATGATACAATAAAACTCCACTGTTCTTTAAAAAAAAAATTTCCCTGAGCAGATTAGTTTGTCTTGTTTTTAAGATACGTTTAGAGATTGCACAACCACCACCAATAGCCAGTTTAGTGTTTAATAGCCCAAGTCTTCTTTCTTTCTTTCTTTCTTTTTTTTTTGAGATGGAATTTCGCTCTTGTTGCCCAAGCTGGAGTGCGATGGCGTGATCTCGGCTCACTGCAACCTCTGCCTCCTGGGTTCAAGTGATTCTCCTGCCTCAGTCTCCCGAGTACCTGGGATTACTGGCGAGCGCCACCGCGCCCAGCTAATTTTTTTGTATTCTTAGTAGAAATGGGTTTCACCATGTTAGCCAGGCTGATCTCAAACTTCTGACCTCAGGTGATCTGCCCACCTCTACCTCCCAAAGTGCTGGGATTACGGGCATGAGCCACCGCACCTGGCCTCAAGTCTTATTTCTAACCGAAACTTTCCAACCTTTCTTTCTTGTCTCTTCAGTGGAGCTGGAGAACAACTAGGTAACTTTGTGTAATTACTTTATGAAGTCATTTCTTTTTCTCAAGAAAAGACATTTAAAAATTTAGAAAGTATAGTTAGTGAATTATAAACCCCTGCATTACAGTGCCTTCCTGTACATAAAAATGCTTATATTAATATAGAGACAAATAACATGGATATATGTTGTAACTAAACAAATATTTGAGATTGAGTCTTGGTTCTAACTCTTACTAGCTGTATGGTTTTAAAGGAATGTAATATCATCTTTATGAAATTCTGTTTCTTTATGTAATATAATCTTTATGAAATTCTGTTTCTTTATCTAAATTAATGTGCAAAATGAAATCACAATAACTTAACAGAGAGGTTTTCTTATACCATGAAACAATGTTGATTTGGGGATGGGAGCATGCCAGCTTAGCAATAATCCAATACTACTCAATTATCACAGCAGAATAGGAAATTAGACTCGTATGCCTACTTTGTTCATGAGGCTGTAAATTCTTCAGGACAGGGATTCTGCCTTATTAATCTTCATAGCCTCTATTACCTGTGCAATGTACAACATAGGTATTTAGCAAATATGTATGGGATTTAAAAATTGTCTGATTGAAATATTCGTAATACTTTAAATATTAGCTGGGCTGTGCAAAGTGTCTCATACCTATAATCTCAGCACTTTGGGAGGCCAAGGCGGGAGGATCACTTGAGCCCAGGAGTTTGAGGTCAGTCTTGGCAACATAATGAGACAACGTCTCTACAAAAAACTGAAAAATAAAAAATTATCTGGGTGTGGTAGCACGTGCCTGTAGTCCTAGCAACTCAGGAGGCTGAGGTGGGATGATTGCTTGAGCCTGGGAGGTTGAAGCTGCAGTAAGCTGTAATCATACCGCTGCACTCCAGCCTGGGCCAACTAAATAAATAAATGTATGTTAGCTGGTTACCTGAAGGGAGACTTGATATACCAAAATAATTCCTTCTCATCTTCAAGGTGTAGAAAGACATTTTCCTTCTTGTACTTCATATATATCAGCATGAAGATTTTAAATTTATCAACAAACTAAACCCAAATTGAGTAATATAACATGTTCTAAATCCTGGAAACGCTTCTTTGCCCTGAAACTATATGTTCATTCTAAAAGGAGAAAAAAAATAGATCATATAGAGCAACAAGATTAAATATTAGACAAAGAAGGAAGTAAGACATTTGAAAACTGACATGACTGAAGGAAGCAACGCACATTTAAATGGCAAATATTTTACTCCAGGGACTTGGCTAAAGCATTTGAAAATCTAGGGGCCAATTATGTGAACTCTGAAGACTGTCGGGAGGGTAGTTACGACTATGTGGGTGCTGGAAAAGAATATGTCTTTTCTTTGCACAGGCTTCCAGAACTAGTTCTCATGAATGCCTAAAATATTTGTTGTGGTGTTTTATAAAGTCATGTCAGGAGCTTTTTTTTTTCCCCCCTTGCTTTTAGAGAAACTATTGTCCTCTTGAGCTTCTTTTCATAGTGTATATTTTTGGATATTTGTAGCAACTTCATAAATTCTTTTAACTTTTTAGCTTAGCCATGTGATATAAAACTTTTCCATTTAAAATGCAAGTTTACCAAAAGAGAAGGTGTTAATAAGAAAATTTCAGTTTTTCCTCTTTCTTCTGGTTGACCTTGTCAAACAAAAGAACTACTTGAGTTTACCTTCCAAGGTCTTGATTAGGGAATGAATAGACTTTAGACACACACACACATACACACACACACACACACGCACACCCTCTCGCACTCTTTAAACACACAGATATATAGAAAAAGAATTTTTTTTTTTTTTGAGATGGAGTCTCACTCTGTTGCCCAGGCTGGAGTGCAGTAGCGCAATCTCAGCTCACTGTAAGCTCCGCCTCCCGGGTTCACGCCATTCTTCTGCCTCAGCCTACCCAGTAGCTGGGACTACAGGCGCCCGCCACCACGCCAGGCTAATTTTTTTTGTATTTTTAGTAGAGATAGGGTTTCACCATGTTAGCCAGGATGGTCTCGATCTCCTCACCTCGTGATCCGCCCACCTTGGCCTCCCAAAGTGCTGGGATTACAGGCATGAGCCACTACACCCAAGCCATAAAAAATATTTTCCAAAAGGGCTTTTTCTTCTAAAACTCCCTGGGATTGGGTATCTTGCGCCTTTGTTCCAGATGGGCTAATGATCAAAGAACCTGAGGCGATACCAGAACCCACCAACTAGACAATGCTTTTAGGGTGAGCACAATCTATTCGTGACACTTGGGCTACACAAGGCCATTCAGACTCAGCTGCAGGAATTTCTGTCCAATCGTAGAGATTCTTTGTTACTCATCATGAATGCCATCTATCACTCCTCACGGTATAGCACTCCAGGCAGGAAAGCCTCTTGCCATCTCGGGTGCAGAGAATACTGACACAAAGTATGTGAACTACAGATTCAGATGACAGGTATTTTGCAGAGGAAAATACATTATGAGAGATACTTTTCACAGCAAGGGGGATCCTTTGATTGGGGCTTGTCCTCTGGAACCTTCAAACCCTTTTGCAAGTTCTAGATGCCATTTGTATACTTAGCGCAAACCAGGGAGATACAGCCAGAGTTAAATCTGTGAGTGGAAATTAACTTGGAATCACTTTTTGTTTGTTTGTTTCAATAGGTTTTGGGGGAACAGGTGGTATTTGGTTACATGAATAAGTTCTTTGGTGGTGATTTCTGAGACTTTGATACACCCATCATGCAAGCAGTATACACCATACCCAAAGTGATCTTTTATTCCTAACTCCCTTTCCACCCTTTGCCATGAGTCCCCAAAGCCCATTGTATCATTCTTTTTTGTTTTGTTTGTTTGTTTTTTTGTTTTTTATTGAGACAAGCTCTTGCTCTGTCACCCAGGCTGGAGTGCAATGGTGCAATCTCTAGTCACTGAAACTTCTGTATCATTTTTTTTTTTTTGAGACAGAGCCTCTCTCTGTCGCCCAGTCATGATCTCGGCTCACTGCAACCTCTGCCTCTGGGTTCGAGCAATTCTCTTGCCTCAGCCTCCTCAGTAGCTGGGATTACAGGCCTGCTCAACCATGCTGGGTAATTTTTGTATTTTTAATAGAGACAGGGTTTTGCCATGTTGGGCAGCCTCGTCTCGAACTCCTGACCTCAAGTGATCCTCCCACCGCGGCTTCCCAAAGTGCTGAGATTGCAGGCCTGAGCCACTGTGCCTGGCCAAAAACTTGTATCATTCTTATGCTTTTGTGCCTTCATAGCTTAGCTCCCCCTTATGAGTGAGAACATATGATGTTTGGCTTTCCATTCCTCAGTTAATTCACTCAGAATAATGGTCACCAATTCAATCCAGATTGCTGCAAATGCTATTATTTTGTTCCTTTTTATGGCTGAGAAATATTTCATGGTATATACATATATACCACATTTTGTTTATCCACTTGTTAATTGATGAGCATTTGGGCTGATTCCATATTTTTGCAATTGTGAATTGTTCTGCTATAAACATGCATGTGCAAGTATCTTTTTCATATAATGACCTCTTTTCCTCTGGGTAGGTACCCAGTAGGGGGACTGCTGGATCAAATGGTAGTTCTACTTTTAGTTCTTTAAGGAATCTCCACACTGTTTTCCATAGTGGTTGTACTAGTTTACTTTCCCACCAACAGTATAAAAGTGTTCCTTTTTCACCACATCCACGCCAACATCTATTATTATTTTTTGATTTTTTGATTATGGATATTCTTTAAGGAGTAAGGTGGTATCACATTGTGGTATTGATTTCCATTTCCCTGATAAATAGTGATGTTGAGCATTTTTTCATACGTTTGTTGGCCATTTGTATATCTTGTTTTGAGAATTGTGTATTCATGTCCTTAGCCCACTTTTTGATGGGATTGTTTGTTTTGTTCTTGCTGATTTGAGTTCCTTGTAGATTCTGGATATTAGTCCTTTGTTGGATATATAGATTGAGGAGATTTTCTCTCACTCTATGGGTAGTCTGTCTGCTCTACTGATTATTTCTTTTGCTGTGCAGAAAGCTTTTTAGTTTAATTAGGTCCCATCTATTTATCTTTGTTTTTGTTGCATTTGCTTTTTGGTTCTTACTCATTAAGTCTTTGCCTAAGCCAATATCTAGAAGGGATTTTTCCAATGCTATCTTCTAGAAATTTTATGGTTTCAGGTCTTAGATTTAAGTTTTTGATCCATCTTGAGTTGATTTTTGTATAGGATGAGAGATGAGGATCCAGTTTCATTCTTCTATATGTGGCTTGCCAATTATCTAAGCACCATTTGTTGAATAGGATGTCCTTTCCCCACTTTATGTTTTTGCTTGCTTTGACAAAGATCAGTTTACTGTAGATATTTGGCTTTATTTCTGGATTCTCTATACTATTCCATTGGTCTATGTGCCTATTTTTACACCAGCACCATCCAGTTTTGGTGACTATGGCCTTACAGTATAGTTTGAAGTTGGGTAATGTAATGCCTCCAGATTTGTTCTTTCTGCTTAGTCTTGCTTTGGCTATGTGGGCTCTTTTTTGATTTCATATGAATTTTAGGATTTTTTTCTAGTTCTGTGAAGAATGATGATGATATTTTGATGGGAATTGCATCGAATTTGTAGATTGCTTTTGACAGTGTGGTCATTTTCACCATATTGATTCTACCCATCCATGAGCATGGGATGTGTTTCCATTTGTTTACATCATCTATGATTTCTTTCAGTGGTGTTTTGTAGATTTCCTTGTAGAGGTCTTTCACCTCCTTGCCTCCTTGGTTAAGTATATTCCGAAGTTTTTTTTTTGGTTTTTTTTTTTTTTTGCAGCTATTGTAAAAGGGGTTCAGTTTCTTATTTGATTCTCAGCTTGCTCACTGTTCTAACAGAGCTATAGCAGAGCTGCTGATTTGTGTACATTAATTTTGTATCCTGAAACTTTGATGGATTCATTTACCAGCTCTAGGAGCTTTTTGGATGAGTCTTCAGGGTTTTCTAGGTATATGATCATGTCATCAGCAGACAACAACAGTTTGATTTCCTCATTACCAATTTGGATGCCCTTTATTTCTTTCTGTTGTCTAATTATTCTGGCTAGGACTTCCAGTGTTATGTTGGATAGAAGTGGTAAAAGTGGGCATCCTTGTTGTATTAGTCAGGGTTCTCTAGAGGGACAGAACAAACAGGACAAATGTACATATGAAGGGGAGTTTATTAAGGAGTACTGACTCATATGATCACAAGGTGAAGTCCCACAATAGGCCATCTGTGAACTGAGGAGCAAGAAAGCCAGTCTGAGTCCCAAAACCTCAGAAGCAGGGAAGCCAACAGGGCAGCCTTCAGTCTGTAGTCAAAGGCCTGAGAGCCCCCTGGCAAATCACTGGTGTAAGTCCGAGAGTCCAAAAGCTGAAGAACCTGGAGTCTGATGTTCGAGGGCAGGAAGCGTCCAGCACAGGAGAAAGATGAAGACTGAAAGACACAGCAAGTCTAGTCCTTCCAACTTTTTCTGCCTGCTTTATTCTAGCTGTACTGGCAGCTGATTAGATGGTGCCCACCCAGATTGAGGGTGGGTCTGTCTCTCCCAGTCTACTGACTCAAATGTTAATCTCCTTTGGAAACACCCTCACAGACACACCCAGGAACAACTCTTTGCATCCTTTGATCCAATCAAGTTGATACTCGATATTAACCATCTCAAGTCCACCCCTTGTCAACTTGAACCCATACACATCTCCTGCAATCATACATAATTTTCAAATAAAGACAATAATAAGGTCATAGTTATGCCTAACATAATAGGGCTATCCTTCATACAATCAGAATTACACTAATCCTTAATCTAAATGCTATTACATAAAGTTAACAATACTTAAATACTGATATGAAGTCAAGAAATCTTATGTCACATGATAAAGGAAAAAGAAAGAAAATAAAATGAAGATATTTTCTTAGTACAAGTGTATACATGCACAAACATGTTCCTAACAAAATAAGGAGGAAATCCGTATGACAATTACAGTCCTCTTTTCTGCAACTGGTCATGTGGTTGTAGCTAGTATTGATGACTACCTTCTTCTACCACCCATTCTGTATTCCTTTTGCCTTCAGGAAGCACCTCAGTGGGTCACAGTTTTTTACCTGATGGAGTGGCCCAAACCTTCATTCCTAAATGGTCTGGGCCATTTGTAGTCCTGCCTGATTTGGGTTGTTGTAGTTTCCCATTGACCTTAATCACAGGGCATGGTAATACTAAGAGACACCCTAAGGGATCTCTTGTATTCCACACATACTCTTCCCTACCTCCATCATGGACTCCCTTACCTCCATAGTAGACCGACTTCATAGTGGTAATCTGGGCCAATCACCACAGCCAATACTGTAACTCCCTTCTTAGCCTGTTGACTTAGGGATAGGAGGAGCCCAAAGTGTCCAGGTGGCAATCTTAACTTCCAGTTTAATGGAATCATTGTGTCTCCTGGTAGTTGCATTCCTCCTTCTGGAACTAAGACCTCTAGACTAGCAGAACACAATGTTGCAGGAACAGGAAGCAAAAATTTTGCTAGTGGGTCACTAGGGGTGATGGTAAGTGATGCCATTTCCACTTCCACCCCCTGATTCCTGGACCCATGAATCCTGGCTGGCTATGGGAGAAACAGTACCACATATTGGATGCTGATTCAGGGCATACATAGCCTTCTGGAGAACTTAAACCTAGCCCTGCAAAGTACTGTCACCTAGTTGGCGTTGTAATTGTGACTTCAAAAGGCCATTCCACCATTCTATCAATCCAGCTGCTTCAGGATGATGGGGAACATGGTAAGACCAGTGAATTCCATGAGCATGAGCCCACTTCCTTAGCTGTAAAGTGAGTGCCTTGGTCAGAGGCAATGCTGTGTGGAATACAATGATAGTGCATAAGGCATTCCATGGGTCCACAGATGGTAGTCTTGGCAGAAGCATTACATACAGGGTAGGCAAACCCATATCTGGAGTATGTATCTATTCTGGTGAAGACAAACCTCTGCCCTTTCCATGATGGAAGAAGTCCACGTAGCTGGCTGATTACCTTGAGGAATGGTACTATATTGAGGGCTCAGTGTTGGTCTCTGCTGCTGGCAAATTGGGCACTCAGCGGTGGCCATAGCAAGGTCAGCCTTGGTGAGTGGAAGTTCATGTTGCTGATCCCATGTGTAACCTCCATCCCTGCCACCATGGCCACTTTGTTCATGGGTCCATTGAGGGATGACACGGTGGCTGGGGAAAGAGGCTGAGTGGTGTCTACAGAATGAGTCACCCTATCCACTTGATTATTTAAATCCTCCTCTGCTGAGGTCACCCTTTGGTGAGCATTCACATGAGATACAAATATCTTCACAGTTTTTGCCCACTAGGGAAGTTCATCCACATACCTCTTCCCCAAATTTCTCTGTCACTAATTTTCCAATCATGCCTCTTCCAAGTCCCCGACCATCCAGCCAAACCATCAGCTACAGCTCATGCATCAGTATATAATCGCATATATGGCCATTTCTCCTTCCAAGCAAAGTGCTCAACCAGCTGCACTGCTCAAAGTTCTGCCCTCTGGGAAGATATACCTTTGCCACTGTCCATCACGGATGTCCTAAAAAGGGGCTATATGATGCAGCTGTCCACTTTCAGGTGGTGCCTGCATATCGTGCAGACCCATCTGTAAACCAGGTCCTAGTTTTCTCTTCCTCTGTCAGCTGATCATAGGGAACTCCCCATAAGGCCATCAGTGCAGGCTGGGGGTGAGAAGGCAGGGTGGCAGGAGTGGAGACCATGGGCATTTGAGCCACTTCCTCATGTAAACTTGTGCCCTCAGGACCTGCTTGAGCCCAGTCATGTATATACCACTTCCATTTGATGATGGAATGCAGCTTTGCATGGCCCACTTTATGGCTATGTGGCTCAGAAAAGACCCAGTTGATGATAGACAGTTCAGGTCGCATGGTGACTTGATGATCCATAGTCAGACGTTCAGTTTCTACCAAAGCTCAGCAACAGGCCAAGAGCTGTCTCTCAAAAGGAGGGTAGTTATCTGCAGAAGACGGCAGGGCCTTGCTCCAAAATCCTAGAGGCCTCCACTGTGATTCACCTATGGGGGCCTGTCAAAGGCTCCACACAGCACCTCTATCTGCCACTGACACCTCGAGCACCATTGGATCTGCTAGGTCATATGGCCCAAGTGAAAGAGAAGATTGCACAGCAGACTGGACCTGTTGCAGAGCCGTCTGTTCTGGGCCCCACTCAAAACTGTCAGCCTTTCAGGTCACTTGATAAATGAACCAGAGTAACACACCCAAATGAGGAATGTGTTGCCTCCAAAAACCAAATAGATCCGCTAGATGTTGTGCCTCTTTCTTGGTTGTAGGAGGGGCCAAATGCAACAATTTATCCTTCACCTTAGAAGGAATATCTTGACAGGCCCCACACCACTGAACCACTAGAAATTTTTCTGAGGTAGAAGATCCCTGAATTTTAGTCAGATTGTTTTCCCATCCTTTGGCATGCAAATGTCTCACCAATAAGTCCAGTGTGTTTGCTACTTTCTCGCTCACTGGATCCAATCAGTATAATATCATCAATGTAATGGACCAGTGTGATATGTGGAAAGGAAAAGTGATCAAGATCTCTGAGAACAAGATTATGACACAAAGCTGGAGAGTTGATACACCCCTGCGGTAGGACAGTAAAGGTATATTGCTGGCCTTGCCAGCTGAAGGCAAATTGCTTCTGGTGGGCTTTATGGATAGGAATAGAGACAAAGGCATTTGCCAAGTCAATGGCTGCATAACCCATACCAGAAGATGTATTAATTTGTTTCAAGCTATGAACACATCTGGTACAGCAGCTGCAACTGGAGTCACCACTTGGTTAAGCTTACAATAATCTGCTGTCATCCTCTGAGATCCATCTGTCTTTTGCACAGACCAAATAGGCGAGTTGAACAGGGATGTGGTGGGAATCACCATCCCTGCATCTTTCAAGTTCTTGATGGTGGCACTAATCTCCACAATCCCTCCAGGGATGAGATATTGTTTTTCATTTAGTATTTTTCTAGGTAGAGGCAGCTCTAATGGCTTCCATTTGGCTTTTCTCACCATAGTAGCCCTTCACCCTACAAGTCAGGGAGCCAATATGGGGGTTCTGCCAGCTGCTAAGTATGTCTATCCCAATTATGCATTCTGGCACTGGGGAAATGACCAAAGGATGAGTCCAGGGACCCACTGGACACACTATAAGTCAGACCCGAGCTAAAACTCTACTAATTACCTAACCTCCATAAGCCTCTACTTTAACTGGAGGACCACAATGACATTTGGGTCCCCTGGAATCAACATCAGCTCAGAGCCAGTGTCCAGTAGTCCCCAAAAGGTCTGATCATTCCTCTTTCCCCAGTGCACAGTTACTCTGGTAAAAGGCTGGAGGTTTCCTTGGGGGAGGATGGGAGAAAGATTAACAGCATAAATTGTTGGTAGTTTAGTGTGGTCGTTCCTCAAGGGGAGTCTGGCCTCCCCTTCATTCAAGGGATTCTGGGTCTGTAAATTTGTTCATGTCTGGAATTTGATTGAGGGGACATAATTCTTTATTTTTATAATTAAAATTAGTTTTTGTCCACTCGGCCTAGAAGCTTTTGCTTATACAAATTACTATAGTGAGAATGCAGTGGGCTTCTTATCAATTTCACTTCTAGGAACATCATGATTAGCCAGTGCCACAGCTCTACATGAGTCAGACTATTCTGATTGCTGCTTTGCCTCTGCTATCTCTTACGGTAACTACACCTTGCCTTTGAAGGTTGAATGCCATCACTTGGCCCCTGCCACCTTGACTTTCAGTTATTCCCATTGCATTTAAATTTTCTTACTAAGTGACTGTAGTTCCCACTGTAAGACCTGGCCTACAGAGAAGGGCAATCACAGACCTCTTTAAGGATGCAGGTGCTGCCCTCACAAATCTATTTCGCCAAGTATTGGTGAAGGGTATGTCTTCTGTACACTCCAGCTGGGATGAGTAGGTCTAAAGTGACTAATCCACTCTAGCATTCCAATCTTCCCAAGGCTTTGGATTCCTTCCTCTACATTAAACCAAGGGAGATCAGGCATTTCATTTCCAGCTTGCTCACAGTGGGCCATCTTTTGATCCATATTTCAGCTAACCAAGCAAATGAACTATTAAAACTGTTTTTAACTCCCTGAGCTGCAACATTAAATGCAGGATCCCTGCTTGGTGGACCCATGTCAATACATTCAGTCTGATGTAACTTCATGTTTCTTCCACCATTATCCCACACCCTTAATATCCATTCCCATGCATGTTCTCCAGATTTCTGCTTATATCAATTAGAAAACTCAAGCAGTTCTTTTGGAGCGTAGCACACCTCCTTGTGGGTCACACTCTAAACCTTACCTCTAAGGGGCCTGTTAGGACTTGAGTCTAGTTATAGGTCTAGAAGCAAACAGGGGTGTTGGGGGTGGGTCCTGAGGAGAATAAGTATTTTTTTGCCTGGCAACTTCACTGTTGCTTCAGGCAGTGCAGGGTTATCTCCTCAGACAGAGGTAGAAAGGCTGATGGCAGTGTGGGTGGGGGAGGGGATGTTGCCACTGCTGGGTATCGGGAAGCTATTCCTTCTGGCAAAAAAGGTTCATCAGAGTTTATGAGCTGTGTCTGTGGCTTCATCAGGGTCCTCTCACGTGACCCCATTCCAAGTTGCAGGGTCCCATTCATTTCTAATCAATGTCCTCACCTTAACAGTAGACACCTGGCAAGACTGTGCATGCACCTTTCATTGCAGGTCAGCCACTCTCATGATAAGAGCTTGTGTCTCATTTTCTGCAATTTCAGACCTTTGTCTAGAGGAGATAAGACACTCACTAAGGGAAATCTCAGAAGACTTGAGGCTCAGTCTGTGCTTCTGGAGCCAGGAGTTAGAATTCCTGAGCTCATCCTTTTCTTTCATCACTTTTCCAGCAAGCTTATGAGCAACCAACCATCTTCATTATATTCCTTGGTTCTCCACATATGGTCAAAAGTATTATGTATAGAGTCACTAAATTCCTTGCCTCTCACGAGTGGTGGATCAGGAGTATCAAATGCATTTATTTTGCATAACTCTTTAAACAGTGAATGGCAAGGACTATCAGTGTTCTTCATACTATTAGAAGTAGAGTGCTTAGCATTTTGGGTTTAATCAGATTAAACAGCCAACTCCAGAAACCTCCAAACCAACTAAAGAAATCCATTCTTAAAATTCTGTTCCTCTAGAGCCACTCCTGGTACCAAAATCTGCATTAGTCAGGGTTCTCTCTAGAAGAACAGAACTAATAGGATAAATGTATATATGAAAGGGAGTTTATTAAGGAGAATTGACTCACATGATCACAAGGTAAAGTCCCCCCATAGGCCATCTGCAAGCCGAGGAGCAAGAAAGCCAGTCTGAGTCCCAAAACCTCAAAAGTAGGGAAGCTGACCGTGCAGCCTTCAGTCTGTAGTCAAAGGCCTGAGAGCCCCCTGACAAATCACTGGTGTAAGTCCAAGGGTCCAAAAGCTTAAGAACTTGGAGTCTGATTTTCGAGGGCAGGAAGCATCCAGCACAGGAGAATGATGAAGACTGAAAGACACAGCAAGTCTAGTCCTTCCAACTTTTTCTACCTGCTTTATTCTAGCTTGCTGGCAGCTGATTAAATGGTGCCCATCCAGATTGAGGGTGGGTCTGTCTCTCTCAGTTCACTGACTCAAATGTTAATCTCCTTTGGAAACACCCTCACAGACACACCCAGGAACAACTTTGCATTCTTCAATCCGATCAAGTTGACACTCAATATTATCACACCTGTCTTGTTCCAGTTCTCAGGGGGGATGCTTTCAACTTTTCCAAGTTCAGTGTAATGTTGGCTGTGGGTTTTTCATATATAGCCTATATTACATTAAGGTATGTCTCTTCTATGCTGATTTTGCTGAGGGTTTTAATCATAAAGGGATGCTGGATTTCGTCAGATGCTTTTTCTGCATCTATGGAAATGATCATGTGATTTTTGTTTTTAATTCTGTTTATATGGTGTATCACAATTATTGATTTGAGGATGTTTAAACCATCCCTGCATCCCTGGTATGTAACCCATTTGATCATGGTGGATTATCTTTTGATATGCTGTTGGACTCAATAAGCTACTATTTTGTTGAGGATTTTTGCATCTATGTTCATCAAGGATATTGGCTGTTGTTGTTGTTGTTGTTATATTCTTTCCTGGTTTTGGTATTAGGGTGATGCTGGCTTCATAGAATGATTTAGGAAAGATTTCCTTCTTATTTTTTGGAATAGTGTCGATAGGACTGGTACCAATTCTTCTTTGAATGTTTGATAGAATTCAGCTGTGAATCCATCTGGTCCTGGATGTTTTTTTGTTTGTAACTTTTAAATTACCATTTCAATCTCACTGCTTGTTATTGGTCTGTTCAGAGTTTCTATTTCTTCCTGGTTTAGTCTAGAAGAGTTGTATATTTTGTATATTTCCAGGAATTTACCCATCTCCTCTAGGTTTTCTAGTTTATGCACATAAAGGTGTTCATAGTAGCCTTGAATAATCTTTTGTATTTCTGTGGTATCTGTTGTAATATCTCCTGTTTCATTTCTAGTTGAGCTTATTTGGATCTTCTCTCTTCTTGGTTAATCTTGCTAATAGTCTATCAATTTTATTTATCTTTTAACAAAACCAACTTTTTGTTTTATTTATCTTTTGTGTTTTGTTTGTTTCAATTTCATTTAGTTCTTCTCTGATCTTGCCATTTATTTTCTTCTACTGGATTTGGGTTTGATTTGTTCTTGCTTCTCTAGTTCCTTGAGGTGTGTCCTTAGATTGTCTATTTGCGCTCTTTCAGACTTTTTGATGTAGGCATTTAATGCTATGAACTTTCCTCTTAGCACTGCTTTTGCCATATCCCAGGGCTTATGATAGGTTGTGCCATTATTATCATTCAGTTCAAAGACTTTCCATCTTGATTTCATTGTTGACCCACTGATTATTCAGGAGCAGGTTATTTAATTTCCACATATTTGCATGGTTTTGAGGGTTCCTTTTGGAGTTGATTTCCAATTTTATTACACTGCGGTCTGAGAGAGTAACTGTATTACTTATAAGAGTGCTTATATAATTTATATAATTTTGGTTTTCTTAAATTTGTTGAGACTTGTTTTGTCACCTATCATACGGTCTTCTTGGAGAATGCTCCATGTGCTGATGAATAATAGAATGTATATTCTGCAGTTGTTGGGTAGAATGTTCTGTAAATATCTGTTAAGTCCATTTGTTCTAGTGTATAGTTTAAGTCCATTGTTTCTTTGTTGACTTTCTGTCTTGATGACCTGTCTAGTGCTGTCAGTGGAGTGTTGAAGTCTCCCACTATTATTGTGTTGCCATCTATCTCATTTCTTAGGTCTAGTAGTAATTGTTTTATAAATTTGGGAGCTCCAGTCTTAGGTGCATATATATTTAGGATTGTGATATTTTCCTCTTGGACTAGTCCTTTTATCATTATATAATGTCCCTCTGTGTTTGATTAACTGCTGTTGCTTTAAAGTTTGTTTTGTCTGATACAGGAATAGCTACTCCTGCTCGCTTTTGGTGTCCATTTGCATGGAATATCTTTTCCTACCCCTTTACCTTAAGTTTATATGAGTCCTTATGTGTCAGGTGAGTCTCTTGAAGACAGCGGAGACTTGGTTGGTGAGTTCTTATCCATTCTGCCATTATGTATCTTTTAAGTGGAGCATTTAGGCCATTTACATTCAACATTAGTGTTGAGATGTGAGGTACTATTCTCTTCATCATGTTATTTGTTGCCTGAATACCTTGTTTTTGTTCATTGTGTTATTGTTTTATAGATCCTGTGAGAATTACACTTTAAGAAGATTCTATTTTGGTGTATTTTGAGGATTTGCTTCAAGATTTATAACTCCTTTTAGCAGTTCTTGTTGTACTGGCTTGGTAGTGCCTAATTCTCTCAGCATTTGTTTGTCTGAAAAAGACGGTATTTTTCCTTCATTTATGAAGCTTAGTTTCACTGGATACAAACTTCTTGGCTGATAATTATTTTGTTTAAGGAGGCTAAAGATAGGACCCCAATCCCTTCTAGCTTGTAAGGTTTCTGCCGAGAAATCTGCTGTTAACTTGATAGGTTTTCCTTTGTAGGTTACCTGATGCTTTTGCCTCACAGCTCTTAAGATCCTTTCCTTCATCTTGACTTTAGATAAACTGATGACTATGTCCCTAGGTGATAATCTTTTTGTGATGAATTTCCCAGGTGTTCTTTGATCTTCTTGTATTTGAATGTCTAAATCCCTATCAAGGCCAGGAAAGTTTTCCTCAATTATTCCCACAAATATGTTTTCCAAACTTGTAGATTTCTCTTCTTTCTCAGGAACACCAATTATTCTTGGATTTGGTCATTTAACATAATCCCAAACTTCTTGGAGGCTTCGTTCATTTTTTAAGATGCTTTTTTCTTTGTCTTTGTTGGATTTGGTTAACTCGAAAGGCTTGTCTTCAAGCCCTGAAGTTGAAGTTCTTTCTTCTGCTTGTTTGATTCTATCGCTGAGACTTTCCAGTGCATTTTGCATTTCCCTAAGTGTGTCCTTGATTTCCAGAAGCTGTGATTGTTTTTTATTTATACTATCTATTTCATTAGATTTTTCCATTCATATCCGGGTTTTTGTTTTCTTTAAATTGGACTTCACCTTTCTCTGGTGCCTCCTTGATTGGCTTAATAATTGACCTTCTGAATTCTTTTTCTGGCAATTCAGAGATTTCTTCTTGGTTTGGATCAATTGCTGGTGAGCCACTGTGATCTTTTGGGGGTATTAAAGAACCTTGTTTTGTCGTATTACCTGAATAGTTTTTCTGGTTCCTCCTCATTTGGGCAGACTATTTCAGAGGGAAGATCTGGGACTCAAGGGCTGCTGTTTCAATTCTTTTGTCCCATGGCATGCTTCCTTGATGTGGTGCTCTCCCCGCTTCCCCTAGGGATGGGGCTTCCTGAGAGCCAAACTACAGTGATTGTTATTTCTCTTCTGTATCTAGCCACCCAGCGGAGCTACTAGGCTCTGGGCTGATAATGGGGACTGTCTGCCAAGAGTCATGTGATGTGATTCATCTTCAGGTCTCCCGGTCATGGATACCAGCACCTAATCTGGTGGAGGTAGCTGGGGAGTGATGTGGACTCCGTGAGGGGCCTCAGTTGTGTTTTTGTTAAGTGCACTGGTTTTGTGTTGGTTGGCCTCCAGCCAGGAGGTGACACTTTCAAGAGAGCATCAGCTTGTGATAGTATAGGGAGGATCATGTGGTAGGTGGGACCATAGAGGTCCCAAGAGATTACCTCCTTTGTCTTTGGCTACCAGGGCAGGTAGAGAAAGACCATCAGGTGGGAGCAGGGTTAGGCGCGTCTGAGCTAAGACTCTGGGTGGGGCTTGCTACAGCTGCAGTGGGGGATCGGGATGTGGTTCCCAGGCCAATGGAGTTATGTTCCCAGGGGAATTATGGCTGCCTGTGCTTCCTCACACAAGTCACCAGGGAAGTGGGAGAACCCCGGCAGTCACAGGCTTCACCCAGCTCCCACACAGCCAGCAGCGTGAAGGCCGGACTCACTCTCACCGTGCCCCACAACAGTACTGAGTTACATATTCAGGCAGCCGGTGAGCAGGGCTGAGAACTTGACCCAGGCTGCAAGCCTCCCGGCTGAGAAAGCAAATGGACTCACAGTTCCTTGGCTGTCCCGCAGAGCCTGCAGTGGCAAGCCACCTCCTTTAAAGGATCTGTGAATTCTCTCGGCTTTCCTGGTATGTTCCTGTGGCAGTTCTTGGAGCAAAAGTTTATGATGTGGGTCTCTACATGCTCTGTTCATCTGAGTGGGACCTGCAAGCTAGTCCGGCCTCCTGTCTGCCATTTTTCCCCATCTTTCTACCCTTCACTTTTGAAAGGATGTCATATTCAATTTAATGCCAATCCTAGCAGGAGAAACTAAATAAAATATATCTGTCGAAGTATTTGTTGTAGCTATTTTCTGATTAACTCTGGGAATTAACCTTTCGGTATAGATTGGATTGACCTGAAATCACATGAAGAAATTAAAATAATTAAACATGGTCATAGTTTAAGAAAACAACTTCCAGTTTCTGTATCACTTATGTGAATATTGGGTTACTGCACTTGTTGAGAAATGGTTATCAGGTTAAATCTGACCAGGGCAGAGCCACCATTCTTTGGGTTTGGAAGTAGTGTTTCCCCTTAAGGGCAGACAGGTCTTTCCTGGTATATTCATGAGAAGAGGCAATTCCTAAAGCAGAAAAACTGAGTGACCTCTAGGTAGATAAGAGAAAAAAGCTCTGCCTCCCTTCTTGCTAAACTGTAAAGAATGTAGGTGTCCAGGAAAGTGAGCCCTACAGCCTGGGTTTTAACAATATCCTTTTTCAGGTGGATGCAGGGAGATAGCCAGCAAGGACAGGCCAGCATTCAAAGTGCCATATAGGATGAAAGTCTCTAAACTACTTCGTTTGCTAGATTTTCTAAATTTGTTTTACTCTTTTGTTAGGTTTCTTTGTAATTGTCTAGCCTTGCAGTAAAATCTTGTTTGACTATTCCAGATTTGTCAGCCCTATTAAAGATTATAAAGAGAAGGAATAAGTGAGAGTGTTGGAGATGATGTCAGAAAGCTCTAACAGCAGAGCGGTGTTTACCCAAGTCAAGTTTTCAGAGGCTGAAGTCTTGGCTGTTTTTCTTTTTCTTTTTCTTTTTTTAAATAGAGACAGGGTTCACCATATTGCCCAGACTGGTCTTGAACTCCTGGACTCAAGTCCACCTGCGTCAGCCTCCCAAAGTGCTGGGATTCCAGGCATGAGCCACCATGCCTAGCCAATCCTGGCTGTTATTGTGACGGTGCCTCATGCAAGACCCTGAGCCATACCATCCAGCTAGATCACTTCAGATTCCTGACCCTTAGAAACTGTGAGGTAACAAATGTTTGTTGTTTCAAGCTGCTAAATGATGGAATCTTTGTTGCACAATAATAGATAATGAAGGCATAACAGTATAGAGCTAAGAAGTCCAGGAAAAATGTGAACAAGAAGAGGGAGACTCGGATCTTACCAACATCCCAGCTCCTTGCCACCACATCTTTCCTTTGGGGACTTTTGGTTGGACTCTAGTTGAGGGATGAGATGGTGGATTCACTTTTGTCCTCATCAGATTGAGGGAAGAAAATGCCCACTCTAGACCATAGAAACACAACTGGAAAGAGCCAAGTGGAGTCAGGGTCTAGGCTGAGAGAAGCTCCAGGGAATTTATTCAGGAGTAGAAGGAAGTACCTACCAATGCGAAGGGGGAATGGATTAGTGGAGAAACTTGCTTTCCGTAAATCCTCCACTTGAAAAGGGAAAGAAAAATGACCATTCGGGACAAGAAGGTCCTCAACTTGTTAAAGAGTCAGAGACCTTTTGGGGAGGCCTGAGAGCCAGGCATGCATGGTGAGCCTCACCAAACAATCTTTCTGCATTCTGGGAAAAAGAAGTGCTGAACAGCTTCTCATATGAACAGCCTCTTCATATCAGGAAGGGGTTTGAAAGCCCGATTTGAAGGGATCATTCTCTTTTTTTGATTAACCACTAATAACTTTCAAATTTCCATATGGGTGAGATGGACAAAACAGTGAATTGGTATATATGTCTTGCTCGAGGATCCCTACCCAGCTAGATAGAAGACTTCGTGGAAATACTGAAAGCAAAATTCAAATTTATGGCCGAGCACAGTGGCCCAGGCCTGAATTTGCAGCACTTTGGAAAGCCATAGTGGGAGGATTGCTTGACACCAGGAGTTTGAAACCATCCTGGGCAACATAGCAAGATCCTATCTGTACTGGAAAAAAAAAAAAAAGAAAAGAAAAATTACCTGGGTGTGGTGGTGTGGCACCTGCAGTCCTACCTACTTGGGAGGCTGAGGTGGGAGAATCATTTGAGCCCAGGAGATTGAGGCTACAGTGAGCTGTGATTGCATCACTGCACTCCAGCCTGGGTGACAGAATGAGACCCTGTCTCAAAAAATAAAATAAAATAAAATAAATTAACATTAGATTACAAAAATCAACCCAAGCAGAAGCACGTGGGATGAAACGCTTGGAAAACTAACACAACTCTGATCAAGTAGGAGCTGGTTGAGGGCAGGTTGGCTACTGATTGGATTCTGAGATATCCAACAGGTCCCAGGGAAATAGAGGTGGTGGTCATGGTAGTAAGGCTGTCTCTGAGATCGCAATTAAAAGATGATAGTTTAGGAAAGTCTCCCACAATGCTGAGAGAGGAGCAGACTCCTTCCAAAGGCTTCCCTCCTGAGGAGGGTGATAAAGCGGGAGGAGTTGAACTGGGGAGAAGAGGGTGGGGGGAAGGCATTGAAGACTGAGCTACAGGGCAGATTATTCTGCCTGCTCCATTCCCAGCCAGAAGCTACCTCAGCAGACCAGCAAGGCATTGGGGAAACTGAGGAATGAGTACTAAATAATAATCTATGGCTATTCTGAGAGGAAAAAGATGAATAACACAAAAGAGTTGAAACAAGTTTCCTTTCAGCATCAAAATGTGAATTCTAGATTTTTTTTATTAGAGAGAGTGGCATTGCATTACAGGTTTCCTTGTCTATTTTTCACATTTGTCAGTCATGCTTAGGCTTTAAACAAAGTAATTAATTAATTATATTGTAGAAAAATATGAATTACACACTGTTAAGTGGGAAATAAAAAGTAGGTTACCAATAGTATATGCAGTACAATTCTACTTTTGCTTTTAAAATGTATGTATATTACATTAAAAGATGCTCAATATCATTAGCAATCAAGGAAATGCAAACTAAAACCATAAATGAGATACCACTATATTCTTATTACATTTTTGAATTTTTTTTATGTGAAAATACCAAGTGCTGACAATAACTTAGAACTAGAACTCTCATTCATTGTTGGTGGGAATGGAATTGAAAACAGTTTGGCAGTTTTAATTAATAAAGTTTTTTTAACTTTATAAAGTTAAGAATTTTAAAAATACTTTGTAAAGCATAAAGTTTTACTTTATAAAGTTAAACACACTTACTATATGATCTAGTAAACTCACTCCTACGTATTTACTGAAGAACAATAACAACACTGGTCATATATGTTTATAGTAACTTTTTTCATAATTGACAAAACCTAAATGTTCTTCAACTGGTGAATGAGTGAACTGTAGCACATACAATAGAATATTACTCAGCAATAAAAAGGAACGAACTACCAATATATGCAATAAAATGGAGGAAGCTCAATGCATAACATTAAGAAGGTTAAACACTGTATGATCCAGTTTATTAGACATTCTGGAAAAGGCAAAACTACAGGGGCAGAAAATAGATCAGTGGTTTCCAAGGGCTAGGATGAAGGACAGGTTGGCCTTAAGGGGAAACAAGGCAATTTTTGTTGATGCTGAAAATATACCATATCTTAATTGTTTGGTGTACATATTAGTAGTTGTCTATAATTCAGTTTTAACTTTTTTCTTTTTTCCTTATTATAATGTTTACGTATTTTATTTTATATATACCATGGAGTAAAAGAAAAAAATA
Organism: Homo sapiens; assembly: GCF_000001405.40. Lineage (NCBI taxonomy): Eukaryota > Metazoa > Chordata > Mammalia > Primates > Hominidae > Homo > Homo sapiens. The sequence continues at coordinate 25,299,349 of NC_000012.12, read as the reverse complement.
AATTATCTTTATTTTAGCGTACAGTTCTATAACCTGTTTTGACAAAGGCGTATGGTTGTGTAACCACTACCTTATCTAGCTTTCTAAATGCCATTCTCCACTAAATAGAACAAGAGACCTACAAAAAAAGCATTGATTCCAATGCTTGAGCAGAGAGATATAATATGAATCTGGAATATCTCACTGCACCAGAAAGTTAGGATTCACCCAAAGAATGGAGGGACTGTATTGAAAGGACACAGGAGACAGCTGGAAAGGGTTCCCCACTGACCAAATGCAGGACAATTTAAACATCAAAATACAAAAATAATTACAGCAATGGATTATAACCTACTGAGTAAAATAAAAATCTGTGAGCTCATACTGACATACATGCATACATGCAGGAAAGCTCTTCCTTACAATAGAAAGTCAACTAATAAATATAAAGAAATAAGAGTTTTTGGCCAGGCGTGGTGGCTCACACCTGTAATCCCAGCACTTTGGGAGGCCGAGGCAGGCGGATCACGAGGTCAGGAGATCGAGACCGTACTGGCTAACACGGTGAAACCCCGTCTCTACTAAAAAATACAAAAAAAATTAGCCGGGCGTGGAGGCGGGTGCCTGTAGTCCCAGCTACTCGGGAGGCTGAGGCAGGAGAATGGTGTGAACCTGGGAGGCAGAGCTTGCAGTGAGTCCGGTGGGGTGGGGGGGAACAAGAGTTTCTGAATGTTCAATGGATGCTAAACCAAGAACACCAAACTTTGATAAGGAACAGGATATTTGCATGGTTTCACAGTGGAGGAACCTAGAGAGCACCACCCTATCCAAGTGATCATAGTCGATATTACCAATACTATGTGCCACTTGCTATGATTGCTACAAAACGAAGGCCAAACCATGACATCCATGGTTTTCCTGGCAAAATGCATAATCAAAATCTAAACATGAGGAAACATCAGACAAACACAAGCTGAGGGACAGTCTCCAAAGTAATGGCTGTATTCTTCAAAAATAACAAGGTAAAAACAAAAACAAAAACAAAACAAAACAAAAAACAGAAAAGCTGAGGAACTATTCCAAATTGGAGAAGACCAAAGAGATATTACAACTAAGCACAATGCCTACCATTGGAATCCTAGGTTAGGAAAAATAATAGCAATGATGTATATTAGAGAACCATTGATCCCATTTGAATACGGACTATGGATTTGCCAGTAGTGTTACAGCTATGTTAAATATCCTGATTTTGATTACAGGAAATGCACAGTGAAGTATTTAGGAAGAAAGGAACATGAGGTCTCCAACTCATTACTACATTTCAGAAAAAAATACATGCATGAGTTGATACAATGGTAAAGCCAACAGGGCAATATGTAAAGAAAAAAAAAAAAAAGATTGGGTGAATCTGGATAAAGGATATATTGGAGACCCATCTACTATTGCAACATTTTCAAGTTTAAAAATATGTCAAAATAGTTAAGTTTAAAAAAAAAATAATATTAGAGATATGCTGGAGTTGTTTTGTACCAATCATCTGCTCCCTGTGAGCAAGCAGAGATGCAACTGGAGTTTTTAGAACTGTTTAAGGGGAAGTTACCAGAATATTTACAGAAGCTCCGAATGCTTCTCAAATCTGGTGGAATCCTTATTCAGCAAAGGTGGTATTGTATGTTGGTGGAAACTTCGGGAGGCCCATATTCAATTAGAAACATGCGGGATTACTGCTGTACTTATATATCCTTCTTCGTAACTTTCCATATCTTTTGCTATTTTTAAGACAAAGCCTTAAAATGATGATGTATTGGTTAGCATATATACTATCTACAAATTTAAGTCCTCTGCTGCTATCATATTTTGCCTGGCCTCAAGTGTTTAGGACAAAAATTAGGCCAGAGGAGGTGTGGGAATATTAATCAGCAGAGAAAAGGCTGCATGAGCAGCAAAGTTGGGAATATTTGCAAAATATCCTTCTACCTCTGGCTGAGGGCATGAGGCACGTGTGGGAGCTTTGTGAACTTTTCTTATCCCTAAGTACCATCACCTGCTTCTCCATACTCTTAAAGCTTTGTATTACATCAAGTGATGAGGAAAGGTCAGTGACCAAAATAAATAAAAATAATTTTTTATAAAAAATTGACATTAGCATGGTGTAATGGAAATAATGCAGACTTTGGTGTCAAAATACCTGGATTCAAGTTTAGCAAACCACTCCATCTCTCTCTGTCTTCATTTTTTCATCTGTAAAAAAACATGGCTTCCTGTTTTTGGGGGCAAAGAGTTCTTATACAACAAAAAATGTTAGTCATAAAGGAAAAGATTCATAAATTGGACTACATTAGAATTAAGAACTGTTCAAAGAAGACACTATGATGAAAGTAAAAAAAAAACAAGCTGTTAGCCTAGAAAAAAATATCTGTAATATAACTGAATTACAAAGGAATATATCCAAGATATACAAAGAAACTCTCTAAGTCAATAAAGATAAGGACAGATAATAGAAAAATGGGCGTGGGATTTCAACACACACATCACACACACACAAATATCCAAATGGCCAATAAGCAGATGAAAAGAGGCTGGATCCCAGTGATAGTAATCAAGGAAATGGAAATTAAAATTACAATATGATAGTACTACATACCCACCAGAAAGGATAAAATTAAAGACCAGCAACAGCAATATGCTAGTGAGTGGCCAGAATGAGAGCAACTCTCATATGCTATTGAAGGGAGTGTGAATTGGTACAACTGAATGAAAACAATATGACATTGCCTAGTAAGTGCATAATTTATGACTCAATAATTTCACCACTCCATATCCACCCTAACTTGTGCACATGTGCACCCCAAGACACATGCACAAGAAAGTTCATAAAAGCATTTTTTATATTTGCCAACTCTGAAGCAATCCAAATTTCCATCATTAGTAAATGGAATCTAGGCACAGTGGCACATGCCTGTAGTCTCAGCTACTTGGGAGCCTGAGATGGGAGGATCACTGGAGCCCAGGAGTTCAAGACCAGCCTTGGCAACACGGCAAGACTGTGGGGAAAAAAAATTAAATGGATAAATAAATTATGACATATTCCTTTAATGAAAATACTCCATAGCAATGAAAATGGATGAACTATAGCTGAAAACAATATTGATAAATATAAAAAAAAATTATCTTGGGTCAGAGAGGCCAGGTGCGAAATAATACATATAGTACAATTCTGTTTAAATCAAGTTAAAAAGACAAACAAAAACTACAGTGTTTAGGGATGTATCTATGGGTGGCAGCACTGTAAAGAAAAGCAAGGAAGTGATGGCCATAGGTGTCAGGCGATAAACATACCTACCTGTGGTGTAGAGGTTGGGATAATTGTTGAAAAGGGCACAAGAGGCACTTTTGGGACCTGACAATGGTCCTTGATCTGGAGGTGGTTACCCAGGTTATTTTCTTAAGTCCTTGAGCTGTACATGTTTTGTGTACCTTATTGCAAGTATATTATATTTTATAATGAAGGGGTTAAATTTCATTTTAAAAGACGTAATTCTATCAGCCTTATCTATGTCAAATACTTGTTATGAGTCAAATAAGAAATGTAAAGGCACTTTAAGCCTGTAACATGCCATACATTTATACTGCTGTTTTTTTCTATTAATAACAAAATAAATAACTATAAAGGACCAAAGAGACATCTCCACAATGAAAATACTAGAGCAGCGTATCCTAAATTGAAATATCACATTTCTAAGGGCAAAATGGCTACCAGCCTAAAAACTCTGCTGAAATGAATTCATCCTGTCTAGACCAACTCAGCATCAAAAGTGAAAACAGATGACTTAGCTATTTCCTTTTCTTTTTAAATTTGACTAGTAATGCTCATTGATATGACTTTGGGCCTATGTGAAGATTAAATCAGAAAACTCAAGGTAAGAGTTGAAAACCAAGAAAGAAAATTCTAACTGAAGACTTACAAGCACAACTTATATTGTCACGTTTCCTCTAGCTTCTTGTGTACAGCTGATTTTTTTTTTAATTTGCTATTTATTATCAATATCATCTATAAGAGTAATAGTAATAAATAATAATTATATATGCTGAATTTAAGAGACTGTTTTATTTAAAATTATTCACTTTGTGAGCTAGGTGGAAATCTTTTCTTCAATGTACCCTACCATGTCTAGGATTCTGTTATCTACTACTATTAATAAATTAGCAATTCATTCATGAATTAATTCCACAATACTATTCTTTCTTCAGTAATTTAGTGATATACATAAAGACAGGAGTTTTATGGAAGAAATCATTTGTAGATCTCCTTGGACTTTATACTACCTGCATAAACCTAGGAATAATCCTTAACTTCCCCTTTTCTGTCTCCATAACCAACCTGGTCCCCTAATTGTGCTTTCATTCTATTTTTAATTGTCTCCAGATTCTGTATTTTCCTCCTTCCCCCTGGAAATGGTTTTACTTCAGAAAGCCACTATTCCCTCTGAGGAGCTATTAAAATGACCTCCTAACTGACTCCTCCTCTCTCCTCTGCTTCTAATTCATTCTCCCTCCACTAATTCATTCTTCACATGATATACGATTTAATCATGCCAGTTCCTCTCTTTGAAATCCTAATGGCTCATTCCAGCTTCTAGTTTCATCTCTTTCCACCAATCCCTCCTCTCCACCCACCACCCTACCTCCCCATGGACTCCAGAGATACCTTACATTACAATTATACTGAGCCTTTGAGCATTCTCCCAACTCGGCCTTCCTCTGCCTGTATAAGCTTCCCATTTCTTCCTCGCCAGTCAGATGCCTACCATGGGCACATTAGTAGTCATTTAATAAATATTCATTGACCGCAAAGCTGTTACACCTTAATGGAAATGCACCTGGCTCTCCCAGGCAATTAATTGCTTTCTGTTTTGGGAATCCCACAGTGACTTGTTCCTGTCATGATTATTGTTTTGTAACTCTTTATTCTTCAAGAACAGCAGCCCTGGTTTATTGATTGTTGTATTCAAATAGTACCTAGCATATAGTCAGTGCTCAATAAAATGTAATTGTTTCTTATTATTATTTTTCTAATTTTTGTAAATGGCAAAAACCACAAGGGCAAATGAATAAAGAAACTCTTTTGGGGGTCGTGGGAATGGCTACTGTTAAAGGAAAATTGACCCTTTCATTTCAGCCTTTCAACTGCATGGATATCCAGTAAATAACTATTGTATACATCCTCTGTACCAGTAACTAGGGTAGGTATTGGGCACAATAATTCATAATTGCTTTCTCATGGTGCTTTATATCTGGTGGAATAATAGAGCTACCATGAGTGGATCTGAGAAAGGTGTTTTCCCATTTGCCTTCACTCATAGGAAATGCCTGGAATGTCCTATACAGAAAGGATCAGCTTTTATTTTTTTGTCTTAGCCTTTAAAATAGCTCCTTTCATCATAAGTGCTCATAAAAGCATTTCTCTGCTTCTCTGTCACTTGACCTGAGGTTTTCAAAGTATCCCCCAAAGAATATGATTTGAAAGAAGAAATCTTTAGTCATGATGATGTGAAATTGATCCTCAGTCACATGCTCTCCTTACTCAGACAGCAATATTAACCACCATCCTATTAAGTGGCGCCAATTATGATTGAAAGCCCATCATGTGATCATGGTGTTGGCTAGCCCCTATTTCAATGTAGTCCTTTAGGTTTTCAAGCCTCGTAGAAAGTAAATAATCACAGACTGTCAAACAAGCTTTACTGTTAGCAATTAGTTCTTTGTGGGGTACACAAGACACCATACTATTCATTTTGGTTAGGAAAATAATTTTCCTTCCTTTCTAATATAACTGTATTTCATATATTTTTAACCCTAATAAAAAAGACTTTAGGGAGGGGTTTTATGTTAATTATTTAACACACACACATTAAATTCTTATCTTCCAGACCAGGTTGAAAATAAAATTTAAAGATTCCAGTTAATTATATTCCTATATCTGCCATTCACACATGGTCAACTGTCCAAGATTTAGAGTTGATAAAATCCACGTAACATTATTTATATACTTTTAGCAGTGTATTAGTCCATTTTCATGCTGCTCATAAACATATACCCGAAACTGGGAAGAAAAAGAGATTTAATTGGACTTACAGCTCTACATTGTTGGGGATGCCTCAGAATCACGGCGGGAGGTTAAAGGCACTTCTTACAGGGTGGTGGGAAGAGAAAATGAGGAAGAAGGAAAAGTGGAAACCCCTGATAAACCCATCAGACCTCATGAGACTTATTCACTATGACAAGAATAGCATAGGAAAAACCGGCCCCCATGATTCAATTACCTCCCCCTGGGTCCCTCCCACAACACATGGGAATTCTGGGAGATACAATTCAAACTGAGATTTGGGTGGGAACACAGCCAAACCACATCAAGCAACAAGTAACAGAAACTTCGGTTAAAATAGGGTTACACAGAAGTAAGGCAGGTTACAAACGCATAGAGTCTAGGTCCACTTCTCTATAATCTCTTGCCTTTGCCTTCTCTGTATGCTGGCTTTATCTTCAGCTTTGCAGCAGGGAGACTGTAACAATTCCAGGTGTCAACTTCAGATGCAACACAACAATATCCAGAAGAGGATGGCATTGTCTTTCTTTGTGTCACAAAGGATGGCTAAACCCGTCCCCAAAGCCCCCAGCAAGCTTTCTTCTCATAAGAGTTATGTCACAAAGAGGCACCTAAGCCAATCTCTGGTCAGGGACTAAGAATGTCGTGATTGCCTCAAGACCCAACAAGAATTTAGCTCCTAGTGCTAAATTAGTGGAGCCAATATCCCTTGAAGCCCCTAGCCCAGTGGAGGAGAATGGATACCTAAACAAAACTAGAGTTCTGTTAGTAGAGAAGAAGCAAAAAAGTTGGTTGTTGATTAGGAATCAGCATCTGCTACAAGCCTGGAGGATACATTATTCTGTGAAGTGGAGGAGAGCTGGGAAGACACTCTAAATACAAAATTTATAAGCTTCAAATTTTTGCCTGGGGCTCAACTCTGGTTTTAAATTCATTGTTAATTAATATCTATTATTGTTGTACATCAGTCTCAGAAACACGTGTCAATAGAGATTTTCTAGTTACCAAATACATGCTAATAGAAACAGTCTATTAATAGAATTATTGAGTATACTAAGTCATCATGCTTTCCATTACGGAGTAACTAAGGCATCCATCATGCTTTCCATTTCCCACCAAAGCTAGTATAAAACAACTAATTTTTTTTTTTTTTTTTTTTTTGAGACGGAGTCTCGCTCTGTCGCCCAGGCTAGAGTGCAGTTGCGCGATCTCAGCTCACTGCAAGCTCCGCCTCCCGGGTTCACACCATTCTCCTGCCTCAGCCTCCTGAATAGCTGGGACTACAGGCGCCTGCCACCGCGCCCGGCTCATTTTTTGTGTGTTTTTAGTAGAGACGGGGTTTCACCGTGTTAGCCAGGATGGTCTCGATCTCCTGACCTCGTGATCCGCCCGCCTCGGCCTCCCAAAGTGCTGGGATTACAGGCTTGAGCCACCGCGCCCGGCTAAAACAACTAATTTTTGTGTTAATGATTTTGTAGACAAAATACAACGTGTATCCTGTAATTTACTGAAGGGTTATTTGATAACATGCATGGGTGTCTAATGCTTTGTGATTTAGTTCTAAGAGGGGAGTATATGTTAGCTTAATATTTAGATTTATAACCATTAGTTGTATCGTCTAGTACTTGGGTAGTCTGGCTGTTGTTTACTCATTAATTTATTTATTCAAATTATATTTGTTTTCTAGATATATTTCATGTCAGGCACTAGGCAAAACTCTGGGAATATAAAATTTAATAAAAATGGACTAGATTCTCTTGAACAGATAGATGTTTTACTCAGTAGATTTGGAAAAGTAAATCTCCTGAGGGATACCCATACTTTAAAAATCACCCAAATCAGAAAAGATGCTACAAGAAGAAAGAAAGAAAAATAAAAAAATAAAATAAATGGAAAGCCAAATTTTTTTTAAAGGGAGAAATGGTCTGGAACATAATTAATACTGTGTTTTAAGAATTATTTTCTTAAAAGCTTCTTGCGGAAGTCAGTTTGCAGTTTGGAGGGAACTGTTGGGAAATAGAAGGCTTGCTCAGTCCTTTTGCTTTATCTCCATAGATGGTAAACACTTAATGTGGCCAAACCTATGATATCATCTACCATTACACCTTTGCAAATAGTTATCTCATTATCAAATGGGAATAGAAAAATGAGAGGAGGGAAACCCACAGAATCTAGCAAATACATGTCTTTACAGCTAACAAAGCATAAATTTCAAAGAATTCTATTTGTGTTTCATAAAATGTAGGTATTTTGACTGTCAAAACCTTGGAGGCAAGGGTTATCATTTATAATTAGGTACTTTCTGCAACCCCCTAGTGTTTTTACAGTCTTTTGTATTCAACATTTGCTTAAATATTTTATACTGAGAAACATAAAGTGAATTCATTGCTCATTGCCTATTTGTAAAACTTACATGTGAAGTCTGCTCCTTGTTTATTTGGGGATACATTCAAAGTAAGGCCCTAAGGCCTAGAAACAAAGATGCAATTTGGAAGCTACCCTCCATTGGAAATGCATTCAAACAGTAATTTCTATTTACATGCAAAAAAATCTCAAAGTTGCCTGACATTAAAGCAGGAAAAATTATGTAAACTCACAGGAAATATAAGTGCATCCTTTGTATCTTATTCAGTTCAATCCAATTTGATAAAATAAATACATTGTAAAAGCCCAGATGAAGGTTAATGAGGGTATGACTGAAGATGGTAACAATGAGAGTAGAAAGAGTTGAGCAATATTGCTGCACAGGATAAAATATAAATTCCTAAGCATGACATGAAACGCCCTTCACAATCAGAGTTCTGATTGCCTTTCCCACTTCATCTTTTGCCAAACTACCTCATGTTCCAGCCACTGAACACCACCTGAGATTCCCCACATCCTTCACGTCTCCATGCTATTTTCCCCAACATTTTATTTTGAATATTTTCAAACAATGTTTTAAATAATGTTACAGTGAGCATCCAAGTGTCCACTACCTAGATTTTTTTATTTTACTGTATTTACTTTATCATATATCTACCCTTCTATCTATTCTTCTATCAAAGTAAATTGCAGTCACCAATGGTCTTTCCCCTAAACACTTCAGCATGCATATATTTAACTAGAGATCAATATCTATTTATGGCCTTTTATCTTCTTTTTTGTAGTAAAAATTTACATACAGTAAAATGCATAAATCCTAAGTGTACCATTCACTGAATTTTGACAAATATACACAGCTGTGTGATTAAAACTCGTGTTGAGATACAGAACTTTACCATACTTCCACGATTTTCTTCATAGCCTTTCCCAGTCAAACCCAGTCTGTCTTCCAGAGGTAACCACTGTTCAAATTTTTTTCCCAGAGATGAGATTAGTCTCACGTAAAAGGAATCACACAGCATGCACTCTTCTCTCACCTAGCATAGTGTTTTTGAGTACAGTTGAGTGTATCAGTTCATTCCTTTCTAATTGCTGAGTTGTATTCCTTTGTATGAATATATCACAGTTTGATTATCCATTCTCCTGTTGACGGATACTTAAGCTGTTCCCAGTGTTTGGCTATCACAAATAAAGCTATTGTGAACATTCTTGTACACATCTTTATTTGGACATATGTTTTCATTCTCTTGGGGTAAATACTAGTGAAATTGCTGGGTCATATGATAGGTTTATGTTTAACTTTCTAAGTAATAACCAAACCTCTTCTCAAAGTGGTTGTACTATTTTACACTTCTCTACCAATGTATGAGAGTTCCAGTTGCTCCACATACCCTTCAACATTCGATGTTGTTAGTCTTTTTAATTTTAGCCATTCTGATAGGTATGTGGGGGCCTCTCGTTTTTTAATTTGCATTTCCCTGGAAACTGACAATGTTGAGCTTTTTCTCATATACATTTATTATGTATTTGTATACTTCCTTTCATGATGTGTCTGTTCGAATATTTGCCTTTTTATTATTGAGTTGTAGGATTTCTTTATAATCCTGGTTACCAGTCCTTTGTCAAAGAATTTTAAAAACATTTTCCCCAGTCTGTGACTTGCCTACTTATTTTCCTAATGATGATTTTTTTTAATAATTGAAGGTTTTTAACTTCATAAAGTCTAGTTTATCCAATTTTTATTTTTGGGTTATTGCTTTCCATATCATGTCTAAGAAAGCTGTTTCTAAGGCACAAAGATATTCTCCTGTTTTCCTTTGAAAGCTTTATGGTTTTTGCTTTCATGTTTAGAACTATAACCCAACTTAATTTAGTTTTTGTGTACAGTGTGAGGTAGAGGTTGAGATTCATTTTTGCTATATTGATAGTTATTTCAAAAGTTGGTTGAGAAAAATGTATTCCCATAGTATTGCTTTGGTCATTTTTTAAAATGATTCTCTATACGTAGATCTATTTCTGGGCTTTCAATTTCATCCCATTGATCTATTTGTTCATATTTATGCCAGGACCATAATTTATTGATTATTGTAGCTTTATAGTAAGTCTCGAAATCATGCAGTATAAATGCTTCAATTTATTTTTCAAGTTTACTCTGCTTCAAGATCTTTTGTATTTTCATATAATTTCATATAATTTTAGAATCAGCTTGTCAATTTCTACCAAAGAAAAAAAACCCTGCTGGGATTATGATTTAGATGGCATTGATCTATAGACACCTATGTTCTTTTTTAAAAAAAATATTTTTTTCTCCATGCTTTTTTGAATGCTAGTTCAACTGCCTGAAATTCACTTTTCCTATCTCTATTAAAAGGCAGCTCTTGCTCGTTTTTCAGGACTCAGTTCATATAGCACTTCTGTTAAATCTTTCAGTCAACCTTCTCGGGGGGTACAATGAATTATTTATTCCTTCCTCTGAGATCCATAACTAGTTGCATAGTGTATATTTCAATATCATTTATCATTTTATATTATGATTGTTTTGGGTTGCAATATCTTTTTTTGTTGGAATACCTTTCTTCTCAACTAGTCTGAAAGGTCATGAGTAGGGGCTAATACCTTATTCAGTGTTATTTCCTATCATGTAGCACAGTAACTGATACGTCGTAAATTTTCTTTAGATTTTATCCATGAAACCCTTTATCATGTGTCTACATATACCAGAGATTAAATCTTACCTGGGGAACACAGAAACAAAACTATGTAGATAAATGAATAAAATAATTGCAGATAATGCTAAGTGACATAAAGATAATAAAACGAGGGAAAGGGGTAGAGGACATTGGAGGATATGTTGCAACTACTTCACCTCAGGTGGTCATAGAAGGACTCTGAGAAAGTGACATCTGAGTTGAGAAAAATAATGAAAATGGAGCATTCGTAAGAATTTGTGAGGGGTCAAGAGCCTTTCAGGCAAAAGGAACAGAAAATGAAAAAGCCCTGAGGTGAAATCAAGTTTAGACCAATGAAGAACAATTATTGAGCAACTGAGTGTGTCTAGCAAGAAGGGTTTATGAGAAAGCTTCACAGAGTTCAGACTTGAGAAAATAAGTAGATGTTATTCTGTCAGTGAAGCCAGAGGGAAAATATTCTAGGCAGAGGCAACTATATATGGAAAGGAGAAATATGCAGTCCAAGGAAAGAGTGGTAAGAAATGCAATTACAGACGTAGGCAGGAGCCTAATACTATAGGTCTCATGGACCATGGAAAGGAGCTTGGATTTTATTCTAATTGCAAAGAAAGTTAGTAAAATCACAAGATGATATAATAAGACTTATCATATATACTATAGGTGATATAGTGCATGCTTTGTAAAGACCACCATGGGTCCTAAGTGGAAAATAGACATGGGTAGGTGGGGCAAGAAAGGGAGCCCTGAGACCAGTTGGGAGACTGTTGCAGTGGTCTGAGTGGGAGAGAAGAGAGACTTGGTCCAGAGTTCCTCGGTGGAATGGATAAATGGTGGTAATCTATGGGCTATATTGGAGGTAGCATAGACAGGTCTTGTTTATGGATTGAATAAGATATATGAGGAGAACAAGATCAAAGGTGGTTACCACTTTTTCTGGACTGGGTGCATGATGGGGCCATTTACTGAGATAAGAAGGAGGAGCACATTTGGGCAGAGGGAGTGGGAAGGAAGAGAGGCCAAGGATCAGGAGTTCCATTTTGGAAATGTTAAGTTTGAGGTGTCTGTTAAATATTCAAGATGAGATGTTGACTAGATAATTGGATATATGAGTCTGGAATTCAGGACAAAGGTCAGAACTGGATGTACCTGGGAGTCATAAGCATATGGCAAGTATCCAAAACCATGGGCATGGATGAGATCACTAAAGAAGAAAAGAGGACTGAGGAACAAAGGAGACTGGAAAAAAGAAACTATTATGATAGGATAAAGCCAGGAGCCTATGATATGAAGGAAGCCTAGAGAAGAAAAAGAAAATGTTTCAACAAAGAAAGACTAGGTAAGAGATCAAATCAAATGATGGGTGGAAAGTTGACCTGCAGAAGTTTTCCAAGATGGAATTATCTAGTGACCTAATAAAAGCCATTTCAGTAGAGTGGTATTCACAAAAGTCTGATCATAGTGGATACAGGAGTGATTACAAGGTGCAAAAGGAGACAGGTAACATAAATAAGTTCAAAAATTTTGTCCTGAATCTGCAGAGAAAGATTGAATCAAAGGATTTGTTTTATTCATTAATTTTAACTTGGGATGATATTAAGGCATATTTGTATGCAGATGGAAATAAACTAGCCATGAGGGAGAAAGTGAAAGAAAAACGAAATAATTTATGAAATAAGATCCTTGTTAAAAATGACAGGTTGAAATCAAGAGCACAGAAGGCAGGCTTGGCCTCAGGAGCGGGAATCTGGTTGCAAGAGGAAGGGAAGCAGAGCACATGGGTACTAGTGTATTTCACTATTACGTGGGTAGAACTACATTAGTACCATGTCCAATGTTAACACTATAAGATGGCGGATTTGCTGGAGGGAAAACATAAATAAAATATATAAAACGATGAAAAACTTGTGAGAGACTCCTTAGGATATAAAGATTGATTGGATTTAATAAAAAAGTGAAAAGCACTCAAACATTTTCAACATTATAGGTAAATGTAGTAGGGAGGGGTGTCGCTGACAACACTTTTAATCAATTCATTCATTCATTCACTCATTCAACAAAAGGCAGCATGGACAGAACTGATGCCATCTCTGTCCTCAAGAAACTTGCAGTTGAGTTTACATAATAGTTTTTGAGGACCCCATTGTTGTATGAGACACTAGAAGAAAGTGGATGGCTAAAACATTGCTCCGTGGTCATGGATAAAAACAGGGGCTATTTGTTGTTCCTGAGATACATTCTTCAGGTAGAATATCTAGAGATACTCTTTTTTAATTATTAGATTGCTTTTTATCATGGCTGTACTACAAAATTTGAAGTCCATTGGCCCCAAATGTTTGCCCCTATACAATTATAGGGTGGGCACAGTTGCTCTGTCCTTTTGAAAGGACGACTTTACACACATAAAGTTGTGCACATATTGGTGGTTACAATCCTTCTTTAGATATGCTGATATAAGCATTCAAGTTATTGCAATGTGCTACAGTAGAGATTCATAATTGAGAGTATGGACTCTGGTACCAAATTGCCCAGATTTAAAGAATATCTTCACCATGGACAAATTCAGTGACCCTTATTTCTAAGCCTTTCTAAGCCCCAGTTTCATCTTCTGTAAAATGGAAATAATATATAGAGCTAGATATATGTACAGAAATAAGTGCATGTATAAAAGGTGAAGTCTGAATAAGCTCTGTGGGTTGCACCAATATTAATATCTTGGTTTTGGTATTATATAATAGTTGTGTAAATGTTAACATTGAATGGGGAGAAGTGTGCTTGGGACTTCACTGTATATTTCCTTGCAACTTTGCTTGAATTTATAATTATTCAAAATAAAAAGTTAGAAAAATGGTCCAGCGTGGTGGCTGACGCCTGTAATCCCAGCTGGGAGGCCAAGGCAGGTGGATGGCTTGAGGTCAGGAGTTTGAGACCAGACTGACCAACATGGTGAAACCCCGTCTCTACTAAAAATACAAAAATTAGCCAGGTGTGGTGGCGGGCACCTGTAATCCAAGCTACTCGGGAGGCTGAGGCAGGAGAATCGCTTAAACATGGGAGGCAGTGGTTGTAGTGAGCCGAGATCGTGCCACTGCACTCCAGCCTGGGCAACAAAGCAAGATTTCATCTCAAAAAAAAAAATTCAGAAAAATGTGAATGATAACAGTACCTAGCTCATAGGATTTCAGAAAAATTAAATGATTTGATATATATGTGTAAATTTTTTAGAATAGTGCCTGATATACATTAAGCATTATATAAATGTTAGCCATCATTTAAAGGTAATTTTTATTGTATCTGCTGTCATTTATTTTTATAGTTTAACTCTCTGGGGACAACCATTTTTTTTTTTATTTAATAGTCCTTGGGTGAGCTATGTGTAATATGAAGATTACATATGCCATACACATATGTATAATATATACACATTTACAATTTAGTATAATGTCAGGCACCCAATAGGCTTTCTACAAATGTTCATTTTACTTTCTCCTCATGTTAACATCTTACATAACCATAGTACATTTGTCAAAACTATTAACTACAGACATTATTCTGTTTCACCAGTTTTTCCACTAATATTCTTTCTCTGTTACAGGATCAAGTCCAGGATCCCACATGACATTTAATCATTGTGTCTTCTTAGTCTCCTCTTATCTGCCTCAGTCTTTCCACGTCTTTTTTGTTTTCTTTTTTTGAGACGGAGTCTCACTCAGTTACCCCGGCTGGAATGCAGTGGTGCGATCTTGGCTCACTGCAACCTCCGCCTCCTAGGTTCAAGGGATTCTCCTGCTTCAGCCTCCTGAGTAGCTGGGACTACAGGTGCATGCCACCACTCCCAGCTAATTTTTGTGTTTTTAGTAGAGATGAGGTTTCACCATGTTGGCCAGGCTGTTCTTGGACTCCTGACCTCAGGTAATCCACCCACTTCACCTTAGCCTCCCAAAGTGCTGGGATTATAGGTGTGAGCTGCCACGCCCAGTCTCCATGTCTTTCGAAGAGTATTAGTCAGGTAGTTTGTAGAATGTTTCTCAATTTAGGTGTGTCTGATGTCTTCTCATAATTAGTTTAAGATTGTGGATTTGGGGAAGAATTCCACAGAGGTGAAGTTCCATTTTCATTATGTCATATGACAGCATGCATAATATTAACACGACGTATCACTAATAAAACTGACCTTGATGACTTGATTAAGGTGGTGTCTTCCAGGTTTCTCCACTGTAAAGTTGCTATTTTTTTTCTTTTCATACTTATTTTCCTTTCCATACTTTGAAAGCAAGTCACTAAGCCCCTACTGAAGGGGAGAGGAACTAAGCTCTACATCCTGGAGCAGGAGTGTCTGTCTATATACTATTTGCAATTTCGTAGAAGAAAGATTTGTCTCTTACACCCGATTTACTTATTCAGTCATGTATTTATATCAGTATGGACTCGTAAATATTTATTTTTTTCTTTGAATTATAACCCAATACTATTGTTTATTTTGGAAGCTTTTTTGGGGTAACTCCTCTGTCTTTTTAACATACTCCCATCCTTTTTCATTTTTAACTATTCTTTTAAAGCATAATAAATGACAACACACACAAAAATGTATACACATTGAGCACACTGGCAATCTTCAAAACTGTGTTGGCAGGGACCTTTAATTACGGCATTCTGGCAATAGATGCCTTCTGATACCACTACATAGATTTAAACTCTTGTTTTAAAACATGAAATTCCTTGAAAATTTTCACATATTGTTCCACTACAAAAAAAGAACTTGAAAACAACTGATAAAACATTGAGTATTTCCTGTACTTTTTCACTTCCTGCTTCTCACTCTTCTGGAAAGTGAGAAATCTGTGAAAAGAATTATTTCAATTTTTTCCTATTAAAAAAAAAATACGGTAAATAGATCTGCCTGGTTGAGAAGTGTGACATAGCGAGGAAGGCCTCCTGATCCCAGTATCTAGTTGCTTTAGAAATTCTGGAATAGCACTGCCAAGTGTTCTCCTAATGCCTTTCTAAATATTTATCTGAGGTGTTCTAGCAGAGGCTTTTCTGAGCCATCAGGCATTCATGAACATGACTATACTGGCAGTCAGGCAATTTTCTGGGGAGAGATGCAAATGTGATGAAGATATTTGTATCATCTACCGGTAGTTCTGAAACAAGCCAGAAAGCTGAGCTAGAGGAGGAACAAACAAGTTTATTTAGAAACTCATGGAGTTTAGTGGATTTTAATATACTTAAAAAAATTCTAACAATATGAAGTGCTTACTTGTACAAGGCATTAGAATAGTCACTTTCACCTTTGATTCTTATAACCTTAGAGGTTAAATCTTTACTCAAGGTCATTATATTAGAGTGCTTGCTATAAGTGACAGAAGATCCAACATTACGGTGGCACAGATAGAAGTTTACTTCTCCTGTGTAAAAGTCTGTGAGCTGATATGGTGTTTTGAGGCATGCATGGCCTTGACTTTCTGGTCCAAGGTGGTAGCATCTATGTTCCAAGCAGAAAGAAGAAAGAAGTAAAACAGGACACATATGCTGCTCTTTAGGAAGGCTCCCAGAAGCTTCCCCATGACACTTCTGCTCACATCCTATTGGCCAGAACTTAGGCATGTGAACATATCTAGCTGCAAATTAGGCTGACAGTGTAGTCATTCTTTTTCTAAGTGGTTTTGTGCCAAGTTTTCTATGACTACAGAAGGGGAGGACAGATATTAGGAACAACTAGAAGTCTCTGCAGTAGTCATAAGTAATAAAGATGGGATTTGAACTCAGATATGTCTTGCCCTCATGCTCTTTCTAAGCCAGATTTGTTTATGAAGAAAGGTCTAGAAAATATGTTGAATTGGCCCCTTTAGCATTATGAAGTTGACCAAAAGGAAGGAACATGTATGTGACATGGGATGGAAAGGAGCTGAGAAATCAGAAACTGGGCTTCATAAGGAATCACAGCTTTGCCCCTTTACATGGGCAAGAACAATCTTGCTAAGTCTTCAGGTCATCCTGAAAAAGAAAAACAATATTTTGAGGACCTCTTATCTGTGACCTTAGACTCCAGCTATGCTGTCCAGTACGGTAGCCACTAGCCATTTGCGGCTACTGAGCCCTTGAAATGTTACTAGTTAGAATTGAGATGTACCAAGTTTAAAACACACACTGAATTTCGAAGACTTAGTACCAACAAAAAATAAAATGTATCTCAATAATGTTTTATATTGGTTACATTTGAGATGATAATATTTTAATATATCAGAAATAAGCAAAATTGAATTAATTGTACTTATTTCTTTTAACCTTTTAAAATTTGGCCACTAGACTTCAAATTACATATGCAGCTTGCCTTTGTGGACTGCATAATATTTCTATTGGAAACTGATTTGTCTAGGAGACAAAAGATTGTCCTATGGCTTCCCTGTCATGAAAATGGTTTTCTAAAAGGCTCATGGGATGTATAAGAAAGTTATCTCTCTAAGGGTTTCCTAAAAGAGGGGTGTGGCAAGTCTAGCTCAAATAAATGACCCCAGGTTCTGAGGTCCCTTTCCCATCTTCTGTGAAATGTGGATGATGTTGACTATCCCCTGGGCAACTTGTATGGACTGACTCCAGCACTTGGATTGTACTGAACCTCTCTCTAGGTCTCACTTCTGAGGCATACAGCCCTTGTTCTTACTAGATGGATGAGGTGATTTACTGCTTTACCTTTTGAAAGCACTCTGGTTTATTCACATCCATAGTAGGAAATATTTCTGGGTTTGACTCAGGAATAACAGTTGGGCAGCATAACCTACTTGAAAAACCTCATGATTTCTAAAAGATTACTGAAATCGAGTTTTCAAGCACATTTGCAAGGTATGTAGTAACTTTGTCTCAGCCAGAAGTATTGAATTGATTAAAGCAATTAGATGCTTTCTTATTATTCTCTTATCTGTCTTTGGCTTCAGGTTTCTTTTTTCTTTTTTTGGACAGAGTCTCGCTCTGGCACCCAGGCTGGAGCGCAGTAACGCAATCCCAACTCACTGTAACCTCCGCCTCCTGGGTTCAAGCAATTCTCATGCCTCGGCCACCCTAATAGCTAGACTTACAGGCACATGCCACCACGCCCAGCTAATTTTTGTATTTTTTAGTAGAGATGGGGTTTTGCCATTTTGGCCAGGCTAGTCTCAAACTCCTGACCTCAAGTGATCCCCCTGCCTTGGCTTTCCAAAGTATTGGGGTTACAGGCGTAAGCCACTGCGCCCAGCCAGCTTCAGGTTCTTTTTAGCAACGATTGATCTACATTTTCCAGTTGACAGTTCAGTGTTCTCTATGTAGAAGAAAGAAGGAGGATTTGAGGAGTTCTGTTTTTTTTAGACCATTAATATTTCACCATATAGTGTCAGCAGTGAGTATATCTCTTCCTTGTTTGTCTGTTCTGAATACACTGTAGGATTATATGTGTACACACACACATATATGTAAACATACATGCATGTACACCCATATGTAAACATATGTGTATACAGCACATAAATATGTATGTATTTGTAAAAACATATTTAAGTATATAGATATATGTTAGTGGGTATACATGTGATATCTTCTTACATCAAATATTATAAATATGTAGATAGAGAACCAATTTTGATGTCCTTAGCATTTTCTTCAAATCTCATCTTCTTCCAGATTTCAAATGTTCTGTTTGTTGCTTTTACCATTATAATTATCTTTTGTTAACGTCAAATTAGTCAGCACCTGCACTGTTCATTTGAAACATTTGCAAATCACACTGATATCAAATTAAACTAATGTATAATCTATAGCTTTTAAAACAAACCTTTGAAATAGAATTTAAAAGGCTTTTTTGTTTAAAAAAGATTGTACCTGATAAAGAAAAAACAGTATATTCATGGTAAAATTTAGTAACAGGAAATTGTGGCAGGGAGGAGAGGTATTTGTTGCCTGCTCACAGCAGAGTAGTGAAAAAATAAAGGTGCCAAAGTGCTCAGTTTTTATGTAACTGATGATATTTAATTTTCATAGACCACTATTATTAATTGTCTCCCAATCCTTCCCTTCTTCTGGGAATAGCACTACTTACTTTAGGAAACTTCTCTGCCTTGAAGTCTAATTAGATGATTCTGGGGGAACAGACAGCATAGTACCCAAACCAATGACCACTGGAGAGATCACATGAGCAGGTTGGGCCAATGAGAGTTTTTCTCCAGGACTTTTCTAACTGGAATTCATGGAAAAGAGTCAGTTCTTCTCTGAAGGCAAAAGTGAAAAGGATAGACCCCACCATAAGATGGCCACGTGGAAGCAGGCAGTTTGAGAGCATACCACTGACATGCAAAGAGTAGTATATGCATGGAATGGACAGAGAGTTCTCAGGGCATCTAGTTTCATTAATATCCAAGGCATACATACATGTCACCTCTAATGACAATTTAGTTATGTGAGCCAATAAGTTCTCCTTTGTCTAAGTAAGTTTGAGTTGTGCTTCTGTCATTTAAGAACCAAAAAGAGCCCTGGCTAATACATTGTCTTTTTGATAGCCAGGCTATAAGATAGCAGCCAATGGTCCTCAACTCTGGTAGTTATATCCTTGTGTAGAACCCTGATTGACTAAATGCAAATGTGGAAATGACGGTGTGTGACTACTGAAGCTAGTCTCAGAGAGTACTGAGGCTTCATCTTGGTCTCTTGGATTGCTTGCAGATGAGAAAGCTGGCTGCCATGTTGTAGAGACACTCAGGTAATCTCATGAAGTGACCCACATGGAAAGGAACTAAGGCCAAGTGCTAACAGCCAGTGTCAACAAGCCACCATGTGAGTGAGCACCTTGGAAGCAGACTTTCTAACTCTAGTGAACTCTTTGAATGATCCTAATCTCATGAGACACCAATTCAGGATCAATTGCCAAGCCACCCTCACAGTCCCTTCCCACAGAAACTGTAGGAAATAATAAATGTTTATTGTTTATTTTAAGCCACTAGATTTGGGGGTCATGTTTTGCCCCAAGAATATTTTTTACCTATATAACAATAAGTCATACAACCTTGTAGGAATATTACAAAAGAGAAAAAGTAGAGTGAGAATCCTAATACAATAAAATGGTTATTTCCCAGAGAGATGGTAGTGACTAAGTGGGCAGCCAGGGCTACCCGGTACTCCAATTTCCTATCTGCTTTAAACACTTACCTGGTTATACATATTAGCATTAACCATCATAGAAACTAATGTCTTACAATAGATGAAAAATAGCCAATTGATTCATTCAAATTGCATTTCATGACAAAGAATAATCTGACAAAGAATAATCTGTTAGTTTAATTAAGATTCTATATTGACACTTACTTAAACATATTAAATCTCAGTCACTGTTACTCATAGAAAAATAAATATTAACTTCTTGTAGAAATTTAAACACATTTTCCCACTGGTTAATATAATGAAGGCAAGACTTTCTCTAAACTAATGAGTGAGGATTTCTGCTATTATCGTCTAAAGAGGACTCTAATCATTGAATTTTTTAATTGGCTTCTCTACTAGAAGATTGGATTTTTACCTTGATGCAGAATATTACACAAATACAGTACAATTTTTTTAAAGTTTTCATGTGGTGTTTTAGGCTCGTTAAATAGCATTAATTTTTTTCTTTCTTTCTTTCTTTTTTTTTTTTTACTTTTATCCTTCAAGTTTTCTAGTTTTGATAATTGGTTCATACTTTCTTTTAGGGTCCATCCAATTTCACGTTCAAATGCTTACTCAGCAAATGATGCAGGTGGCTGTTCCACTGGTCTTGATGTGAGGCAGAGCGCTAAGAACCAGCAGATCGATGATGGGTCATGGCCCTAGCCTGAGTGGTGGTGTACCATCATGTAACTTCTTGGCACTTGATTTCCCTTATCTATCAAATAAGCGCCTTGAACAACTACATCCTAAAATTCTCCGAAATTGAGAAAGTCACTGAATTTTGAATATTCAAGTGACACATCTTCTAAACCAGTAAAACAGAAACACATACACTTGTTGTATGTGTAAAGCAATATATTTTTAGTCATGTTTGCGTTCTTGACACTTGAAGTTATACTTTGCATGGTAATTTCACTGCTGGAAAGATTTCAAAAAGGAAGCATTATCAATAAGGTAAAATTAATGTCTTAAAATGCTGTTAAGAAAAAGTGCATAGAAACCAGGAGTGAGCCAGAGTTATAAAACAGATAATACCTTATATTTGAAAAACAATCTTTTTCAAGGAATTATGATTTAAATTACAACTAAATTATATTTTAGTTAAGGAATTGAATAATCGAATAAGGTAATGTCTCTTCCTTATGTTCTTCCTAATTATTTGATCCTATAATGAAAAATTTCCAAAACACTGGATTTTTACAATAAAAGTGTATTTAAATAGCTATAACATAAATATTTCTACAGCAAACACCATATGTAAATCTCAGCCAGCATTTTATTTAATGCTGCTGAAAATTCCTCTAAATCAGCAATGAAAGATTAAGTCATGACCAGTAAAATTTTACTGTTTAGTATTTATTTATTTATTTATTTATTTATTTTTTGAGATGGAGTCTCACTCTGTTGCCCAGGCTAGAGTGCAGTGGCACGATCTCAGCTCACTGCAAGCTCCACCTCCCAGGTTCACGCCATTCTCCTGCCTCAGCCTCACGCCCGGCTAATTTTTTTGTATTTTTAGTAGAGACAGGGTTTCACTGTGTTAGCCAGGATGGTCTCGATCTCCTGATCTCGTGATCCGCCCGCCTCAGCCTCCCAAAGTGCTGGGATTACAGGCATGAGCCACTGCGCCTGGCCCTGTTTAGTATTTAGTGTAGACTGGAGCTAACATTTACCTAGGTACAATAATCCCCATGCATTGTATGCTATATTTCTTTAGATCCACACATCAAACCTATGAAGGAGTTACCATTATGTCCATTTTTTAAACAAAGAAGGACTGGCAAAAGAAAGTAATTAACTTAGGCATTTTGACATGGCAAGAAAGAGGGGCACCTGGGATTTGAACACGTATCTCTAACAAGAGTTTTCAAACTTTTTGTTAAGCTATGGAATCTTTTCCAATAGGAAAACCTTCTGTTCATATGAAAAGTATAAAACAGATAAACTCCTGGATGTTCTGCTTGTGTGGCTGGCTTTGCTGCTTCACTTCCCTCTCTGTCTCTGCCTCCCTCTGCCCTGCAATACCCCCCCATTTGAAAATGACTGCGTTTTGCCTTCATGCCGTCTTGTCCTAGTTTTTCTAAAATCAACAATCCTCATTTAGTGTACCAAACCATTCTCTATAAACAAGAATACTTGACAAACCAGAGTGACACATTTTTGTAAGATAACGTTTGTGAGGCTGTAGATATTATATAAGGTAGATATGGCTGTGGTGATGACAATGATAATGATGGTACAGTTTACTCTATGTAAACACTGCACATTTGTTTAGTTTCAAAGTTAAATAACAAACTATGTGCAGGCCTTTATGGCTCCTAGCCAGCTTCATTGCTCTCTTCTGAAACTGAAAAGCATCAGAGTGGTTTTTTGAGAGAGGTTCCCCGTTGTTGTTGTTGTTGTTGTTGTTTGCCCTGTCACCCTACTAATTAAACATGACCTGATGACCAATGGCCTATGATGAAGCCTGGCGCAAGAGGAGAGCCCTTTCTTCTGTCTTATAGGGTCTGAGTAGGAAACATCCAAGGAGGGGTCAGCATTGGGTAAATGCAGAAGTGGAGAGAGGGAAGACAGCCATGTAGCAAAGCCATGAGGCAGAGAGAAAGTGAGTGAGTACAGTCAGTAGCAATGGTTGGAAAAATAAGCAGGTACAGAGAAATGGAGACAGAAGAGCTGAGTCATGTGCATGGCAAGGAGCCAAGAGTTTGTGTGAGGTCACCAGGGGATAAGTTATACTACTAGATCAGAGCTATTACTCAGTTGTGGCTTAGTGACTATAGCGCAATTCTAGTCCTGTTAATGAGACCTTTATATATTTTTTTACTTCTCCACATTATATTCTTTATTTTATTTTATTTTATTTTTTTGAGATGGAGTTTCGCTCTTGTTGCCCAGGCTGGAGCGCAATGGTGTGATCTCGGCTCACTGCAACCTCCGCCTCCTGGGTTCAAACAATTCTCCTGCCTTAGCCTCCCAAGTAGCTGGGATTACAGGCATGCGCCAGCACGCCTAGCTAATTTTGTATTTTTAGTAGAGACGGGGTTTCTCCATGTTGGTCAGGCTGGACTCGAACTCCTGACCTCAGGTGACCTCAGGCCCGCCTTGGCCTCCCAAAGTGCTGGGATTACAGGCGTGAACTACCACGCCCGGTCATTATATCCTTCTTAATAAACCTGCATTAATTGAGCCAAGTGGTCATTTCTCTGTTCTTTGCACTCTGAAAGAATCAAATTAACACAATATTGAAAGAAGCTTGCACGGCACCTGGAACATAATGGGAGCTCCACAGAGTGTGCTTATCAGGATTTTAAAAGAGCTTCTATGAGCAAAAGCAGAAATTGCAGACTAACTCTCAAATCCAAGAGTCACAGTTGGTTTGGATTTTCAGTTTGGTAGCTTTTTCCCCTCTTGCTTTAAAGGTTTTTTAATTCTAAGAGAAAGCCCAAATTGGATAAATTTAGGTGTGGAAATAAAACACATGTTCTCATAATTTGGGAGAGATGGATGAATCTCTTGGGATATGGGGCTTCACAAAATATTTCAAATTATTTTTTAAATATTACGGGCTTGGCAAAAACAAAATGATTTTCTAAAAGAACTTGTCTTCTTAACATTCAAAAGGTCTCAAGGGAAATGTAATGTACATATTTCTGACTCATTTTACATAACTCAATATTGTTTAATAGGAATTGATTGATGTTTAAAAATTCAATAAATGTTTGAACTAAGAAGTATTGTTGGATGGTAAAACTGTCTTCTGAGAAAAAGGTTGAATTAGATGTTTTCTTAAAAGGGTCTCAGTGCTTGGCCTCAAACTTTACCAAGTATTTTTTCTTCCTTTGTATAAGAGAAAAAAGTAATTCTGAATAATCTCCCTTTTTTCCCAGTTACAAACAAAAAGACAGAAATTTGAATTCCAGAATATTAATATATTATTGAGCAACAGGGAAGAAACCAAACATATAATTAATTGGGGCATAAAAAGAGAAGAGAAAAGGAGAAACAGAGAGAGAGGGAAGAGAAAGAACTACTGAGATGTTAAAGGATTATATGTTGCTGAACTAAATGACATATAATCAACAACCCAAATTTCTCTGTGGAATGCAGTAAGTTTCAGAGCAACTTAGAGACCTCAGCTGGTATAAAATTCTACTTTCACTCTACTCTCCTAACACCCTGTTCTTCTCCCATTGTAATACTTATCAAACTTCATTGAAATTACTTCCTAATTGTCTGTCTGCCCTCTGCATTGTAAACTGTGTGAAGGTAGGGTTTGTGTCTGTCTTGTTCTCCACTATTCCCAGAGCCAGCTAACACCTAGCAGAATTGTTACCACCAATTCCTAGCTCAGAAGTATTTGTTGAATCAAACTTTATAACACAATCATGTGTAGAGGTTAAAAGCACAGGCTCTGAAATCAAACTCAGTATCAGCGTTGACATCTGTTTAGTGGATATGGTAACAGCACCTACCTCCTTGAGCTGTAGCGAGAATTATATGAGGAAATACGTGTACAGCACTAGGCATGGTGTTGGCATATTGTTGGCATACTGTTCCAAAACATGTTGCTCATAAAAATAATAATGAGGGCCAGGTACGGTAGCTCACGCCTGTAATCCCAGCACTTTGGGAGGCCGAGGCAGGTGGATCACCTGAGGTTGGGAATTCAAGACCAGCCTGACCAACGTGGAGAAACCCCGTCTCTACTAAAAATACAAAATTAGCCGGACGTGGTGGTACATGCCTGTAATCCCAGCTGCTTGGGAGGCTGAGGCAGGAGGATCACTTGAACCCAGGAGGCGGAGGTTGCAGTGAGCTGAGATGGTGCCATTGCACTCCAGCCTGGGCAACAAGAGTGAAACTCCATCGCAAAAAAAAAAAAATAAATAAAATAATAATAATAATAACAATAAGTATTTTCCCTGAACAATGAATCCAAGCATTTTTCTCTCAGCAAAATAAAGTTTTTACAAAAGTAAAATAAAAATTGATTTTTTTAACACACACATTGTGATTTAGTCATGCACATTTTATCAACATAGCCTGAAACATTACAGGTAATACTCTTAAAAATCTTTTTTAGGCCGGGCGCAGTGGCTCACACCTATAATCCTAGGACTTTGGGAGGCCAAGGTGGGCAGATCACGAGGTCAGGAGATCAAGACTATCCTGGCCAACATGGTGAAAACCCATCTCTACTAAAAACACAAAAATTAGCTGGGCATGGTGGTGCAAGTGTAGTCCCACTACTCAGGAGGCTGAGGCAGGAGAATTGCTTGAATCCGGGAGGTGGAGGTTGCAGCGAGCCGAGATTGTGCCACTGCACTCCAGCCTGGCCACAGAGCGAGACTCTGTCTCAAAAAAAAAAAAACAAAAAAAACTCTGTGTTTTCCCCCCAGCCGGCTCATTGGCCATTCTCCCCATTTGATCTTACTCATTTCTGGATGAATTCAGCTGGCTGTGGAGCAGCATGCTGGAGAATATGAAGGTTTGTGATTCTACATTCTTTCTGCCTAATAAGTACGTCAGTCATTTAAAAGAATGACTGTGATTTAACGGTTACATAGTCATTAATTCCTAGAGTAGGATTTTTCTTTTTTTAACACTGGCATGACTCTGATCCTAAACAGAGTATAATCAGGTCACTAAATGTGGCCACTGCCCAAGTGTCCCTTGGGCAGATGACACAGAGATTGAAAGTCCATAAATGACTGACCTGTACATCCAGGAATGACAACAGGCTTTAGCAGAACCCAGCAATACGGCTGGAGGGCAATAGGGAAGAGCTAACATTGACTGAACACTTACCCAATACAGATGTTTTATATATAGTATTTCTAATTCTGAAAACAAAACCTATGAAAACAAATCTATATTTCCCATTTCACAGATAAGAAAACTGAGGCTTAAATAGGTTGAGTCTTCTCTCAAAAGTTCACATAACTAAAATCACAGGACAGTATTGTTTTCACAATTTTTATGTAAATGTAAAACTGCTGTAAAATATAAAGCTTATTTTAAAAATAAAAATGTTTTCTTTGTAAATGGAAATTCTTAGAAGAAAAATTTGGTTAAAAAATGAATTTCTAAGGAGGCTGAGGCAGGAGAATCGCTTAAAACCCGGGAGGCGGAGGTTGCAGTGAGCCAAGATCACGCCATTGCACTCCAGTCTGCGCAACAGAGGGAGACTCTGTCTCAAAAAAAATAAATAAATAAAATAAAATAAATTTCTAAAACATAGAATCTGAAAAAAAAATCATTGGGCCTGAAATAAACCCAGTTCTTTTAAAAAATTTTAAAAATTTTAAATGGGGTCTTGGTCTATCACCAAGCCTGGAGTGCAGTGGCAAGATCTTGGGTCAATGCAGCCTCTAGCTCCTGGGCTCAATCAATCCTCCCACCTCAGCCTCCCAAGTAGCTCTGCGTACAGGCACATACCCATCATGCCCAGACAATTTTTGTAATTTTTTTTTTTTATAGAGATGAGGTCTCCCTATGTTAGCCCGGCTGGCCTCAAACTCTTGGGCTCAAGCAATTCTCCTGCCTAAGCCTCCAAAAATGTTGGGATTACAAGCATAAGCCACTGTGTCCAGCCCCCAGTTCTGTCTTAATCTTAATGCAAAGAGCCTATGCTTTGCTGCCTTTCTAGTGGGTGTAATGGGATTTATAAAAAGACAGAAACCATTACGCAGATGGGGTCTTTTATTTTGCTGGTAGGTTGCATACTTTTTAAGACCAGGGGTGTTGCCTATTTTGTTCACTGTTCTGTCTTTGCCACTCAACCCAATGCCTACCATAAAATAGTGCACAATAAATGTGTATTGAATGAATAAGTAAATGCCTCTTTCTCCTTGGATGCCCCTGGGAAATAGAATGGTAGGTATCATTAATTAATCAAATGTATTGTCAGGCATTGTCTTCATAAAGATCTTCAATCAGCACATAGTACAGAGGTTTACTGCTCTAGGGGCAGGACTGACCTTGTGATGGGCGAGTCATTGAGGAATGCTGCTGCGAGTGAGCCCCTGCATCTCACCCCCATGGCCCTTACACACACACACACACACACACACACACACACACATTAAAAATCTCCCATTCACTAGCCATTATCATCTAACTTGCATCACTTTAAAAATTGCTCTCAGTGAGTAGATGCTCATTTAAAGAAGGTAATAAGGAGAAACTCTCTTACTGGATAGTTAGGCTTAGAGGGAAGAAGAACTTGAATAAAAGGAGTTGTGACAGCTAAAAAAATCCCCAAAAACAACCTCCTGGTGCCCAGACAAGAAAAGCCAAGGAGTATCATGCTAGAAAGTAGGTCAGAGGAGTTTATGCACCAGTGGATGTCATGAGGCCTCAACCACAGCAACTGAGTTCTTCACTTGGTGGCTTCCTAGGCAAAACAGCTATACCCACTTCTGCCTGATTCCAAAGCTGGGCCGTGTGCAGCTCCATTATGGGATAGATGGTGGCAAACCGCTTGATGGTTCTACTCTTAGGCTCCCAATTCAGTAAGAGGAGGTACTTGTGTGCTCTGAGCATTTAACATGGTACCTGCACCAAGTAGGTGCTCAGTAAATATGTGTAGCTTGACTAAGTAAGACGTATTTTGTGTTAAGGATTTCATTCCTAATCGCTTTGAGGAAAAAAAATGGATACATGTAAGGGAACCCCCAAAATTGGCTGCTATAAAGATTACAAAGCCCTTTAAGAGTAATTCTTATTTCCCATTTCCTTTGCTTTTTCTTTCCATTTTTATAAGCCATGCGTTGTTTTATTATTTGAAAAGTAACAAACTTATTGTTAAAATTTTTTAATAATTAAAAACTTCATTTCACCACCCACCAAATTCATCATATTCATCCTTAGTAGTTTAATAAATAGCCTTCTAAACTTTTTCCATACACATGTGTAAATATTTCTCATTATAAAAATAGGATCATACAATTTTATAATCTATTATTTTCACTTAACAATATATTGAAAACACTTATAATAAATATACTTTTATATCACCATTCTCAATGGTCATATGGCATTCTTAGATGGCTATATACCATATTTTATACTAAAAATCCCTGGTGTCCTTTTTTGTTTGTTTGTTTGTTTGTTTTGCTAGTACGACTATGTTAAATATGTATCTTACTTGTTTTTAAACATTCAACAAGGCTTTACGGACAGCTGATTTTTTTTTCTTTCTTTTTCCGAGACGGAGTCTCACTCTGTCGTCCAGGCTAGAGTGCAGTGGTGTGATCTCAGCTCATGGCAACCTCTGCTTGAAGAGTTCAAGGGATTCTCCTGCCTCAGCCTCCCAAGTAGCTGGGACTGCAAGCATGTGCCACCACACCCAGCTAATTTTTGTATTTTTAGTAGAGACGGTGTTTCATCATGTTGGCCAGGCTGGTCTCGAACTTTTGACCTCAGGTCATCCACCCGCCTTGGCCTCCCAAAGTGCAGGGATTACAGCTGAATTTAACAGCAGAGAATAACGGTACAGAAAGCTTAAAACTGGATGCTGGAGCTGGTAACTCTCAGAGTCTACAGACCCAAGGCCCTATACATGGGTCCCCCAAGGGCCTAAAAGCCATTTCTCACCTTAGTCATAGCCTTCTGCCCCATTGCGGAGTTCCCTCATCCCCATCCCTGTTTTATTTATCTTTAGAATAGCCCTCTACTCTTTATTTTTTAGGAGAGCCTCACGGTCTATTGCTTAGCTCTGCCACCCTCTTCCCTTTACCTCCATTCCCAGCCAGAAGATGTAATCCTGGCAGGATAAGAGATTTTCCATTACTTTAAGACAAACATTTGCGTCTCTTAGAGTGGCCTACCTATTTACAACCAGCTCATTGACCTCTGCCTACCTCTTTTCAGCTTACACATTTAGGCAGTGCTATGGTTTGGATGTGGTTTGTCTGTTCCTGTGAAATCTCATATTAAAATATGATCCCCAGTGTGGCAATGTTGGGAGATGAAGCTTAGTGGGAGGTTTTTGAATCA
The DNA here is from genome assembly GCF_000001405.40 of Homo sapiens. Taxonomy (NCBI): domain Eukaryota; kingdom Metazoa; phylum Chordata; class Mammalia; order Primates; family Hominidae; genus Homo; species Homo sapiens. The sequence goes on along the minus strand of NC_000012.12, from coordinate 25,270,045 downwards.
TGGGGGTGGACCCTCATGAACGGCTTGGTGCTGTTCTTAGGGTAGTGAGTGAGTGCTCACTCTCTTGAGATCAAACTGGTTCTCTGGGGGAATAGATTAGTTCTGCAAGAATGTGTTGCTATAAAGCCAGGACAACCCTCAGGTTTGGTCCCACTGACTCATGCCCACTTCCCCTTTTACCTTCTCTGTCATGCTTTGACCCAACACAAAAACCCTCAACAGAAGACAAGCAGATACTGGCATGCTTCTCGTATAGCCTACAGAACCATGAGCTAAACCTCTTTTCTTGATAAATTACCCAGCTTCAGGTCTTCCTTTCCAGTAACATCCAATGGACTAAGACAGGCAGTGAAAGGGAGTTTCCTGGTACTTCTCAAATTCCTCTTCTATGCCACCAGCCCCATCTCTGCTCAGTGAAGACACTGAGCCCATCTTGGACAGGCACAGGCCATGTCACCATGACCCTATGCCACTCCTTCTGCTTGCCACACCTAAGTCACCCCCAAAAGTCATTCTCTCTTTTCAGGTCCCACATTACCTATGAATGGGTCCCACAACAGTGTATTGTTATCTTTCTAACTCAAGGAATATTATAGACCACATCTCCATTGAATGCAGAGAAACAGTTATTCAATTCAACACATAGTTATTGACCACCAGGCACTAAGTAAGACTGGATTGGAACAGGGTCAGGGAGTAAAAACCTTGAGGGCACAAGAGCCATCAAAGCAAGGAAAACACCTGATCAAGAAGGTCTGAGAAAGGGAACACAACACTGAGCCTCTTACACTGCATGAAGGCAGGGACTTGTGTATGTGTGTTTGCTGTTATACTCCCAATACCTGATACAGTGACTGGTACCTAGTAGACATTCACTTAATATTTTATAAATGAATGAATGAACAAGATACAACTCTTGTCCTACAGAAGTGTATATTCTAGTAAAGTAAAGACAAAGGCAGTGCTCCCATAGGGATAAGCAAAATGGGAGCAAAGGTACCAGATCCAGCTTGAGGTGGTTTGAGAGGGCGGGGGACTGCAAAATTTGGTCTCCCCAGTTTGCCATAGGCTGCAGGAAGACTGGGAGGATGATAAATGAGAAATCAATGGTTCTACCTCCTAGCCAAATGTGTTGAGCTGAGTCAAACTTTTTATTCTCAGTCAGTTTGCTGCTAGTATATATCTAAGACCTTAGTTTTTCTTCACGACTAGCTTTTAATGTCTGTTTCCATTTTATTAGATATCATGGAGACCAAATACAAATTTCAACAAATAATTTTAGCATTAACCTCCCTTTTTATCATGGATGTAGACATTGTCCTTTCTGGTCGAATATTACAGTGAGGCAGAGAAAGAAAAGAGAAAAAAAAGCAGTGTGGGTCCTTAGGAACAACAAAACCAGAGGTAGGGAGTCTGTGGGTTCCTGAGTTACTAGGAGGACCAAATTTCTGAAAACTGCTGAGTACTAAGAGGGAAACCTTCCCTTCAGAGAACAAAATAGAAAGAAAAAGTAAGGGTGTCCAATTCTTTCACCACATCTTTCTACTCTAAATATAAGTGAGAAAGCTGAAGGCCAGGCTCAGTTACTACCTGTGCTTCTACTTTAGGCTGTTATAAAATAACTTGTGTTCTACATTTAAAGTCACTTGGCTTGGAGCCTGAAAAGAAAAAAGATTATTTTTTGGCCAGCCACGGTGGCTCATACCTGTAATCCCAGCACTTTGACTTGAGGTCAGGAGTTTGAGACTGGCCTGCGCAACGCGGTGAAACACCATTATCTACTACACATTCAAAAATTAGCTGGGAGATGTGGCACGTGCCTATAGTCCCAGCTACTCCAGAGGCTGAGGCAGAAGAATCCCTTGAACGTGGGAGGCGAGGTTGCAGCGAGCCGAGATTGTACTGCTGCACTCCATCCTGGGCGACAGAGCGAGCCACCATCTTAAACAAAAAAAAAATAGGAAAGAAAATTATTGCCTAAAATGAAAGCAAATGATGCTGTTGAACATCACAAGTCCTTGTTCCCAAATAAACACAGAAAATGATTTTTTAAAGAGAGATTTTCAACCACAAGGGTAGTTCTTACTCTAAAATATATTGTTAGCTCCTACAGAATCCTGCAGGAGCAATGCACAGATGGTGTGTGATACTGAGATTTGTTAAGGGCTCTCTGTATGTTGATGATATTAGTTGATGCACATGATCAGTGTTGCTTAAACGGCAAATAATAGACGAGAAGAACATTTAGTGATAAAATAGAATGCCATTTGGGCTATTAATGTTTTCATTATGGAAAATTCAGGGTAGTATGTAAAGCTTTGGGTAAATATGTTTATCTCTGTTAACTGTATGGATGCTTTGTGACAAAGACTTGCTGAATAGAAATCAAGACTAGTGGTGGTGATACATTATGTATAACATTGGAGAGCTATGTCACAGGAACCTGAATTTCTTGGGTAACAAAACATTTAATATGGAAACTATGTATATAATTTATCAAGTCAACAGAAGAGGTTAAAACTGATGGATCATATACTGAAATAGAACTGTCTGAAGAATTCATCCTGATTTATTTTTCCAGTAGAAAGGCAAAATATTCATTTATTTAATTTGTTAATGTTTTACACTAGAATTATTCTAATTTAAACATAAGTTAATGCTGTTTCAAAAATTCTTACTGGGCATGTAACATTCATTCTTCTCATTCTTTCAGTTCAAGCAGCAATGTTTCTAATGAAAAAATTTCAAACTAAATGTCTAACAAAATGATTTTGTGTTTCTCTTTTCACATACTGAGGTAATCATGCAGGAAAAGCAAATAAATCATTTTCTTTGGGGTGAAAGCATTCATATTTGATAAGTGTTTTGAAAGTAAAATGAGATTTTACATAAACATTTTACATTTTTTATGGACTTATCTTTATTGGTATTCTTTTCAGGAAAGAATCATTACTAAAAGAAATATGCACATATAAAAATATGTATGACAAAGTACAGTTATGAATAATTTGTGCTAGAGAAATAAAGAAATCTTGTAGAGTATAAACTCGGAACTTAATGGAAGAAGAATATGAGAAAGAACCTAATGATAAAAATATTCCAGGAGAATAGTATTAAAGACAATAAAAACAAAAATGTTTTGTTTTATATGAAGATAGGAATGCTACCTGGAAATACAATCCAGAAGACATAAAAAAAGAGGAAACAACAAATTACTGAGAGAGAAAAACATAAAACAGAAAATATGTTAGTAAATCTCTGTTTTAAAAAATGTCATCTACATCTTAATGTGGCCCCTCTGGATGGCTGCCAAGTCAGAGTTAGACTAGAAATATGCTTAGGAGACCTAAGATAGAAACTTTGCTTCACATTCTTGCTCCACCCTGAAATTTTTTTTCCTACATTTAAAACATCACTTGGTAATTACTTCAGCATTTCTTATGTATGCAGGGGCACTAGGCTCTGGTGAAATCTTATAAAACTGTTTACAACATATTTTATAGTGGATAAAAAAAGCAAATGACAAACTACCCCCACCTCCACCCTACCTTTGGTTGCAGCTTTGTACCCTTCTGGCTAGAATTATATATGAAATAGTGAAACTCTATTTTAACGTAACTGTTACTGATAACAGGGGTAATAAATAACCACCATGAAGAATAACCAATGCCAGATTATACTTCACATTATTTTGTTGGGAGGGATCGGGGTTATATTCAGGGTATAATCTGGGCACATGTTAATATATTTTTATTGAGCATATACTCTGTGCCAGATACTAAGCTACTGTCTATGGAGGATGCAAAGACAAATGGAACACGATTGTGTCTTTAAGGGGCTTACAATCAAGTAGGGGTTATAAAACAATACATACAGCTATAATAAAGGTCTGCCCTGACAAGCAATGCTCTGATTGTCTAATATATTCATAGCCACCTGCTATGGTTTGACTGTGTTAATCAGGTTTGTGTGTCAGAAACTTAAGAGAGCATATCAAAAACCCACTCCTGAGATAATGGCATTCATTATCTCAGGAGTGGGTTTTTGATAAAAGTACGCATTTGACCCCTTTCTTCTATTGCTCTCTCTTGCTCTCTTACCTTTCTGTCTTCCACAATGAATGACACAGCAAGAAGGCCCTTGAAAGATGCTGGCACTGTGATAGTGGACTTCCCAGCCTTCAGGACTGTGAGAAATTCCTTGCTTTTTATTATAAAATTTCCAATCTGTGTTATTCTATTATCACAGCATAAAATGGAGTAAGATAAAAAAAAATTGCTATCAAGAAGTGGGGCTGTTGCCATAACAAATACCTGAAAATGTGGAAACAGTTTTGGAACTGGGTAATGGGTAGAGGCAGGAATAATTTAGAGGAGCAGGCTAGAAAAAGTCTAAATTTCTGTGAGTGGAGCATTAAGGACAATTTTGGTGAGGGCTCAAAAGACAAGAGAAGTTGTAGGGAAAGTCTGGAACTTCTTAGAGATTACTTAAGTGGCCATGATCAAAATGTTAGTGGAAATATGGACAGTAAAGGCCATTCTGATAAAGTCTCAGATGGAAATCAGAGATAACTTATTGAAAACTGGAATAAAGGCCATTTTTGTTATAAACTGGCAAAGAACTTGACCAAATTGTGTCCATGCTCCGGGGCTTTATGGAAGGTGGAATTTAAATGCAATGAGCTACCACATCTGGTGGAAAAAAATTTCTAAGCAAAATATTGAAGAAGCTGTGTGACTACTTTTAACAGCATACAGTAAGATGCAAAGGAAGACATGACTTAAAGACAGAATTTATAATTAAAAGAGATGCAGAATGAAAAGATTTTGAGTTTTAAGCCTGGCCATGTAGAGAATAAAAAAGTATATTCAGGAGAGCAAGTCGAGGGTGTGGCCAAGTGACTGTTTTCTAAGGAGATTAATACAGATAGAAGGGAGCCAGGTGCTATTCATCAAAACAATAGGAGACTGTGCCCAAAGGCATTTCAGAGCTCCTAGAGGCTGCCCCTCCTATCACAGGCCCAGATTCTAGAAGGGCAAAATGCTTTGAGGGAACAGGCCTAGGTCAGTTTTCATGGACCCACTGCCCAGAGCCACATTGAGTCTCTGTGGATTCTGGTGCAATGCTCCTTGGTCACCCCAGCCATGGCTCAAGTGGGTTCAGGTGCAACTTGACCTGCCACTGTGGAAAGTACAAACCAAAAACCTTCTGGTGTCCTTGTGATGCTAATTCTGCAGGCATGTAAAATGCAAAAGCTATGGGGGCATGCCTTACTTCACCTAGATTTTTTTTAAAAAGTTAGAATTATTTTGTGTATACATTATGCATCTTAATGCTTAGAAGATTGGATCTGAGATGAACAACCTGTTTCCAGAGCTGGTCTGGGGCATGAACTCTGCCCAATACAGGAGTTCAATGCTGATAAGTCACTCACTGGCTAGCTCATTCAAAATCACCCTCCAGAAATTTGAATGAGACATGCAGAGAGAGTAAATGTGTTGATAATGTTGCTGCAGTTGAGAAGCAGAGATGGAAGGTTGCTAAGGCATGGTGATAGTGGAAAACTAGAACAAGGGGTAACTGATGTTGTGTTGCTTGAGTTGAAGGGATGAGGATGGCCAGCTGAGGCAGATAGCTAGTGCTTCTGAGCCTGGAGGGTCCCAAGCACAGCTGTGTCCTGGGAAAGGTTCTTTTCTCAATTGATGTGGCTATTGAGACACTTTCTTGTTCTTTCTTTCACTTCCCTGCAGAGCTTCACAATATATTCCTATTGATTAGGAGTAGCCTGGGTGTGCCTGTTTGTGGCACACTGAAAAGACCCTTCCAAACACGACACACACATAAGAGGGTTAAATGCTTAGCAGCAGGATGCTTCTTACTCTTGCAGTTTCAGCACCAGACACTCAGAGGCCACACAGATGTTTGAATGAATAGGAGAAACAGATAAAGTATAATGAGAGTCAAGAAGAGTGGAAATTATGTCTTTTTTTTTTTCCTGTAAACTCTGCAAAGAAGTAGAAAATCATTTCTTACTGAGAGAATCAGAGATGAGGCTTTATGATGACAGTGTCATCTGAGAAGAGCCTTGAAGTAAGAGGGTGCCAAGTTGGGTGTGAAGGGGGGGATTGCTTCCCCCAGACATATTCTCTAAAAATGAGACTTTTACGGTGTTTTGAAGGTATTATGTTGTCATGAAAGTTTTTGAGGCTATGATAAAAATACATCAGAGAGAATATTGTAAAAATAGTGGTCAAATATTTGCACTTTTGGAGAGTTTTCACTTCCCCATAAAACCAAGGAGTAGGTATAACACACAGGTCTAGAACCGTCTCCCCATTAGAATCTGCTTTGCTAACGCTTAAAAATCATGGAGGATTCTGACATGAAACAAGAATTCCAGGCAGCGGGCAAAATCACAGTGGCAGGACAAGTAGAGGAGTGAAGAAGTTTAGCTTCAGTAAGGCACCTTAAGGGAAAGGGTAGTGGCAAATATGGTTGAAACAGCAGACTCAGGTTTGAATTTTATTCCATAGGTATTAATGCTGTAGGCACTTATGATTTCTGAAGAAGGGAGGGATGTCAGCAGTGTACTTCAAGAGGATTAATCTGAAAATAGTATATGAAGTGGATTTGAAGAAAGAAAAATCATAATTGAGGGGACCAGTTAGGAACCCAGTGCAAAAGCCTAGGTGAAAGATTATGTGTATTATCATTATAAAACTACATATACTTTTCAGTGGTAGTATTGAGTATGTGTGTCAGTGTCTTGCATTTATACACATCATTATTTATTTATTACAGCTGTCTATAGTAAGCTAGTGTCACAGCGATACTACACATCTTTCTTTAATTTATAGCAATGGAATCACATACAAGATGCGGTTCCATAACAGCTTGTTTCTTTAACAGCACATAAGGAAAAATAATAACTACTCTACACATTGTTTACTTTTTTGTGTAGAGATGTTACTGGAAGCCTAATCAGCCCCAAGTTCTCTTACAAAGTAATGCTTTTTGTTTTTTTCAGATGCTCTGAGAAATCTTAGATTTGAAAGAAAACCAAAAGTGATCTACCTTTGGATGTTGAGTTTCATATATTAATGAGTCAATGCATAACACTGCACCATTTGGAAATTTTGAAACTCCCATTTCACCCTGTGAACCTACATGCATTACAGCAGCTTGCTTCTAACCATCTGAAACCATGGTCATGATGAATGGCTATCTAGTGTTTCACTCTAAAATTATTAGAAAATGATGGCCCAACAGCTTATTAATAATGATATCAAAGCTTTGCTTGCTTTCTTCTTTATTTTGTAGGGTTTCTAATTTTCCTTGGAAAATGAATCAGACCAATAATTCTCAATGTTTTCTCTCTGAGACACAAATGATTGAGGATAATCACATTCATAATATACTCCCATGGGAACTCACTGCAACTCCCACTCAAGAAAGCCATATGATAATTCAAGCCAGCTTGAGAAGCATTGTGCTAGGGGTAACCTTGAGCATGAATTAAAAATTTTAAAGCCAACTGAAGTGTGAAGTACTTTAACATTAGTTACAAATGACTTGTAGATATCCTCGCAGTTAAATACATCTCAACAGTTTGCTAGTTCAGAGCTGATAGACTTGATGCTATCACCACCAGGCATTATTGAGGGTTGATAAGGTCTACACACACAATATATTCCCCCACCATCCACACACATGTGCACATTCCCAGTATTAATTAGACTCTGTCTTAGTCCATTTTGTCTTGCTATGGAAAAATATGTGGAACTGGGCTATTTATTTATTTATTTTTTTAGATGAAGTCTTGTTCTGTCACCAGGCTGGAGTGCAGTGGCATGATCTTGGCTCACTGCAACCTCCGCCTCCCAGGTGCAAGCAATTCTCCTGCCTCAGCTCCCGAGTAGCTGGGATTATAGGTGCCTGCCACAATGCCCGGCTAATTTTTTTATATTTTTAGTAGAAATGGGGTTTCACCCATATTGGCTAGGCTGGTCTCAAACTCCTGACCTCAGGTGATCTTCTCACCTCGGCCTCCCAAAGTGCTGGGATTACAGGCGTGAGCCACTGTGCCCAGCGGAACTGGGTAGTTTATAATAAACAGAAATTTATTATCTCATGGCTCTGGAGGCTGGGAAGTCCAAGATCAGGGGGCTGGCTTCTGGCAAGGGCCTTCTTGCTGCACCATGCCATGGTGGAAGGGCAAAGAGAGAGGAAGAGAAAGAGACAAAAGGGAGCCACATTTGTTCCTTTATAAGAAACCCACCCCCTAGATAATTATATTACTACATTCATGAGGGCAGAGCCCTCATGGCTTAATCACTTTTTAAAGGTCCTACTTTTTAATATTGTTACACTGGGGATTAAGTTTCCAACACATGCTTTCTGGTGGACACATTCAAACCACAGCAGACTCAGTTTTTCATTCGTACCTCTATTTTCTGAATTTGATTCTTCAAATTCTATCAAAAATTATATACAATTGCCTAGTATGTGCTCTTTGATTTTTATAATACATAAATATCTTTACTCATAACACATTTTCACTTAGAAAATTAGATTGGTTATTGAGGGTTTATTTTGTTTGTTTTGATAAAACTGATCTTAGGCCAGTAGCTTTCTTAAACCATAAAGATAAAATAAGAAATGTATAAGAATAAGTTCAAAGGTAGTTAAGTGCCTTCTCTCATATAAAATTTTGAGGAGAATTTACACTCAGCTCACAAATTTATCTATTAACAGAATTCATTTTGGTAGTCCTGCCATTCACTTAAAAAAAAAAAAACAATATAAGCTGTATAATATTCTGAAGCCAGTAGAAAAAGTTGAATGGAATATCCGTTTATCCTTGATTGTTGATGAAATAGCGACTTCAGGATGATTTTCTGGAAATACCTATTTATTACACTTAAGCATGTTTTCTTAGTTGGCTACATTCTTATTCATTCTGACACATGTCAAAGTGCATTTTACGATTTATTTTTTTCATTTAACAAATATTTTTTGAGTGTCTATTATGTATTCTAGTGATGGGAAATCCATAGTGAATAAAACAGACACAAATCCTAGCTCTTGTATAGCCTAATTTCTAATTGGGGGAAGACAGACTATGAACAAATAAATAAGTGAAACATATTGTGTGACAGATGGTGATAAGTTATATGGGAAAATATGCAGATAAAGAAAAGAGAGTTCTGGGATGGAAGTTTCATTTTTTAAGAATAAGGTGGTCAGGAAAGACCTCAATGAGAAAGTGGCATTTCAGCACAGAGCTGAAGGAGGTGAGGGAGCAGACCATGAGTTATCTCAGGAAAGAGCCTTCCAGGCAGGGAGAACAGCAGGTGCAAAGGCCCTGAGGTAGGTGTCTGCCTGGTATGTTCAAGGAAAAAGAGGAGGTCACTGTGACAGTAAAAGATCAAACCAGGAGGAAAGGAGTAGGACATGGAATTGGAAAGGTAAGAGGCCCTTTGTAGGTCATCTGAGGGTTTTACCTTTGAATGAGATGGGAAGCTATTGGAAGTTTTGAACAGAGGAGTGACAAGATTTTATTGTGACTTGAACATCAGTGGATGAGATACAGTGAGTTTGAGGTCACTTAAGTGATGACTTCTAGATAGCTGGATGTTTCATGGAGGTGGGTTAAGATTTCATGATTAAATTAAGTTTCGAGGAATTTTATAGTTTTGGCATTTTTTTCTGAAAAATATTAAGGAAGGAAGGATGGAAGGAGACAGGAGGGTGGCAAGGAGGGAAGAAGGGAGAGAACAAGACAGGAAAGAAAAAGGCGTAAAAAACAAAATGAAAGATAAAATATTGTCAAGACATTGAGAGCAGTAACTTTCATTATAACAACATAGTCCATTCTCCTGACAAACATGGTAAATTAAAACAGTCTAGGCCGGGTGCGGTGGCTCACGCCTGTAATCACAGCACTTTGGGAGGCTGAAGCGGGTGGATCACCTGAGGTCAGGAGTTCGAGACCAGCCTGGCCAACCTGGTGAAACCCCATCTCTACTACAAATGCAAAAATTAGCTGGGCGTGGTGGCGGGTGCCTGTAATCCTAGCTATGTGGGAGGCTGAGGGAGGAGAATCACTTGGACCTGGGAGGTGGAGGTTGCAGTAAGCTGACATTGCGCCATTTCACTCTAGCTTGGGCGACAAGAGGGAAACTCTGTCTCAAAAAAAAAAAAAAGTCTGGAGACAATATAGTGTGTTTATAGTCACAATAAATACACAATAATTCTTTGGTTTTGCTCACAGCTTTCCTTCAAGCTAGGACAAGCCCTGTTACCCTGTCAAACTGTTTACAAAGTGCACAAAATTTGTATTTGGAAACATTTTATTGGCATCTTGGGAAGTTCAATTAATTAAAATTTGTAAAGTACTTCAAGATGCTGAAGAACACAAGACTGACCTAAAAACAAGAAATTTCAGTTATTGCAAAAAAGTGCATCATTTCGGGCATCTGTTTTACTTTGTATATTATCTTAACAATAATTTATCCTGGTTACCATTATCAATAGATACTGTCTAAGAGGGAATCAGATAACCTGTTCTGAGGAGTAAAACAATAGTTTTGGAAAAGCTAATTATTGCATTGGTCTTTATTCAATTTGGCCCTGTTTCATTAGCAAAAAAAAAAAAAATTGATAAAAAATTCTTTAGAACAGCAGTTCTCAGTGTTCTACAGGCACCCTTGTTCAGAGGTGGGGGGTTCCAAGACCTTTTCAGGAGGTCTGGAAGGTCAAATCTCTAATCATAATAATACTGAGATGTGAGATGTTATTTTCCTTTTTCATTTTCATTTCTCTCATGAGTGTACAGTGGAGTTTTCCAGAGGTTATATGTGATATAACAGAGAGAATACAGGAGCAGATTTGAGAATCTAGCCTCTTCTATTAAACAAGGCATTAAGGATTTGCAAATATGTTAAAACGATGCCACTCTTCTCATTACATATTTTTAAAAATATAATTATTTTCATAATGTTATTTATGTTAATATGTGATGGGTTTATTATTATTTTAAACAAATAACTTCTAAATATGTGAAATGATCCTGACATCAAAAAGTCTGAGGAGCACTGCCTTAGAATGTGACTTCCAAGATAGCAGAGATATGTGTCTGTTTGGTATACCAATGCATCCCAAATATCAAAGATGATACCGGGCATATAGTAAGGGCTCAGTAAAGAAATACCTATTGACTGACTGAATGAATAAAATGTTATTAACATATTAGATTAGCTAATATTGAATATTGGCTTCTTTTTTTTTTTTTTAGAGTCTTGCCCTGTCGCCCAGGCTGGAGTGTAGTGGCACAATCTTGGCTCATAGCAACCTTCACCTCCTGGATTCAAGCAATTCTCCTGCCTCAGCCTCCCTAGTAGCTGGGATTACAAGCGTCCACCACCACGCCCAGCTAATTTTTGTATTTTTAGTAGAGACGGGGTTTCACCATGTAGCCAGGCTGGTCTTGAACTTCTTACCTCAAGGATCCGCCGGCCTCGGCCTTTCAAAGTGCTGGGATTACAGGTGTGAGCTACCGTGCCTAGCCTGCTAATATTGGCTTCTTAAGGGCCTGTAACAAATGGTAATGTTTGAGTTTGTTGAGGTTTTCATACATTAAGATAGAATTAATTTATGCAGGCATTACAACTATTTATGAAAATAATTCAGATTAAAGTGAAATAATCATTTATACTTCCATTTACCACCTCTCTACATTTATAGACTTCTAATATAAAAAATTATTGACAAGGCAGAACAATCTTCCAAAAAGAATTTACCTCAAAGGTGACTTGCCTTATTCAACTGAGGACATGTGGATCCTAAATGAGATGTCTGGGCCCAAAGGGTTAATGCCCCTAGACTCCATAATGTTAAACTGATGTGCACAAATAAAGCTCTATTTGAATACATATCACCATGAATGAACTAGAAGCACCTGACAACATATCCAACAACTGTGATTAGAGAGAAGAGACAGAAAGTAGGAAAATCAGGCTTGTAATCAGCAGGGAGTCCAATTAGCACATGCTTGGGGAATTAGAAGGAAATGATTTTTAAAAATACTTCTGATTTCTGATATCCTTAAAAACAAAACCAAGCACTAAAGCACTTTTTTTTTTTTTTCAAACTAGGTCTCATTCATCGCCCAGGCTGGAATGCAGTAGCGTGATCTCAGCTCACTTTAGCCTTGACCTCCTGGGCTCAAGCAATCCCCCCTCCCCCAAAGCTGGGACTACAGGCGCATGCTACCATGCCTGGTTAATTTTTGTATTTTTTGTAGAGATGGCGTTTTGCCATGTTACCACATTGCCAGGTTGGTCTCAAACTCCTGGACTCCAGCGATTCTCTTGCCTTGGCCTCCCAAAGTGCTGGGATTATAGGCATGAGCCACCATGCCTGGCCTAAATGAAGTACTATTGTATTATGTAGATAGAAGCAAAGCCAAGAGATCTAAATTGACTTGCAGAGACCTCACTTAGAGTGGATTATTCGTCCTATTATTTTCTTTATGGCAACTTATCAACAAATCTTTATTAAGTGACTACTATGTGCCAGGCTCTTTCTGGACGTTGAGGATTCAGTGGTCCCTGGCTCATGAAATTTATATTTCAGGGGAGGAAACAGGCAAGCAGTCAATAAATGATCAAGATAACTTCAGATATGATAAGCGCTAAATAAAAGAATAACACAGGCCACTATGTGAAAGAGAGATTCACTGAAGGATTGAAGTTAGGGAATAAGGTGAGGATTGCTGATTTAGACCTGGTGTTGGGGAGTCTCTCACTGAAGCAATGTCTCTCAGCTGACACCTGAAAGACAGAAAACCTGGCTAGCAGGGGCATGCCTGACTGAGAAAAGAGCAGTCACAGGCCTAAGGAGGAAAAGAGCTCGCTGTGTACTGGGAAGAAAAAGGTGGCTGGTGAAGTTGAAGCCTAGTGAGGATAAGGGTCTTGCATGGTGCAATCAGAAGTAGGCAAAAACTAGATCATGAAACGGCTTGAAGGAGTGTGAATTTTATTGTGAGTGCAACAGAAGCCAGTGGAGAGCTTGATCTGGTCACATGACCCATTTTGCATTTTTAAAAGAACCAGTCTGGCTGCTCTGTGGAGAATAGATTGTAGAGGAACAAGAGCAGACGCAAGGAGGCCTGTTAGCTGCTATCTGCCTGCCTAGGGGAGGGAAAGCAATGGCTTGGACTACACTGGGAGCAGCGAAGAAGTTGAGAAGTGGACAAATGTGGGATAGATTTGTTTAAAATAATGTAAATCTGCCCTGGTATGGCAGCTCACACCTGTAATCCAGCACTTCGGGAGGCCAAGGACTGCAGATCTCCTGAGGTCTGGAGTTCGAGACCAGCCCGGCCAACATGGTGAAACCCCATCTCTACTAAAAATACAAAAATTAGCTGAGCATGGTGGCAGTTGCCTGTAATCCCAACTACTCGGGAAGCTGAGGCAGGAAAATTGCTTGAACCCGGGAGGCGGAAGTTGCAGTGAGCCAAGATTGCGCCACTGCACTCTAGCCGGGGCGACAAGAGCAAAACTCCATCTCAAATAAATAAGATAAAATAAAATAAAATAGTGTAAATCTTGTCTGGCTCATAGGAGGAGTTTTAAAAATGGTAGCAGTTATTGCATTACTCCATTCGTAAACATGAATCTTGAAGGGATTCACGGATTTGTTCTAGCTCACAGGACTAGTAAATTAAGCCAGCGCACCATTCCCACCGCTACTAGGTACTGTTATGCTATCCACAAAATACTTTACCTGAGGTCTTTTTTCCTTCCAATCTTTTCTGCATGTAGCTGCCATTCTAATCTTCCTCAAACATTGCTTTCATCATGTTTACCTTGCTGATAAGCACATTATGTGTATTCATGTGGTTATTGAGTAATTGCAATGAACTAGGCTCTACAGGTGAGTGGGGTTCACACACCTGAGATACGGCTCTTGCCTCTAGGATTTTAGAATTTACTTGGGGAGACATGATTAACCCACATAAAACAATAGAGAAGGAGATAAAAAAGAGGCAGCATAATCAACAAAGCATTCATGGAGAAAATAGGTCTTATTCTAAATCTTGAATGAGAGAGAATTGTAGCAAACAGAAAGACAAAAAGGTGCTGGGTGAGAAAAGGAGCAGAGACATAAATAAAATATCCAATTTTAAGGGTATAGAGAGGGGATTCACTCAAGGAGGGGAGACCATCTATCTGCTTTGAGAAGCTGGGAAACAAAGTCATAGGGTCAGGATGGTGCCTGACTATGGATGCTCTCAAAAGCTAGGCACCAAGGATTTGGACTGGATTCAGCTGGATATAAGAAGTTATTACAGACTTGGAAGCAAGATTAAGTCTCCGGGAAGGGGAGACTTAACTGGGACCAGAGATCATTTTCCCCTATAATTTTAAAGGTACTTATCATCTTTAGGTACTCATTAGGTACTTAGCTTGTAACTCTTTCCACTGTTCAAATATATACCCAGTATGCATGTAGCCTATATGGAGCAGGCACAGAGTAAATGTTTGATGATGATAAAAGACATGCGGAAGAAAGGTTAATTTGGCAACATCATAAAACTGAATTGAGACAAAGAAAGCCAGGAGGTAGGAAAGTCAATGAAGAAGTTATTCCAGAAATGTAGCTGAGAAGGAAGGAATACAGAAGAGGCAGATATGGGAAAATACTCAGGAAGTATAATTAAAAGGAGCTGTGACTAATTTTAATAAGGACTGGGTTAAAAATTAAGTTTTCATGTCTAAATGTTCTGGAGGACCATGATGTCACTCAGGTAAGATGGAGGAATTGAGAGAGGGAATTCGTTAGAGGGAATAACATGGGGAATTTGGCTTTGGACAGGCATTTGCCATGATAACAGAATATTCATTTAGAAATGGTCCAGGAAATTGGTTTGATGAGAATGAAGTGCCTGTGAAGAGAGAGGACTGAAGCTTGTTATAATTTCATTCACTTCAGGAATATTTACAGAGGACCCAAATGTGCTAAGAACTATGAAAACATAGAATTAAAAGAAATGGGCCTGGAATAATTTACAACCTAGTAAAGCAGTTATGGGAAAACATATTTGCAAAAAAGGTATACAAAGTATAATGAAATAAGTGTCCAGTAAGGATAAAGTGCAGAGTAAGTGAATTAAGCAGCACCCATTCATGTGTTCAAATTCCTGCCAGAGTCAAAAGGTTGTGCTGAAGTAGAGTCCATGAAAGCATCGTAGATGGCTCCTCCTGCTCAAGTTCCCCTGCTCTGCGTCCTGCTACTCTGGCCACAACCGTCTGGACCCAGGGTTGACACACAAACAAACACAATAATCTTTTAGCCAGACATAAAGAAGGCCAGCCACCAATCAGGAAAATTGTGTCCCATAAAGGCCCTTCCTATTGAACAGTGAATGACAGACATGGCCAGATCTTCTCTCTTGGAATGCTTTGAATGTTAGTCACAGAGAGTGACCACTAGAAGCACAGATAGCAGTAGAAGCTAAGACTACATGAAAAAGCAGTGGACAGATGGTGATTTATGAGAATGGCAAAATTACTAGAGTCATAGGCAATGGATACTTGTTAATGAAGGGATGAGCAGGGCCCCACAGCCTGTTGCTGGCTCACAAGTGCAGTTGATTGCTGGACTGAACAGCAGCTCTCCGCCTGATGATAGGGTTTTTTAAAGTGTCCTTATTGCCTTAAAGTAAATCCTCAGCATTTGCAGTGCTCTGAGGGTGTCCTAGCATTTTATACCTTTTTTCTAAGAGCCCAGGTAACATAAGGGTACTCCTGTTGTTCTGGCTTTAATTCTATCTGCAGAAGAGGGTTTCTTGTGAAAGAAAGGGTCAGTATGGTCTTTTATCTGTACAGCAGATAAAAAGGGTATGTACGTGCACACCTTTGTACGTGGCTGCCTTCCCAGGACAGTCTGACAGTAGAGGGTAGAAACTTCAGTTGTAGCTGAGAGCAGGCCTGGAATCCCCATGCTTATACTTTTTATTTCCTCCCCCCTTTCCCATTGTGATCACAGGCTACTTCAGTGTGCTTGTCCTTGGAGAGAGCAAGGGAAGGGAGAGCCAGGGAGACTGTTCAAGGGAGCCACCAGGCTCGAGAAAGAGGAACCCCTGAAGACAGTAGAAAGTGCAGGTGCCAAGAATTTGAATATCTACATCAGAGTTTCTCAATGTGCACACAGTGAACTACCAGTTTAGGATCATTTGATTTGCTAAAAATGAAGATTACTGGTCTACCTTAGACCAACTGAATAAAATATCTGGGTGAGGGGCCTAGGAACTTGCATTTTTGGTAGGCATGGCAGGTGATTCCTAAAGCATTTACCCTTGAGACCTCTATGTTAAGGAAAGAAAGGTAATGTTGCAAGGAGGTGGTGCCGGCTTCTAAGAAAGTACCCAGGACTGAACGGCAGAAAGACCTGACATACCATATGTATAAATTGCTGTGGAAGTGAAAAGGAAAGAGAAAGTGTCTGAGGTAAAACTGGAGTGTGGGGTGCGTGGAACAAATGGTTGGATGCAGATTTGCTTTACGAATCATGAGCCTAGATGATAACTGAGACCATGTGGATGGATTAGGTTTCTGCTAATGCCAGAATTTTTATAATCAGCATAAAAGTGCTATATAAAGCTTTCCCCTCTTCTATATTATAGTCCTTTTAAGATGTATGGAACATCAACTATAGGAAGAACATCATATTCACAGCTGTAAGAGGAAACAAGAACTTATCATGCACTTGATGTTGTACAAAATAAATCTGTGATTTATGCTTGAGTGACCACAAAGTAGCATACACATAAGCGCAAATTCATTCATTTAAGAATTCCTTGTGTCTATTATGTACGAGATAAGTATCTCTGAGCTGCACGGAATGTGGCTTATCAGAAGGTGACCTAAGTTTCAAAGCAGATTTTGTTAAGATGAAGACAGAGATTGACAGGAGGTTTAAGACACTCTGTCTAAAGTAAAGATTTAGAGTCACAGAGTTCATGGATTAGGATTTAGAATCCACAGAGGGTCCACAGATTCACTCATTCAACATTCCATAAATATTTATTGAATGCCTTTTTGTGTCAGAGACTGTCTTAGGTGCTGGAAATTTAGCAGTAAATGAAACAGACCAAAACCCATGCCCTCATGGAGCTTACATTCTGATGGTAGAGAGACAAGAAAACAAAATAGATAGTGTATTATTGAAGGTGATGAGAGCTCTGGAGAAAAAGTAGGAAAAGAGACAGATCTGGGACAAGGGCGAAATTACAGTATCAAAGATGATCTTTTTAGGGAAGATCTCCTTTTAAAAACACTTTGGAACAAAGATTTAAATGAGGTGCCAGAGGGGTAGCAAGTGCATATTCCCTGAGGAAGACGCCTGCCTGGCATTTTCAAGGAACAGCCAGTAACCAATGTTTATCTACGTAAGTAAGGAAGGGAGAACAGTAGGATGAGAGTTCAGAGAAGAGGGTAGGGGATATCAAATAATTTAAGGCCATGTAGGATTTTTGAGAAGAATTTTGCTTTTATGTCAAGTGGAATGAGGGCCACTGATGATCTGGGAGTAGAGTGACTATGATCCGACATGAAGTATACTCCATTTTTTAACTATGTGAACTTGTGCCAACGTTTTAACCTCTAAATCTGTTTCGTCATTTGTAAAACGGTAAAAAGTATTTTACCTCATAAGGTTGTCGTGATGATTAAATAAGATGATACGATAAGTGCAAAAGATTTAGCTTGTACTTAACATAGAGTAGGCACATTTTCTCCCCTTCCCTGTCTTTCACTTTTCTCTTCTGCCCCTTCCACCTGGCGCTAGGAGGGGGAGACTGGAATAAACCTTGCAGATTACAGCCCGTGTAAGAGTAGAAAGGAAAGGATGACAGTTGATGTAAAGCCTTGGTTAACAGACATAATAGCTGGGATTTAAATTCAGCTTTATTGGTGGTTTATGATGTGGACTAGAGGAATGGAACTGAAAGTCTCGGAGGAGGGGCGATCCTATCAGGTACAGGCGCTGCTTTTCCAGCCCTCAATCCTCAAGACTCTCCCAAGATACATTTCTAGGTAGTTTATCAACACAGACTCCGGGTATGCTAGCATGTTTAATTGCCCCATTGTTTAATGTCTTAACTCCACGAACTTTAACTGATTAATCTGTCTTCTAATTAATGTTTGAATGACTCTCCTCAGGTCTAAACTACCAAGGCCATCTCTACTTAAAAACAGTTGTCTTTTGTTTGTGATTTCAGGGGCCCTGGGTATAAGCGAAGTCCCTGTTTAGAGACCTTGTGATGGGTTCAAAATATCAAGAAAGATAGCAAAATATCACAAGCCTCCTGACCCGAGAAGATTAGCGTTGAAAGGGTCTGTCGTGTTTGTTTGGGCCTGGGGCTAAATTCCCAGCCCAAGTGCTGAGGCTGATAATAATCGGGGCGGCGATCAGACAGCCCCGGTGTGGGAAATCGTCCGCCCGGTCTCCCTAAGTCCCCGAAGTCGCCTCCCACTTTTGGTGACTGCTTGTTTATTTACATGCAGTCAATGATAGTAAATGGATGCGCGCCAGTATAGGCCGACCCTGAGGGTGGCGGGGTGCTCTTCGCAGCTTCTCTGTGGAGACCGGTCAGCGGGGCGGCGTGGCCGCTCGCGGCGTCTCCCTGGTGGCATCCGCACAGCCCGCCGCGGTCCGGTCCCGCTCCGGGTCAGAATTGGCGGCTGCGGGGACAGCCTTGCGGCTAGGCAGGGGGCGGGCCGCCGCGTGGGTCCGGCAGTCCCTCCTCCCGCCAAGGCGCCGCCCAGACCCGCTCTCCAGCCGGCCCGGCTCGCCACCCTAGACCGCCCCAGCCACCCCTTCCTCCGCCGGCCCGGCCCCCGCTCCTCCCCCGCCGGCCCGGCCCGGCCCCCTCCTTCTCCCCGCCGGCGCTCGCTGCCTCCCCCTCTTCCCTCTTCCCACACCGCCCTCAGCCGCTCCCTCTCGTACGCCCGTCTGAAGAAGAATCGAGCGCGGAACGCATCGATAGCTCTGCCCTCTGCGGCCGCCCGGCCCCGAACTCATCGGTGTGCTCGGAGCTCGATTTTCCTAGGCGGCGGCCGCGGCGGCGGAGGCAGCAGCGGCGGCGGCAGTGGCGGCGGCGAAGGTGGCGGCGGCTCGGCCAGTACTCCCGGCCCCCGCCATTTCGGACTGGGAGCGAGCGCGGCGCAGGCACTGAAGGCGGCGGCGGGGCCAGAGGCTCAGCGGCTCCCAGGTGCGGGAGAGAGGTACGGAGCGGACCACCCCTCCTGGGCCCCTGCCCGGGTCCCGACCCTCTTTGCCGGCGCCGGGCGGGGCCGGCGGCGAGTGAATGAATTAGGGGTCCCCGGAGGGGCGGGTGGGGGGCGCGGGCGCGGGGTCGGGGCGGGCTGGGTGAGAGGGGTCTGCAGGGGGGAGGCGCGCGGACGCGGCGGCGCGGGGAGTGAGGAATGGGCGGTGCGGGGCTGAGGAGGGTGAGGCTGGAGGCGGTCGCCGCTGGTGCTGCTTCCTGGACGGGGAACCCCTTCCTTCCTCCTCCCCGAGAGCCGCGGCTGGAGGCTTCTGGGGAGAAACTCGGGCCGGGCCGGCTGCCCCTCGGAGCGGTGGGGTGCGGTGGAGGTTACTCCCGCGGCGCCCCGGCCTCCCCTCCCCCTCTCCCCGCTCCCGCACCTCTTGCCTCCCTTTCCAGCACTCGGCTGCCTCGGTCCAGCCTTCCCTGCTGCATTTGGCATCTCTAGGACGAAGGTATAAACTTCTCCCTCGAGCGCAGGCTGGACGGATAGTGGTCCTTTTCCGTGTGTAGGGGATGTGTGAGTAAGAGGGGAGGTCACGTTTTGGAAGAGCATAGGAAAGTGCTTAGAGACCACTGTTTGAGGTTATTGTGTTTGGAAAAAAATGCATCTGCCTCCGAGTTCCTGAATGCTCCCCTCCCCCATGTATGGGCTGTGACATTGCTGTGGCCACAAAGGAGGAGGTGGAGGTAGAGATGGTGGAAGAACAGGTGGCCAACACCCTACACGTAGAGCCTGTGACCTACAGTGAAAAGGAAAAAGTTAATCCCAGATGGTCTGTTTTGCTTGGTCAAGTTAAACCCGAAGAAAACCCGCAGAGCAGAAGCAAGGCTTTTTCCTTGCTAGTTGAGTGTAGACAGCAATAGCAAAAATAGTACTTGAAGTTTAATTTACCTGTTCTTGTCCTTTCCCCTATTTCTTATGTATTACCCTCATCCCCTCGTCTCTTTTATACTACCCTCATTTTGCAGATGTGTTCTACATCTCAAGAGTTATTACAGTACTCCAAAACAGCACTTACATGATTTTTTAAACTTACAGAGGAATTGTAGCAATCCACCAGCTAACCGCCTGAAATAGACTTAAACATGTGCATCTCCTTTTTTTTTTTTTTTTTGAGACACAGTCTCGCTCTGTTGCCCAGGCTGGAGTGCAATGGCGCGGTATCGGCTCACTGAAACCTCCGCCTCCTGGGTTCAAGCAATTCTCCTGCCTCAGCCTCCCGAGTAGCTGGGACTAGTAGGTGCACGCCACCATGCCCAGCTAATTTTTGTATTTTTAGTAGAGACAGAGTTTCATCATGTTGGTCAGGATGGTCTCCATCTGCTCTGTTGCCCAGGCTGGAGTGCAGTGGCGCCGTCTCGGCTCACTGCAACCTCTGCCTCCTGCATTCAAGCAATTCTCCTGCCTCAGCCTCCCGAATAACTGGGATTACAGGTGTCTGCTGCCATGCCCGGCTAATTTTTTGTATTTTTAGTAGAGACGGGGGTTTCACCATGTTGGTCAGGCTGGTCTAGAACTCCTGACCTCGTGATCTGCCCGCCTCGGCCTCCCACAGTGGCATGTGCATCTTATAGCTGAAGTCTAAGCCTTCTTAAATCTTGAGATCCATCAAAACAGACAGGTTTTCTAATTGTTATACAATGTATATGTTATGTTTATAATAGAAATCATTTTACAAATAAGTTATAAATGGGAAAGGTCTATTTGTAATTATCAGCTCAGAATTAACCATAAAACTGGTGTCACTGAAGTGACTGAGGTCCAAAATGCTGACTCTGCATGTTATAGACTACAGATATCAAATATGGTTGCTAACAATAGTTTACTTTGAGACTGTAGCCATCCACAGTATATTTGCTTTTAAGAGATGGTAGATGGTAATTCAGTTTTATGAAAAATAAAAATGAATTTTCTTCCATTACAAAATTGTTGGATTCGAGTCCAGTCCACTCCTTACTAGCTTTTCTAACTCTCGGTGAGGGATCCCCTCCCAGCCCATGATCTTCATTTGGTAAGACTCCTTTGGAACCCAGTTCTCTCTAGTGGATTTAAATGTGATTTGGTTTTAAAAATCTCATTCAAGGAATTTTTTTTTTTTCTGGAAACAACCACCGCATAAACAAGTAAACCGGAAGATACATGTGGCTCTGAATTCATATATATACACAAACTCTAATCCAATGTCTGTCCACAGTATTTCCTAGGCTAGTAAACTTTTTGGCCTTAACGACCCCTCTACCCTCTTTGTTTTTTTGAGAGAGAGAGTCTCACTCTGTCACCCAGGCCGGAATGCAGTGGCGCGATCTCGGCCCGCTACTACCTCCGACTCTCAGGCTCAAGCGATTCTCCCGCCTCAGCTTCCCGAGTAGCCGGGATTACAGGCTCCCGCCACCGGGCTAATTGTATTTTTAGATACGGGATTTCACCATGTTGGCCAGGCTGGTCTCGACCTCCTGACCTCAGGTGATCCGCCCGCCTAAGCCTCCCAAAGTGCTGGGATTACAGGCCACCACACCCGGCCTACACTCTTAAAAATTATCGAAGGGGCCGGGCACATTGGCTCTTATCTGTAATCCCAGCACTTTGGGAGACTGAGGCGGGAGGATCGCTTGAGGCCAGGAGTTGGAGACCAGCGTACTCAACATAGTGAGACCTTGTTATAAAGAAAAAAAAAATCCAGGATTAAAAAAAATCTTTGATTTGTTTGGGATTTATTAATATTTACCGTATTGGAAATTAAAACAATTTTTTAAAATGTATTCATTTAAAAATAATAAGCCCATTACTTGGTAACATGAATAAAATATTTTATGAAAAATAACTATTTTCCAAAACAAAACCAAAACTTAGAAAAGTGGTATTGTTTCACACTTCAGTAA
Organism: Homo sapiens; assembly: GCF_000001405.40. NCBI lineage: Eukaryota > Metazoa > Chordata > Mammalia > Primates > Hominidae > Homo > Homo sapiens. The sequence goes on along the minus strand of NC_000012.12, from coordinate 25,247,826 downwards.
ATCTCTTTAATGATGTGGCTTAATAGAAGATATGGATTCTTATATCTGCATCTGCATTCAATCTATTATGATCACACATCTGGAAAACTTGTGAAAGAATGGGAGTTAAAAGGGTAAAGGACATCTTAATGTTATTATGAAAACAGTTTTGACCTCTTGCACACCAGAAAAGTCTTAGTAACCTGAGGGGTTCCTAGACCACATTTTGAGAACTGTTTTAGGCTATGCAAACTGGTTGGGGGGAGGTTGGGGTAGGCAGAGAGCTAGAAGATACATTTTAGTGTAATTCTCCTCATCTATTCCTAATTGCTTTGGCCTACATTTGAAATAAAGCGTGGAGGCAAACGGGATAAGATACATGTTTGTAGTGGTTGTTAACTTCACCCTAGACAAGCAGCCAATAAGTCTAGGTAGAGCAGAGTAAGGCGGGGAACTATGCCGTGACCGTGTGTGATACAATTTTTCTAGCCTGTGGTGCTTTTTGCGGCAGGGCTTAGGAGTAAGGTTAGTATGTTATCATTTGGGAAACCAAATTATTATTTTGGGTCTTCAGTCAATTATGATGCTGTGTATATTTAGTGTTTATCTACAATATATGCACATTCATTAATTTGGAGCTACTCATCCTATAATAAATAGTTGTGCATTTACTCCCATTTTTTTCTGCATTTCTCTCCTTATTTATAATTATGTGTTACATGAGGGAAAGGAGGTGAAATTAAACATTCATATTATTTCAAAAAATTTGAAACAACTAACTAAAAAATATGTTTTATTTTCTGTATGGTGTTTGTTATACAATCTGTCAATATTCATGCACCTCTTGGGAGACAGTGTATGAAAAGCAAAGAGTAACAGTCACATGGATTACTGATTACTGAGATATATTCACTTGCATCTTTTTTTTTTTTTGAGACGGAGTGGCTCTGTCGCCCAGGCTGGAGTGCAGTGGCGTGATCTCGGCTCACTGCAAGCTCCGCCTCCTGGGTTCACGCCATTCTTCTGCCTCAGCCTCCCAAGTAGCTGGGACTACAGGCGCCCGCCACCACGCCCGGCTAATTTTTTTATATTTTTAGTAGAGACGGGGTTTCACCGGGTTAGCCAGGATGGTCTTGATCTCCTGACCTCGTGATCCACCCTCCTCGGCCTCCCAAAGTGCTAGGATTATAGGCGTGAGCCACCGTGCCCGGCTCACTTGCATCTCTTAACAGCTGTTTTCTTACTAAAAACAGTGTTTATCTCTAATCTTTTTGTTTGTTTGTTTGTTTTGAGATGGAGTCTTACTCCGTCACCCAATCTGGAGTGCAGTGGCGTGATCTGGGCTCACTGCAACCTCTGCCTCCCGGGTTCAAGTGATTCTCCTTCCTCAGCCTCCCCAGTAGCTAGGACTACAGGAGAGCGCCACCACGCCTGATTAATTTTTGTATTTTTAGTAGAGAGAGGGTTTCACCATATTGGCCAGGCTGGTCTTGAACTCCTGGCCTCAGGTGATCCACCCGCCTTGGCCTCTGAAAGTGCTGGGATTACAGGCATGAGCCGCCGCACCCGGCTTTCTAATCTTTATCTTTTTTTGTGCAGCGGTGATACAGGATTATGTATTGTACTGAACAGTTAATTCGGAGTTCTCTTGGTTTTTAGCTTTATTTTCCCCAGAGATTTTTTTTTTTTTTTTTTTTTTTGAGACGGAGTCTTGCTCTATCGCCAGGCTGGAGTGCAGTGGCGCCATCTCGGCTCATTGCAACCTCGGACTCCTATTTTCCCCAGAGATATTTCACACATTAAAATGTCGTCAAATATTGTTCTTCTTTGCCTCAGTGTTTAAATTTTTATTTCCCCATGACACAATCCAGCTTTATTTGACACTCATTCTCTCAACTCTCATCTGATTCTTACTGTTAATATTTATCCAAGAGAACTACTGCCATGATGCTTTAAAAGTTTTTCTGTAGCTGTTGCATATTGACTTCTAACACTTAGAGGTGGGGGTCCACTAGGAAAACTGTAACAATAAGAGTGGAGATAGCTGTCAGCAACTTTTGTGAGGGTGTGCTACAGGGTGTAGAGCACTGTGAAGTCTCTACATGAGTGAAGTCATGATATGATCCTTTGAGAGCCTTTAGCCGCCGCAGAACAGCAGTCTGGCTATTTAGATAGAACAACTTGATTTTAAGATAAAAGAACTGTCTATGTAGCATTTATGCATTTTTCTTAAGCGTCGATGGAGGAGTTTGTAAATGAAGTACAGTTCATTACGATACACGTCTGCAGTCAACTGGAATTTTCATGATTGAATTTTGTAAGGTATTTTGAAATAATTTTTCATATAAAGGTGAGTTTGTATTAAAAGGTACTGGTGGAGTATTTGATAGTGTATTAACCTTATGTGTGACATGTTCTAATATAGTCACATTTTCATTATTTTTATTATAAGGCCTGCTGAAAATGACTGAATATAAACTTGTGGTAGTTGGAGCTGGTGGCGTAGGCAAGAGTGCCTTGACGATACAGCTAATTCAGAATCATTTTGTGGACGAATATGATCCAACAATAGAGGTAAATCTTGTTTTAATATGCATATTACTGGTGCAGGACCATTCTTTGATACAGATAAAGGTTTCTCTGACCATTTTCATGAGTACTTATTACAAGATAATTATGCTGAAAGTTAAGTTATCTGAAATGTACCTTGGGTTTCAAGTTATATGTAACCATTAATATGGGAACTTTACTTTCCTTGGGAGTATGTCAGGGTCCATGATGTTCACTCTCTGTGCATTTTGATTGGAAGTGTATTTCAGAGTTTCGTGAGAGGGTAGAAATTTGTATCCTATCTGGACCTAAAAGACAATCTTTTTATTGTAACTTTTATTTTTATGGGTTTCTTGGTATTGTGACATCATATGTAAAGGTTAGATTTAATTGTACTAGTGAAATATAATTGTTTGATGGTTGATTTTTTTAAACTTCATCAGCAGTATTTTCCTATCTTCTTCTCAACATTAGAGAACCTACAACTACCGGATAAATTTTACAAAATGAATTATTTGCCTAAGGTGTGGTTTATATAAAGGTACTATTACCAACTTTACCTTTGCTTTGTTGTCATTTTTAAATTTACTCAAGGAAATACTAGGATTTAAAAAAAAATTCCTTGAGTAAATTTAAATTGTTATCATGTTTTTGAGGATTATTTTCAGATTTTTTTAGTTTAATGAAAATTTACCAAAGTAAAGACCAGCAGCAGAATGATAAGTAAAGACCTGTAAGACACCTTGAAGGTCATGGAGTAGAACTTCCATCCCAAGCAGATGAGGATTTATTTAATCTCAAAGACCTCCAGGAGGGGACATTCCCCAACTGTCCTTGTTAACTCATTTTCAGAACATATTTATTAGCATATTTTACATGTAATTTGGATCTTCATGTTAAATTTAACATCAGTGGAGATGGAAAATAAGCATATCGCCTTGTCTTTGAAATAGCCCTATATTGTTAGATTGTTTCTTAGGCTTCTTTACCCTGGGTTAAGCAGTCCTAATACTTTAGCATTTATTCTACATCTAGTGTACTAATTTAAAAAAATCAGTTCTGAAAAATTTCTAAGAACTTTCTTCAAGTTCCAAGCTGTGAAATCTAGAACAGGTCAAAGTGCCTTATTAACGTACTGTACTGTGTAGTGTCTTGAAGAGACACTTTGCGCTGAGGCAAGTTCTGAGGGCATTGGGTGGCCTTGGGAAGATATTTATGCAGTTTAGAACCTGGAGAATTGATTAGATAACTAATCATAAGGAAACGTCACATATTTTTGGTACTATAAAAAAGTGGAGAAATAATGCCTATTTGCAAAGATTTGATTTAAACATAGAAACAACTTTATTTGGCTTCCAATTTTAAGAATTTACAGCAGTAAAGGGGAACAGTCTAATTGAAGTAGACTGCCTATGCAATAGTCTCTGTATATTTACTTTTGACAAGTTAATTCAATGTGTACTATAGTTTTGTTTCTTTGAAGAGGTTTGAATAGTGCACCCATTTTAATCTGTATTGCAAATTCAGGGTTACTTGGCAGACTCTACTATTTAAATCAGATGTAAAAGGAAGTTTTAATATAATTCACTTTATGCCTGAAAGTTTTCCTGGGATTTTGGAAGGTGATTTTACTGGAAATGCTGTCTGTCTTCCCTGAAAATCTGAGAAATTCCATTACACTTTGTTTCCAATCAGAGGTCATGAGTGCTATATGAGTATATACAGCATGACGTCATGAATGTGATAAAGTGGGTTAGGAAACCTTTTGCTAATGATTGTTAAAATGCAATATAAATGTTGAAGAAATAAAGCTAACAGTTAAGCCTTTATTTGGGCGGAAGGCTGAAAAAGTTTATAAACTTAAACCTATAACTCTGCTTATGATTTCTGCCAAACCAGAAGACTTGACTCTGGGAAGCATTGGTTACCTGTGAACTTTGAAACTGACGGTCCCTGACGTAGTTTAGTCACCTGGGAAAAGGTATCTGAGATTATCTCTTATCTCCCAAGTTACAGTGAGTCTCTGAGGGAACTGACACATTACATTAAGTTCTTGGTGTAGTTAAACTGTAAGAAAGGCAGGAGAACTTAGTAGTTAAATAGTTGGTTAAATGGAAATGCTGACTCCATGTTATTGTAAAAAGTTAAAAATTTAGGAGGATATGGGGATTTCACTGCCATTGCAGGTTTTGATTGGTATTTACCAATCCGTGTGGGTCAGAGAGAAAATTAGAAAGGATATGACTGCACATTTTGGAATTATTAGCAGTTTTTCTACATTTAAAATGGAAATAAATTTTTTAAAAATTTAAATCAAGTAATACTGTATTTTTTGGTGATTTAGATTTTTCAAAATTTACACTAAGAGATAGTAAGGAGGGTGGCTATTGTTTCTTTCAATAATGTCTCTGAGAGGTTGTAACTCATCTAAGGATACGTAGCTAATAAGTGGTAGGATTTCAATTTAAATTCTCTGAGACCAAGTTAAGTAGAATTTGCACTGTACTCTTGTATAACTTTTTAAAACTGAAAATTAGCTATCTTTCAAATTAAGAAAATATTTACTAATGGAGACTAATTCAGATTTGTAAGTATACCAAAATTTGAACTTAGCCTGCTATCTAATGGCAACTTAGTGGCAGAGGTATGATGTAAAATCATTCAGGTATGACACATAGATGGAGTATGTTTGTATTCGAGGCTGTGCACATAATCACCTTTACTTGTATTGTGAAGTATATATTGTTATCTTTTATGAAGCCCACTAAAGAGATAATGAAATACCTCGTTATTAGGGCAAGATTATTGAAAACTCAAAATAGCCCCCAAACACAATACTTGGCTAGAAATATATACCTTTATAGTTCAGAGATCATTTATTATCAAAACCCTGAAGTTTTTTTTCTAAGGTAAAATTTGGTGGAAGAGGAAAAGTCTCGTTTTAAAAAAATGTAGGTAGTTACAGAGATCAGAATGATTAGTTGATCACTTACCAAATATATATTAAGTATCTACTGTATATAATATGCTAGTAAGAATAAATATAGCAGGAAGTATTTTTTCCCAGGCTCTAATTGTTTGACATCAGCATGCTTTTATTGTGGCACTTATAATTCAGTTCAAGTATTATGCCCCTCTTTGATGGAACAGTTTCCTATTCAGTAAGGAAGACCAGATTAATCATTGGATTGGTTTGTTTCATCTTTAGTGTTCTGAGCTGTAGAGTATTTATTTACCAAGGTTTATTTTAATTTTTATTTTATTTTTATTTTTCCATGTTCATTGTAGAATTCATTTTACCTACGAATGAAGTATGTAGATTATAGAGAGAAAATTTGTAAAATTAAACTGATACTGAAGACTGGTATAAGAAAAGCCTTATGTAATTTGTAAGCTGCTATTCTTCTGAGTTTATACATATATCTTTAGTAATCAATGAGGGATGGTTGGGTGACTGCCCTCCAGGGGACATTTGGCAACATCTGGAGATGTTTTTGGTTGCCACAACTTGGGGAGAGAGTACTGCTACTGGCATCTATTGAGTAGATGCTATTACTTTAAATGGCAAAGCTGCAGTTACCTTTGCACCAACCTAATATTAAACTTCCTGCAGTGCACGGGAAAGCCCCCACAACAGGGTTATCTGACCCCAAACCTCAATGGTGTTAAGATCCAAACCTTGATATGTTAACCTGTAGCTTTAAACATCCTTTAAATTGTCAAATTCATGTCCCTGACATAAGGTTTATGTTAGATTTTCAAGTATAACAAAGATTTAAACTTTAACTTTTGTACGTTAATGATATGTTAGCTTACTCCAGTCTTCTATTAAAACATTCTGTTTTTAAAATCAGAGACACACAGCAATTTTATAAATCATTTCTCTTCAAGGCTGTGAAGCTCTCCCCACTTTTGTGAGTGCCCTCTACTGGTCAAATTATTTGCTTTATAACAAGTAACAGTGAAATCCTAAGTTTGTGTAGTTTCGCTGTTTAAATTATGGGTGGCATCAATTTATAAATATATTCGTTTTATTTAAAAGTCTTATATGATTGATTTCGTATCATTTTTGCTCTCTGCTAATATTAATATAAAGATTACTGTCTGTATTAGTTAGGCCTAACTAAGTAGGTGAGTATAGTGAACTAAGAAAGGAAACGAGGCAGTATATAAGAAAATAGGGTGGTTCAGTTGTTAACACTTACTGAGCTTACTTTGTTGAAGGGACTAAAAGGCAGCAGTGTGGCTCTCTGAGCTTCTTTGCATGCACTCAGGAGCTGCTTAATGGAGTCCAAGGCTTGGTGGTGTGTTACAGGGGATGATAGGAGGGTCCTATTCAGAAGTGGCAAATTGTGAAAGTGCACATTTTGTAGAGTTTTATAGGACTGTAGAATAGTTGTGAGCACCTGATTTTTAGAATAAACAGAAAACTCAGGTACTGTATTTAGGTCAAATTAAGAATAAGTATTTATTAAGACCTGAATATAAAACTTTACTGGTCATGGTTTTTTTCTACCTTGGGTTTTTATAAATCCAAAGATTTAAAAACATACAAATGGAAGTTGGTAATGGAATTAAGTGAAAGGAAAAAATGATTTTATGGTTTGGAATCTCCTAAGATTCTGGTTTTAACAATACAACTAATTCCTTAATCCTAGAAATGTTCTTCACTGCCCACTTTGTACCATGCAGTCTTCCTGTGGGCTAGAGATACACTGAGGCGCAAAACAGACCAGATTCCTGCCTTCATGGAGCTTATTAGTTTTAGGTATCTCTAGATTTCTTGTAATACCTATTACAATGCCTGCACATCAGTTCATTCATGTGGGTTCAACGTAGTACTCAGTACATGGCAAATTCAAGTTTTACTTTTCGGAACTTCATGGATTTTTTTCCTCAGAATATCTTTTATCCATAATTGGTTGAATCTGTAGATGCAGTACCCATGGATATGGATGGCCCACTTTATTTTGAAGAGCAGTGTTTCTAGGCAATCATGCTAATTATATATGACTTAATTTAGAGGCTTTATACTTAAGAGCATTACATTTCTGGCGTCTCTTAACCATTATTATTTCATAATGTGTAGGTTATGGAACAGTTAAATTATTGGGATCTTAATATAGAAATTAGTAGAAATAAGCCAGATATGGTGGCTCATGCCTGTAATCTTAGCACTTTGGGAGGCTGAGGCTATTCGCTGTACTATTTTTTACTACTTTTCTATAGGTTTGAAATTTTTTCAAAATAAAACATTGAAAAAAGTAAGGTAGGTAGTGTGTCCCTCCTTAATCCTTTCAAATATTTTATTTTCACTATTTCTATTAATTTTTTTTTTTGTTTTTGAGATGGAGTCTCGCTCTGTTGCCCAGGCTGGAGTGCAGTGGCGCGATCTTGGCTCACTGCAGCCTCCACCTCCTGGGTTCCAGCCATTCTCCTGCCTCAGCCTCCTGGGTAGCTGGTATTACAGGCATGCACCACCACACCCAATTACTTTTTGTATTTTTAGTAGAGACGGGGTTTCACCATGTTGGCCAGGCTAGTCTCGAACTCCTGACCTCGTGATCTGCCCGCCTCAGCAGTGTCACTGCTTCTAGACCGTTTTCAAGGCACAGAGCTTAGAAATGCATGTTACTAAGAAATCAAGAGTTAACTATTTTTCACCTTCTTTCTCCCGCAGTGAGAACCCTGGTTCTACCCTGTTTCTCCTTGTGTAAATTTTAATGCTAAACTATACACTTGTGAAATAAAAATGATAATGTCATTCTTAAATTATGGATCTTGCAGTGTTATCTAAGTAACATAGATTGAGTGATTTAACTTTAGGTTTCCTTATTTGTGGAATTTGGATAAATATTTTTCACCCTTGAGAAAAGTGAGACTCCTTTCTCATCATCAGAGTATCCTTAAACCATTAAGGCAAACATTTGGGAAAAAACTGAGCTATCTGGCTGCATAAAAATTAAGTTTTCTTTAACAAAGATAGAAGACAAATGAAAACCTAGAAAAACCATTTGGTTCAAGTAACAGGAAGCTATCTTATATATGAATTAGAGAAAAGCAAACACACAAATAGAAAAAAAGGGATGGGGGGTACTAAAGATATAAATAGCTTGTCTACCAAAAAAGAAATAAAATAAATAACATGAACATATAAAAAGACACTTACTTCATGAATGTGATGCAAGTTCAAACAATAAATAACATTTCTGTACTTTCATATTGGCTAAGGTTAAAATGATAACTGCTAGGAAGGGTATGGAGAAGTGTGCGCCTTGCACTGTAGTGGGAGTATAGACCCTCAGACTTTATGGAGGTCAGTCTGGAAATATGTTTCAAAATGTAAACTACATGTCCTTTGACCAGGTAATTCAACTTCTTGAAATTTATCCAAGGATTTAATTGGATAAATGTTTAAGATGTATATATAAGAATGTTTACTGCAGTGTTGTTTATGATTTTAAAAAAATGGAAATCATCTTCATGTCTACCAATAGAGAATGGGTGAATAAATTATGGTATGTCCATATATACAAATTACATAGTTGTTGGAAATATTAGGTAGATTTAGATATACTGATGTTCAAAAATGTCCATTATGTAAGTGAAGCTGGGTCACAGCACCTTGTGTTGAGTATGATTTCATCTAGAAACAAAATTACTCCCTCATCCTTTGTTGTGTTTTAGTTTTTTAAAATAAGCTTATACCATTGGGCTGGGGGAAAAGTAAATACTCGTTTTGGAGAGAGAAAAGGGCACTAAAGTTTCAGATACCGTTAGATTATTTCATGCTTATTTTTCAAGCCTCAATAAATTACATAATTCACATGTAGTCTTGGATTAAGGAAATTGCTATTAAGGCTAAATAAATAATATGAGAGGTATATAATATAAAATATGAACATTATATTGGCATTAAGATTGGATCCACGGTCATTCCAGCCTCTCATTCTTACCTGGACTTCAAGTGATCACTTGTGGGCAAATGCCATCTGACTTGAACAGGTTACACATGTATGCTCATTATATCGTTATTTTCAAAATTTGTCATATAAATTTTCCTTGAGTTCATTCAGATTTTTGAACTAGTTTTTTCTCTTGGGAGTAGTACACACTTAATTCTCTCTAGTACTAAGCTAATGTTCACCATTCTTATAATTTTAAGTATCCAGCATTTAGTAAAGAAGTCTTTGTTTTCTTTATCCTTACTTTTAGTGAATGTCTTAGTTTTTAATTGAAAATTCTGCCATGAAAATAAGCTCTTTAACATCTTCACTCCCTAATCAAAACAGAAATCCTTCATAGCCTTCAGTTGTAGCTATCCTTCCCTGTGATTTGTCCAGCTCCATTATATTTATTTTGAAATATGGTGACCAGTTTTGCAAAATTATTTCAACTGTAGGTGCCCAGTGATTTTGTAAGGAGAAGATACTGTTTCTGAACAGTTCTCAGTAGCCAGTGGCCTGCCCCTACTTTTTGGCCTGCGTGTAGTATATAAAATAATGCAGTTAACTTTTTATAGCACTTTTCATTTTATAAAGAGATTTTCATGGTCTTTAATATTAATCTATGTATAAAGTCCTGTATGCAGTTTTACCTACTTTCACAGCTGAAGGAACAATAGCTTAGAGAAGATGTGAGATAAAGTAGTTTGCCCAAGCCCATAGCACAAATAAGTGAAGTTCTTCGGCTGTCCATGGATCGAAGACTCCCAAGTCTATCTCTAGCCTGGACTTCTGTCCTGAGCACCAGACATGTATGTATATCAAGATGCCTGCAGGTCATATCCACCAGGACAACCCATGAGTACAGGGAATTCAACATGCCCAATATCACTCATCTTTTCCTTCGCCCTCCCCTTTGTACTCATCCCCTGTCGGTAAGCTCTGTTATTTTAAAAAATTGAAATGTATTCACATAGCATACAATTTACACTTTTCAAGTGTACATGGTTTTTAGTATATTCACAAGGGTTGTGCAGTCATTACTACTAATTCCAGAATGTTATTATCACCCCAAAAGTCCCACATCCATTAGCAGCCACTCCCCAATCCCTTCTCCCACCAGCCTCTAAAAACTGCTAATTTTTCCATCTCTGTGGATTTGTCCACTCTGATTATTTCATATAAAGAGAATCGTACAGACGTGGCCTTTTGTGTCTGGCATCCTCCACACAGGATGATATTTTCAGAGTTCGTCTATGTTTTTGCTTGTTGATCATTCCTTCATTCCTTTTTCTGGCTGAATAATACTCTGTTATATGGATATACCTTATTTTGTTTATCTGTTCATTTGATGGGCATTTGAGTGATTTCCTCTTTTTGGCAATTTTGAATAATGCCACTATAAACATTTATGTACACGTTTTTGTGTGACCATATGTTTTCACTTCTCTCGGGTGTATATCTAAGGTACAGTTGCTGGGTTATATGGTAGCTCTGTCTTTGACTTTTTGAGGAACTGCCAAGTGGTTTTGGTAGTGATTGTACTGTTTACATTCCTACCAACAATTTTACCTAAGTATTTCTCAAATCTATTTAATCTTTTCGGTCCATACTGCTGTTGCTGCCTTAGTTCAGATTTTGTCATTTCTTGTAATAATTCGTAGCTCATCTCCCAGTCTCTGCTCCCCTCTCTCCCTCCCTCCCCCTTCTTCTCTCTCTTATTTCCACCCATTTTTAACATTTATAGAAGTCAAAAGTCTAGTTCAGAAAGCAGAAACCATACTAGATATTTCAGCACAGAGAACTAATTAGGTGTTGGAAGACTGAAAGGCAAAAAAACACTGAAGTAACACAGTAACATCAAGAATGGGCACTACTCCTAAGATTCAGGGAATGCTGGGAAGATTTGGGGTTTATCAGAACTGGAAGCTCAGAGGAGGGGCCCCTTGTCGCTGAGGCTTAATCCCTGCAGAGGTGCCTTTGGCTGCTACTGGTGAATCTGAGTGGGTATGATGAGTCAGTGTCTGGGAAGGGCCAAAACATTTTGTCCCTTTCTATAATTTGTCATGATAATGCTAGTAATGAATCTGATCTCCCTTCCTATTTTAAAAACCTTTTAGTGATTTTGTATAGGATGAAGTTTAAAACTCCTTACTTAATATACACATGACCCTCCGTAAGCTGGCCCCTGCTTGATTGTCCAGTTTCACTTCTTGGTGCTTATTCTAAGGCCTCTAAGCCTTAGAGATCCTCTAAGCCTTTGAGATCCCCAAACCCTGGACTGCGGACTGGTACCCACCTGTGTGGCCTGTGAGGAACTGGGCTGCACAGCCGGAAGGAGGTGAGCATTACTTGCCTTAGCTCCTGTCAGATCGGCAGCATTAGATTCTAATAGGAGCGTGAACCGTGTTGTGAACTGCCCATGCAAGGATCTAGGTTGCATACTCCTTAGGAGAATCTAACTAATGCTTGATGGTCTGAGGTGAAACAGTTTCATCCTGAAATCACCCCCAACTCGGTCCTTGGAAAAATTGTCTTCCACGAAACTGGTCCCTGATGCCGGAAAAGTTGGGGACCGCTGTTCTAAGCTAAAGTTATATGGAGCTCCTTGGTTCTGTGTCCTCAACATGCTGTTCTATGTTTTTTACATTCTGTTTGCTCCTTCCTGCTTGGAATGTCCTTCCCCTCCCCGTCTTTCTTAATGCATACAAAGTTGATCTCTCCTGTGTGCCACCATTGTACTTCGTCTTGCATATGGTGTTACATTCATTTTATTTTAATTATTTATTTACGTTCATGTCTCTTCCACTCACCTTAGTTGCTTGAGGTCAGAAACTATATAATGTGTGACACGGAATGTGACACCTAGATTTTCAATAAGTGTTTCTATGATACAAGGGAGACTGATGTGGGTAGATGGGAATGAACTCATCAACCTCTGTTTACATACCCTAAATTCCCTGTTTCTTCCCTATTATAATTCTGACAGTCTACAACCGTCTTTGATGGCTTATAAACGGAAAGTGCGGAACACATCATTCTACAGTGAATTTAAATAACCTTTCGGAAGAGTAACGTAAAGTACTTGAGCATTAATTGAGTAAAAGTTTCTCATCTTTTCCTACAGGTGTTATTAAGCAGTATGTAAAAAGTCCTTACAATACTTAATACATTAAGAAAACATACAATTTCAAGAGGAAATCCCCGAGTAATACATTATTGACATTTTCAGCAGTTCTAGTTATATTGAGAAGAGCATCTCATGGAATTGGCAGAATGAAGATGGAGATTAAATGAGATGATGTTTGTAATATGCTTATGACAGTATCTGGCATATAAGTAAGGGCTCAGTAAATGTTGACTGCTGTAATTACTATTAATAGTAATATGATTACCTTTAGTAAAAGTTATTAGTTTCTTTAGGTTTTTTGTTTACTACAATATAGTAAACAAAATCTATACTTGGAATGTATATATTGTTTTGTTTTGATACATGGAATATGTCTCTGTGTCAGAGTCACTGCCTGAGTTGGAAAACCCATACTCGAGTATGTTAAAAGGTGAACACACTGAATAATTTAGTTATTAATTATAATGGAAAAATGACAAACTTGATGTTCTGGTTAATGAGGTTATCTTATCTTGAATGAGTTAGCTTTTAAATTCCTCAAAATAAAGGCATTTAATAAACCAGGAAACACTTCATTAAAAAAATTATGCAAGTCAGTGTAAAAGAAGATTAAAATTCCACATGGGCAAAGGACACACGTTGGCGATAAATATGCAGATAAGAAAAAAAACCTATATAACATTATTACTCCTCAAAGAAATTGGTATGAAAACAATAAAAATGTGTAGCTTATCAAACCAACAAAAATTTAAAAATATGAAATCCATTTTAAGTAATGATAAAATGGGTGCACTCTTAGTGCTTTATAGAATAGTAGTATAATGAACCTCATGTGTGTACCAACCAGCTCTTTCATATCTTAACATTTAGCAACATTTGATTTAGCTCTTTCTTTTTTCCAAGATAGAAAAGTTAATATTGTTGAAGACTCCTGCATTCTTTTCCCTAGTCTTATTTTCTTCCCTCCCATAAATGTGTTAAAATCTCTGTGTGTATTGTTTTGGTTGTATTTTTACATAAAACTTTACATATTATATAAAATTTAATTGAAGGTAAAATTTATTAAATTATTCTTAATATATATTGTAATTTAAAAATTAACAGCTTCATTGTCTTGATAAAATTTATGGTATCTTAAACATGTGCTTGTTTTTCTAAGAGAACATTGAAACATAGATTTTAAAACAAATTGTTGAAAGATTAAAAAATCTGCCTTTGCACACTGTTACATTGAAAGTGGGGCATTTGTCGTGAACATTCATTTCAAATATGTAGTATCTTCAGAATATTTGAGAAGGATTTGTATTATATAATTGAAAAATCTGTTAAATTGTATTTATGTTAACTGCTTAATTCTAATAAAATTTCCATTCATTTTTTAGTATCTGCATATATTTACATCAAATGGATTCATTCACTTATTTAAGAGGCAGTACTAATTACCTATAGCGTTCAAGACTGTTAGGTAGAGGGTGTGTAGTGGTGAGTACAACAGGCGTGAGCCCTACCAACACGGAGTTTAAAGCCTAGTAGAGGATATAGACTTAAACAATTTCACAAGTAAATACATAATTACAAATTATAATACATGCTATGAAGGAAACATAGGAGGTACCAGAGAAGGAAGAGTGCTTTGCATTTTTATTTTTAAGACCGAAGAGTGCTATTGGAGGACTTTGAGCAAGTGAATGACATGATCTAACCTACCTTCGTTCATTCATTCATTCATTCATTTTCTTCCTTCCTGGCTCAAGCAGTCCTCCCACCTGAGCTCCCCAAATAGCTGGGACTACAGGTACACACTACCACACCTAATTTTTTTTTGTATTTTTTGTATTTTTGATGGGATTTTACCATGTTGGCCAGGCTGGTCTTGAACTCTTGACCTCAGGTGATCCACCTGTCTCGGCCTCCCAAGGTGTTGGGATTATAGGTGCCTAGCCCATGGTGCCTAGCCCTAACCTACATTTATAAACTATCACTTGCTGCTGTGTGGAGACTATATTGTGAGATTAACAGCAGGGATACCTGCTAGGAAGCAATTGCTGCAGATTGCCTGAGACAAAATAGTTATCATGGACTAGGGGGATGGTGGTGGTGGTGGTGGTAGGTGGTTGGATGTAGGATATATTTTGAAGATAGGTAAATGGTGCAAGATTATGGGTCAGTTTTAAATGCTTAAGTAAATTTTCTTTGTAAGACATTTTAGGATGCCATGTTAAGAATCTCTTTATAACTGTCATTTAAAAAAAAACCACATATTTTCTTAGCATAATTTCCCATAGTAACATTACTATGTCAAAGGCTATGAACATTTGAATGACTTTAGATAAATACTGTAATTGCTTTCCAAAAATATTGTGCTTATTATGTCACCAGAAATGTTTGAATTCTGTCTACAATTCAGTCTTGCCAGTATAGTACATTTCATTTAGAAAAATTTTTTACTATGTAGATGGAAAAAATAATATTTTAGCTGGGAGTGGGGGGACTATGGGGAATAACTTTCCTTCATTTAATATTTTATTGTGAGTTAGTTTAAGTTACTTTATTTTATCGTAGTTTCCTAAGGCTACAAATTAGTAACCTTGGTAACTTATGTACCTAATTTAAAAGTTTACTTTTTTGAAAGGCTGGAAATACTAATTAAAAACGTAACACCTTCATCCTTGTCTTTGCTCCATTATTAACTAGTTTCATTACAGAATCTCTGTGTTTTAAAATCAGATGGGTTTTCATAACCAGTACTTTCTCAGAGTGGTAAATTTAAAAAAATATATAAAGAGAATAAATAATATTTGTTGAGAATACTTCAAATAATGTGAAGAGTTATTAACTTACAGCAGGAGTTGGCAAACTTTTCTATAAAGGGCCATATGGGTCTTTGTCACAAAGTCTTGGGTTTTTGTTTTTGTTTTTTTAAACAGCTATTTAACTATTCCTAGCTAATGGGCAATACAAAAACAGTGGGCAAGATTTGGCCTGTGGGCAGTAGCTTGCTGAAACCTTATTTAGACTCTAAATTTTTTGAAAGAGTCTACATTGATGCATATTTTTTTTTCTTCCTCCAAATACAGTTGACCCTTGAACAACATGCGTTTGAGTGACCATGGGTCCACTTGTGATACACGTTTTTTTCCCAACCAAATGCAGATATGGAGGGCTGACTTTTCATATACCTGGATGTTCCTGGGCCAACTGTAGGACTAGAGGCTGGGGGGGTCTTGGAACCAATGCCGTGTGTATACCAGGGATGACTGTTTCTTATGGCCTGACCTGAAGTTGGAACAGAATCTTTATTAATATATAATTTTTGTTGCGTTTGTTTTCTCTTTATATTTATCCATTCTTTTTAGATCGTATTTCATTTAACACTTTTTCTTCTTTAGTTTTTACCAAGTTGCACTGAAAATAGCTCAGTGACTAATTGCACTTCTAAGAGTGAGGACCCTAGTTAAAATTAACTCTAAAAATACTGAATTTTTAACCTAAACCTTTTATTTCTAATCAACAGTATTATTTATGAGTAGGTTATAGATTACTTTGAAACGGAATGTGTCTCAGAACTTTGCTATCGATATTTTTAAGGTCTGGTAGGGAAAAGATAATAGGAATGAGATTTATCAGTGAATAGGGGACTGCTTTCCCAGTTTCTCGGTCGCACTGGTGTATTCACCATGGAAGCATCTTATGAAATATGTACATAAACTACTAATATCCCACATTACAGGTTGACTATTCTTTATCTGAAATGCTTAGGACCTAGAAGTATTTTTGGATTTTGGTTTTTCAGAGTAGGGATACTCAGCCTACATTGGTAAGTAAAGAATGTGAGGTGACAGGCTGGGCGCGATGGTTGACGCCTGTAATCCCAGCACTTTGGGAGGCCGAGGCGGATCACCTGAGGTCAGGAGTTGAAGACCAGCCTGGCCAATCTGTACTAAAAATACAAAAATTAGCTGGACACAGTGGCACGTGCCAGTAGTCCCAGCTACTCAGGAGGCTGAGGTAGGAGAATCGCTTGAACCTGGGAGGCGGAGGTTGCAGTGACTCGAGATCGTGTCACTGCCCTCCAGCCTAGGCAACAGAGCAAGACTCCATCTCAAAAAAAAAAAAAAAAAAAAAAAAAAAGAATGTGAGGTGGCAGCAATAGGTAGGAAGAGTCTTTGGTCAGCTTTACATGCTCTGTAGCCATGCCTGGGTAATGGGTTGACTCTAAGACTCTGTGCTTTGCTCCCACCTCCTGCTTTTTCATTACT
Organism: Homo sapiens; assembly: GCF_000001405.40. Lineage (NCBI taxonomy): Eukaryota > Metazoa > Chordata > Mammalia > Primates > Hominidae > Homo > Homo sapiens. Next base: position 25,230,964 of record NC_000012.12, on the reverse strand, counting down.
CTTTAGAATGGTTTTTAATTTGTGATCTATAGGAGTTCTTTCAAGTATTTAATAAGAGAATAGGCTAAATTAAGTAAATGTCAACTGAATGCTCAAATCTCTACTAAAGAGCCTCTTATTTAGAAAATAAATATCCATCTTTTTTTTCTGACTGGTGAGATAATTAATTTTTATTACAGATGGTTTGGAAAATACCATATGCTTTAAAAGATAAGCACAAAATTATAGTCTAATATGTAGGTTTTCATACTTTAAAAAATTGAAAACCAAAGAAAAACATTTAACATAGCATCTAGTACAAAGAAAAGAGATAAGCAAGAGATAAATGTCTTTTTTGGGACAGAGTTTTGCTGTTGTTGCCCAGGCTGGAGTGCAATGGCACAATCTCAGCTCACCGTAACCTCCACCTCCCGGGTTCAAGTGATTCTCCTGCCTCAGCCTCCCGAGTAGCTGGGATTACAGTCATGCACCACCAGGCCCAGGTAATTTTGTATGTTTAGTAGAGATGGGGTTTCTCCGTGTTGGTCAGGCTGATCTCAAACTCCCGACCTCAGGTGATCTGCCCACCTTGGCCTCCCAAAGTGCTGGGATTACAGACATGAGCCATCGCACCCGGCCAAGATAAATGTCTTTTAAATTATCTCCATTAAAGACATAACCTTTATAACATTTTGATGTATATATTACCAGTTTTTAAACACATAGTAGATTTGTATAAATACATAAACACATATTATTGTGATCATGCTGCACTTAGACATCTTTATATTCTCCTTATACTGTAAACATTTTGAAATACTTTACTAACAACATTTGTAATGACCATTCTTTCTCTCTTTCTCCCTCTGATAGAATGGTCTACAGAGTAATTCATAAACTAAACATACTTTAGAGGCTGGGCGCAGTGGCTCATGCCTGTAATCCCAGCACTTTGAGAGGCTGAGGCGTGCAGATCACGAGGTCAGGAGTTAGAGACCAGCCTGACTAACATGGTGAAACCCCATCTCTACTAAAAAAACAGTACAAAAATTAGCCGGGCGTGGTGGCGTGCACCTAGAATCCCAGCTACTCAAGAGGCTGAGGCAGGAGAATCACTCGAGCCCAGGAGGCAGAGGTTGTAGTGAGCCGAGATTGCACCACAGCACTCCAGCCTGGGCGACAGAGCGAGACTCCATCTCAAAAAAAAAAAAAAAAGATACATTAATACTATAGCCTACATGTGGAACATTAAGAAAATAATTGCTTTTATGTTTATGCTTTATACCTGTTGTTAGCCCTGCTTCTTATTTCATGATTTCATGGCTTCACATTGTAACATCCCTTTACCATATTTTTTGAGGACTGTTTTGGCAGAATGTGTGAAATCTTGAGCAGAAGTATTACCCAAAAGTCAGAAGAAAATCAGATTTTTATTTCAAGATTCTGTTAAAGTTACCCACTCCCTTCTTTTACTTAATCTTATAGTTGCAGTTCTCTCTCTTTTTAGAAAAGAAAAAAGAGGCCCCTCAGGATTTGCAGATGAAACAATATTGCTCTTTAGAGATATCCATCTGGCTGTTAGATTATTTTTCCACAGTTTTCAGAAGTGGATGAGGCCATTAGAATCTTGAGTATTGCCCATTTCCTTATGTGTGCCTTTGACTATAGATAAAATAGATGCATGACAATTATTTATAAGTTGATTGATTTTTCTTGTCATTTAAATCATCTTGAATAATAGAGTTGGTAGAGCTATCCCATTTTTGAAATTATTTTGTTTTGTCAATAACTTTTTGTTACCAGCATGTACACTTGCATTGTTGACTCTCCATATAATACCTTTAAAAAATTTTTTTTTGTGGTAAAATATGCATAACATAAAGTTTACCATGGTAGTTTTCTTTCATTTGTTTTGTTTTTGTTTTTTTGAGACGGAGCCTTGCTCTGTTGCCAGGCTGGAGTGCAGTGGAGCGATCTTGGCTCACTGCAACCTCCGCCTCCCGGGTTCAAGCAATTCCCCTGCCTCAGCCTCCTGAGTAGCTGGGACTACAGGCGCCCGCCACCACGCCCGGCTAATATTTTGTATTTTAATAGAGATGGGGTTTCACCATGTTGGCCAGGATGTTCTTGATCTCCTGACCTCATGATCCGCCCACCTCGGCCTCCCAAAGTGTTGGGATTGCAAGTGTGAGCCACCGCGCCTAGACCATGGTAGTTAATTTTAAGTGTTCAATTCAGTGACCTTAAGTGTGTTCATAATGTTGTGCAACCATCACCATGTTGTCTAACCATTAGCACTATCTGTTTTGAGAACTTTTTTTTATCATCCCAAATTAGAATTCTGTACCTGTCAAATAGTCCCCAGTAATCCTCCCTCCCCCAGCCCCTGGTAATCTGTAGTCTACTTTTCGTCTTTTTGAATTTGCCTATTTTAGGTTCCTCATATAAGTGGAATTATGTGGTATTTGTCCTTTTGTGTTGGCTTACTTCATTTAGCATAATGTTTTCAAGGTTCATCTGTGTTGTAGCATGTATATACAGGTTGAAGCATCCGTTATCCAAAATGGTTGTGACCAGAAGTGGTTTGGATTTCAGATTTTTTTTTTGGATTTTGGAATATTCATAGATACTTAACTGGTTCAGCATCCCTCGTCCAAAAATCCAAAATCAGATGGAGCTCAGTGGCTCATGCTTGTAATCCCAACACGTTGGGTGGCCAAGGCAGGAGGATCGCTTGAGCCCAGGAGTTCAACCAGCCTGAGCAACACAAGACCCTATCTCTCCAAAAAAAAAAAAAAAAAAAAAAAGATGAAAGAAAAAAAAATCCAAAATCAAATGCTCCAGTGAGCATTTCCTTTTAGCATCATGTCAGGCTCTAAAAGTTACAGGTTTTGGAGCATTTTGGATTTCAGATTTTTGGATTAACCTGCATTAATGCTCAACCTATATGAAATTTTATTCCTTTTTATGGCTGAATAATGTTCCACTGTATGTATATACTACATTTTGTTTATCCATTCATCTGTTAACAGACACTTAAGTTATTTCCACATTTTGGGTATTATAAATAGTGCTGCTGCGAACATTGGTGTACATGTATCTGTTTGAGTCCCTGTTTTTAGTTATTTTGGTTATATACCTAGGAATGGAATTGCTGATCATATGGTAATTCTGTGTTTAACTTTTTGAGGAACTACCACTGTTTTCCACAATGGCATCACCATTTTACATTCCCACCAGCAATGCACAAAGATTTCAGTGTCTGTATCCTTGCTAACACTTATTTTCCATTTTTTGAGTTTTTTTGTTTTGTTTTTTTAATAATAGCCAATCCTAATGGGTATGTGGTAGCATCTCATGGTTTTGATTTTATTTTCCTGACTATTGATGATGTTGAGCATCTTTTCAGGTGCTTAGTGGCCATTTGTCCGTCATCTTTGGAGCAGGAACAATGTCTTTTCAAGTCCTTTGCCCATTTTTAAATTGAATTTTTTGTTGTTGAGTTGTATATAACACCTTTTTTGAAGTAAAAGGTGCACTGTAATAATCCAGACTGTGTTTCTCCCTTCTCAGGATTCCTACAGGAAGCAAGTAGTAATTGATGGAGAAACCTGTCTCTTGGATATTCTCGACACAGCAGGTCAAGAGGAGTACAGTGCAATGAGGGACCAGTACATGAGGACTGGGGAGGGCTTTCTTTGTGTATTTGCCATAAATAATACTAAATCATTTGAAGATATTCACCATTATAGGTGGGTTTAAATTGAATATAATAAGCTGACATTAAGGAGTAATTATAGTTTTTATTTTTTGAGTCTTTGCTAATGCCATGCATATAATATTTAATAAAAATTTTTAAATAATGTTTATGAGGTAGGTAATATCCCTGTTTTATAAATGAAGTTCTTGGGGGATTAGAGCAGTGGAGTAACTTGCTCCAGACTGCATCGGTAGTGGTGGTGCTGGGATTGAAACCTAGGCCTGTTTGACTCCACAGCCTTCTGTACTCTTGACTATTCTACAAAAGCAAGACTTTAAACTTTTTAGATACATCATTAAAAAAGAAAACCATAAAAAAGAATATGAAAAGATGATTTGAGATGGTGTCACTTTAACAGTCTTAAAAGCAATCGTGTGTATAGCATAGAATTGCTTGGATTGGATAAACAGTGGCATTATATATTTTAAAAAATAAAAGTTTTGAAAGATTGAAGAATTTGGGCATTACAGTTCTCTTAAATCTGACAAAGCTGCATAAAACTATTAAAATAATCATTATTATACTATTTTATATTCTATTTCTTTGAGGGTTTAGTTTTCCAAAAACTACATATTAAGCAAATGAATCACTCAGTGGCTATGTCATATAATAACGAGTTAGCCTAGTTATAAGAAGTTTAACATTTTATTTAAGAACATTGTTACAGCATGTTTACTGTATAGTCTAGTAATAGAGGAAAAGACATTTGGGTGGGTGGTAGTGGTAGTATTTTTATAGAGGAGTTACCAAATTTCAGCTCTATTATCCAAGTTTACCCAGCTAATGGTGTTCGGAACCGGGAATTTGAGCCAATTCTGACTCTGTTGTCTGCTCTGCTCCTTCTTTTGTGCTGTGTCTTTGAAAGTCACCTAAAATTGTGAGGGAATGTAATTTCACCCCAAATTTAGAGTTTATGCACTTGTTATATTGAAAATGATTAACATGTAGAAGGGCTTTTAATGGAATAAGTGGTGTAGTAACTTCAGTGTTGCCTACCTAGAAATCAAAATCTTTCTAGTTGTCCACTTTGTTTTTTGAAAAAGTAATATGAAAATTATGTTAATGCTTTAATTCAGGTTTTTGTAAAATATTTTTTATCTTTACACATTTAACATACGTTTCTAAAATTATAGTCTGTTATATAGCACTTTGGGTCTAGAATTTTTCAGTAGTTTCTGTTTTACTATTATGATCTACCTGCATATTAACCTATTAGGTTATAGTTTTACTATACTTCTAGGTATTTGATCTTTTGAGAGAGATACAAGGTTTCTGTTTAAAAAGGTAAAGAAACAAAATAACTAGTAGAAGAAGGAAGGAAAATTTGGTGTAGTGGAAACTAGGAATTACATTGTTTTCTTTCAGCCAAATTTTATGACAAAAGTTGTGGACAGGTTTTGAAAGATATTTGTGTTACTAATGACTGTGCTATAACTTTTTTTTCTTTCCCAGAGAACAAATTAAAAGAGTTAAGGACTCTGAAGATGTACCTATGGTCCTAGTAGGAAATAAATGTGATTTGCCTTCTAGAACAGTAGACACAAAACAGGCTCAGGACTTAGCAAGAAGTTATGGAATTCCTTTTATTGAAACATCAGCAAAGACAAGACAGGTAAGTAACACTGAAATAAATACAGATCTGTTTTCTGCAAAATCATAACTGTTATGTCATTTAATATATCAGTTTTTCTCTCAATTATGCTATACTAGGAAATAAAACAATATTTAGTAAATGTTTTTGTCTCTTGAGAGGGCATTGCTTCTTAATCCAGTGTCCATGGTACTGCTTTTGGCTTTGGTTTCTTTCTACATTGAAAATTTCTCTTCAATTCTGAGCACATGTTAACATTTAGAATTCAAGAGGTGGGGATTTTTTTTTCCCATGGTTACATATATATATATATATATATATATATATATATATATATATATATATATAAAGAACAGGGCAACAAATTTTTGCGTTTTCTATTTCGGTAGTACTTTTAAACCATTATGTCATGTTTCTAGGTTAAACGTTGTTGTATTTGAAGAATTTTACTTTGGCAGAATTTTTTTGAGGATGTGTTTATTTCTGGAGAAAGGTCTCATTAAAGAAAGACAATACCCAGAAAGCCAACAGAAATTCTGTTACTCATTTAATGCATTTTTCTGACAAAAATTATTGCCAGAGAGAACCTGAATTTTGTTTCAAAAATCATCTTTGTTTTAAAAATGACTTTTTCTTCAGGTAAAATAAAATAATTTCAGTTGCTATTATTTAACCTGTTTGTATGAAGAGTTTAACATATAGGAAATGAATACATAAAGATAGGAAGGAATTAATTGTTATATGTAGTCATATGTCTCTTAATGACAGGGATACTTTCTAAGAAATACATTGTTAGGTGATTTTGTCATTGTGCAAACATCATAGAATATACTTACACAAACCTTGGTAGTATAACCTACTATACACCTGGGATATGTAGTATAGTCTCTTGCCCCAGGGATACAAACCTGTACAGTATGTAACTGTACTAATGACTATAAGGCAATTGTTAACACAATGGTAAGTTTTGTGTGTCTAAACCTACACTTGGGCTACCCTAAGTTTATATATTTTTTTAAATTTCTGTTCAATAATAAATTAACCTTACTTTACTGTAACTTTTTAAACTTTTTAATTTTTCCTAACATTTTGACTTTTGTAATACAGCTTAAAACACACATTATACAGCTATACAAATTTTTCTTTCCTTATATCTTTATTCTGTAAGCTTTTTTCCATATTTAAAATTTTTTGTTTGTTTTTACTTATTAAACTTTTTTGTTAAAAACTAAGACATGCATGCACATTAACCTAGGCCTACACAGGGTCAGGACCATCAATATCATTGTCTTCCACTTCCACATCTTGTCCCACTGGAAGATCTTCAGGGGCAGTAACACACGTGGAGCTGTCATCTCCTATAATAACATTGCCTTCTTTTGGAATACCTCCTGAAGGACCTATCCAAGGCTGTTTATAGTTAACTTTTTTTTTTTTTTTTTTTTTTTTTTAGTAAATAGGAGGAGTACACTATAAAATAACAATATAGGTGCTATACCATTATACAACTGACAGTGCAGTAGGTTTGTTTACACCAGCATCACCACAAACACGTGAGCAATGTGTCGTACTACAGTGTTAGGATGGCTATAACATCACTAAGCAATAGGAACTTTTAAACTCCATTATAATCTTATGGGACCACTATCACATATGCAATCTCCTGTGGACCAAAATGTCATTATGTGGTACATGACTGTACTAAGAAATTGATCCATCTATATTCCATCAATTTGTTTAGGGCTTTTTCTGGTTACATTTACCTGTGAGCCCAGAAAACCAGTTTTGTAGAAATTAACTTCTGTAATGCTAGGAGTTAAAAAAAATTGCTGAACAACTTTTACATTGTTAAACATTTAAAAACAAGCGTTCTAGAAGTTTATCAAATTTCATAAAGGTGCAAAAATGTAAATGTAAATCATTATCCAGCTAATATATATGTTGTATTTCCCTAGTAGGAGAGCATATGTACCTCTTCCTAGTTATACAAATTTGATATATAGTAAAGAAACAGTAAATTCTACTTCAAGTCATTTTGGGAGGATTAAAAACTGAATTTCTCTAGTTTGACCATTGTACAGATTTATCTGGCAATTTTACTAAAACCTGATTTATAGGTTAAACTTGGTGTATATCATATATCACTTTACTTTAGAGGAATTAAGATTTCACATAAATCCATTTCCAGGTTCCAAAGACCAGGAAGAGGCTTGGTTTTTGTTTTTCTTTTTACTGTCTTTACAGTCTCCTTGACTTTTCTTAGGAGAGAAGGTACTGAGAAAACATGATTCTAATATTTATTATTTTTTCTTCCAACATTTTCTTATGAAACATTTTCAAATACAAAATTGAGTTTTATTTAAAACATTTGCAAATATACTACCTAGATTCTACCATTGTTGTTTTATATTTGCTTTACTTACAACTTTTAAAAGATGCTTTTTATACCACTGAACATTTTAGCTTACATTTCACAAAGAAAAGAAAAAATTTAAGAGACTTTGCATAATGTTTTAAGGGGTTGCAGTAAAGAAGTGCTTCTTATATTTTCTTATGCATACAAATCAGCTGGGCTTATTAAAATCCAGATTCTAATTCAGAAGGTTTAGGTGGGGACCGAGTCTGCATTTCTAACAAACTCCTAGGTGGTATTTTTCTTGGTACTTGGACCATACTTTGAGTAGAAAAGCAGTAGAGGACATAAAAAGAGTCTTGTTAGTCCCACTTTGTTGCTGTCCACTTCTCATTTGATAATATCCTAAAATAGCTGTGTCTCCTTTTTGGTGGTTGTATGATTACTACCTCAGAAGTACTAATTGATTCTTGCTATTTGACCTTAATACTTTAATATAACACAGCATTCATATTTGATCAGAAAACTATCTGGCTTCCTTTTATAAGAGATTTTTAGGTTTTATACAGTTTTGTGGCCTTGGGTTTTTTTGTTTGATTTGTTTTTTTGAAGGTATATAATATGTAAGTAGATAAACAAATTTGATTTGTAGACATTTTTATGTGGATCATCTAATTAAAAATGGAGGGATACAGTATGAAAGAATACTTGTACTTCTTAACAGAGCACTCAACCTTTCTTTTACATCCTGTTTCACTGATGTTATTATGTAATTTATGTTGCTAAACTATAAATTAGATATTTAATTTCTGTTCTTTGATTTCCTTTTATTATTAAATGGACTTGTTGATTTGCCTAGAAATTAATTTGCCTTTCAAAAGTCTTATTAATCTTCCTCCGTTGAAATTAATTTGATATTTGCATGCTTCTGGAAGACTTTAAAGAGCTATTCCGAGTAACTGTAGAGATTATAAAATGAAATATGGGAATTTTAATAAATTTTACATCTCCAGTTACTGGTGAAAATGTCAAGTCCTCCTTTCTGCAGAGTATTTTGTTACTCATCTGTTATTCAGCTTATTTATTTATTTATTTATTTATTTATTTTTCTTTCTTTCTTGTTTTTTTTTTTTGAGACGGAGTCTTGCTTTGTCGCCCAGGCTGGAGTACAGTGGTGGGATCTTGGCTCACTGCAGGCTCCGCCTCCCGGGTTCACACCATTCTTCTGCCTCAGCCTCCCAAGTAGCTGGGACTACAGGCACCCGCCACCATGCCTTGCTAAATTTTTGTATTTTTAGTAGAGACGGGTTTCACTGTGTTAGCCAGGATGGTCTCGATCTCTTGACCTCGTGATCCACCTGCCTCGGCCTCCCAAAGTGCTGGGATTACAGGCATGAGCCACCGCGCCTGGCCCTTATTTGTTTTTTAAACAAAATTAGTGTGCATATCCTTGTTGTATTTTATCGGCAAGTTGTTTTATGCCCTAACTTTTGGGGTCTTGATCATGAGCCTAAAACACGTAAACACCCAAAAAGAATTATATTCCGGTTAAAGGAACAAAACATTCATTTAGAAGTTCTCATCCATGTAAATCAGAGGCTGGCAAATATTTTCTGTAAAGGGCCAAGATAGTAAATGTTTTAGGCTTTGAGGGCCACAAGTGGTATCTGTTGCATTTTTTTTTAATTATGACCCTTTAAAATGCAAAAATCGTTGTTAGCTTGTGCATAGTATAAAAATAGGCTGGCCGCATGCTGTGGCTCATGCCTGTAATCCCAGAAATGAGGTGGGAAGCCGAGGTGGGCACACCACCTGAGGTCAGGAGTTCGAGGCCAGCCTGGCCAACGTGGTTGAAACCCCGTCTCTACTAAAAATACAAAACTTAGCCAGGCGTGGTGGCGGGTGCCTGTTATCCTGGCTACTCAAGGGGCTGAGGCAGTAGAATTGCTTGAACCTGAGAGGCAGAGGCTGTAGTGAGCCCAGATCAAGCCAGTGCACACCAGCCTGGACGACCGAGCGAGACTCTGTCTCAAAAAAAAAAAAAAAAGGCTGTGGCTGCATTTGGTCCATTGGCTGTAATATGCTGATTCCTAATTCTCTGGGTAACTTTAGTGTTTGATTAGCTACTAGAAGTTAGGTTAAACTTTTGTATTTTACAGGCTAACTTTAATAATCTTAAAGTAAAACTTAACATAGTTCATGGAAAGGAAATAGAAATTTTACCCTAGTACTCTTTTTTTTTTTTTTTTTTTTTTTTGAGGCAGAGTCTCCCTCTGTCACCCAGGCTGGAGTGCAGTGGTGGGATCTTGGCTGATTGCAACCTCCTCCTCCTGGGTTCAAGCAATTCTTGTGCCTCAGCCTCCCGAGCAGCTGGGACTACAGGCACGCACCACCACACCTGACTGATTTTTGTATTTTTAGTAGAGACAGGGTTTCGCCATGTTGGCCAGGCTGGTCTTGAACTCCTGGCATCAAGTGATCCTCCCATCTGAGCCTCCCAGTGTGCTGGGATTACAGACGTGAGTCACTGTGCCTGGTCTCTAGTATTTTTTTTTTTTTTGAGACGGTCTCACTGTTGCCAGGCTGGAGTGCAGTGGCGCGATCCTGGCTCACTGCAACCTCCGCTTCCCGGATTCAAGCGATTTTCCTGCCTCAGCCTCCTGAGTAGCTGGGACTATGGGTGCACACCACCACGCCCAGCTAATTTTTGTATTTTTAGTAGAGACGGGGTTTCACCATGTTGGCCAATATGGTCTCAATCTCTTGACCTCGTGATCTGCCCGTCTCGGCCTCCCAAAGTGCTGGGATTACAGGCGTGAGCCACTGTGCCCAGCTGTACTTTTTAAGATAAGAATTGCAGGGTATATATTTTTACCAACTTAATAACTTATAATTTTAAAAAGCTAATTACTTGGCTAGAATATAATGCGTTACATATTCTTTACACTCAGTTCAGTCCATATCTGAAAGGCAAATAGAATTATTTTCTGCTAGTACATTGTGTAGTCCCTATGTTCCTAGTGTATAAGGACTGTTACCTAGTTCACATTTATCTGGGTTGTTGACAGATTTTCCTGGTCCCTTTGGACAGTGCATGGCCATGTTGGCAAAAGCTGTCAAAATTGAAACATTGACACCATGAGAATTGTGTGTTTTCCAGTCTGCTAAAATCAAAAGTGGGAGGGTTCAGTAAGGTGAATAACAGAAGCAGAGTTTTCGGGGTATCTGTTACTCCTCATTCGGCTTTTCTGCTCTCTGGGGGTCTCAATTTAAATATAATGTGAAAATTAGTTTTACGAACCTAAAAATGTTGAGTGATTCATTTCCTGGTTTTGTTGTTAATTTCTAGATATTTAAATTAATTGTTAGAAGAACCCCGTTAAAGAATGCTTTGCAAAACAACCTCCTTATGTGCTATGTCTCTGTTTAATAGTAGTTGAGTTTGTGTACATGAGATCAATATTTTGAACTATAGCTTTTTATGAGTTAAAAATTGACGGAACAGTTACTGTGCACTTGCTGTGCACCATGGTAGTCTCCCAAGTAGTGGTTTTTCTGCATTTCAATAGTACATGAGATAGGCTGTGGGTGGCAAGGTTTCTTGAGAAAGTGAGGGATGCACAGTTGGGTTTTAGAATACATCTTGTTCCTCCATGCCCTTCCCCACCAAAAGGCTGGTAGTCTTGCATTTGTATATAGTTAGGGTATTTGATGTGTTGCTTCCTTGACAGAGTTTTGCAAGAATTTGCAGATTTAACAGGAACAAAAACTTACTTAAAACAAAATCTCTTAGTAAAAGCATAGTCTAGCAAGATTTAGAATGATACTTTGGCTAACAGTACTTTCTCTATATGGAGTGCTTTGTTTCCATAGCCTCACAAGTATGTTTTCAGATAATAGTTGAGTTGAAAATGTTGTCAATCTCTTGATTTTAAAAAATTTACATATTTAAAGTTGTATACTTTTGTTCCTACGTATTTTCAGTTGTTCTTAAAGTTTAATAAGTGACATTTGAAAATGAGTATATGTGTATAAAAACAAAAGTAGGCTAGGCACGGTGGCTCATGCCTATAATCCTAGCACTTTGGGAGGCTGAGGCAGGCGGATCACAAGGTCAGGAGTTTGAGACCAGCCTGGGCAATATGGTGAAACCCCCCTCTACTAAAAATACAAAAATTAGCTGGGTGTGGTGGTGCATGCCTGTAGTCCCAGCTACTCAGGAGGCTGAGGCAGGAGAATCGCTTGAACCCGGAGGTGGCGGTTGCAGTGAGCCGAGATTGCACCACTGCAGTCCAGCCTGGGCGGCAGAGCGAGACTCCATCTCAAAAAAAAAAAACAAAAAAAGAAAAAGTTAAAAAAAAACAAAAAACCCCCACAAAATGAGTATATGTGGCAACAAGTCCTATTCTCAAAAAAATTATTGTGTGCTAGTTAAGAGCTTAATGAGTAGCCAGTCGGTATTAAATATCTGTTTCAGCTATATTTTATCTTTAAAAATTATCTACAGATTTTGGAATGTGAAAAACTAGTGTTTTGTTTCATAGGTATATACTGTAGGCATTTTAAAAATAAGAGCCAGTGCCAGTGGTTTACAGTGTACACAAGGATAATGTTCTCATGTTCTCTTGATGTCAGTATGACTTTAAAGCATATTATCAAGAAATAACTAAGTCTGAAAAACTGTGGTAAATAACTGGTACTCTAAAACCTAAGTTTCTTATTACTAAAAATAAGAAATGGTAAAAGTCACCCTGTGCTGTTAATTATATGAGCCACTGAGGTCCTGACACTGAATTCTTGGTGGTGGATAATAATCTCTTCTTTTTAATTATTGGCTTCCAATTCTCTCTGCATTGCTGGAAACAAAAATCATATATTTCACTATTGGTGGTGGGGATGCTGTCACTGAAAAAGTAGACACATTCATATTGATTTTAGAAATAAGTTAAAATCAAAATTTGCTTCTGCTAAATTAGTAGAGGACCAATACTGTTTTTCTCCTTCATAGTATGTTTTGGTACTTCTACATTGACATTATAACTTTTTTTTTTTTAAACAGAAATAGAAGTTTACATTCTTAGAAAATTTATGAAAATATGAGCTTTTACCTGGTTTGTGTGTGTGCGTATATATATACACATATTTTTAAATTTCTTACATTGATTTTCAAATTGAAAGAGAACCATTTGTGAAAGTATCTTAACAGAGCTCATGCTTTACATTTTACATGCTACAAAGTTATTTTAGTGCCTTAAATTATTTATGTTGCTTATTAATGAAAATTTTGGATACATAATTTTTTCAAGACAAAGGTAAAAATAATAAACCCTTTCCTTCTGAGGATTAATGATAAATATAAACTTTAAAACGATTAAAAAAATTTTTTTAGAGACAGGGTCTTGCTCTGTTGCCCAGACTGAAGTGCAGTGGTGCAGTCATAGCTCAATGAAGCCTCAAACTCCTGGGCCCAGGCAACCCTCCTGCCTCAGCCTTTTGAGTAGCTGGGACTTCAGGCTCATGCCAACATGCCTAATTTATCTTATTTTTAGTAGAGATGAGGTCTCAAACTCCTGGCATCTCTTGCCCTCTCAAAGTGCTGGTACTACAGGCATTAGTCACCACACCTGACACTTAAAATCTTTTATATACAGGTGTAAGTGGGTATCTAACTTAAAGTGCCAACGAATGTAGTTGAAAGTTTGTAGTTGGCTTAGCTAACTAGTTAACTAAATTGATTCCATTAAAAATAAGATAAGACTGCTCTTAGAATATAATGATTTTTGTTATTCGTTAAATATAAATATATCACTGGATAGTATATGTTAATGACTTGAGATACGCATTTTAACATATAATCACGTTACTTAAATGCCTGCCTTTGAACTGAAACTTAACATTATGAATTTAAATTAAAGTTTGACTTTAGAGGTAAATTTCTGTACTTTACTAAAGCAGTTCTTAATATAATTCTGAGATTTCTAAAAATTAGTGTGCCCTAAAGAATTGAGGTGTGTTTTTCTTAACTACTGTAGGCAGTAGATGTACAGATGACTTCTGCATGCAAAAATTAAGCCCTAGCCATTGGTTTACTTCAACTAATACTTAGTTGCCAATTCTCTGTGTGTGATTGAATTTAAAACTGCAAATGGTACTGGTGATACATTAACTTTTTAGGTGCTAGGTCCACTTTGTTACATTTGGTTCAGTAGAAACATTGATGTTACCAATCTCAGAAAGCTAAAATATGTATGCCAATCCCCAAATTAGGTAATTTATTCTTAATTTTAAGATAAAAGAATAGAATTCCCTTAAAATTAAATGTGGAGTAAAATATACCAGCTTTAAAAAATATTCACCTTTCTGTTAGAAGAATGAACATAATATTACATCTTTTAATTTGCACTATATATAGATTAATATTTCTGTGTATTTCTCTGTGCCCCTACTTTGATGGTATGCTTTTCTGAACAAACTAGCAGCACAGTTAACTAAGCACTTTGCCCCGTTTGATGACTGCCTAATTTTCTAGATTGGAAAATATTAAAAACTTTTATCTCCATATGGCCAATATATGATTGTACCTGTTGTCATAGCTCTCTTATGTTTAAGCAAGAAAAACCCTATTAAGAGTATTTAAATTAGAATGGAAGGCACACAGCCAGTATGATTGAACACTGTTCTAAAAATTATTTTTAAGACTTGTAGTAAGGCCAGGTTTGGTGGCTCATGGCTGTAATCCCAGCCCTTAGGAGGCCAAGGTGGGCGGATCACTTGTGCTCAGGAGTTTGAGACCAGCCCGGGCAACATGGCAAAACCCTGTCTCTACGAAAAATACAAAAATCAGTCAGGTGTGGTGGTGCTTGCCTGTAGTCCCAGCTATTTGAGAGGCTGAGGCAGGGGGATCACCTAGCCTGGGAGGTCGAGGCTGCAGTCATGATCGTGCCATTGCACTCCATCCTGGGCAACCCAGTGAGACCCTGTCTCTAAAACAAAAAAATAAAAAAAGAACTTGTAGTAAGGATACAAAATGCTCCTATTTTGTGTGTGTCCTTTAATTCATGATGTTTTTATATTATGGTAAGCAGCTCTCATTTAAGATTTTAATAATGTAATTAAACATGTACAGAAGACCCAGTCTCAGCTTCACTTGTATACCCTGGAAATAGACTGAAAGGTGTTAAAATTTAAGATAAAACTCAAGGTTCCAGTTTCTTGACTCACCTTTGAGATTCTTTTATGTTTTTGTTGTTTTTTAACAAAGGTTTCACGTCCATATTTTACCATTTTTCTTCTCATTCTCCCCTGGAGGAGGGTGTGGGAATCGATAGTATATAAATCACTTTTTTCCTAAGTCAAAGAAGTAATTTAAAGCTAACTTCAGTTTAGGCTTTAATTCCAGGACTAGCAAACTAAAATGGTTGCATTAATTGACAAACAGATGCTAATACCTGTGTTTAGGCTTGTCATAATCTCTCCTAATTCCTAATTTAAAAATTTTAAAATTTAATTCCATTAGAAAACAAAACTGACTTTTAAGAACAAACCAGGATTCTAGCCCATATTTTAAAACTGCATCCTCAGTTTTATTCAAACAGTCTGATGTCTGTTTAAAAAAAAAAAAATCTCAAGCTCATAATCTCAAACTTCTTGCACATGGCTTTCCCAGTAAATTACTCTTACCAATGCAACAGACTTTAAAGAAGTTGTGTTTTACAATGCAGAGAGTGGAGGATGCTTTTTATACATTGGTGAGAGAGATCCGACAATACAGATTGAAAAAAATCAGCAAAGAAGAAAAGACTCCTGGCTGTGTGAAAATTAAAAAATGCATTATAATGTAATCTGGTAAGTTTAAGTTCAGCACATTAATTTTGGCAGAAAGCAGATGTCTTTTAAAGGTAACAAGGTGGCAACCACTTTAGAACTACTTAGGTGTAGTATTCTAACTTGAAGTATTAAAAGATAAGAAACTTGTTTCCATAATTAGTACATTTATTTTTAATCTAGTGGGAATTAATTATAATTGAGACAATTTTGATGGCTGTAGTAGACTAATCTATATTTGGCATAAAGTCTAATGATTTAATGAGTCTTAAGTAAACTAAATATTTGGAAACTGATATTTACCTTTATTTTTAAGGGAAAAGTTTTGAGATAATCAGCAGCTTTTTTTTTTTTTTTTTTTTTTTTAGTAGGGAGAAAAAGATATGAGCTATAGTAGACAGCAGTAATATTGAATGGCCCAGAAGGTGGGAAAAAGCCACTCTTAAATGTATTTTTTCTTTTGGATATTTTACAAGCAAATAATAACTTCTGCCTAAGTTCGCCATCTCAGTGGCATCAGCAGCACAGCACTTTCTTATCCCAGTGAGAAACCTGGGAATTTTAGGATGACTCCTACCGCCCTCTTTTCCCCCTGGTTTGGAAGTATCCACAAATTCCTGTGACGTTACATTCTGTGTCTTTTATGTCATCATTAGTTCAGGCCCCTATCATTTCTTGTTGGACTGTTAGAACCTCCTATTTGGTTTACCAGTTGCTGCCATCATTCATTGTGAAACCGGAGAGATACACTTTAAAGAAATGTCATTTTTGGCCGGGCGCGGTGGCTCACGCCTGTAATCCCAGCACTTTGGGAGGCCTAGGCGGGTGATCACCTGAGGTCAGGAGTTCAAGACCAGCCTGGCTAACATGGTGAAACCCTATTTCTACTAAAAATACAAAAAATTAGCCGGGCGTGGTGGCACGTGCCTGTAATCCCAGCTACTTGGGAGGCTGAGGCAGGAGAATTGCTTGAACCTGGGAGGCAGAGGTTGCAGTGAGCTGAGAATGCACCATTGCACTCCAGCTTGAGCAACAAGAGCGAAACTCTGTCTCAAAAAAAAAAAAAAAAAGTCATTTTAGCTATAGAATAAAATCTCATGTTCCACATGTGTTGCAGATAGTCCTTACTACCTTCCCACCACTCCAGCTCTTTTTTGGTCTTATATCTAAAAACGTCATCTTGCCTGAATTTCTTTTGTTCTTCTATAAATAAATACCATGTTATTTCCTACCTTCCCTTGAGTCTTGGCTCTTGTTTGGAATGCCAGTATTTTTATCCCTAGTCTTACTAATTAGCTAACACTCTCATGATTCCCCAGTCTCCTACTCTCTAAAAACCTTTCTTTAAACCCTTAGACTAGGCATGGAGCCCTTCCTGTGTATTCCCAGAATACTATTCTTAACTATTATATGCTTCCCATGTTATGTTGAAATAACTAACCTCTTCTGTTTCATTCCTATATTACTTGACAGCAAAATCTTAGCCAGAATTACATATTTTTAATCTTTGCACACCCATTGCCTAGTAAGGTTCCTGGGACATAGTAACTACCCAGTAAATATTTATTGCGTGGAATTCTCATTTTCGTTTCTAAACCCGTATTAAACTCTGTCTTGCTCAGAAAATACTTCACTAGGTATCATAAAGTTCATGGCAGAGCTTAAGCTTTGGATGCATATTGTTTGTAATATATCATGTTCTTAAGAATAGGCAATAAAATTACAGTTTTCAAAAACTACTACATTTATTATATTTATTACAAGTTGGTGTTCTTTATTACATGAATTTTAGGTATTTCCCAAAAGTATAAAATATACATTTGAATAGTAGACTCAATCCCAAAAGATACTACGTGGTGTACTAATCTACTAAACTCAGAAACAAAGCATGACTGGCATTAATTTTTGTTGAAATTTATGAACTCTGAATGTTTTTGAATATCATTCTGTAAAGCAATATTTTGCAATTAAAGCAATTTTGCATGTTAAATTTTACCACAACCTCTAAAATATTGCAAATTTAACAATACAGTTTGAAAAGTTACACATTTTAAATAACAGTACCATGACCAGATTTAGGTGGTGGTTTTAATTTTTTATTTTCTCCTCCTATTGTCTCACCATTAGATGATTTTAAAAATAGAATTGTTTAGAGTAAAATAAGTGTTATGCTCTAATTTATATTTAAAATGAAGGTTTAAGCACGTACTATTCTAAAATTTCTAATTTGTGCAAATTATGTTTTATACAGTGACTGTAGGTGAATGTCACAATTGTTTGATGTGACGAATCCTTGTTTTTCAGTACACGTGGAAGTAATTCATATAAAAGAGAAGTATACTTGGTAATTAAAAATTTAAAATTAAATACAATTTAAAAAAAAATTTATTTGACAAGCTGGCTGTGGTGTGTGTGCCTGTAGTATCAGCTGCTTGGGAGCCTGAGGCAGGAGGATTGCCTGACCCCAGGAGTTTGAGGTTGAAGGGAGCTATGATGGTGCCATGGCACTGTAGCCTAGGCAACAGAAAGAGACTCCATCTCTTAAAAAAAGTAAAAATAAAAAAATTTTGGCACAGGGACAGTGGCTCACACTTATAATGCCAGAACTTTAGGAGTCCACAGCGCGAGGACTGCTTGAGGCCAGGAGTTTAAGACCAGACTGGGCAACGTAATGAGACCCCACCTTTAGGAAATAAATACATAAATAAAAATTTGACAATGATAAACATATATAAATTAGCTTTTCTTAGTCCTGAAAAAGATAATGTTATGTGTATGTGTGAGAATGATTAGTTCTCATATGAGAAAAAAAGAATTCATTGCTCTGTGTAGGTTGTGACATTTCCTTCACGATTGAAATTAATTAATTTTTTTTTATTACTTATTTATTTTTAAAATAGAGACAGGTTCTTGCTGTGTTGCCCAGGCTGGTCTCAAACTCCTGGCCTCAAGCAGTTCTCCTGCCTCAGCCTCCCAAATTGCTGTGACTGTAGGTGTGAGCCACTGCACTGGGCCAAAATTACTTAATTTTAACAAGATGATGTAGAGAGGAGAGTTCATTGCAACATAAGCCTAGAATCTTTGTCAGAATCTTAGGAAGTAATGTTTTCAAATTCTGTGTTTTCACCATAAAATGTGTCTTCTCTGTGTCCATCACATGGTTTTTCATTGTTTTCTGCTTTACCATTTTAGTACCATTGGCATTTTTCTTCATTGTAAAAGTAGTAGAAATGGAGTAGATTACATAAGGATGTGATCAGAGGGAATTTATTCATTCAGGGTAAGGGAGTTAGATCCTCTTTTAAGATTCTATCACATTCTAAGGGTTTATGATTCTAAACTGTCAAGTAAATTGTCAAGTGCTGGCAAGCTACAGAATAATTTTTATTGTATCATTGGAAATTTTCCCCTCTATATGTGTTAAAGAGTTTAGCCTGAAGGGATACATACACATACATATATGTAATCAAACCTTGATGGTATTGTATTGCTGATAAATTATTTCTTACCACTTTTCCTTTCTCCTGTGGGAGAAACAAAAGCATATGTTTGTGTAGTATCAGTAATGATATTAGAGAGTGGGAAACATCAGTGAGTGCAGTTTGGGGACTTTATTGGAGACTTTCACTAGTGCTCAAATAAATAATGCTGGTTTTTATCCTACTGTTTGCTTAATGTGGACTAGCCTCTTATTCCCATTCTATGTTTACCTCTCTTAAAATATTGGTCACGCTTTCTTGAATTATAGATCTATTAGGAAAATTCATGAACTGTAGCTAATTTTCATTGTTCATGCTCCAGATTTATTTTGAAATATCGTTAATCTTAGTAGTACAGTAAAGGAGAAATACCACTTAACATTTTTTGTTTTTTTTTCTTTGAGACAGAGTCATGCTCTGTCACCCAGTCTGGAGTGCAGTGGTGCTATCTCGGCTCACTGCAATGCACTTCGCCTCTCCGGGTTCAGCAATTCTCCTGCCTCAGCCTCCTGAGTAGCTGGGATTACAGGCACCTGCTACCACACCCAGCTAATTTTTGTATTTTTAGTAGAGACAGGGTTTCACCATGTTGGCCAGGCTGGTCTGAAACTCCTCACCTCAAGTGATCCACCCGTCTTGGCCTCCCAAAGTGCTGGGATTACAGG
Source organism: Homo sapiens (assembly GCF_000001405.40). Taxonomy (NCBI): domain Eukaryota; kingdom Metazoa; phylum Chordata; class Mammalia; order Primates; family Hominidae; genus Homo; species Homo sapiens. The sequence continues at coordinate 25,211,313 of NC_000012.12, read as the reverse complement.
CTTGAGCCACCGCACCCCGCCCACTTAACATTTTAAATTAATTTCAAGATAATATCACTTGAATATTTTTACACATATAATTTTTTTAATACATTTATTTACACAGTTTATAATATCCTACAAAGTGATTACAATGAGTAAAAACCCAGTTTTCATTGTTCCTAAAGTGGCTTGATTTATACAACTTAATGTGTTGGGTATTTGTTTCTAAGACTCCCTCTGCTGTCTAGGTTTGGAAGTATTGTGAGGTTAACAGATTTTCTTTTTATAGTTACTACTCAGTTGAACAGGCTTTAAAATACAGAGAGAATCATATTTTTTCTTCATTTTTTGCTTTTATTTATATTTTTCTTTTAATTGGAGACATGACAAGAATTGACTTGTGTATGGATCTTGCATAATTTAAGTACTGCAGGTTTAAAATCTACTACCAGTTTGAGAGTGCCATTTTTCACACTGTAGATTATTAGGTTGAAAAGTATTATGGCTTAAAATCGCTTTTAGCCATTAAATTTAAATAACCTTGCTTTAATCATAAATAGATGGTGGTCACAATGACTAACTGTTAAACTCTTTGAAGACAGGATATTTGGCTTTATATGGCAAGCTTTTGAATACAACAGAAATTAAAACTTTATGGGATAGAAAGAATCTCCTCCAAATTGGTAAACTATAAGACCTTTCAAATGATTTAGCTAATTTCTCCACAAATCTGAGGTATTAGTGTTTTTTTTAAAGTGGTATTCTCCTGTGTTGGGGTCACTTTAAACCTTTTTCTTAATGATAAATATATGAATTGAAACTAATCCCTTAATATATATCATTTGAAAACTGAAATAATATGTTTAGATACTGTTTACTTGTTGATAAATTATTGGAATAGGATGTTCGAATACTGTTTACTTCTTGGTAAATTTTTAAATCCAATGGATTTTACGTAAGTATAGAACTGGAGCTCAAATACTGTTACTGTGTGTGAAGATATATGAACATAGTTTACAGTTGCATGGCTTATATCTAAAGTCCAGAAACATAAGGACAATTAAGTGTACACACACACACATGCATTTGGATTTTGATGACTTAGGTTTGCCAATGTGGAAAAAATAGTAGCAAATTAAGTTCTCCTGTGAAAAAGTCGTTACCTTATTTAAAATTCTGTGCCATTGGTTATCCTTGTCTTTTGTGAAAATTAGTGTTCCTGTTTATAATATTGACAAAACACCTATGCGGATGACATTTAAGAATTCTAAAAGTCCTAATATATGTAATATATATTCAGTTGCCTGAAGAGAAACATAAAGAATCCTTTCTTAATATTTTTTCCATTAATGAAATTTGTTACCTGTACACATGAAGCCATCGTATATATTCACATTTTAATACTTTTTATGTATTTCAGGGTGTTGATGATGCCTTCTATACATTAGTTCGAGAAATTCGAAAACATAAAGAAAAGATGAGCAAAGATGGTAAAAAGAAGAAAAAGAAGTCAAAGACAAAGTGTGTAATTATGTAAATACAATTTGTACTTTTTTCTTAAGGCATACTAGTACAAGTGGTAATTTTTGTACATTACACTAAATTATTAGCATTTGTTTTAGCATTACCTAATTTTTTTCCTGCTCCATGCAGACTGTTAGCTTTTACCTTAAATGCTTAT